>NC_000018.10:64537528-65787528 GCF_000001405.40 Homo sapiens | reverse complement strand
AATTTAGATGAAGAATTCCTTAAAATATGTTACTTGTATTTGGTAACTACTCTCCATCCTCCTGCTAGTAGGTAAACGCCTGTTGAATCTTGTAGAATAAGTGGCAAACGCTCAATAAATCCTTGTTAAATTAAATTGAACTGATGTCAAAATCATTTCCACTAGCAGGAGCAGCACCAACTATGGCAGCAACAGAAGCAATAATTTGGAACAGTGTATAACCACCCCTCAATCAAGTTCTAATAATCCTTCTTATATGTAGAAGGAATGTATGTTGCATAATTTGATACATTTAAAACGATGAAATGTTTTGTCAGAAAAGCTCTTTCTACATATATATGAAATCTATTGAAATGTTAAAATAAATAATTTTCCATAAAAACTTTCTGTTTCATGCCTGACTTTTTGGCTGCATGTGTCAACAAATGCTGCTAATGATAATGATCTTGAATCTGTTTTGGTGAAAACATATAAATATGTGACAGTCTTGTGTCAGGGAAAAAAAAAAGTTTTCATTGATGGGCATGAAACTTAGGAAATAGAGTGGGCTTAGTGATTTGCACCTATAATCCCAGCTATTGGGGGGCTGAGGCCAGAGGATCATTTGATGCCAGGAGTTCGAGACCAGCCTGGGCAACATACCAAGACTCTGTCTCTAAAAACATAAATTTTGATTAATTAGCTGTGCATAGTGACATACACCTGTAGTCTCAGCTACTCAAGAGGCTGAGGTGGGATGATTGTTTGAGACCAGGAATTTGGGGCTTCAGTGAGCTATGACTGCACCACTGCACTCCGGCCTGGGCAACAAAGCAAGATCTTATCTCAAAGAAAAAAAGAGAAAGAGAGAGAGAGAAAAAGAAGCAGCCAAGGAAATTATCTCTGACTCAGAGAGTTATCAGCGTTATCATACCTCTTAAAGCTATCCTTTTACAACATCATTTTAAACAAGGGCTGAATCCCATCACAGACATTATATTAATATATTCAATTAAACATTATCAGTACTGATTTATGGTTTGCTATGCAGAGGTAGATTTACTCTGAAGCTAATGCAGGCTAAGATTTAGAGCCTCACACTTGCATAGGTCATTCTAAAGTCCAAGAACTGGGGGGGCGGTTGTGGGCTTAGGAATGTAATGATAATTTTGTAAAATGTCCAAAATAAATTTTTATGTTATTTGAAGCTTTAAAATCCATATATTTTATGTCAGCCTGAGACCCCACAAAACTCATATCTACCCTTGGTTATTACTTTAAATGTTAGGTATGCTTCTAATGTCATTTGTCAATGAAATCAAACTTAGCTTGAAAAAAAAAGTACTTTCTCATTGATCTCCCTGATATAATCAGGTACATTCAGTCTACAGACAGAAGCTTGAAAATATGTTAAATAATACGGTAAAAATTTCATTGTTATCCATTCATGTTACAACCATATTAATGGGCAGCTCTAGCTCAGATCAATCACTACCATTTATTTATTCCGGGTAATATCTTGGGGCCTAGGGAACCAAAAGCTGCATGCTAATGTACGGGAAACACGCAGGTGCAATCAACACCACATGTATTTATAATGTGTTTTAAACTGAATATCCAGTATCCTAGTATAATATGCTGGTTAACATATTCTACTGCTATATGTACTTTTACAAATTATATTTCTTATGTTGAAAAGTTTAATTTTGTTTTAATTTTTGTGTTACTTTCTTAAGGAGAAAGGAACTCTTCTAAAGGAAAGAATTTTGCAATCATAATTTTCATGCTTTTTATTTGGCAATATCAAAATCAGAATAAAATTAATACTCCCTCCATAATGTATACAATGAACTCAAAACTAATGTCATTAGGAAAATATTATATATTAAGTTTCCCTAAACTCCATTAGATATTTTTTCATTGTTTTGTCACTTAGTTTTTTTTTCTTTTTTTTCAAAGATTTTAGAGGTTTTCTCCTATATAAGTAATATCTACTGCATTGGGCAGAGCTGTCTTAGAATGCAGGCTAAGAATTTATTGTTAATGTACCTTCTACTAATAAAAGCTCTACGCTAAAGAATGTGATTCTTAAATGACCAGTATTTGCCTCAAAAATGACTCAATTAATTCCATGCTACAACTTTAACCAGACATATTTTTACTAAATTGTATTTAATGTTGTACATAACCTTATCTACAACACTGTCATCATATTCTAATAAAATGATACCATTTTCATGCTATCTCTACAGAACACTATATGTCATATTTGTTCCCATTATTTGAGAATCGCCTAATAATATATATATATATGACATATATTATATGACAAATATGCTTGTTTTAGACAAGTCATGGTTCTCTAATAATCAGTTTCATAAAACTTGTCAGATACAACATACTGGATTCAGCCAAATTGTAATTTAAATGTACGGCTTTGCAAGTGGATTGTCGCAATAAGTTAACCAAACTTCTAGTTAACTAAAAATCAATCCAAAAGTCATTAATTGAACTGCAGTTGCCACAGATACCATAAAAGAACAAAAGTTCAATTTCCTGATTATTATTTATTTATTCATCTGCCTATTATAAACATCTTCCTCTGGAAGGGAGTTTTAATGGCTTACAAGGACTCCAAGTATAATGTAACACATAAATGAACAAGGGTAAAAAATGTGGAGACACAGAAAAGAATTCGTAATAGGAGGGAATGAAAACATGCTACGCAGAACTTCTCGACATATTTGTTAGGTCACAAATCAAGTTCCGAGAATTGTGGCAAAAATCAAAAGCTTAGCGATTTAAGGATTCAACACGGAGATGAAGTGGAATGATTCCTGATATAAGGACCACTTAATGACTTTTCTCAAGGAATTCATAAAAAGAATACTGTGGAATGAAATTAACAAGATTAAGGCCAGTATTTCTACAGTAGACATAAAGAGGGATGTTCTAGGACTTTTTCTCCTAATGGTATATTTTAACTGCAGTCCAACACCAATATGGCAAAGAGCACTTCACCCACTGGAATTATATGGTGGGTCAGATAATTCACCAACTTTGTGAGAAGCTGATTCTCCTTTCTTATACGCTACTTACTCCAAACTAGCCACGCTGGCCTTTTCTACTTCCTCAAGCATAGTAGGCCACTCCTGCTTCAGAGTCTGTGCTCTTGCTGTTTCCAATGCCTGAAATTCACTTTCCCCAGGTGTCCACTTTGTTCATTCCTGCATTTCTCTCTGGGCTTTGTAAAAATATCACTTCAGGTGAAGCTGACCACCCTTTTAAAAATTACAACTTTTCAGCTAAGCACAGTGGCTCATGCCTGTAATCTCAGCACTTTGGGAAGCTGAGATGGGTGATTGAGCCTAGAGATTTGAGAGCAAACTGGGCAACTTGGCAAAACCCAATCTCTACAAAAAAAAAAAAAAAAAAATAGCTGTGGGTGGTAATGCCTGTGTTCCCAGCTACTCAAGCAGCTGAGGAGGGAGCATCCCTAGAGCCAGGAAGGTGGAAGTTGTTGTGAGCCGAGATCACACCATTGCACTCCAGCCTGCACAGAGCCTGACTCTGTCTCAAATAAATAAATAAATAAATAAAATAAAAATCATGACTTCTCCATTGACAGCCTTTATTTCTATTTTCTTATGTGCTTTATCTACAGTATTTATCAGCATCTATTACACTCTTTTTTAAATTTGATTTTGTTGTGTCCCTCACTAGAATGTAAACTGTGTCATATTCTTGGTGTCTTTCTCTATCTTCATTTTCAGCTATTAAGACTACTCCTTAAATAGCTGTAGTCAGGATTTTCATGAAAAAGGTTAGACTAATAAAATACGGTGTCAGGCACTTGTGAACCCCCATTGCAGCCTACATCAGTGACCCTCAAGGAGCTATCTTCAGCCCACCAACGTCCTCTCAAATTCTACGGAAATTTTTGGACCACTGAATTTTCCATAGAAACTGTATATACTATTAAGGGTTAGTGCAAATACCTGACTAATGTGGTATTCATAATCTAAAGTTAAGACACAATGGTCATTTGTAGATTAACTTGAAGTTCTACAAGAGACATGGCTGTTAAGAAATAGTGCATTATTTTGCCAACCTCCTATGTTGCATATGTGCATAAAGTGATTTAAAAATCCTTTGTTTTCAGAAAGGATGCTGGATGATGAGTGATGTTATAAGCTTTTCAGAATGGTCAACTATTACTATTCTTGCTTATAATTATCTTTCTGTTAATTTACCTTTTATTATTGTCAATTTTCTTTTCTCTGGATTGTTCATTTGGTTGGATTCATTATCTAATAACAGAATGTTGAAGTTTTCATGCACTGTGGTCCAAATGCTTACTCTTTCCTGAATAGATAGAGTTGATATTTATTATTGTAGGAATTTGTGTTTGGCAATTCATCTACTCAATAAAATGTATTTATCTGTGGTCATTCTTGAACATACACAGAGCAGCATAACATCTGAGTGTTCTGATTCACACATTCCCAACTAAGGTTGAAGAAAGCAACACCCCTATCTATCCTCATTCTGCTTCCATGTTGTAAACAGTTATCCTTTTTGCAGTCTGTTTTGTGACACATTTTTCCTATTTTGTACTTTCTGTTTGTGGTTTTGCTGTTTAAAATGACGCCCAGATATAGCACTGAAATGCTGTCCAGTGTTCCTAGGCACAAAAAGGCTGTGATGTGCCTTAGGGAAGAAACATGTATGTTAAATGAGCTTTTCCAGGCATTAGTTATAGTGTGTTGTCTGTGAGTTTAATGTTAATGAATCAATAGTATATATTAAATAATGTATTAAATTACACAGAAACACACATAAGGCACAGTTAAGAGTTGATCAGTTCATGAAAACGTTGGGACCATAGTCTCACAAGAATCTAATCTTGTATTTCCCCTAAGAGCAATGGTTCCCTATGCACCAATTCAGTGTTCATGGTGTCTGCATAGAAATAACTATCATAGATGAGAGTCAACTGTACATGAATTATCACCCATCCAAAAGAAAATTTTGCTCTATTTTAATATACTTGTAAACCCCACATTCCACTTCTATCTACAAATAGAAATCCGGCTGAGTGAGGTGCCTCATGCCTGTAATCCCAGCACTTTGGGAGGCCGAGGCAGGTGGATCACTTGAAGTTAGGAGTTCAAGACCAGCTTGGCAAAACCCCGTCTCTACTAAAAATACAAAAATTTGTCAGGTGTGGTGGCGCATGCCTGTAATCCCAGCTATTCAGGAGGCTGAAGTGGCAGAATTGCTTGAACCTGGGAGGTGGAGGTTGCAGTGAGCCTAGACGGTGCCACTGCTACAGCCTGGGCAACGGAGTGAGACTCTGTCAAGAAAGAAAGAAAGAAAGAAAGGAAGAAAGAAAGAAAGAAAGAAAGAAAGAAAGAAAGAAAGAAAGAAAGAAAGAAAGAAGGAAGGAAGGAAGGAAGGAAGGAAGGAAAGAAAGAAAGAAAGAAAGGAAGGAAGGAAGGAAGGAAGGAAGGAAGGAAGGGAGAAAGAGAGAGAGAAAGAGAGAAAGAGAGAAAGAGAGAAAGAGAGAGAGAGAGAGAGAGAGAGAAAGAGAGAAAGAGAGAAAGAGAGAGAGAGAGAGAGAGAGAAAGAGAGAAAGAGAGAAAGATAGAGAGAAAGAGAGAGAGAGACAGAGAGAGAGAGAGAAAGAAAGAAAGAAAGAAAGAAAGAAAGAAAGAAAGAAAGAAAGAAGGAAGGAAGGAAGGAAGGAAGGAAGGAAGGAAGGAAGGAAGGAAGGAAGGAAAGAAAGAAAGAAAGAAATCAACCAATAGGGTAGCTAGAAAGGTTGTTTGCTCTATTTGTAGTTCTCCTCTTAAGTATCAGTCAGACAGCTATTAAGATGTGACAGAATGATTTTAAAAAAGGAATAGAATGAAAAAAGTGGAAAAGGTAAGAAAAAGGATTTGAATTACATGTATTATGTTTTGTATTTCCTTCTCTCCAACAATGTAGCCTTTTAAAATGTCTAAAATGTGAAATAATTCCAAACTTGTACCAAAAAAGCCACATTCAAGTATACAAAATATTCTGTGTAAAAATAGTTAGGTTATGTATGCTTGCATATATTTGTATGTAATTTATATGTATGGTCAGATTATTTCATGCTATTTAAAACATAAAATTTGAATGTTAACCTGATTCCTTATTTAAATTAATGCTGCTTTTCCCAATCATGTTTTACTGCCTGCCAAATGTGGTTGACATAAAATTAAATATATTTGAAATATATACAAAGAAAAGTAAAATGAGGCTAATCTATGTAAAAGGGCAGTAAGCACCACTCTCGAATCTGAGGATTCAGTGTCAGTTCTCTGATAAACTGGCAATGATGTAGCTATGAGACAGAATCGAATTTAAGTTCTGCCAGATGTTTCTCCTAAAACACTGAAAGAGATGCAATTCTTCCTATTCCAACACCATCTTGGGAAGATTCTTATTTGTGTTTTATAGCTGCATTGACTTCCGAAGAGTATTGATGAAGAACATATGCGACTCAAGTGAAGATGGGACCATAGCTAGTGCAAATAAATGAGCATCAGAGATTTGGACAGAAAAATCCTCCTATTTTCTCCGAAAAAAAAAAAAAAAAAAACAGGAATAGAGAGAGGCAAACAAGGCAGTTAAGGGTGCAAAACTGAAGGAGGAATTCTATCTCTGCAGTGGGCAACTGCCAACCCTACCCTTGTTTTTCCCTGAGAGTGTCATATGGAACCAAAAAAGAGCCCGCATTGCCAAGTCAATCCTAAGCCAAAAGAACAAAGCTGGAGGCATCACACTACCTGACTTCAAACTACACTACAAGGCTACAGTAACCAAAACAGCATGGTACTGGTACCAAAACAGAGATATAGATCAATGGAACAGAACAGAGCCCTGAGAAATAATGCCGCATATCTACAACTATCTGATCTTTGACAAACCTGAGAAAAACAAGCAATGGGGAAAGGATTCCCTATTTAATAAATGGTGCTGGGAAAACTGGCTAGCCATATGTAGAAAGCTGAAACTGGATCCCTTCCTTACACCTTATACAAAAATCAATTCAAGATGGATTAAAGATTTAAACATTAGACCTAAAACCATAAAAACCCCAGAAGAAAACCTAGGCATTACCATTCAGGACATAGGCGTGGGCAAGGACTTCATGTCCAAAACACCAAAAGCAATGGCAACAAAAGCCAAAATTGACAAATGGGATCTAATTAAACTAAAGAGCTTCTGCACAGCAAAAGAAACTACCATCAGAGTGAACAGGCAACCTACAGAATGGGAGAAAATTTTAGCAACCTACTCATCTGACAAAGGGCTAATATCCAGAATCTACAATGAACTCAAACAAATTTACAAGAAAAAAACAAACAACCCCATCAAAAAGTGGGCGAAGGACATGAACAGACACTTCTCAAAAGAAGACATTTATGCAGCCAAAAAACACATGAAGAAATGCTCATCATCACTGGCCATCAGAGAGATGCAAATCAAAACCACTATGAGATATAATCTCACACCAGTTAGAATGGCAATCATTAAAAAGTCAGGAAACAACAGGTGCTGGAGAGGATGTGGAGAAATAGGAACACTTTTACACTGTTGGTGGGACTGTAAACTAGTTCAACCATTGTGGAAGTCAGTGTGGCGATTCCTCAGGGATCTAGAACTAGAAATACCATTTGACCCAGCCAACCCATTACTGGGTATATACCCAAATGACTATAAATCATGCTGCTATAAAGACACATGCACACGTATGTTTATTGCGGCACTATTCACAATAGCAAAGACTTGGAACCAACCCAAATGTCCAACAATGATAGACTGGATTAAGAAAATGTGGCACATATACACCATGGAATACTATGCAGCCATAAAAAATGATGAGTTCATATCCTTTGTAGGGACATGGATGAAATTGGAAACCATCATTCTCAGTAAACTATCGCAAGAACAAAAAACCAAACACCGCATATTCTCACTCATAGGTGGGAATTGAACAATGAGATCACATGGACACAGGAAGGGGAATATCACACTCTGGGGACTGTGGTGGGGTCGGGGGAGGGGGGAGGGATAGCATTGGGAGATATACCTAATGCTAGATGACACATTAGTGGGTGCAGCGCACCAGCATGGCACATGTATACATATGTAACTAACCTGCACAATGTGCACATGTACCCTAAAACTTAGAGTATAATAAAAAAAAAAAAATTCACACAGCTGTACAAATAATGACTGAAAAAAAAAAAAAAAAAAGAATGTTTTCTATTCTTATGGCTCCAGCTTCCAATTCTGTATGAAAGATTTCTAAATCTACATTTTCTGTTGTGGCTTCTGAATGCTCATTCTGTGATTCCAGTTGCCACCAGATATGTCCTTTGCATCTACAAAATTTACTAAAAAATAAACTCATTTTTTCCATTAAAAAAAACAAACAAACAAACAGTGATTTGACTCCTGTCACATATGTCTGAAGAGCAAAGGGCTACATTGAAAGAAACTGTCTAGAGACTAAGTGTTTCAAATTCTCTTGAAAATTCAAACAATCCTGCAAAGGACAGGCATGGTAGAAAAAGAAATCTCAGGTGAATAGTTTCTGGAGAATCTATTAGTTTGTAGAAGAAAAAGATGCCAAATGTGAAATAAAAACCATTAGTTGAACCAGAAACATTAAATGAGTGTGTTTTGTGGGGACGTGCTGCTATGAACATTACTGTAAAATTTCAGAAAACCATTCAATTATGCCTGACAGCTTTTAAAGACCCTGAATCTTTAGTTCAATCAAAGTGTATTTATTTATTATGAAATAAACTGTTGACGTCTCATTGAAAAACAAACAAAAAAAAAGAAAATAAACTCTATATGCAAACTTTCATTATCCATTTTTCTTAATATGATAAAATTACCCTTTGTATATCTAATATTCATTTGAATTTTCCAAAACTTATTAAACCATTTTTATGTAAAAAAAAAAAAAAAAAAAAGAGTGAGACGCCTGGGGCAAAAAATTTTAAAAGGTGCTCACTCTCAGAGTCCTTTAAGTGCTGATTGCAGAAGAGGAGAATTGAAGGATGGTGGATATCCTGGGAATAAAAAGAAACCAGTTTCCTCTGTGCAGTTTTTCCTGGTTTGGTTTTGTAATTTAGCCCATCATGTTCTACAATTCTGTAGGAATTCAGGGTTACATGCTTTTGAGTCAGCATGGCACTAGGTTTTTTTTTTTTTTTTTTTTTTTTTTTTTTGAGACAGAGTCTCATGCTGTCACCCATGCTGGAGTGCAGTAGCATGATCTCGGCTCACTGCAACCTCTCCCTCCTGGGTTCAAGGGATTCTCCTGCCTCAGCCTCCTGAGTAGCTGGGATTACAGGTGCGTGTCACCACGCCCAGCTAATTTTTGTATTTTTAGTAGAGAGGGGGTTTCACCATATTGGCCAGGCTGGTCTCAAACTCCTGAACCTCATGATCCACCCGCCTCGGCTTTCCAAAGTGCTGGGATTATAGGCGTGAGCCACCACGCCCGGCTGGCACTAGTTCTAAATAAAAATAGTAATGATAGACACAGGTATCCTTAGCATTTTCTTGTAGATCAGCATAAAATATAAAGGAAAACTCATTTAGCCCCTGAAAAATACAGACCAAAATTGCTAAATGGCTGATAACACTTCTCAAAGAGATACAATCAAGCTCTGACAAATGTGAATCTAGAATTTAGCTTTTCTAAGGAGACACTGCAACAAACCAACAAAGGTGGCACTTGTAATGGCCATATTCTTATATACTCTTTAAAATTTAAAAATTACATAATAGTTATAATTTGGTGAGTAGTAATTATACTCTGGTGGTGGGTGGGAGGAGAGCATGCATTCCTACTAGACTTTTCATTTCATAAATGGCAGGGAGTAAGGAGGAAGCATGTTACCCTATGCAGTGATGAATTTGTCATGCAAATACAAGTATGCTTTCCACTTAACCAGATGCTTCTGCTTGGATGGATAAAACATAAATATATCCATTTGAGTGGATAAATTTGCTTCGCGTTTGGAGAGTTTTACTTTTCACCTGTAGGCTAGTCCCACTGCGGAGATCATATAATAAATCTCCTTTTGGAGACTCTGGAGCTTTTGGTACGTTTAACATGCATTTTATCAAGAAACTTTGAGTATTTGCATACTCAAATGTAGAGAGTTTGCCCTAAAACTCATGTACTTTTCATCTGGATATAGTCAACCAACATAATTATTTTTGTTTATGAAGAAATACTCGTCTTCACATTTCCTTCAGCTTTATATTGCAGAATTACACTGCAGGAAGCCCCTGTGGATAATTACTTTCAGCATCAGGTCTTTCATTTTATTTAATTTGTGAAAAGAAGAGAAAAATCATCTCTGATCTTCATTTTTCTTCTGGTTTTTCTAGAACACCTGCCTACCCAAACTGATTTGTTAGCAACGGCAGCTCCTAAAAGCCTGGCAATAGTTCCCCTTTTGGACAGTCTATGCCCCTCCCTCTACATGTCAGTAAAACTATTAGAATTGTAAAATACTTGGTTTCTACTCATTTATCTTTCCAAAGGTATAAAAATGCCTGTTTATAGAAGTATGTAAATTATATCAAGATATTCAGCACCTTTTCCCTGCAAACTGTCAGAATTTCACCATTCTAAAAATGCAATCTATTAATTTTGAATACTTAAGCTGCTGATATTTAAATGCTACCACTTGTGGAACTGAAATGAATTTGTCAACCTCACATTCTGAATTTAGAACTTTATGAAGTATAGGATTGGTAAACCTCGGCGATATGATAGGTTGGAGCCAAACTTCAATGAATTCGATGATTCAATGAAGTTCTGACCTAAGGCATGGTCAAGAAAAAGAGAGAGAAAGAAGGAGAGAGAGTGAGAGAAAATTAACTGAGAGATTAACAAGCAATCTCATTTATCTAGTTCCATTAAGCATCACTTTTCTTCAGTAGAATCCTAATGACACTAGAATCTCTTGCCTCCTGGGAAACTCTCAAGGATTTCATTAGCTTTCAGGATTTGAAAAGTATTTGAGAATAGAACAATCCTCTCTCCCTCTCTCTTTCTCTCTCTTCCCTCTCTCTCTCTCTGTGTGTGTGTGTGTGTGTGTGTGTGTGTGTGTGTGTGTGTTCTGTACTTTCTTCAAATGTGTGATTTGAAAAGCTGTCCCATGTAATTTTAATTCTGATTTGATTCTGAATATGTAAACTATTAAAACAGCAGCCAAATCCTGGAAGTGTTTCTGGTATATATAAAATATTATTTGCTGGGCACAGTGGGGTGCACCTGTGGTCCCAGGTAATGGCAAGATTCCATCTCTAAACAAAAATAAAATAAAGTATAAAATAACATGTATCACTCTTCAATAATTGCCAAAAGATATTTCCCAAGTATTACTCAAAAACAGTTACCAAAAGGGATGTATGTGTTGCCAGTTCTGTTCTTACTCTAATAATTTATAAATATAACTAACATCTGCTCTTTCCATCAGAAATAACTCTTATTTAACATTTAATACTTTCTATATTTCAAAGCATTTTAGCAGGAGTTATCTGATTCAAAGCTGACTCCAACTTTGAGGAGGAGGGATACCTGGCATAACAGTCCCTTTTTGATAGACGAGAGAACAAGGAAAGGTAATTTAAAGGACTTGGCTGTTGTCACCAAGTGGCCAATGTGATAACTCTTGCTTGAGTTCTTCCTTGTTTTTTCCTTAGACCATACTTGTCCAACTCAAGGCCCACAGGCTACATGCAGCCCAGGATGGCTCTGAATGCAGCCCAGCACAAATGAATAAACTTTCTTAAAACACTGTGTATTTTTTTTCTTTAGTTCATCAGCTATCATTAGTGTTACTGTATTTTATGTTTGGTCCAAGACAATTCTTCTTCTTTCAACGTGGTCCAAGGAAGACAAAAGATTGGACATCCCTGCCTTATCCTTTAGGTTGTTTTAAAAATATGCTTGAAAATAAAACACCTGAATTAGGCCAGTTATAGAAAGTAGCAATTGAATGCAAAATAAAAATATGTACCACTATTATTAACAACTAATACTTAATGAATGTTTGCTGTATATAAAACAAGAAGTTCTTTACATATATTAACTTATTTAGTCTTGATAACAATTGTATTACATGAGACCTATTGTTAAACCCATTTTACAGAAATTAAGCGGAGAAAAGCTGAGCCATTTCAAAGTTAATAGCAATGCTGAGACTCACAGTCATATCTTCCACACCCAGCACCACAGTGAAAACTACTAGGCTAAACTTCCTCTCTATGCACTGGCATAATCATAATTCATTATTATCTATGCCATCTGTGTTAGGTAACATAGCCAAAGACAATCATACAACATAGGAATTGCTGTATAACTTCTAATTCTCTATGAGAAAACAAAACAAAAAGCTTCCATCTTTCCATCTTACTTTTCTAAAATCCTTACTTTCTGGGTTCAACACTCATTTCCTGTCTGGATCTTCAATACTTTACTTATCAGGAAACAAACTGAAATCTTCTTACTATCTTCGCTTTGAGAGAGAAGGATGGATCATACATTGAACATTCCAGATACCCACAAACAACCTAGCTCTTTTCTCCCTTCCCCGCCTCTTTTGCTATTATTTATTTCCTTCAGCTTGCTTTATGGAAGATTTTAAAATAAAGCCAGGACCATCAAGGGAATTAGAGAGATGGTGATATTCATGATCCTGCATCATCAGGGGGGTATAACCATCATTCAAATCCAGACCTCTCTTTCTCCCAGGCCCCACATCTTTCCACTGGACTAGACTATCCTGGAACCCAGGGCTCTCAACATTATCTGAGATATGAGAGTAGCTGTAGACACTCCCAATGACGGCCCCGAGGAAATCGTGCTGACTCAGGTACAACAGATTCAGTACCATATGGAAAATGAAGTGTCAGGCCCCCACAGCTGTGCAATGTATTACCACTGCAATAGGCTATCATTGTGCTTGGAGGAGAGAGCATTTGAAAAAGGTCGTTTTAATTTGTAAAACCAAATAAGAATGTGGAAGATCTGAAGGGAAGGGTAAGCAAAAGCAAATAATGGAATTTGCTATGAAAGAAGAGATATTGGGTTTCTCATTTAACATTTTTTAAGAAAAATAATTTTTGAAGAGAGACATTTTGGCATAAAAATGTTTAATTTTATTATAGCTTCCTTCAAGGTATTCACTAGTTATTTCTAATCATATATATTGAGTCTCAAATCCTATTTTTTCTTAGATTGTTTTCCTCAAGAGATGATCATAATATTAATAACAGTAATAATAATAATAATAAGATCATGGCTTGTATTAATAGAGGGATAGAATTTATGCCAATATCAACAGAAATAAAAATCTTGATTTTTATTTTTTGAATTGACTTATGAATTATCACAGATTATTGAGGTTCAATGCTGACCTTCATATTTTAGGATGCTGAAAAGCAAGCCCAGCTAAGTATAAGGACAGTTTGAGAAGTCATGTCATACAAAATGCTTGGGAGCAATAATTATTTCATTTTTTTTAAGTGTTCATTTAAAATTAGTGTGGGGGTGTAAAAATGCTGCCTTCAAATATTTGAATAGCCAAATGTAATTTCACCTCCTAGAAATAAGTGTCATCCTAAAACTCAAAATCCTCTCACAGCAATGCTCATGGTTTCATAAGCGTCCCATACATGCAGTAACCATCCACTGAGAACATACAGATATTACGCTTGGATTGGACACAATCCCTTTCCTCATTAAGCTCACTAACTTTTAAAAATACATTTTCATACCATATTTCAGGCTTTCATGTGCATTTGTATTTCTTTTTATGTGTACAACAGCCTTGTGAGGTTAGTATTGTTGTTCCTATTTTATAAATGAAAAAAATGAGGAAATAGGCTGTTTGCTTGAAGTCGCATCATCTGTAAGTTAGGGAGCCAGTATGCAAACCCAAATCATGTGACTCTGAAATGTGTATTTTCAAGACAATTCCTGCTTCCACTAAGAGATGGACCTCAGGCTACCTGATCACTCATCAGGGATTTGTACAAAGAATTTCTGTATTCAGGAACCTAAAGTAAATGAGTTTCAAAGCCCAAGACACTCTAATATTAAAATACAATAATAAGAACAATATATTCTTTCTTTTTAGTGAAAATATGTGATATTCATATAATATTTATATTCAAGTTTAAGGCATTTATATAATTTGATAAAATCATTACCTGTGATTTATGTGTCTTTTAGGACCAAAATTATACAATTTATACTTTTTGGTGAATTCCAAGATGATGCTTGGAAAAATAATAAAAAGAGCTGTTGTATGACTGTTGAACCTCTGAGGTAGCTTAAACTTCTTCCTCCTTAAACTTTCTACTCCTTACACACATGCCTTAGCTCTGGTTGAGCACAAAGTTAAAAGTGAAGTAAAAAACTGAAAAACTGGACTTTATCGATGTACCCAGAGTTAACAGAGAAATTAAACATAAATTGGAAGCCATAGACAGTGTGAAGAGAGCAGCACTGAGAAAAATATACATATATTATAAGATGTTAATCATTCGAATATTGTTTTGGTCACAAATATCCACTGTGAAATCTTAATTGGATCGTAAACAGAATGCGCTTCCTCCTCTGACCCTAACCCTGAATCCACACTCACTCGTATGTATTTTCCATCATCAGTCTAGAAGATAACTTAGCCTTTGTAATAAAGCTTGTGTTTTTAATTTTAATAGCAAGCTTTAAACTGTACCTCATTAGATATTAAACTTGTAAAAATCACTGTTCTAAGGTTGTGTCTATGTCCTATAGTGCAGTTCCTTTTATTTTATACCATATTACAGACTCTATGTTTCATTATAAGCCTTATGTATGACTTTAGCTTTACAAATGTGATAATTTTCATCTATTTCTTTGGTAATCATTTTTAACTGTTGATGGCTACATGTTCTTAGGTATAATTAAATCAAATCGCAATGACTAGAACTCCCCAGTATCTGCTTCTCCAGATTAAGCAAAACATATCAGTTAACCACCTAAATTCAGCTCTTACGATTCAGTTGAGAAATTTATGTAAACTGCGTCAGGGATAGAGTAGATGAGAAATACAGAACTGAGTTTCTCAGATATTTTATGGGAAAGAAAATGCCGATTTTTATCTTATTTCTTCTTCATTTCAAAGAATCAAGTGCGGAATGTGTAATCTTTTCTTCTCCATACACATTCCACTCCAATATGGACCCTTAAATGACTCACAAATCAGAAAAATCTAATTTAAGCATGGTTTGACTAATTTCACTGGTGATCATCACAAATCTTTCAAACTCACATCTGTTGAACATTATGTATGTGTTGTCCAAATTTTGATTGTGTGTTTTCAGTTAAATACCTTAAAACATGTCAGCATTTTAACGAAGGAGATAAGCAAACATTCTAAGGGAAGCATTCTTATCAGATAATTCTGCACTGTTTACACACACAACTTGCTAGAATGATGTTAATCATTTTGGTTCTGGTGCTTTAATTACCATTCCTATAACACAGCCCCATCTTGAGAAATTACTCTTCCGCATTTATCTTAAAAAAGACAAAGATTCTAGCCTAACTAGAAATGGAGATGGCCTCCCCATACTGGTTTGTTTTCCCCCAATGTCATTTGGCTCTCTCTTTTTTTTCGTTTGCATGGCAAAAGGACAGAAGGTAATTCTCAGGCTCTTGGCCTGAGAACTACAGCTGATTGAAGCAAACGTGGGTAAAATTTCTAAACCTTCAGTTAAACTATTTTTCTAATACTGTTTTTTTTTTTCTTTTGAGGCAGAGTCTCACTTTCTAGACCAGGCTGGAGTGCAGTGGCATGATCTTGGCTCACTGCAGCCTCCATCTCTCGGGCTCAAGTGATTCTTCTTCCTCAGCCTCTCAAGTAGCTGGGATTACAACAGGCACATGCAATGACGTCCGGCTAATTTTTTGTTTGTTTGTTTTTTATTTTTATTTTATTTTTATTTTTTTAGTAGAGATGGGGTTTCACCATGTTGGCCAGGCTGGTCTCAAACTCCTGATTTCAAGAGATCCACACATCTCAGCCTCTCAAAATGCTGGGATTACATGCGTGAGCCACTGTTTACGGCTCTAATACATTTTTGAAATTGCTATGTAAACTTCTACTTGTTAAAACTAAACTATAGATTACATTATTATTGTCAACAATTACTTGTTATTCGTTCATTTCTTATGAATTATAATGAATTTAGGTATTTGCTATGAACTGAGTCGTGACCCTCCCCCTTTCAGAATTCATAAACTGAAACCCTAACTCCCAATGTGACTGATTTGTAGGTATGTCTTTTGCAAGTAAACTAAGGTTAAATGATATTATATGGTTGGGACCTGAATCCCATAATACTGATAGCCTCATTAAAAGAGTAAGAAATTTTTCTCTTCTGCCATGTGAGGACATGGAGAAGGCTGTGCTGTCCTCAAGCCAAGAGCACTCACCAGAAACTGACTTTGCTGGCACTTTGTGGACTTCTCAGCCAGAACGATGAGAAAGAAATTTCTATTGTTTAAGTTATCTAATCTGATATTTTGTTATGGAAACCAGAACAGACAAATACATACTGAAATTATATCTATCTTCAAAATATGATTGGTTGGTATTATGACAAAGTAGTATTCATTTTAGTTCTAACTCTTCTAAAATTTTAAGATTTGAAAAAATGATAATTATTCAATGTAGACTTCTGATATGCCTTCTAGCTCTTCTCAATTATAATTCTAATGCTGTTCCATTATTCTACTTATTTTATTACCAAACATATATATTACTTGAACTCTAACATAAGAACATCACCTTTCTAATTCACAAGGCTTTCCAAAGATTTAATAAGTACTGACTAGGCAACAGGAATATAAGTTTTAAACAAGAATAATTAGAAGAAACTGCCATTACTAATTTATTTCAACATTGAATGTAATTCCATGAGTTGTTTAGATTTCAACCCTGTAAATACATTAACATGTAATACATCAGATTGTAATGTCTTGTGTTAGTTCTTTAACTTATAGGATTCTAAGTGTTTATTATTCCAAAACAATGTTTCATTTGTAATTATGATGGCTAAGTATTTGGGGCCCAACCTCACAATGCAAAACAATTATTTAGATTTTGTAGGCAATGTGGGGAGAAAGCTCTTATTTTAACCTCTATATTAGTGAAACTTTCTTGCAATTTTGGACTATAAAGAATACTATTGCATGGTTCAGAAAAAAAATAATAAGCAAAATCAATTGCCCTTTGACATCTTAAATTGATGTATTTTTGAGAAACAGTCAATTGCTGCATAAAATTATGAACATTACCTAACTGTCTTATAGATTTAAATCTGGCTCACACTCCTGATTCTAAACATGGACAACAGATTGTACTGAATCAACCCTTGCACCTCCCTCAAACCAGCAGTAGTATTTATTCCCATCTGTAATGAGAGTTTAGGTTATTTTATATCTCTTTCAAGATTTTAGAGCTTTCAGATAATGTTCATTCCGTGAAGGAACCTGGCAGACACCACCTTAACCAAGGGATCAAATTCAACATCATTATGAATGAGTCACGTCAACATCCTCTATCTTCTGACGTGATACAGTGAGAAGGGAAAAGCATCACTTCTGTCTTATACTTGCCAAAAATACATTCCCTGAAACATATGCATTAAGAAGAAACATGAGACAGGCCCATATTATAAAATGTTCTACCCAATTATGGGTCAAGAATGACAACGAAAGACTAAGGAACTATCCCAGACTGGAAAATATAAGGAAACAGGACAGATGAAAGGTGTGATATTGAACTGGTTCCTGCCAGAAACAAGTATTTAATATTTTATTAGAACAACTGGCAAATTTTGAATATATGCTGTTAATCAGTAAATAGTATTGTACCAATGTTAATTTCCTAGCTTAAATAATTGCTGTAGTCACGTAAGATATTACTATTTGCAAAAGCTGGATTAGAGAATAGCACTTTGCAACTTATTTATAAGTTTGAAATTAGTTCAAAATAAAAAAGTTTAAAACTTTACCAATTTGATCACATTTTACAGATGAGAAAATCAAAATTTATTGTTTCAGGGCTGTGTTTAAAATAACAAGAAAATTGCTACTTTAACCTGGAGTTTCTGCTTACTGATCTTTCTACTATATAAAGCTTCTCTCAGTATAGTTTTAGAAAACTCTGCCCTGTTTTCTAAGAAGATAATTTGCTTTTGCTTTGATTTGAAGATTGTATTAAAAAGATACAAAATCACAGAGGTGCACCAGGTGTCCTCATGCAAGCGTTTGTTCTTGGATCTGTGAGTTCTTCCTCTGTGGGAACCACCTCCACAGCTGTTGGTTAGTTTTGGAATTTACTGCTTTCCACTGCCATGGGATTACCTGCTTGGCTTATCAACCAGACTGTGAATTTTATGAAAGAGTTTATTTTTTAATGCTTCTATCTAGCACATTATCAATCACAGTATAAGTATGCGATAAATATTTGAAAAAAAAAAGGAGAGAGAAAAGAAGAAAGTAAACACAGAGGGTAGGTTTAGCAGCATACAAAAGAGATTTTCTTGGATACAATGTTAACCATGTTTGTACAAACTAGTGTTTCTTTCAGGTAATCAGCCTAAGGCATATAATCAATATAAATCATACAAAACGATGAGGACCCAATTTCTCCCAATATAGTCCTTGCCTACATATGCTCAATCCAGCAAAGTCTCAGTGACTGTCCTGCTGCTTATCTAATTCTGTCGTTTATCCTGGTGAGTCACGGAGGGCTGCAGATCCTGTGACTCTGTATCTATGAGCAATGCACATAAAGCTTGTCCAAACAATTACAGCGCACTTTGTAGAGAAAAAAACTCAATCATCGTTTCAGTTTATATCTTGTCCTTTGCACCTAAAACCTCAATATAAATACAATGTTAAAACACAGCTAATATACACTTTGGGAGGCCGAGGCGGGCAGATCACGTGAAGTCAGGAGTTCGAAACCAGCCTGGCCTACATGGTGAAACCCTCGTCTCTACTAAAAATACAAAAACCATCCAAGTATGGTGGTACATGCCTGTAGTCCCAGATACTGGGGAGGCTGAGGCAGGAGAATTGCTTGAACCGGGAGGCGGAGGCTGCAGTGAGCTGAGATTGCGTCACTACGTGCCAGTCTGGGTAAGAAAGCAAGACTCCATCTCAAAACAAGAACCAAAAAATAAAAAAAAAAAACAACAACGCATATAGACTGCAGTTGAAAATGTTTGCTGTTTTCATCACAAAATAGGACGCAAGTAGATTGCACATAAACACAAACATTGTTAAAAAGGCAGAATTTTTAAATGATTTTGATCAACATACACAGACAATCAGGAAATGTGGAGCCCAATCTAGAGTACCTAGTTTGGCTATAATCAGGCATATAACTGAGAGTCTTCCACTCTGTCCAACTTTTAGCTGTATAGCTAAAGCCTTTGGTAATTATAACCTTCATTTCTGAACTGAGGTGACTTTTTAAGTTAATTAGCCATATTAAGCCGAATAAATGGTGGGTTTCTGCATTTTAGTGGCACAATCTAACATGTTATTTACAAAATGGTAAGAAAAAAACAAAATAACAATGTATTTGCTTATTGCAGTATTATAAGAGCTGAATATAACTGCCAAGAAGTATTTCTAAAAATCTGAACTTATTTGCATCTGATAGAGCTGATCCGTGTCCAAATTCCTTTTGAAATCACCAGGAATTCCACACATCTATCAGCAAACTGACAGAGAACAAATGCCTTTACAAATTGACTCTAGTTGTAAAGTTATTATGAAAATGGGGTTTCTACTCATTCCTAGAAAAAATAAACTGTCTTTGTTTTCTTCTAAGAGTTGACCTGGCATTAGGCAATCTACATTTTCAGAGGACACTTTTCCTGTTTGTCTTTTCTCAATAAAATCTATAAACTGTAGATTTTGCTATGATGACTATGCTCTTTCTTGTCGCTCATACTTGGCATTCATTATTGACCTTTTCTGTATCTAACATAAAATTTTCCAGTTAAGGAATCTAATTTGTAACTCAAGTTTTTAAAAATAAACACAACCTATTTTCAATATGAAACTTCCTTTTTTGGAACACTGAATGTATCTTTAGATATCAGGAGGTAGATAATTTCTTGGTGAGAGATACTGCTGAGGTATAATTAAATGCATTGAAAATGCTCACCAATGCTTCCAAGTAAGCTTAAATTTAAAGCAAAGCCAATCCTGCAAACTGCATTTCTGTGTATTTGATTTCTACTGGGGTAATAGGTATAAACTTTCCCTGAATGAGTAAGGAAGAAAGAGGAGTAGCCAAAAAAAAAAAAAAGAAAGAAAGAGTGATGTTAACAGCTAGGGAAGCAACTGTGGAAGAGGCACGAAGCACACATTTCAGTGAAAGTAATGGCCTGGGGCACAGCGATCGGCTGGCATCCCATTACGGTTAGGAAAGATGAAAAATACTTAATACCTGGAACAGAGGCTGAGTGGTTTTGTAGACTTTTTTTTTTTTTTTTTTTTTTTTTTTTTTTTTTTTTACGTCAGACAGTTACAGGACGTTAAGTGAGTAATGCCAAGGTGATTAACAGACTGGGCTGAAGAAATGCAGTGCGATCCAATGAAATGGGTGGAAACTGGGACCTCCTATGTACTGTGAATAGCCACGGGAGGGGTGATATAAAGTGAAAAGGAGAAAAGAAAGGATCCTCCCCCCTTCCTTCTCCCCATATAAAAACAAGAAAACAGGCATGATGGTAATTAAAACATACATGTAAGGAAAGGGGCACTATTATTTTTTAAAACAGAACTCAGAGTAACATCCAAGGACTCCTTCCTTAAGTCTATACATTTATCAACTTATTTCACAAGAAAATGATGGGAAGCTAATGATAAAGGTTGCACCATCGGAGTCTAGCATAGCCCAGAAGTCTGAGCCCGGGTGGTTCCTGAGTAAGGGTTCTAGAAGCACTCCTGGTCCCCTTCAACAGAATGTTCTACTTTGGTCTTTGGTTATCATATGTAAAAAGCAACTCAGTAAACTACCTAAAATAATATGCTTGAAAGCCATATTGTAGCCTCATTATCTTCAATGTCTTAATGATCAAATTTTATTGACTGAAGAGTCATTTAATTGATCTTGCTGGTCACCTGCCATTAACATGGACTCGAAATTTGAAAGTCTTAAAAGACTCACAGATATAATTTCTGTGAATTTTTTACCCACTAATTATATCTCTGCCATAGTTTAATTGTATATAAATAATTTCTAAAAGCTGCATTATTAAGCTCCCCCAAAATAGACATTCCTATAATTAACTGGAATAAATATAAACACTATTAGAACATAAAATAATACCGGCTTTCATCTGAGGAATCACACAGATAACATTTCACATGTAACAAAATAGATGATCCATAACTAAGTTAATTTATAATTAATATGTAATGAAATATAAAATATAATAATGTCCAGAGTAATTGAATGTAGGTCATAAAGACTAATCGGATTTATTGAGTAACAGAATTGAATTGTAGATACCATTTTTCTATTTTATAGATTAGAAAACTAAAACTTAATGATATTAGGCAATTTGCCCCCAAGTTATACAACTAGTAGAAAGTGGTAGAGCAAGAAAATAAAAATGATGTCAATTTGACACATACGGTAGTTATCCATTATGTGATCAAGTTAAGGTACAAAATGTATCAAAGTCATCACTTATATTTTCCAAATTACCCAAATAGCTAGATTGTGTTAGGATGACTAAGAATGTGACCATCTAAGTGGCCTAGGTTGAATACACATCTGTGAAAAGCACTGATTAATTAGGTTCTTTTTTTCTTTCTATGATTATCTGCCCAGCCATTTCTTCACATCTTCTTCTATAATTTTTATTTCTTTCTGTCCTACAAACATTTCTGGGCACAGACATCACCTCCCAAAACTAAAAAAAAAAAAGAAAAAAGGAAAGGAAAATGTGTCTATTTACCCAAGTAATAAAAAACGTACTTAAGTCAAAGTTATTGTTATATCTCTGCTTATTCAGACCACCAAATTATTAATAAAAAGAATCATTTCATCATCTCAAATATAAAATCTATAGTAATCAAGTTCTCTGCCATTTTTTTCCAAGGATATATGAAAATTGTTCCTGTAAGGCCTTGCATTTGTCTCTCTTGTGTACAAATTCTCCTTCCATCTCAAATTATGTTACAGCCCTTTTTCTGTATTTTAGTCAATTTTTTAAAAAATTAAATCCATTTCCATCCTGGACAATTTACTATGAAAGGCGATATTGAACTCCCAATGTACAGCATGCAAAAGATAAACACGAACTAACTTCTGTCATGTAAATATAAGTGACCTTCTTTGATTAGTTGGAAGAGAGGTACATAATATTTCTTGTTACCTAATCAAGAAACTACACAATTTCTCTTAGAAAAATAACACCTTTGCCCAACAACTTTGTTTGCATATGGAATTTAAGTAACATAGGGACACACCTCTTCATAATTTTAAATTGACTTATAGGAGTTTTATGGAATAAGCATTCTGAATTATTATGGGAAATTTGTGAAATTCAAAAGAAGGCCATTTAAATTTTAAAACTATATAGATTTTTAAAATGTCAACTTCACCCAAGCAACTTTATTTAATACCAAATTAAATGGCATTTACTTTGGAAACAGTTTTGCTGCTTTTAGAAAATTTTACATTGTCACAAAATATGATTTTGCTTAATAACTATTACTTCCTTTTATACATTACTTGAATATTATAGCTCTGTCCATTTAAGAAAATTGGATGACTTTGTTAAATGTCCATTAAAAATGAATGAAATTAAGAGCTAGTTTCCTAATCAAATCCTAATCATTACGGTTACTCCTCTCAATTTCTTTATAAGAAAACAAGTAAAAAGAGAGTGAGACAGATATTTAGCATATATATGTACAGTAAATATGACGGTGTTACTGGTAGAATGGCTATAAAAATATATTAGTACACAAAACACCTCTGTATTTACATAAGCTTAGGTAGGAAAATGCTGTAACTGGACCAAAAAAAGAAAAATCCTAATTCACATCCCTAGAAACCTTTAACTTATTAATGTCCTTTTGTTTACAAGGTAGTAAAAGTCAGTATTTATAAAATATAGAGACATAAATAAAATAATAAATATAATACAAATTACCTTGATTGATGTAGATGCTCATCAATAAACATAATTTTGGCCCTTACTTAAGGTGTGATCAAACGAAAAAACGACCCATGCAGTAAATCACCAGGATTATTCCTCTATCTTTTAAAGTTGAAAAACTGATTTATAGATAAATTCAGTAGGTAGCTATGCTTCATTTTACCAGGAAGACAAATATAAAACTGACAGAGTGAAGTGTAAAAATACAGAGGCACAGATTTTGTGCTAATATACCCTATTTAGAAAACCTTCACCAGGACTCAGTACCAAATTGAGAAATTCAGTAGGCCTTTACAAATATTAAAAAAATTGAACCGGAAGTAGACTAGGAACCGAGAACATGATATGCCAAATGGCAGAGAGAAGGCTATGCTTTCTAGAAGCACCTTTTGGTTCAGGAAGCTCTCCAGTGAAAATCTCCTTCTCAAATATTAAGACAGAAGAAACTGTGAAAAACAAAATGTCCATCCAGCTAACACTTGGTCACCCAATAAATGCACCATGAACTGCCCATCACTTGTCTAATATCATTTCTAACTGACTTCTGTCCATGATCATTTTTAATCCAAAGGAAAATGTTTAAAGCAACCTAACACACACACACACACACACACACACACACACACACACCCCCCTATCAAAACAAGACTGCTAAGAAAAGTGGGTTTAAATTGTTCATAATTTAGAAACATTAGGGTCAATAGTTTCATTTTGCAGTTTTTCCACTGCAAGTATCAGGGAAGGACACCTAAGTATTAATGTTAGTCTGGACATCATTTTAATAATACCCCAAAAGCAGCAACTGAAACCAACTGGCTGTAAGAACCCACTACTCTTCATTTTTTATGAATAGTCTTGTTCCACTTTGGTAACGACAGTTTATCAATGTGTTACAACCAGAGTAAACTAGGCCTCTGTAGAATCCTCATCTGTTTCTAGGAATGAAGCATCATTCCCTAATATACAGTTTCACTGTAATGAATATTATACCTTGATTGCAACTTCGCAGTGGCTATCGCCAAAAACCTTCATAAACTCTTTCATAGAAATGATGTCTTGTGTTTACCATCCCCATAGCAAAAAATAAATTTTATATATATATAGCAGTTTTTCATCAAACCATAGACATGGACAATAATCATTTACAACTTTGAAAGGTCACAATACCCTACCTTTCCTACATAGAGGGGGTCTGAACCCATGTATTCCTCCAGCACAAAGAACTGATTCCACACCCAGCTGCGCTTGGTCCGGGACCTCCCTGATTGGAAATAGGGCTTTGATCTGGACCTTGAGAGTTCTGCTTGACTCATCCCAGAAAAACACAGGAAAAGAGCTATTAGCTGCAGAAAATGGCAGAACTCCACTTTGCCCAACTTCATCTTTTTTTTTTCTTTCTTTTTCCTGTGTAAGAAAAAAACCTTGACAAGAGAAAAGGCACAGTTCCAGTTGGCTTAGTAGCTCTTGCCTCCGGCAGGGTGTCAGCTGGGAGTCCAGAGATAATAATCTGTAGAGTGTTGGATTGGAAGAGGTCACCACTGCTGAATAGCCTTCGCCAAAGAATGGTGTAGTAAGTACCTATCAGAACAAAGAGAAGAGCTGGTGTCAGGAACCAAAACACATAATAATATTTAGCATTCATTGACTAATCTACTATTGATTTTCTTAAGACTATACAAATTTCCAAGATTATACAAATATCATAATTTGTGTAATTAAAATATTAATTATATACTTAGAAAATTATAATATACATTGATATATTTGTGAATTACATAAATACAGCTGATGCAGAACTATCTTCATTTCATAACACTACTTTAAAATATCACTTTTCTTCTAGGGCATTTTATTTGAGCATATGGTTTATTTTACACAAATGTAGCGGCATCATTTTAAAAATCATTTTAATGTTAGCCTTTATTTTTTTTCTTTTATATTACAGTGATTTTCATTCGTTGGTATTAGAATGTGAAAGCAAAGCAACTCAAAGCAGAAATTTAACCAAATGGGAAGGACACATGCTGGTTTAAATCTCTTCTGTGAAACTGTAAAGAGAAATAAAGAAGTATGAGGTGATGCAAAACTGGTTGATTGATTCTGAGTCACAGAACACCAGCTGTTTTGATGTGTTCTGATTTGATTGTGGTCAGCTGAAAAGCTCAGTAGTTTCCATTTTCCACTCTTTGAACTTATTGTCATGTATGCTGTGTAGCATGTTAGGTTATGCTATTGCATTGCGGTTATTTGCTATTTTACAATTATTTATTGAGCATCTTGCAGCATGAGTTGTGCATAGTAGGGCCTCCCTACATAAACATTTATAGAATTGAATTATGTTGATCAACAGAAGAGTGAGAAAACAGCTGTATTTGTGAGGCCCATTCATTGCTGGCATGCATCCAGGAGGTGCTTTAGCAGAAGCATGGAAAAGCCCTTTTATTCTAATGTCTATTTATTTCAGTTACAGAATTCTGATTATGCAAGAGATATAAAATCAGTTACAAAACAAACTTTCGAACATACCCCTAAAACACAAAGAAATGAGAATTTATGACAAAGTCCTCACTTAAATCACCATGTTGCACTTTGGTTTATGAATTCATTTTACTTCCTATAAATAAATCAACAATAGAACAATTAAGGCAAAGAAGTATCATTTGCCTATTTCTGTTTTTTTTTTTTTTTTGAGGAAGAGGAGAAAAATATAGTGTTGAGAACATAAAGCCAAAAGATGTCTCCTATTAAGGCAGAAAATGCACTATCCTCATAAGCTTTTCAGTCTTTCTACCTGTCCCTTCTGTAAGAAGAGTGTCTGTTATACAATAAAAAAATATTTTTGATAGTCAAATTTCTTAAGAAAATACTATATGTAGTAAAAGAAATGTGAAACAAATATATACATACATACAAATTTATCAAATTTTTAAATCGTTCACATGACTAGAAAAAACAGGTTCCAATGACTTTGGGCAATGAACTGTTAAAATGAATGCATACATTTAAAAATATATATCTATAAAGTTTTGATATTCCAGAGGGCATTTAAGGAAAAGCCAATGTTCATCTAATTACTGTACCTGAGAGCCACCAGAATGGTAACTCTTAACTGCACCCTGTGCAGAGAACACAATCTACCCAAATCCAGATACCCTATCCAAGGATCAAAAATAAATTTATTCCATTTAGAAACCACCCTAGAGGGCCAGTTGTTCTAGCTTTTGACTTATAAAGAACAAGTAACTTGGGATCATGCCTTGATGTTCCAATGTAGGCCCCTTAATTAAGTTGGAAGTTTATTGTAGGTAGGTCTGACTAACCCACCTGAAAGGCGTGCTTCCTACAGTTTAAAAAGGCAGGGACGTGCTTAAACTTGATCTGGACATGGTGCACTAGTGTAGGGATTAGTCCAGTGATGAGATGAGAATCGTGAAGAGTGGTCTTCAGTAGGAATGGCTGACAGTATGGGAAGGGGCAAAGTCATGTAGCTTCTTCCTTCATATAGTGGTAAACCAGTCTCCTGGGGATGGGGAGGGATGGTTTAGAGATCTGGTCAGGTGGCTGAGACAAGCATGTGAGGTCTGTGGCCATAGAACAGTTCCAGTTTCACCACTCTCCCTTCTCAAGAGAATGAATTCTCTCTTAAAGACAATGACATAAACACTTTGGCTCCTGATAATATAGTTTTTAGATGCAATAGAGCAAAATTATACCATTTAGGCTACTTTATGGATTGAGGGGATGTGGTAACATTGTTTCAGAGAGTGACAATACATCCAACTTCTAAAAACCTAAATAGCAAATGAGCTTTTGGAATTCAATACTTGAGGAGTTAGTTACCAGTAAAGACTGTTGGTGTCTGCATCGGATAAATATTCAAATTCTGGGTCAGTCATGTCTTAACTACGTAATCTTGAATAAGTTAAATTCTAAGACGTTCCAGAGATAAAACCTTAAGTCTCTCATCTATAAAACAAAGATGATAATAATGGCATCTACTTCATAGGATTAAATGAGCAAATCATGAGATGATAAAAATAGTGCCTGGCAATCAAAAATGTATTTTTAAAAAGTTCTTGGGATTATTATCATATTTTTTAGTTTGAAACTGGCTATGTTAAAATTAGTTTATGGGTTGATGTTAGTTTTCATTGGAATGTTATCTATATTCAAATGTTTTAGACAACTCTTACACCAAGTGAAAGCATTTTGATAGTTGTAGTTGGTTCCAGAGAACCATATGGTCATAAATCAAAAAATCAAGATGAATACAAAGGCGCCAAAGTACTATATATATATGTATAATTCTTTATTTCTTAAAGGCATGCCTTCTGTAATTTTTTAGAAATCAAACACAAATATCAGAGCTGGAGAAATTTATTTTAGTTCACTAGGTGTTTACTGATGAGGAACGAAGCACACAGTCTGGACTAGGGATAAGAGCACAGGACTCATTGTCCTACAAGCTCCACCACTTTGTACGACCTTGGATTGCTCCGGGATTTTATTTTCCACAGTTGCAAAATGAAGGAGCTGAACTCAATTATCTTATAAAGTCTATTTCTTTTTTCAGGTCTTACTTTTCTACTTTTTGACAATTATATAAAATTGATTTTGTTAGCTCTTTTAAAGCTGTGATAAAATACACATTGTTAATAATAAAAGATAATGGGGGCCGGGTGTGGTGGCTCATGCCTGTAATCCCAGCACTTCGGGAGGCCAAGTCAGGAAAATCACAAGGTCAGGAGATCGAGACCATCCTGGCTAACATGGTGAAACCCTGTCTCTACTAAAAATTAAAAAAAAAAAAAAATTAGCCGGGCATGGTGCCACACACCTATAATCCCAGCTACTTGGGGGGCTGAGGCAGGAGAATCGCTTAAACTCGGGAGGTGGAGGTTTCAGGGAGCCGAGACGGCACCACTGCACTCTAGCCTGGGTGACAGCGAGATTCTGTCTCCAAAAGAAAAAAGAAAAAAAAAAAAAAGATAATGGGCAGAGAAATTTAAGGAAGTTATAGGAATGTAAAATAAACATTTGACTTGCTTATAAAATGCAACATTCACTTTAAGAAGAGCTGTTTAATGTACTCTTCTTGCTCTTGAAGATTATTTCTCTTCCATTCAACAAGACTGGAGATTTATCAAATTAGCTAGAACATATCAAAGAAGGGAGTTACAGAACATGGCATGGGTTACATTAAAGTCATTGAAATAATGTCTGTGAAGGGAAGATACTTGATAATTGAGCAACTCATTTTAATCAAGGGTTTTTAAAAGCAGCTAGTATAAACATAAACCTTGATGAAGAAGGAGATCTACCCTATCGTATCTGTAGTATCTACGACTGAAGTAGGCACATAATTGACATTCGGAAACCATTTACATAATGCTCATTTTCATTATGATCAACCTCATTTTTTGATATGAAAAGTTAACCGTATAACAAGTCAAGATACAAATTCCTTGGTAAGTCAACCATGTTTATAAGTCACAATCACTTTCAAGAAAATTCCATTATATTTCTCTGCAGTATTTGAAGTATTTGCCAACCTCTTGAGCTAAATTGTCTTTACCTTGATCCAAGTTCTATCAGAGTGCACAAGGATATTTAACTGGCATTGTGTATATTATCAGAGGACGAAATTTTCTTTTTTGAGATAAGTGTCTCTGTCATACTCTTTGTGGAATGCACTTGGAAAATCAGAAAACAGTGTGTGAACCATTGTGATCTGAAGTGAGGATGTTTCACGTGTTCCCCAGTATTTTTGGCAGTAACCAACTCTCCCAGGAACATATGCCCTCTATAGCAGGGGAAGAGTCGCATGGCCTCAGGTCAGGTGCCACCTTTCCTTATCAGTCTTTCACAAATGTTTGCCTTCTTTTTCAATCAAATCTCATTTTCAAGAGAAAGGCGAGTATAGCAGTTCAACTGGTTTCATTCTGTCCTGAGCTGGGTATCATGAAAGAAATAAGGGCTCTGAAGCATTATTTTAAAAAGCCTGTAGTTCTTTGTGGTTGTCAACCAGAAGTAATCCAAACTTAAACTTGAGATTTTTCTCACACACTGTATAACCTCTTTATAAGGCTTTTTATCTTCTTACAAATATCAACATGTAGAAAGATACCACAATAACTTTTATTACATTTAAATGAACTTGAGTACAGAGTCAGTAACAAATTGTTGACTTTTCACAATGGATTAAATATTGCCTCACAAATCTGTGCCTAAAGCAAAAACACTGCATCCCTCTTTAGAAGTCTATGTTGTTTATCTTCTATCTTCCACCTCCTTTCCTATCTGAGTTTCATATACAGGAGTTAAAAACAAGATTCATGTCAGAAAAAAATGAGTACTCTGCATCCATGCATGTGGTTTGGAGAGCTGACCTCTTCACTATTACTAGTTCTTTAAAAAGTGCAGAAAAAAAAAATATATATATATATGGATATACAGTTGAAGGAATGTCTACAGATCTTTACAAACTTTTGGACACTGGAACATTTCTGAAGAGAAAAACAAGAACAGGTTATATCTGAGGAGAGAAGGGCACAGAGGTAAATCACAGATGTCTCAGGGAGTAGTAGTGATGGTTACTGGATAAATGATTAATCTGAAACGGAAAAAAAATTGAGGAAGATTTAAAATGTTTTTGTTTGATATTTTAAGGCTAAAACTTGTATTTTGAAAAACAATTTATAATATTTTTCCATGTTTTACAAACTGAAATACATGAAAATCACAAGTAGTACTGTGATAAGCATAACAGATCTTAATCATCAGAATATAAAATAAAACACTGAAAAATATATTTTGAACGGACTGAAGCAAAAAGAAAAAACAAGAGGTAAAAATCCCTTAAGCAGTATTTACTAAATCAACGTCATTTGATATGAAATCACTTGATCATGCTACCATTTTGTTCCAATTATTTTTGTTAAACTAAGTGGCAGTGTATTAGTTTCAAGTAGACTGTTTATTATCCACTTAACTTTAACAGCTAATGTTATTTTACCAAAACAAATTCATTACTATAACGTTTTCTTGGAATTTCTCCTCCACTTGACATCTCTAGGAAACCACTTTTAACAGATCAAGTGACTATCGTGCTCTTAATCAAATGGTGTTTTCAAACTTACAAACAATGACTAAAGGTCCTTTCATGCAAAAAAAAAAAAAACTGTTATGCATTAGCATATCAATTACTAATCAGCAAAATTGCGAGTCTTCCAAAACCTGTTCCATTCAAAGTCAACATGCTAAAAACATAACAAGTATACATCATATTCAGCCACTGCACACTAACATATCACCACAAGAGTAGTTTTTAAAACATGGCTAACTGCCAATTAATTCATATGTTCTAGACTGCTTTTTTAAAAAGTACACAGTGCTGTATGCTTTCTAGAAATAATATGTGCTATGATATATAACTATCAGCTATACTAAAAGGAAATATAGGACTATTTTTGGTTTTGTGGCACTTAATGTTGAACTGGAATGTGTTTGTTGCAGTCCAATATAAATAAGCAATGGCTTATCACAATTAAAGACCACATTCCACCAAACTTTCTCTAAATTCTAGGCAAGGAGCAGCTGCTCATGCTCTCTGCTGTCTGGAGTCTGCCTCAGATGCAGGTCTTCTGAAACTGTTTTGAAATAGACTTAATATATAACACACTAACACACAGCTTATTATCAATTGGTAATGCTGATTTAAAGAAGTTATGCCTCTCTTTTAAAAACTGGTATAGTTTATGACTAGATGGAGAATGATAGTCCAAGACTAAATTCAATTATTTGCATTTTCTAGAAAAACAAGTGTAGGAATGACATTTGAGGACTGTCAGTGTACTTAATAGAGAATCAGAAAAATCCATAATGGTTGTCTGACAAACACCTCCAGAATCTAACTGATATTCCCTGAGACATTTTGTTGGCTGACCTATGAAACATAATAGTACAAGACATCACAGTTGGAATAATAGCACCAAAATAGAAAAAATATTGTTGAGCTATTGGGGGGAAACTGTCATTTCCAAGATTGCTTTAAGGTTGAACTACATTTAGGCAGCAGCATGTTTTTAATGAATCTTTAAGTAGGGTGAAAGATGTACATGTTTAAAAGTGGAAATGACACCATTCCACAGCAAGGGAACTATGAAACATATTACCATTGTTTTAAGATGAACCTTCTATTTACTAGTTTTTGTTTTGTTTTGTTTTTTGTTTTTGTTTTTGTTTTTTTGTTTGTTTTGTATAGTCTAGGAGAAGTCTGTTTCTTTTTAGGAATTCCTTGGATATTTAATGGTTTTATTTAAATTCCATGAAGAGACTGCCTGCTGATTCATCCACTGTCTTCTCTGAAGACTTTCATTTGCTCTTGTGTCCCCAGTACAGCTGCCACTGTCACCTGTTACCACTGAGGTCCTCCCTGTGATTTATCCCAGTCCACAGAGTTAGAGTAGTCTGCTTTGTGTAAAGGATAGTACTTATTCATTGTTGCTTTTGCCTATTTTTATTGTAGAATCCCTTAATACATTTTTGGGAATGCCAAAGGGGGAAAATATATTCTAATCCCCTCCTATTCATGACTGAGCAGATGCCATAATACAACACTAGAGAGAAAACAGTCCTGGACAGAATGTTTTCAGAGCTGAAGCCACACTTCATTTCGAACCACAACATTACCAGCCACACTATTCAGGACAATGTCTAAGAGATAAATAAAGAGGATGCCATTTCAATACTGAAAAATGTAATAGTTTGGTTTTCATTAGGGTTCATGTTAGAGGAAAAACATTTTAAAATCTTCAAATTCTGCTGCTCCTTAAGTTTGAAGATTCCCAAAGTGGTGGAACCACAGATTGATGACATGTTTGAGCTGCAATAGATGTTAGAAAAACCAAGGTAGCCCTTGCTTTACTTTGAACAAAATGGAAATCTACAGATTCCCAGTGAAATGCCCAAGGTCACACAGCTAGGTACTGATCCAATATCCATTGCATAACTGTATGTAATGAGTATTTTAAAGTATTTGTTAAAAATTGCTCATTCTGGTAATAAGTGCTTTTGCAATGTGTGATCTTTGGAACTTATCATCTTTCCTAAAAGTGAAACAAAGTAGATTTGGCTGTACTTAAATTTTTATACGACCATAAGTTTTAATTTTCTAAGTAGGTAATGGTAACCATCATTATCATTCAGAAGGGCAGAAAATGCAGACTAAGAAGAAAGGGTGAAGGAACCTATTGTCTAGGGTTGTATGTTTCTATCTTACAAAAAAATGAAGAGTGAGCTCTATCCAAATTTAAAATTGCTTTTTCCCTTCTAAACAACTCTGGAATCCAAAAATAATTTCCTACTACACTATGACACAAGGTAGCTAACTATTTCCACTGAAATTTAAACAACAGCCCAGTGAACATTGTAGAAATAGGGTACCAACTCAGGACAGTATATTAGGATATAAACTCTATATATGGGGCCATTTTGTTTGGCAAAATAAGTATCATTCCTATTGTACCCTTTTGGTTGGTGACATAAGTCCTATATTTTGAGATGACTGCTTGCTGCTGATATTCGCATTATAATCATCCTAAACTTAATGTTGCTATCTTCAGTTTCTAGTATAGTAATATACTAACATTAATTTGTTTCATCTGTATACCATTTAAAGTTTAACATCACATTCGATAATTTTAATTCTGATGAAAGAGCTCTCTCTTTTGTACTTAAAAGGTATAATTTTTTACATTTTAATTAGTGAGGCTAGGGACTCTCTGTGATATGTGACTTCTCACGTAAAGAAACTGCGATCAAATCCATTAGCTCCCTGGGCCAGATAACATTACAACCACAGACCACAACCTCCTACTGTTAACTGGCCTAAATATGCAGGCAGGGGCCCTGGAAATGAATCACACAGCCTGTAGTGTGCATCTGGTTATCAAACACAGAAAGAAAACTTCTCAAAGTGGATTACAGACTCAATTTCAACTAAGCACAACTTCTGCCATGGGTGAAATGAATTTTTTAAAAGGGGAAACAAGAGTTTATAATTAACTAGAAGAAACATTCGTAAATTAAAAAGTAAACAAAGTAACAAGGCACAATCTTTCTGAGTTATTTATGTAATAAAATGGTAAAATTATATTCAGAGAGTTTTTTATAATTTATTCTTACAAGAAATCTTAGCTGTATCAACTATAATTTTTAATTTGCCCTTGTATTTACCTTGGGCCACGTGTGATTTATGTGACTTCAATAAAAGTCAGCAGGTTTCAATAAACACTTTGCAAAATAGCAGAAAAGAGATTCTACCAGAATGAAAATCTATACTATAATCTGAAATGAAGATATGGACAGATGTCTGCATATTCATTTGAACTGGTAATTTTATCTGTGAGACTTGCAGAAAAACAAGGGGGAAGTGCTTGCAGGGGTATCTTTCTGCAGAACCAGCAAATCCCCAGAGGAGGCACTCGTGTATTGCTGGTTACAGCTAGATCTGCTCTGCTTGTCAGACGCTGGGGAGATGGTCACACACAAGACTCTGATCACATGTCTTCTTTCCTTGTCCTCAGCTCCCCTTTATCACCCCACCAAGTAGCATCTGATTCCTTCATCCAAGGAAGAAAAAGCTTCCATCTCAAACCCTTTGCAATCAACTAATGCATGTTAGTTATTTTAGAAGTTCCTGAAACTTCCAATTTAAGCTAAGGCTTTGAAGACTTCCAATCAAGTAAAAGACATTTGTGTGTGTGTAAGAGAGAGAGAACTGTGATGTGATACAAGCTATTAATGCAATAAATGTAAAACCTTATGAAATCCAGGAAGATTGTAACCATTCAGCAATAAATATCCACAGCACAGAACAATTTGTGAGTTTAGTATTTTATAAATTATTTCTGAAAGATCTGACAAAAAAGTATTTGCTCAACACAAAAATATATTCACTTCCTTATATCAGTATACACTCTGAGGAGTTTATATCAGCTTTGCCATCAAAAAAGCAAAATGCTGAATAACAGGGAAACCAGTAAAGACACTAGTGCCCAGGAGAGACAGTCATTTGATTTTTAGGCCAAGGAAGGCTGAACAGTGGCCAACTCCGCGTGCTCTCCACCCTCTCTTCTTCATTGGACACTAAACACTAGAGTCAATTCAAGGGTAAATTGCAGTAATATAGATGCTTTACAATTATCCTTTTATAAGAAAGGAAAAAGCTCTGTGCTATTAAATCAATAAAAGTAGACTTAAGAAGACTTGTGAGTCTGTAAAGTGATTAACACAATTCTAATGACCTCTTGCAGCCCTTAATTACAATAATATCTCACGTTGTAAGTGCACAATGCCCTTTTATTAAAGCTGCAAACCTTAATAGCTTTTAGCAGGGTGATGGTCTGTGCTACTGATTATTGTTTTCTTTATTTTTCTTTCCTCAGACAGACTCGGCTAGCTTTCCCAGATAAGACTATTGACGTTGGATGTTACCTAATTGCTCTGCTATCCCACTCCATATTAAACACTAACACAGAAGCAAGACTTCCACAAAGTTGCCAGTCTTCCTACCTGTCTCAATTCTTTTGCATTTTAATTCATACTGTTCAAAATAGCCTTAAAAATAAAGAAAAGGATTCTTCATGCATTTCCCCTTGACATATAGAACAAGAAAATATCCTAGGTAAACCAAAGTCTAACTAGTTCTTTAGGAAAGAAGTAATTCTTGGTGAGTTACTGAACGCTTCAAATGTAATTAATTTTTTTTCTTAGCTCTTTTCTCCCATAACAATTTGCCTTTATAAAGACTCTCTTAAAACTATTTAGATATTGTGTCTATGCAAACTTTCCTTTAGAAAAAAAGACTGCTACTGCTCTTAAACTCTTAAAATACACATTTTTTGTGTGAGGTGTTATCTGCTTTTAAAAATACATACTTGTCACTTGGCAAGGGCCATATATTAACAAGTCACTTACATTTTTCTCTTATTTTTTGTATAAAGTTATGTTTATCTACTTCTCTATGAAAAATGATCTGAACACCTGTCTAGTAGCTACAGAAATTATGAGGACAAGTCTTACGTAAAGGTCTCACTTAATAAACGATCTAATAGAGACAAGATATTTATTGCAAAGCAAAAGATGTTATAAGTACATTCCTCGTTCAATTTGCAGATCTCCAAAGCCTTGATACACCCAATCCTTGATGGTTTCTCAATAGTTTGCCATTTGCCCAGTGCTGGGTGAACTCATTGCCAATCTTTACTCACCTGAACTATGACATTTAAGAAATCCGTAGGGTTAACGATCTAAAACGTGAAGCGGTACAGAATAACGGGTCTTTTCTCATTAATCCACACTGGAAGGTTGAATACCGGCAAGTAGCAGTGTACCATGTGCACCCATGAAGAAGTCCACCATGCATTCAGAGAAGCAGGGCGCCCTTTTCCCAGCGCACACTTAAGGTACTGCCAGGCGGAGGGGACGCAGGATGCAGATGAACCAGATCAGCAGAATACTAATTACAGGGGAAAAAAGCAAAGCACCCTGAAGTGAGCTCCACCTTCACGAAAGGTAAAAGGTGTCCAGAGCGAATGGTTCAAAGGACTCCTGCCCAAAGCGGCGCATACCCCCTTCCAGCCTCAGACCTCTGCAGAACCCGGCGGCACAGCCGGCGCGGAGTTGTGCCCCCATCAGTCCGAGGTTGAGGGAGGAGCCTGCTTGTGGTCCTCTTTGAGGAGAGTGCTCCAGCCTGCCCATGTTTGCCGCTGCACCTGGAGAGTGCCGGGATTTGCTCTTACCCTCAACTACTACTCCTCGTGTCGCACCTGGTGTCTGTCAACACCGGCTTTCCGGGCCAAACGCCCCCGCCTCCGTCCACAAGCCTGTCCTGCCTTGCAGAGCCACATCTCACTGCAACACGCAGTAACTTGGGGACGCCAAGGGAAACTCCACACGGACATCCCCGCCCGCTCTCCGCTCACTGATTAGTCCTGCTTCCAAAGGCGCACAGCAAGGGCGCACATCTGCCCAGCGGCGCCTCCCCAGCCCCGCGCAGGCAGACACACTCACCTGGGGCCTCGCTGCCCTCCCCACGGCGTCAGACGCCAGGGACCCGGGCGTGTGCATCCGAAAGAACGTGCGCTCGGCTGCCGGACGCCCGCGGGCTCTTGGGGACCCAGTGCGCGCAGCTCCGCGCGCGGGGCAGACTGGAGGAACCGGCTCGACACCCGCTCGGGCCCGCCCGGCACGGGCTCCTCCTCCAATCACAGCCCACTCCGCGGTGCGCGGGGACCCTGCCCCGGCCTCGGGCGCCGGGGGCCCGCTGCGTCTGCTCACTGCGAGGGGCCCCTCCGGCTCGCCCGGGCAGCTGAGACGCAGGGTCCGGAGCCAGCGGGAGCGCGCGGCCAGAGAGAGGGCGAGAGGGCGCGCAGGAGAGGAGGAGAGAGCGCGCCGGAGCCGGGGCCGAAGAGGGAGGGGAAGAGGGCGACGATGGTGGGCGGCGGGCGCCTGCTGTCAGCGCTGTCGGAGGCCGGCCCAGGGAGCCACTGAGACTTCGGCGCCTCCCAGAGACCCGGTGGGGGCTACTGGAAAAGAACGCGAAGACGGAGCCGCTCGGCCGCCACGCGCGCACACACACACGCGCGCACCCTCGCGCACCCTCCTCCACCTCCCGCCTGGCGGATCTGTACAGATGGATTCCTTCGCAGGAAAATAAAGAAGAGGGGTGAAAGTAGGAGGGGCTGCAGCCCATCCATCTCTCCGTGAGGCATTTGCATCTGAAAGCACGGAGCTGGAGGAGAGTTTTGAGGGTATTTTCAAGCTGCCCCTCCAACACCCACCTTAGCCTGTCGTGAAAGCCGTGATCAGTTGAGCTCCTGAGGCATGAAGGCAAAGTCATAAAACTAATCAGAACTTACAGTTTTCTTGCTTGATAGTTTTGCCCTTTCAATCTCCTCGGACTGCCCTAGTTCTACTTTTTTTTTTTTTTTTTTTTTAACTTGCAGACAATTTTCTCCCCTGCTGGGCTCTCTAATGCTAAACTTCCAAAGTGTATGATTTACTCGCAGTGCGGGACAGAGGACCCTTGCAAGGTGTGGAAGGAAGGAAAGAAGGAAGGAAGAGGATCTGGTCTTTTCTTTAGAGCGCGGTGCAGCCCCTGGAGTTGAGCACGCTTTGTTTTCCCCTGCTCTGGTGCTCGCTTTAATCTGATGACTGGGTGTTCTGTCATAGGGGTTAGGAGGGGGAAGAGATCATTTCCAACTACCTTCCTTTCATTTTTCTCACTCTACCAATGGAAAGTGTCCTCTTTCTCTTACGCACTTATTCTTACTTAACCTTAGCAGTAATTCTTCGGATACCAGTTACATGGGCTTAGGCTTGTCCGTACCATTATCTCTGATTTCTTGTGCAGTCAAGCACACTTTTCTGTCCCCAGTCCAGCCTCTCCTGGCTATTTAACTGGCGCCATGCCTCCCCCACCTCGCCCATTCAATTTAGTCAATGTTTAAAACCGAATTCTATGCTAATAATTCTGACAGCAATTATGGACTCCTGTTAAGTTCCAGATACCATCCTATGTTGCTTACCTAACATTAATGCATTTTAAAAGTTCTAACTCCAACCCCAAAGCTCCCCAGATCCAGGGCTGCTTGGATGACCATTTCATGGTCCATTTCCACTCAGCTGTCAGCCATCACCCAAATTCAAGATGCTTAGAAAAGACCTCCGTATCTTTTTTTAGATATTAGCTTGGATTTTCCCTGTATGTTCTTTTCTGTCAGGGGCACTATCATTCACCTGGTAGCCAGGTATCAAACCTTGGCTTCATCTTTGAGCTCTTTGAAATACTTTTCTGTGTTAAAATGCTCAATTATTCTGGCTCATGTAGTACAATCTTTAGATTCAATTCAGATTTTTCTGGTAACATTACATATATTTGCCTTGTTTTGCCTACGAACTGACTTCTGGGATGAGATTTTTTCTTATAACTGTTCTGAACTAAAAGCTTCAGGAGGGCTGTGATTAATATTCAATATCATCAAGACACAGCACATGTTCGGCCCATAGTAAGCATTTTTTGAATAAAGAAGTGTTTGTATCCCATCTAGCATTTATCACAAATCTGACCATACCAAGCTATTTTTAAACTGCTCTTGGATTGCCTGGGTTGTTCATCTATAGGAGGTCATATTGTGATTGGGAATCAGAAACTGCACTGTTTTCATCTACCGGCTTGTTTTGGTCAAAAGACATTGCATAGAAAATGAAAATGTTTTGAGGCCCTTTAAGAAAAAGATATTTTTCCTCAAGTTTTCATATTTTTTCTCTTCTTATGACTCCACATAAATGTTGATTCCAAATGCACGCTTTCTTCTTAAACCATTCTATGTGCCTTCCTTTTAAAAAATTTCCTCAGTAACCTCTACAGAATCCAAAACAGGTGAAGTAATTTCAGTTAACCAAAATTCTAGCCCTGGTTCCCACACTAACAGCTGTTGATCTTAGAGGGAGGTCTAGATTCTTCTTGTCCAAAAGACACAACCTAGAGCAAGGGTAAGAACTGGGAATAATACAGACAGAAACCAAGGGACACCTTTTACCTAAGGGATGGTCTCTTTCTGAGGTGATGGCACATAGGCTGAAATGTAATGATGACAATGAGTCAGCGTTGTGCAGCTCTGAGGGAAGAATGATCTAGGCAGAATAAACAAGGGGAATGTCTGCGGCAGGAAGGGGTTGGATGTATGTACTGCAGGAAGGGAGGAGAATGGAGATGGATTATGTTGTAGTAATAGATATGGAATAGATCTTTCCAGGTCTTCCAGGCCCTGAAAGATGTTTATATTTTATCTTAGGAGGAAGCCCAGCATCAAGAACAGCAAGTAAGAGTTCACCAGGCTTAAGCTGTTGTCAAGTTTAGGGTCAACACATGTTTTATTAGGTCCTTTCTCCTCTTCTTTCTTTTTCTCACAATTTCTGGTTTGATTAGAAGACCCAGTTTTCTGAGAAACGCAACAACAACAACATAAAAAAACTGTAGTAGATGAATCCCAAGGCACTGCCAATTATTTAAGATTCCATAAACTACAAATGCAAGCCATAATGTCTTACTTACAAAATTTCATGTTTTCTTATACATTTCAAATGTATGTTATAATATTTCTATTCATATGTGTGTATATATTTTCAAATTCCCTCAGTTGAAGGCTTTATGTCTTTAGTGTTGTATATAGCATTATTTGAATAACTGTTCCCTTTTCTATCCTACTTTAAAAAGCCTCTTTTCAATTTATTTTCACTGTCTTGATTAAATTAAGAAAAGTTAACCTGCTCTGAAACTATATTTTGGAGAAGGAGGAATCAGTAAAATGTAGGAGAATTCTTTCACGGTTTCTGTTTGTATGAAAAGTATATTCTTAGGTGTTTTATCATCCAAAGTAGATACGATGCAAGCAAGTACTTTCTGATGAGATTGCTGATCAGATTTTATTCATAGTCATTCCATTATGATCTTACTCTAAAGCCAAAGACATAGGCCTGGTATCTGGTAGCTAAGAAGAGAACAGATGTAATCCTTGAGAACTAAGCAGTTCTAAACATTCTGGAGAACCTCAGGTAGGAAAACAGAGATATGGCAGAAGGTAGGAGGCTCTCCCCATAAGGCCACAAAAGGTCTTAGAACATGGGACCACTTATGGTTTCTTGTGAATGTTTCTCCCAATATAAACTGTGAATAATAATAAAAATTTATATTTAATGCTTAACATTTGTTCTGAGGGTATCTATGTCCTTCAGTTTAGTTCATCTAATTAAATATGATTCCATCTTCTGGAAAGTAAGGACTTCTAGCACAAGGTAGCCATTTAGTGCATATTTACTGAACCCCTGCTATATGATTCCTCAACTGGGGCATGGGAACACAAAGATAAATAAGATTTAGTTCTTAACGTCAGGAACTTCTCAATCTACTCTGAAAATAAAGAGGTGTGTATATCTCCACACACCACGTGATGAGGTGGGCACAAAATGTCACATGTGGGAGTACAACAAAGGGGCCATATGATGAGAAACCTTGAATGAAGGAAAAATGTTTGGAATGTGCTGTGAGGACAAAAGGGGCTTTATTGAGGAGTGTTATGAAGAAAAATGGTGATCATATTTGCATTAGAAGAAGAAACACCCTAGCCCCTGTTAAGTCAGTCTTGGACCTGAGGTGAAAGAAATGTTTAGGAAGTCGTTTTAGAAATCCAGTTGCTGGGAAAAACCTTGGCCTGGACTCTAGTTGTGGCACTGGAATTATATGAAAGTTCCTTGGATATAGTCAGAAAATATAAATAGATGTAAAGATTTTTTGACTAGAGTCATCACTAATGCAGCATAAATAATCACTAAAAGAAGAAAGATGTTGGTACCTCAGATTGGCGTCATGGAGTCAACCCCCAAACCGCATCACTCATGACCATGCCACTTCATAGAGTAACCAAACTAGAAAAATCCAAAATCTGAGGTAATACAACAATTTTGCTTCTTACGATATACTCAAGGTCTCCTCCTTCACTATCCAAAAAATTCAGTTTTGCACAAAAATGAATGCTTACCTGGAGAGTATACCACTCAGTTAAAAGACCCTAAAATATTCATAGAATAAAGGAGCTGCTTAGACGCCACAGAAATATTTAGAAAATGCGAAGTTGGCCGGGCGCAGTGGCTCAGGCCTATAATCCCAGCACTTTGGGAGGCCGAGGCGGGCAGATCACAAGGTCAGGAGTTCAAGACCAGCCTGGCCAATATAAAGAAATCCCATCTCTACAAAAAATACAAAGTTAGCCGGGTGTGGTGGCACGTGCCTGTAGTCCCAGCTACTCAGGAGGCTGAGGTGGGAGAATCGCTTGCACCTGAGAGGCAGAGGTTGCAGTGAGCAGAGACCACGCCATTGCACTCCAGCCTGGGTGACAGAGTGAGGCTCCATCTGAAAAAAAAAAAAAAAGGCAGAGGCAAAGATGTTTGATGGGGTCTAAGGAACTTTATTATGTAATCTGGCAGAACGTAAGTGCAAATCCTCACGGAAGAATTCTGTGCAGCTTTCAGCCTGTGCTGCCAGAGATGGTGCTTCAGCTGGGAGTTTGCAAGTAAGTTACTCCTTCCCTGAACCACTTAGAAAAATCCTTCAGAAAAGGAATGAGAATGAAAGGACACCTAGTGGGGTTGGAAAGCAAGGGTAAAAGTCCATTTTAGCCCCGTGCTCAGCAAACGAAGTGGTTCCTACTATTATTCCAGTCTCCTACAGATATTTAGGGCTTCTTTTCAGGCATGAGAAAATCTGTGATGGTGTGTGTCATTGGTTAACGTCTTAAAGAAGGAGTTTAACTTTCTCCACTACATGTCAAATTTCAATATTTTCTTTCTGAAGAACAAAGTCAAACAGATAAACATGTGATTTCAATTTGGTGTCAAATGTCAAACCAGGGGAACACTTACTTTTTAAAATAGCACATGATACCACCGATGTGTGAATGTATCTCTGGATTCAGAATAGTTGGGACAAAAAATATTTTTAAAAAGCAGCTCAAATCAAAATTGTCAGAAATAATACAGCTAGGCCCACACTGTCTCTCGAATTATAGTTGTTCTGTAAAAGCCTTCTAAAACCTCAAGAGAGAAAAAAAATAATGCAAATTTCTGCTAAGCATTTCTCTATCTTTCACTTGTGATAAGCCATAGAATCTTTTTTAAAAAGTAGATTTTTGCAACATCTCAATTCATTTCAAAAATATTTCTTAAGTATGTGCTATGTAGCAGGTTCTATGCCAAAACTTGCGATATCTACCGAGGAAAGTAAGACCAAGGCCCCAAGCAGGTACAGGCATGAATGTAACTAAAATACATACAAGTGAAAGATTAGGCTAAACTCACTAAGCAAATAGCAAGTAGTAGGGTATGGGATTTGAAGGAGGAAGATAGCACATGCTACTGGAGAGTCCTAAAACCATTAACCAATGTGACATTTCATCTGGGCCTTGAAACATGAGTTGGATACAGACAGGAAGGGACAGCAGAAAATTGAAAGAATGTTCAGAGAACTTTAATCTTCCAGAAGCATAAGGAATTAATTTTTTTTTTAGCTAAAATGAGATATATATAATTCTCTACTCACCTAAACAGAAAGAGAGCTTCCTAAGCATGCACTCACTCGGTCCACCTGCATTTGTACTTGAAGTACTGTTTCCCCCCTCCACTCCATGCCCACTGCTTTTTTTTCTCAGAAGAACTAACCTGATTGCTCCCTGCATGTAGATCCAGAGAGCTGGGTTGCCCTGGGTTCTGCAGGTTTTATAGCTGGTGCCACTCAATTTTATTTAGTGCTCTCCTAACACACATAAAATGTGCAGGCAGAAATGACCCTACTTCCAGCTGACGCATTGAGCCAAGAGTTCAACTCCCTGGTGTATGTGACTTTGAGGCTAAACTCATATTCAAAAGGAAAATTCAGAAGGGGAAAAATATGAGAAAAAACTACATGCCTTAGAAAGAAAGATTAGATAAAATAAGCCAGTTTATTCAAAGGTGAACTTTTAGGAAGAGAAGGATGTTTAATAAAATATTGAAATACTGCCACCCTATAAGATACTTATGGTGAAGAGCAGTAATCCTTTTATGAACTTGAACTACTTTGTGCACAAAGGTGAATTCTGAGGCAGTCATTATCTTTGTGAACTGCAAGTGTCTCCACTTTCCACTTTTAGGTCTGAACGATTAAAAAGGGATGTAGCAAGCATCTCCTTCACTCTCTCCTTATCTAGCAAAATGATAACTCTAAATCCAAAATTGAGGGAGGGCTCCAGCCTATAAAAGATTAAATAAAACACTAATTCATTCAGAGTGATGCTGTATATTAGAAACAACATAAACAAATGGATCTAAGAAACAAAATAAACACAGTATTTTCTAGCCTATTTGTGTATTTGTGTGAGAATAAGTTTTGATGGAAATGAACAATCATTATGCCACATTTATTTAATTAGGACTTTTTATTTAACATTTAACACTAACAGAAAAATGTTATACTTACAGTATGTAATGTAACAATTTACTTCCAAATATAGTTGTGGGTACAAATAATGGTCTAAAAGGGTTAATGAGCCTCGTTAAGCAACTAAATTACCAGAGGCAGTCATTGAAGATAATTGAGCTCAATACCATATGCATGATATGACCTATATAAGAGATCTTTGAAGACACCCATATTTCTTTTTATTTTATCAGTGACAAAACTGAAGTTTAGAAAAGTAAAGGAATTGATTTATGACCTCGTGGCAAACTTCATGTATGGAAATAAAAATCCAAATCCAGTAATAAAGCCTGATTGATGCATACAGCAATATCCAAGGCAAGATTCCTAAAGATCCTAGATATACAGACCATTATTATTTAATATTTTGTATTTCAAATACCAAACAGGACTTTTATTTACATTTTCTAGCTTTTCTAAGCAATGGAATAAGAACTTGGTTGTAGCCTTTCTTGTTTTGAATTATTTGTTATAGCTTGTATTATAGTGAATTTACAATTGTAAAAATTGAATGTATTTTTATAAATAATTTTATAAATATTTTAATAAATTATAAAAAGCTTTGTAAACATTTTAATAAATTATTTAAAAATTATAAATATTTTTATAAATATTTCTGTAGATGTGGCTATTGATCACACCTTGAAATTTTATTTAAATACTAACGTAAATCATAATTCATATTTTTTTTGAGACAGAGTCTAGCTCTGCCGCCCAAGCGACATCTGTCACCCATCGTGCCGTGGCATGATCTCGGCTCACTGCAAACTCTGCCTGCTGGGTTCAAGCAGTTCTCTGCCTCAGCCTCCTGAGTAGCTGGGATTACAGGTACCCACCACCACGCCCGGCTAATTTTTGTATTTTTAGTAGAGATGGGCTTTCACCATCTTGGCTAGTCAGGTCTTGAACTCCTGACCTCATGATATACCCCCCTCGGCCTCCCAAAGTGCTGGGATTACAGGCGTGAGCTGCCGTGTCCAGCCTTCATATTCTTAGAAGAATAAGAATTGAATGAGACAGTCACTTTATAGTAAAACACATATATTTTAGAGGACTATAAAGTCAAATTAAGAATAGTCCATGTAGTCTCATGGCATGAGAGTAAGCTCGTCTTAGAATCTCATAATTCAGTTCCTCTATTCCATGAAAGATCAAAAAGGCCAGGTGCAGTGGCTCCTGCCTGTAATCCCAGTACCTTGGGAAGCTAAGGCAAGGGAATTGCTTGAGCCCAGGAGTTTGAGAACAACCTAGGGAACATAGCAAGTATCCCATCACTATAACATTTTAAAAAATGAAATGAAAAATGAAAGAACTATTAGTTTCTACCCAAAAGTAATTTAAAATAACTAAATAATTTTATTCAAAATTTTTTATGAAAAATTACAGCTTTATTACCTGTTAAAAAATTGTTAGGTGCTCAAACATTTAAATATTTCCTTACAGACTAAAAGATGTCTTTCTTAATCCCCAAAAGACTGTTCATTAATTGACCTTGAAATTTGTCTAGAGTGAGTCTCATATTTGCATGAATTCAAAAAAAAAGTAAGGCAAATAATATTTAGGTGTTATAGTTTGATTTAATCAAGGTGTGCCAGCTAACAGTTCTTCTGATTTCACCCAAACTGCAGATTAACTTTGGCCCACATAGTGCTTTTTTAAAAAGAGTTTTAAGTGTCTTTTAGGGTTTGTCATTGGAAGCTGATATATGCAACTCTATTTTTGACTTCTGTTAAACTCACTGAAAATCTGACCATATCTGGTTTTTCATTTTGATAATCTCGTCTATGACTGAACTTCAGGATTGTCTATTTCTTTGAAATGGGCCGTGTATACTCCAGTTCACCATAGTCAACTTACCCCTTAATTTAGGTGTCAGGATTCTGTAGGCATGTGAGTTAAGGATTCCTAGTATAATATCAAAGGTAAGGTATACAAGGAGGTAGACGTCAAAGCCTAAAGTGGTTTTTATTTTTGTCATTTAACCATCAGACATAATTAGATCTTATCATCCTTGTGTATGACAGTTGTGTGCAGTGTGTATTTGATGTGAATGGAAAACTCAGTACCAGCCCATTTGCATTATTACATACCTGGAAACCTTGATTACCGTCCACTAGGTCATGTCTACCTTACTGTTTCTGAGTTTGAAAATTACCTTTGACCAATTTTATTTTTTCCATTTCAAGTAAAATGGAACGCTTTCAAAGTTTTCCAGGCTTGGCAAATCTACTGATTTAAGATATTAAGATATTATTTTAATAAGTATTTAAATATTAAGATATAATTTAAGATATTAAACCAGTAGATTTCCCAAGCCTGGAAATCTTTGAAAGCATTTAGATAACTTTAGCAGAAGCAAGAAAAGCAAAATATTAATCATCCCATTCAATAGAGACTAGTTATGAAACTCTCTTAAGTAATTCTAATCTCCTCTCTCCTAGTAAGATGGTCTAGATGTTAGTGAATACCACCCAGTTTGTAAAAATTCTTTTCTTTAAAAAATGCAACTATTTTGCTTATTCCTGGAATATTTTTCACATTTATAGTACATGATCTTATATTTCTCCGTTTCTACTTCTTATAGTGAACTTGTTTTGCTATTTTTACTTTTGGTTTAAAAATTTTTAAAAAACTTGATAATTACTAAAAAGAGTCATAAGAAGCACAAATACAATAGTGTACTTTTATATTTTTAATCGCACATATTTAAATAGCACTGAAAGCATAATAATGCAGTTAAACAAAAAAAATAACTCCTATTCAACATAGTGTTGGAAGTTCCGGCCAGGGCAATCAGGCAGGAGAAGGAAATAAAGGGTATTCAATTAGGAAAAGAGGAAGTCAAATTGTCCCTGTTTGCACATGACATGATTGTATATCTAGAAAACCCCCTCTTCTCAGCCCAAAATCTCCTTGAGCTGATAAGCAACTTCAGCAAAGTCTCAGGATACAAAATCAATGTGCAAAAATCACAAGCATTCTTATACACCAATAACAGACAAACAGAGAGCCAAATCATGAGTGAACTCCCATTCACAATTGCTTCAAAGAGAATAAAATACCTAGGAATCCAACTTACAAGGGATGTGAAGGACCTCAAGGAGAACTACAAACCACTGCTCAATGAAATAAAAGAGGATACAAACAAATGGAAGAACATTCCATGCTCATGGGTAGGAAGAATCAATATCGTGAAAATGGCCATACTGCCCAAGGTAATTTACAGATTCAATGCCGTCCCCATCAAGCTACCAATGACTTTCTTCACAGAATTGGAAAAAACTACTTTAAAGTTCACGTGGAACCAAAAAAGAGCCTGCATTGCCAAGACAATCCTAAGCCAAAAGAACAAAGCTGGAGGCATCACGCTACCTGACTTCAAACTATACTACAAGGCTACAGTAACCGAAACAGCATGGTACTGGTACCAAAACAGAGATATAGACAAATGGAACAGAACAGAGCCCCAGAAATAATGCCACACATCTACAACTATCTGATCTTTGACAAACCTGACAAAAATAAGAAATGGGGAAAAGATTCCCTATTTAATAAATGGTGTTGGAAAAACTGGCTAGCCATATGTAGAAAGCTGAAACTGGATCCCTTCCTTACACCTTATACAAAAATTAATTCAAGATGAATTAAAGACTTAAATGTAAGACCTAAAACCATAAAAACCCTAGAAGAAAACCTAGGCATTGCCATTCAGGACATAGGCATGGGCAAGGACTTCATGTCTAAAACACCAAAAGCAATGGCAACAAAAGCCAAAATTGACAAATGGGATCTAATTAAACTAAAGAGCTTCTGCACAGCAAAAGAAACTACCATCAGAGTGAACAGGCAACCTACAGAAAGGGAGAAAATTTTTGCAATCTACTCATCTGACAAAGGGCTAATATCCAGAATCCACAAAGAACTCAAACATATTTACAAGAAAAAAACAAACAATCCCATCAAAAAGTGGGCAAAGGATATGAACAGATGCTTCACAAAAGAAGAAGACATTTACGCAGCCAACAGACACATGAAAAAATGCTCATCATCACTGGCAATCAGAGAAATGCAAATCAAAACCACAATAAGATACCATCTCACACCAGTTAGAATGGCCATCATTAAAAAGTCAGGAAACAAGAGGTGCTGGAGAGGATGTGGAGAAATAGGAACACTTTTACACTGTTGGTGGGACTGTAAACTAGTTCAACCATTGTGGAAGTCAGTGTGGCGATTCCTCAGGGATCGAGAACTAGAAATACCATTTGACCCAGCAATCCCATTACTGGGTATATACCCAAAGGATTATAAATCATGCTGCTATAAAGACACATGCACACGCATGTTTGTTGTGGCACTATTCACAATAGCAAAGACTTGGAACCAACCCAAATGTCCAACAATGATAGACTGGATTAAGAAAATGTGGCACATATACAGCATGGAATACTATGCAGCCATAAAAAATGATGAGTTCATGTCCTTTGTAGGGACATGGATGAAGCTGGAAACCATCATTCTCAGCAAACTATCCCAAGGACAAAAAACCAAACACTACATGTTCTCACTCATAGGTGGGAATTGAACAATGAGAGCACTTGGACACAGGTAGGGGAACATCACACACCGGGGCCTGTCATGGGGTGGGGGTAGGGGGTAGGGATAGCATTAGGAGATATACCTAATGTAAATGACAAGTTAATGGGTGCAGCACACCAACATGGCACATGTATACATATGTAACAAACCTGCACGTTGTGCACATGTATCCTAAAACTTAAAGTATAATAAAAAAAAATTAACTTTTTGAGGCATTAACATTTTAATTATGAAATAAAATATACTCACTTTTGTAAATTTAAAGGGCATTTTAAATAATACTTTAAAACATTAGGTATTAATAAACTATATTGGTAAAATAACTTGAGCATCAAAAGATCTATTATATATTTTTTAAATAAATGTAAAAATTCAGATATTTTCAGATGTATCTCTATGTCCTTGTTATAATAGGACAAGGTTCATCAGTATTAAGAGTATATACAAATCTGTTATTCTCTTGATATGCATAAATCTGCATCTTTAGATGTTGTCTTTAAATATATTTTCAAAATTATGTGAATAACTCCAAAAACATATATAATTAATAAAAATATCAATAATACCAAAAATGTCAGGCCAGACACTGTAGCTTATGCCTGTAATCCCAGCACTTTGGGAGGCAGAGGCAGGTGGATCCCTTGAGCCCAGGAGTTCAAGACCCACCTGGGCAACATAGAGGAACCTTATCTCTACAAAAAATAAGAAAATTAGCCTGGCATGGAGGTACGCATCTGTAGTCACAGCTACTCTGGAGGCTGAGGTGGGAGAACTGCTTGAGACCAGGAGGTGGAGGTTGCAGTGAGCTGAGATTGTGCTACTGTGCTCCAGCCTAGGTGACAGAGTGAGACCCTGTCTCTCTCTCTCTGTCTCTCTCTCTCTATATGTGTGTGTGTATATATATATATATATATATATATATATATATATATATTTAAAAGGAAAAGAGAAATGTCTGAAACAAATACAAAACAATAGAAATATCTAAAATATATATGTATAATATATATATACATATATAATTCTATTTTCTTTTACAAAACAGAAGCCAGCAGGTGATATATATACATATCAGCTGCATCTGCATCCTCATTTATGTGAAAGCATGTGATGGTTAGAGTGAACAAAATTGCTCATAAAAAACATCTTGCAAATAAGAGTAGGTAACTTTTTCTATATAAATTATCTCAAGTTAATGTTTACTGTAACCCATCATTAGATAAGTAGGGTAAGATGAACAGATCCATTGAAGGGAAAAATAATCAGTGTGAAATATTCATTTTCACAAAAAAGAACCTTCCTATTGCTCCCAAACTGTAGGAAAAAGTATAAAACTAACTTAATAAGAAAGGCCAAAAGTAACAGACATGATAAAATGTACAGCATAAATTTCTTCACGCTTCTGATTAACCGAGCTTAAAGTTCAGAAATCATTGGGAATAAAAACAAGGAGTTTGAAATATAACTTTTCTATATTTCCTTAAGGGCTTTAAGCACTAAGTGAGAAAAAAATATATATATCTATATACATTTTTTTTTCTGGCAGTTTCATCAGGAAGTAGAGGAGAATAAACTTTCTTTATACTCATACTGACAGAAACCACAAAAGACTCAAGTGGGTCTGAGGCAACATGGCCATACTCCCTTCAGCTGAGATCTTTTATTTTACCCTTTTCAACAGGACGTCAGTCCCCTTTTGAAAAGTGATTGTGCTCAACCAAGACCCTTGTGAAAGGCAACAGATGTTGCTAGGATTATACCAGCCTGTCTGCTATCTTGTTTCATTTTTAAAGAAAGAAGAGAGAGAGAGAGAGGGAGGGAGAGAGAAAAAGAAAAGACAACAAGTCTTGCTCTAAATCATTGGACCATTTTGCACTTCAGCAAATCTGTTTGCACATGCTCTGCTGGCCTGGCAGAAAGGTCTGAGCCTTTTACATTCAGCTTGAGGTCAGTCCTAATGTGATGTTCAGTGGTCCTCATGCCTTTCACATGAAGCAGCTGCCTCTGATTGCCAGAACAAATTGAGGTGATTCAAACCACCAGCCGGGCATAAGTATAACTTCCATTCACTGAGAAGGGAGGAAAAAGCTCAGAGCAGACCAACTGGGGTTGCCCACAATAAACCATAGGATTAGATTTGATACACTTGATATTAAGACATGGTCATATTGAAAAGTAGGCCATAATGTCGTAAAAAAAACTACAAGACAGTTATATGAATGACAATAAGGAAAAACATTACTTGGGCATTTATTAAGTTACACTTAATTATCAAATGCCCTGTAAGTTTTGCCTCTTCCTAACACCTGAGGAATTCTCTTTGGCACTTAGATACATCATAAACTTTTTAGGTGCACCTGGTACATGCAGAAAGGGTGGCTGAAAACGTAAAGGAAAAACCTATCATTAAATAAGAAGTGATTTTAGGCAAAGTGATGGTCAGGCAGCATTTGTTAGTTTGTCTTCCAATTTAAGCATAGAATTAGATGAGCAGTTTCAAATTAAAAGCTAGATTTATACCAAAATGAAGCAGTAAAAGAAAATGTCCAAAGTGTAACAAATGAGTTAAGTAAATAGCAGCATAAATAGATTTTAGTGGCACTATCATTCTTAGTCAGGTTAGAAATCGTTAGACAAAGAAATTTTAAATGTGCATGCTTCAAATTTGTTATATTTACTTTTGAAATAAAATGCACCTAATCCATTAATTGACATAAGAACATTAGGCAAACATTATCTAAAAATAGATGAGGTTTTTTTTTATTTGATGGAATTATAGTCATTTAATCATTAGCATCAATCCTACATTTTTCAGTCCCCAGCATTTATTACGATGTTAAGGTTCAGGATAATTATTTCATGAGACCAGTGTAATTCCAGATCTCCCATTCATAGGCAGTGATGAGATTTTAACGTGTGAAAATTTTGTTTCAGAATATCTTTTCTTTGTATCCCCACTAGAACTGCCAGATATTGAGGATAGAAAACATTCTTTGTCCATGTTAGTAGAGCTTAGTAGAGGCTCTTATATAGCATATGCATTTAGTCAATGAATGAATCATATTTACATGTTAATGTAAATTAGATTAATGTAATAACAATGCAAAAATAAAGAAATGCAAATACGTGAAAGCTACTGTATTTTTTTAGCTGTCATTAAGCACAAAACATATTTTTGGATCAAGTTATTCACCTCCTAAGTTATAAAGGGAGAATTATTCTGGCAACGAAAAACCCGTTGGCCTTTGCTTTACTGAGTGAAAGCTGACCTTTAAGTGAATTCTATGGTCATTTAAATAGAGATTGACTCCACTATTTCTGAAAGGATGATCTAAATTCTGCATAGTATTTAAAATTGAAATCTTTCTTCCATGTGGCCTCTATAAATTGTTCCTATGCGTAGCTCTTTTCATGATTGGCAATTTAAATATTTTTCAACTCGCTTGTTTCCTAAGATATCTTAAAATGATTCCATGCCAAGAAATCCTGTTCCTAAAGTCTAGAATTCACATGGATTTTGGAATTTAGCCACAGATTCATTTGAAGTACATTAGATACAAATAGAATTATCTCTTCAAGATATGCACACTATTAATAATGAAGACAAGGAATGATATCTGTTTTGGAAGTTAATTATCCTGCTGATATGGGTGCTAATAGCCCCATATCAAATATAATTTCAGTGTATTGATCCATTAGGGTCCATAGTGTGTGTGATAACACAATGAAATTTACAGTGAAATTAACAGCAAGAAATTTATTTCATGACAATAAATTTTCAGGGAAAATAAAGAAAGACATTTGACATAAATGAAATGGAGCCAATTATATATTTTGATAAACATAGTTTATTAATAATGCACCTTTCAAACTACTGAGGGGAATACGAAATATAAGTTGAACAGTTTTTCTAAAAACAGTTGATCTGTAGCTAGTAAAACAAGATAGAACAATATATTAAACACTCATATGTGTTTTTTCAGAATAACATTCAAGAATTAACAATATTTTTCACCTATGTAACTCTAGGCAACAGGATATGAATATGAGAAAATGATCCTGAAAATAATTAGACATTCACATGAGGAAGAGATGCATCTGCAGTTACAGTACACTAGCTAGGATAGAATTACACCAGCTATCAATCTTCATGCTTCAGGGCAGAAGCTGCTCACCAGATGGGTCAGGAAGATATTCCCCCCTATGGTATAGTATTGTGAAATTAAGTGTATTATGGGAGGTTTATTTCTCTCAGTGAAACATCTGGCATTGGCCACCAGACGAGATCGACTCTCTGTTCCAGAATGATAACTCCAATTTTTTCTCACAAAACGATTGTGTATACCAGTTGAAGTCATGTGATCCTTACTTATATGTCATGACCAACCCTTCAATTCTTAAATACTTTTGCATTTTCATTAAACTTCCAAAAGAAAAAAATGGAAGATTATTTAGAAATAATTTTCAATTATTACTGGAATTTCATTTGTCTTTATGAAATAAATAATTATAATAAAGGTAATGAGGAAAAATATCCACCATACCTATGTGGCCAGGACTAGCAGCTGTCCATCAATACTGATCTCTCTCTTCAGTGCAGACATTTGAATAAAGTACATTTTCCAGCCTTTCTTGAGCTGGGCATGGTTAAGAGCCCAAATTTTTCTTAAAGGAATGTGAGTGATGTAATGTGTGCACTAAAGAGAAATATCTGCCTCTTCTGTTCTTCCCCCTTCCCAGGCCTTTATTGTCTGAAAAGACCATGCACAGAGCAGCCATGGATACTGCATAGTAAATATGACAAAGCCATTGTCAACTTAGGTCATTGGATGGTTTTGTTGCTGGGGACCTGCTTATCTTCCCTGAAACAATCATCTGAGAGACAAATGGTCTATCTTTTTGGTTCATTGCCTTTGGGTTCTCTCCATTATCAGAGTTTGCCTACTGTAATGCATCAAGAATTTTCACGTTCACGTTTGGTTTCGCCATCATAGGAATTCAGAATCTCTAAACAGCTACAGACAAAGTCTAAGGGCAATTGTTCATTTATTAAAGTTAACATTTAAAAATCTATTAAATACATAAAATATATTAAATTTAAATATCGAAAGCTTTTTATGTATCATCCAGTACTCATTAGTATTATTTAATGATGCACTTGAAGGCTGATAAACCATAATTAGGTAGCTGTTCTCCTAGTGTTATATATTTAGTTTCATTCCAAAATGTGAGGACTCTGGAGACGGATTTCTTGAGTTAGAATTCTGACTGTACTACCTACTGGCAGTATGACTTTGAGTAAGTCACTTAGCCTCTATTTTCTAATCTATAAAATGGAAATGATCATAATATCTAACTTTTTGGTTCATTTAAAGTAGTAGATGAGAAATCATGTACATAGAATTCAGAAGGGTCCCTACTATTTTGTGAGCACTCAGTAAATGCTAGAAATTTAAGATTAGTATCCCAAAATTTTGCTCTTACAATTTGAAATTTTTATCTTCATACACAAAATGTTCTCCCCATAATAATTTTCTTAAAAGTGGCTAATACCTTATTATCAGCCTGAAGATGTTTAAATAAAAGTGTTTAGGAGGATGTATTGCTAGATTTTCATGCTATGAGAACTGTAATACAATTTCCATTGCTTCACTGAGAATGAATTCCACATACATACATTTTCTACTCATCTAGACATTTATTTGAAAATTAACTATTTCTTACTGCCCCATTTCTGAATGTATTATGATTTTGTCTAATTTCTGTGAGCAAATTATATGTAACAGCGTCATATGGCAAATAGTAATTAAACCGTAGTAACACAAGTTTTTGTTTCCTCCTCGATTTGTTTTTAGTATTTTCTTTTTAAAATTCTTATCCTTCTTAGTTGATACTTCTAAACAGACGTACCCCAAATCTCGTTACTCCACTGTCTAGGATTGAATTTATTTAGGTCAATAAGATTGGAAAGCCTTTTATTTTAGAGAAATTGTAGTATCTGTATTACAAGTCAAGATGATGTGTATGCAACTTACTTCTTGGCTGGGATCTCTATGACTTGCATTGTTGTAATCACTTACGCTGGAACTTCTTTCTTTGGATTAGGTCTTAATATATTTTATGCAATCATTGATATTGTAACTGAAAGCAATCTAAAACATGGAGCTGATTTTAAGCCATAGGAATTTGCCGTTGAGTTTAGAATTGTTTTTCTATATTTATTCACTAACGGGTATTTTCTAATTTTAAGAAATTTGAAATATACTGTTTAATTTCTCATGATTTATAGCAGCTGTCTCCTTTTGTAAAGTGTGCTCAGAGGAATCTTTTTCAGTAAATAAAGTCTGCACCCAGACATCTCACTTTGTATACCACGGAGAATTTACCATGACTCTTCTCAGTGATAAACGTCAATATAGAATAATCAGGAGAAAAAGAGAAATCCAGTAAAGAAATAAGTCTGTAGAAAGCAACAACCCTAATGATATACGATATCTATCTATCTATCTATCTATCTATCTATCTATCTATCTATCTATGTATCTATCTATCTAACATTATATAAAATATATATTTTCTCCTGTATTGGGGCCCTGTGTGTAAGCCCTGGTGAGACTCAAAAATTTGAATATTCCTTTTTTTTTTTTTTTTTTTTTTTTTGAGTGGTGCAATCTCGGCTTACTGTAATCTCCGTCTCCAGGGTTCAAGCAATTCTCCTGCTTCAGCCTCCGGAGTAGCTGCATTACAGGCGCCCGCCACCATGCGCAGGTACTTTTTTTTTTTTTTTTTTTTTTTTTTTTAGTGGAGACAGGGTTTCACCGGATTAGCCAGCATGGTCTCCATCTCCTGACCTCGTGATCCGCCTGCCTCAGGCTGCCAAAGTGCTGGATTACAGGCGTGAACCAATGCGCCTGACCTATTTCTGCTCTTTTCAGAAGCTCATGGTCCATCAATAGGGGTCTTCATTGCACAAGGGCAGAAATATGTAAAAATTTTGGAAGAGGTTAACAACTTTTTTTAAAAGACTATCATTAAAAAATTGGATGAATGGAAGAAAATCCAAACAATACAGAAAATGATAAATAAAAATGTTTTCTCTGATAAGGCACAGCAAATACAGACTAACCCAAGCTGGGACCACCAGGCCTGGATTTCGTCTAGAAGAGAAGTGTGTGCTATGGCATCCCATGAGGGAGACCCTCGGGGAGTTACCATGCAGTTCTGAGAGGGGTCTGCACTTAGCTGTCAGAAGAGAAGCTATAGCTTGAGGTATTACTGGTTCATAAGATTCACAAAAGAATGATCATAAATGTTTCCAGTTCAATGTCAAGGTTGGTCCAGCAACCTGAGTTATAAGTAGGATGATTATATACCTTGGTTTCTTTAGGACAGTCCTTGTTTAAAATTCCTGTTTTCACATTTGGTTAGTGCTCCATTTCACTCTAATGTAAGCTGATATTGAACTCTGCATTATATTTGCACCCTGGCTCTATGACAGTACTGTGTCAAACATGCTGCCTTGTATTTTATTTCATGCTGATGTTCACTCTGCCAATAGGGACAATTACTGCAATGCAATGTTGGAAATCTTAAGAGAAGACATTCTATCCATCTCCAAGGAGCTTCATAGGGCAACCCCCTCAAATTCATCATGGCTCAAAGATTGGCTCTAAATCTAGGAGGCTTAGAAAGCTGATTTATCAACATATCAGAAGTAACCCCACTCAAAAAGAATGATGCATACCAGTTTTTCAATTTATTATGAGCAATCTAATTGGAGAGGCAAGCAGACACTCCACCTGCAGGCGTGCCACATGGGAAACCACAGAGTAATCAGGCTATTACTTGGTGAGCATGAAATCACAATGAGGATTGTTAGCGACGTGATTTAAAAGTGTGAAGGCATCAAGCTAAAGTAGGCTTATGCATGTCTACTCAACTAGCTTATAATTTACTAGTATGTTTCCATTTTTTACTACCGCCCCTTCTCTGATCAACACTTTATTTATCTAGATACATTGATAAGGTTTTTTGGTTTGTTTCCTTGTTTTTTGTTTTTTCTTTTCTCCAAGCTTTGTCTTATCTGGGAGCTATTGTCTTTGCTGATGACTTCACTTGATCTCTAATTCAATCCATCAAGTGACATAGGGGCTCTGTCTGATTCTGAAATCTTTCTTTCTCCACTACCCCACACCCAGAGCAGTGCCAGCATCCTTAGCAGGAACATTTCCCAGTGGTTTTGAGATAGAGAGATGGAGAATAATGTCTTCTTTAACAGCCCAACAATTATAGTCACTTATTTTAATAGCGTATTAGAATTAGGCTGTCACATCGAAACAGCCTTAGAGTCTGCATGAAGAGCACATGAAATGCTTTTGTTAAACACAGCAAAAACAGTAAGAAAAATAAAATATTAGCATTTAGTGAAAGATCTTATGAAAGATTGTCATCCTCAATGCGTGTAAGAGCAAGTTGCTTCTGAAAATTGATTCGGGGCATGTATATGCATATAAATGTCTTCTCCAACATCAGTTTACTCTTTTGCGTGGTATCATATCAAATCATATCCTAACACACATTAAGTAGTGTAAACAGCTGTTTTTAACTACCAAATGATGTACACAATACATTTTTTAAATTATAGCATTCGTTTAAGACCTTTTTTATTTTGTATCTGCTGATGAAGTTTATTTATAACATTGAAGCTTCTTTAATTCAATTACCTTTTCTTTAAAACATTATAGGACCTCTTTTACGCTTTGAATGGCTTTTTAAACCAGCCATATAGTGTCATGAAGACAGCTGTTACTCACAAGTTAGTATTGGTTTTGGGAAGTTGCTTTGCTTTTGATGTTGATACTACCTTCAGTGAGAGAAAAGTTTATTATAGGGACACTCAGCTTGTTCCAAACCACATTAATTATCCTCTCTCTAAATATTGTAAGTGTAACAGGTTCATTGCCCAATGCATGTGAAAAGTCAATATGTGGAAACACGAGATTGCACCAGAAAGAAAGAGGTTTAATTGTAGGGCCACTAAATGAGACGAGACAGGAGAAAACGTCAAATTAATCTCTCCAGGGAATGTGGGGCTAGGGGTTTAAGGATTTTGGAGTGACCAAAGTGTACAGATTATTGGTTAGTCAAAGAGTGCGGGGTGAAGTCATGGGGCAAAAAGATAAAGAACCTGTATTTTCATGCTGATTTGTTTCCTCTGATGGGGTCTTTAAACTGATTGGTGTCAGCCGTTCCACTGGAATTCAGGATCTGCTTAAATAATTCTTAAAACAAAAGCCTTATGTTTCTAACATCAGAAATTTTATCTATAGTAAAAATGGGGATGCAGATGGTCAGTTTCTAATGCTTTGTGACTTGGTTTGGAGGCAGTGGGCAAAAGTGCAGCCTGATTAATGCTTAATTACAACTATATTTCCATCAGAATTCTTATTAACTCTGTGAGGACAGCTTCAATATTTAGTCTGCCAGAGTGTCTTCTCTCCTTCAGTTACAGCCGTCTTCCTCTCCTTGATATTTCTCACTCTCTGTACCCAGTTATCAAATACCGTTTTCTGTCCTATCTGTTCTCCTCCCCATTCTTACAATCGATGCCCAGCCTCAGGCTTGGGATGTCATTGCATGACTGGCCTATGGAAGAAACTCTTAATTAGTCTCCCTGCCTGTTTTTGGTTGTGTTTTCTGCGCTCACATCTTGATCTTTACCTGCCAGTCATTTTCATAAACTAGACTGAATTATGCTGGTACCTTCTCTTTAAAACCTGTAGAATCTCCTTATTGTCTAACGGGACATGCCACAGTTCCTTAGGTTGCATTCCAGACCGTCCAGGGTCTGGCCACATCTCCCTTTTCCACTCCATCTGGAAGCACACCTCTGTGCTCATACTGACTACTTATTATTCCCTGAACACAGACAAATTTTAACACCAATTAACTTTGTTCATAGTGTTTGCTCTCCTACTATATCAAAGCCCTATTTGACCTTTAAGTCTCTATTCAAATGTTATTTCTTTTATAAAACCTTCTCTGATCACTCTTTTAAGAATTTTTTCTCCTTCTGCAATTCCACAGAACGTTGTTTGTTTCCTGATAGAACACCAGTGCTTTATGCTTTTTATTCAAGTGCCTCCTCCTACCCTGCCAACAATAAGCGTTACCTTACTCAGACAGTGAGTGTGTCTTTCATAGCTGTATGAGTACAGTAAATGTTAGCTGAGCCAACTACCTTTCTGCTGGAGATGTAGCAGCACTGATTTGAGATTTTTTTTTTTGCCCATGTTTTTCAATCCATATGAGAATATATAAAATATCAGATGACCTTCTAATCCTGGTCAGTTAGAAAGCTGGTTAATCACAAATGTTAAAGGAACACTGGAGCTAAGGGAAGCATTGTGGTCTGCCCAACCTGGACTGTAAACCTTTCATCAATAATGTGAGTTGTATTAGACCAGTGAGCAAGATTCCTATAAGACCCAATAATTACTTTCATAATAAGTACTGTATAATAGTTATTCAATATCGTGAAATGGAATTCATAGATAGTAAACCCACCTATACACTCACAATAACCAAAAATTATCCATATAATATACCAAAAAAATTAATGAGAAATTTAAAAAGTAGTTTATAATAAAATAATGTATATTTCAATATGTAAATGCTTGGTGGGGGGAGCAGAACTGCCCCTACCAATACCCAAAATGCCTATACTGAAAATTTTGGATGTAGATATATTTTGGAAGGACAGAGGCATTGTCTTTTTAGAGATCTGGAATACCTGTTCCTGAGTTTCTGTGATACATGTAGACAAAACAGCCACAAATAATTGGGGAGGTCTCAACAGCAGCGTTCTCTCTTTGTTGTTATATGTTAAGAGCAGAGAGGCAGATGATCATCATTTGAATGGAGAGAATAAAGTTTTCCTGGACTTAAGGTGACCAGAAAGTATGAGAGGGAAATGTGGCTCAGTTGCCTCAAACAATATGATGTTATTGGTTTATTTCTTCGAATCCGTAATCTAGTATCAAAGCAGTCCTGCAGATACAACCTCTACTTGAGGGGTAAGAAAATTTAGAAGAATCATTTGCTTCCAATTTTTTTTCTTTGATCTCCTTATTGCCTCAGAAGCTTCCTTTTATTCCTCAACTGATTTAATTGCAAGGAAGACAAGTACAAAATAAATTAGCAGGTTAATACTATTGCTGCCAATTTTGATGCTTAGGGTTAGGTGTAAGTGCCAGCATTCCTCCTGGGACTTTTCCTGCTTTGGAGGGCCCACTGGAGTTGTTCCTGTATCAGTGATAGCTTTCTAATAAGGCTTGAAATATAATTAGATGCTACAATCATAACTTTTTGGAGTTGGTAAATCCATTGCACATCATAAAATTCAATCTTCTCATTTTACAAGTGAGAAAAATAAGTCCCCAAGATATTAGGTGACTCAAAGATCTTTCAGCTTGTTTAATGTCAAAGCCTGTCCTCGAACCCATATCTGCTGACTGCAGGCCCAGAGCTTTTTTCTGAATAACTCATTGCCTCCCTTAACTGCTGGCAGATTTAGCTCTTCCAGATCTCTGCCAGCACACGAAGCCTTTGTAAGCTACCTTTATTTCTTCCACTTTTCCCCCCATGGTTCCTCTCCAGGCACATTTCTTCTAGTAACCTGTAAAACAAGGATAAATATAAAAAGCCGTAAATCCTTGTCTAAATTGGCCTCCAGGATATATATATATATATATTCCTTCTCCCCATATATCTATATTATTTTCTTTCAGTCAGTTCTCCAAGCCAGCTGGTGTGATTTGATGGAGAGAGCACTGAGCTAGTTTCCTACCCCCTTAGCCTCTGTGCTTTATTAGGCATGTCATTATTGTTATTTTAAGTATCCACTAATTCCTCTGTACCACAGGGTTAGTAATAATATCTGTTATCTCCTAGGATTCCAGAAAGAATCAAATAGTGGTATGAAAGCACGTTGTAAACTGTAGAGCACTGAACAAGTATAAAATATCTATATTTTCTTACTTTTAATTTTATAGTCATACTAAATGCATCCTGGAACCACCCCTCTGTCACTAATTTTCGAGCTAATCTTGGGAAAACTGTATTTCTTCACTTTGCTGCTTTCACATCTGCTAATGGGAATAAACCTTGTATTGTGGAAGTATAGGGATTGGACTTAGGGAATATGTATCTCTTAGGGCAGACTAGGTACATTGTTCTGTATGTGGGATTTGCATTCTTATTTTATGTTATTACCTTGATCTTTATTATTATTGCTACTATTGGTATTTCTCACAAAGCCTCATTTATTTTCTTGTTTTCTCTACCCACATCTTGATACCCATAGCGTTTCCATGATATATCTAGACTGGCCAATTTGTTTTAGAGTTGTGTCATCTTGATTCATAAAGTTGTTAGTGAACCATTCTCTAACATTACTCAGAGGCCACAAATGAGGCTGAGGAATAATCATGCTAAGATGGTGCTTTATCCATTCAGTTGTAATAGAATAGTGGAAACATTGACTACAGCACGTTTTATTGCTGAATGCAATTTTCAGCTATTTTGCAACACTTTTATAACATATGTAAAATGAGGTTGTATATGGAAAAGTTGAATATCTTATGTACTCACTGTGTAGATTGTTATGAATAAATCTCTAAGCTATAACAAATAAATACAAAATAAAGTCAAGGACTTTATTCTAAAAATGCTTCATCTTAAAACTGACAATAAAAAACGAAAAGGAAATTTCTTGGCAATAATTCTTGGCAATAAACAAATGAAAAGGAAAATTGAAAAGGAAAAGAAAAATACCATTCAATATTGATTTATTTCCTTTTTCCAAATTGTGTACTTCAATATCTCTGCACCTATCTTCTCACATTTGTAAGGAAGAGGAGTCCTGCTTCACAGACAAAGAGAGAAAAACAAAAACAAAACCACTCAATACATCCAGACACATCACTAAATGTTTTAATTTAATTTAATGTTGAAATGTTTGTGATAGTATCATTTTCAGTTGGCATTTCCACATTTGTTACTAACATACATGAAGGTTAGGAGTCTTTCATATGTAAAACTATTTTTAAAGCAACTTTTTTTTTTTCAGAAAGTCTGTGAGAATCAGACTTATTGCACTGGATTTTTAGGCAGTGACTCTCTTTAAAAACTGCTACATTATACTATATTTCACCTGAATAGAACACTTGTATAATGTACTTATTTAAATGCATCAAAGATACAAGCATTTTTCTCAATCTAAAGAAAATCAGACTAGGCACAAATTCTGCAAGAAATCTAAAGGTAGAAAATGGCTCATCTGTTCTGAAACACTAACACTCACTCTTTCCCTCTTTAGACACTCCAACTAAGGGCTAATTCCCACTCATTCTCTGTAAGTGATTATAGATACTGAATGGCCACAATTATGTTGCTGCATATGAATGTAGTGTTTGATGAATGTAACTACAACAATCACAAAGCAATAGAACTAAGAAGAAAAATGCAATAAACTATCATTTTTTAAATTGCCACACTGAAGCAAAATTATACATGCTAAGAAAGACAAACACTCAGCAGATAAGATCTATTTGATACAAAATTTTATTATACATGACAATAACTTGGTATTTTACTTTCTATTATACAAATTAATGATCGTGCTTAGTTCTTGTACTGTGTGTGAGAGAGCAATCCTCTCTAACATGTGCAAAGATATGTGCAATTAATAAAAATACTATAAAGGAGGTATGCTAGATAATAAAAATTCAGACCTTCCTTAGAATCTGAATTTAAGTCTTCCAATTTGTTTTCAAACATGAACTTGGGAAACACTTTTAGCTTATTGTTATACTCGTCAATTAGGTCAGTGGCCTCTTACAAAGGATGCACTTTTGCCCCACCCAGTGGCCGCCTCACAAATAGCCACCGTTCCCCTGAGTAAGGTAATTCCTTTCCCAGGTGGGTTTTGGTACTAGAAACACAAGGGAATACGTTGTCCCTGCGGCTCAATGTGTACATGAAGCTATCATTTCATCAGCGCTGCTGCCATCTGTACTGAGCTGTGGAGCAAACTCACAAGAATGCCAGCCACTTCGGGACTTCTACCAAATGCTTCATTATGCAAGATCTACAAAGTCAACTATGCTTTCATCCAAAACACCAAAAGAAAGAGCAAACGCACATCTATGGTAATGAGATTGAGTTGGTGAGAGGAAGAGAAAGGAGGCAAAGTAATTTCATGACAGAGAGTACAGGTCCAGGAGGTTTCACTCTATGCTAATTATATAAATTTGAGCAACTCATTTGTATTGTACTTGCTTATACGTTACTGTAAAAGGAGGAGAGTAAAATTTAAGTAAAATCAAGCAACTGGAAAAAGGTAAAGTCTCTACAAAAATTGCAAGAAAATATTTAATATTTTTATTCTACAGGTCATATAATATTTTTCTGTTTGTGTCTCATGCATACACATATGCATGCACAAACTGAAAGTCACAATTTTACTATCAATACAAAACTATAGCAAAATTAAGATTAAATTAAATGGCATTGACGAAATTACCTTGTCAAGGATTTGGGAGATGTGTAAGAAGTTTTGCTAGGAGGTAGCCAGATAAGTGACTCGAAAGAATGATTGCTTTATTATTATAAGAGATGGTTGGCGGGGCGCGGTGGCTCACGCCTGTAATCCCAGCACTTTGGGAGGCCGAGGTGGGCGGATCACGAGGTCAGGAGATCGAGACCATCCTGGCTATCATGGTGAAACCCTATCTCTACCAAATATACAAAAATTGCCGGGCGTGGTGGCGGGCTCCCGTAGTCCCAGCTACACAGGAGGCTGAGGCAGGAGAATGGCGTGAACCCGGGAGGCGGAGCTTGCAGTGAGCGGAGATCGTGCCACTGCACTCCAGCCTGGGCAACAGAGAGAGAGACTCCGTCTCAAAAAAAAAAAAAAAAAAAAAAAAAAAGGAGATTGTTTCTCTTACTGCTCCCATCACACTATCTAAATTTAGAAATTATTCCTAAACAAACTGAATAATTTTATAAAAATAGTTTTCAGATTCTAAATAGTAATATTAGTATAAAAACAATGCCACCATTGAAACCACATCAGCAAACTGAAAAAATAAAGAAAGAAACTTGCTGGTTAACTGTCAAGGATACCAGCAGGAGGTCTACGAGATGTGAAATTCTCCCCCAGAGGTGGATGAATATAAGCCTCTCACTTGCTAGCCTGCCAAATCCTCTGACGACATGAACACTTTGATGATTTCCTAGTCTTACCAGAAGATATGCTGTTTCCTTTTAAATACAACTTTAAATATTTTGCTCTAATATTGTGTGCATTCAACTAATCATTTATACATGCTTCCAAGTGATTCCTTGTACTCTTAACTTCTGTCATGGTTCTATCTAGTGGAAAGACATTTCCCATGCCCTGTAAAGAATGGCAACGTATTGAGACAAACAGTAATTAAAACAATACTGTTAGAAAACACACTCCACAGAGTGGTAGCGGGCTTGAGCAAGGGGCTCAAGAGTGCTGGTTACAGAATTTTCTGGGGTTTAAATACCCTCTACAGGTTTCTCACTGGTTACTTCGTTACACCATATGTAAATTAAGACTTGGCTTGCAACCAGTCTGATTGGTTGTGGAAGGAAACTAATGAGAGCTGAAGTGGTTACAAAGTTACACCCTATATAAATGAAGATGGCTCATGACCAATCTGATTGGTTCTGGGAGGGGACCAATCAGAGGTACTTTCCATTTGTTATCTGGGAAGCAGTGCAAAGGGAGTAGCCTCTGATCCTCTTGTTACTTGGATGTGGACAGGTGGGGTTTTCCTTTTGATTCAGTTCTAGGAAGTCAGAACAAATTAGCCTTAGGTTTCCTTCCTGCGGACCCTATTCTCCTTCCTCAAAATGATGAGACAGGGATGGAGATAAGCCAAAGTTTTGTAGGAAAACAGAAGAAAAGAATCTATCCCAAAATAGGTGTATCTGTGATTGTTTCCTTAAACAACAACAAAAAGTGTCATTCCTATGAGTCCTGGAAAATGAGAATAACTCTAGATAGAATCTAGGTCATCTATGTCTTTTATAAATGTCTTCTTGTCTTTTTGGTAAAATTGTTTCCAGATAGATGTCTGGCTCCTAAACTGTGACTTGAAGTCTCCCGGAGTCTCTGAGATGTAGTTCAGGGTCTGCTAGATCCTCCCTTTTCGACTACATAGGTGTGTAAGTTTGTATTTTCTTCATATTCTTCAAACCAAACATTGTATCTTACCAAACTGAATGCAGACCCAAATATGAGAATCCTACTTTGTTATTAAGCTAGACATTAGATTTGCAAAAGTGTTAAACAGCAACAAACATCGTTGCTTTTTTCCAAAAATATTACTTTACCTAAAATATTTATATCCTCGGTAGTTTTTAAAAATAAAAAAGGTCCTTGTCCTTATGAGCTCATTATCTAGTATAAAATATTTTAATGACTCATGTGATTTTATATTATATTATTAATTCTTTTAGAAGTCATAATCTAGAAAGTCAGAATTTCACAGAAAAGAATTTATTTTTGTTTCATTTGGAATATTACATTAGAAGTCTGAATTTGTTCATTACCTGTTACAGGTCTATTCCTACAAATCAAAGATTTCTAGCGTGGATGCATCTAATTTCTGATTTCCAGGTTTGTTGTTATTGTTGTTTTGTTTGTTTATTTTTTATTTTTGTGTATATGCAGAATTTTGAACAACTTTTATGGGGCTATATATATATCGTTTTTTATACATAAATAATTTATATTATTTATATATTTATAAATGTGTAAATAAATTTTCTATTTTATATATAAATATATATTTTATTTATATATAATATATATTATATTATATATTATTTTATTTTTATTTATTTATATTTATATTTATATAATATATAATATATATAATATATAATATAATATATAATATATATAATATATTATATAATATATAATATATATAATATATAATATAATATATATATTATATAAATTTATTTATATATTTATAAATATTAAATTATTTATATATAAATAATGTATAAATAATGATATTAAAATGATATTAAGTTGCATACTTGATAGTTGTATATATGTGTATATATGTAGTTATTTTAACCATCATAAGTATGCAATTTAATATCATTATTTGCATTCACAATATCGTGCAACTGTCATCACTATCTATTTTCAAAACTCTATTAACTGCCCAAACAGAATCTCTGTAACCATTACAAAATTACTCTACATTCCTCCTTTTGCCAGTACCTGATTCCTCTAATTTACTTTCAGCCCTTATGAATTTGGCTATTTCATATAAATGGAATCATACAATATTTGTCCTTTGTGTCTGGATAATTTCATTTAGCCAAATGTTTTCAAAGTCCGTCTATGGTGTAGCATTTATCAGAATTTCATTCGTTTTTAAAGCTGAATAATATTCCATTGCAAATACATACCACTTTTTGTTTATCCATTCATTTGTTGTTGAGCTCCCAGGTTGTTTCTACCTTTTGACTATTGTAAATAATTCTCCGATGAACATTGTTGTACAAGTAACTGTTTGAGTCTCTGTTTCTAATTCTTTTGGATATATGCCTAGAAATGAAATTGCTAGGTCATATGGTAATTCTATCTTTAGTTTCCTGAGGAACTGCCAAGCTATTTTTTACAGTAGTTGCATCATTTTTCATTCTCACCAGCAATGTATGAGGGTTCCGATTTCTCCAGATCTTTGCCCACACCGGTCCCCTACTCCTTTGGTGTTGCTGTTGTTATAACCATTCTAGAAAAGGCATGAAGGGATATCTTCTGGTTCTGATTTGCATTTCCCTAGGACTAATGGTGTTGAGAATCTTTTCATGTGCTTAGTGGCTATTGATGTGTATATTCTCTAGAGAAAAGCCTTTGCCTATTTTTTAATTGGGTTACTATTTCTTTGTAGACAAATTCTAGGAGTTCTTTGTCTATTCTGGATATTAAACCTTTATCAGATAAATGATTTGCAAATATTTTCTCCGACCATACAGGTTTTCCTTTCACTTTCTTAATAATGTTCTTTGATCACGAAAGTTTTTAATATTAAGTCAAATTTATCTTGTTGTTTTTCTCTTTTTGCTCACACATTTGATGGCACACCTAAGATTCTATTGTCAAAGTCAAGGTCATGAAGATTTGCTCCTTTGTTTTCCTTGAAGAGTTATGATTTTAGGTCTGATATTTAGGTCATTGATCCATTTTGAGGATATCAAGTTGTATGATAGTGGGAGCCATTTTATTATACATGGTATGGTATGACCATGGTTTGAAAGAGATATCCAACATATTCTTTTGCATGTGGAATCTAGTTGTCTCAGCCACATTTTTGAAGACACTGTTTGTCTTAGTCTACTTTCTGCTGCTGTAGTAAAATACCACAGATAGGTAATTTATAAATAGCAGATGTTTATGTGGCTCACATTTCTGGATGTTGGGAAGTCCAAGAGCATGGCACTGGCAGATGGTAAGGGCATTCTTGTGCATTATCCCATGGGGCATAGGTAGGCAGGGACGTGAGACAGAGATATACAATGGGACCAAATAATCTATCCTTTCTTCAGGAGCCCACTTCTGCAATTACTAACCCATTTCTGAGATAATAGCATTAATCACTTTATGAGAGAAGAGTACTCATAACCCATCCAGCTTTTAAGGGTCTTGCCTCTGAATACCATTACAATGGCAATTAAATTTCTACATGAGTTCTTCTTCCATTTAATGGAAAAGGAACTTTGGGCCTTTGCCAATAGTAAGTTGGCCATAAATATAAGGTTTTATTTATTGACTTTCAATTTTATTTCCTTGGTCTATATGTCTTTCCTTATGCCGATACCTTACTGTTTTGGTAACTGTAGTTTGTACTAGGTTTTGAAATTGAAAAATATAAGAACTATGACTTATTCTTCTTTTTAAATATTAGATTTGCTACTTGGGTCCCTTTGCAATTTCATATGGATTAAAACATCAGATTTTTCATTTATGCAAAAAAGGATGTTGGTATATTGATAGGTTTGGGGTTGAGTATATATATATAGATCATTTTGGGTAGTATTGACATCTTAACAATATTAAGTTTTCTAATTGAGAAAACAGGATACATTTCTTTTTTAAATAAAATGTCTTTAATTTCTTTCACCATTTTTCTTGTAGTTTTCAGGGTACAAATCTTTCATATCTTTGACTAAATATATTCTTAAGTATTTTATTATTTTAGATGCTGCTATAAGTGGCATTGTTTTCTTAATTTCCTTTTTGATTTGCTGATTTCCAGTGTATAAATACGCATTTGATTTTTGGGTATAGATTTTCTATCCTGCATTGTTTCTGCTTTTGTTTATTAGCTCTAAATGGTTTTTTTTTTATTACTTTTAGTGTAATCTTTAGGGTTTTTCATGTATAAGATGATTATATCTGCACACAGAGAAAATTTTAGTCCTTTCCAATTTGAATGCTGTTTGTTAATTAGTTAATTTACTTAGTTTTGGCTAAGTGCCCTTTCTAGGACTTCCAATGCTATGTTAATTGAAGCAGTGAAAGCGGACATTCTTGTCCTATTTCTGAAAATTTTTCATTCCTCCCACGTGGAGTATGCTATTATCTGTGGATTTTTTATATATGGCCTTTATCATAATGAGGAAGTTTCTTTCTATTCCTAGGTTGGGTATTTTTTTTTATATTGAAAGAATGTTCACTTTTGTCAAATGTTTTTTTTTTTCTGTTCAATTGAGATTATTGTGCATTTTTTTTTTTTTTTTTTTTTTTGAGACGGAGTCTCGCTCTGTCACCCAGGCTGGAGTGCAGTGGCGGGATCTCGGCTCGCTGCAAGCTCCGCCTCCCGGGTTCACGCCATTCTCCTGCCTCAGCCTCCCGAGTAGCTGGGACTACAGGCGCCCGCCACTACGCCCGGCTAATTTTTTTGTATTTTTAGTAGAGACGGGGTTTCACCGTTTTAGCCGGGATGGTCTCGATCTCCTGACCTCGTGATCCGCCCGCCTCGGCCTGCCAAAGTGCTGGGATTACAGGCGTGAGCCACCGCGCCCGGCCTATTGTGCATTTTTTTATTCCATTAATATTATGTATTCCATTAATTGATTTTTGCTTTTGAAACTCAATTGCATTTTTGGGATAAATCCCACATAGTCATGATTTATAATCCTTTTAATATGCTTTTGAATTCAATTTGTTAATATTTCTTTGAGGCTTTTTTTAATCTCTATGCACAAGGGAAATCGACCTGTGGTTTTCTTTTCTGGTGATGTCTTTATCTCACTTTTGTATCTGAGTAATGCTGGCCTCTTAGAATGATTCAGGAACTGTATCCTCCTTTTCAATTTTATAGAAAACCTTGAGAAGAATTGGTGGTACTTGTTTTTTAAATATTTGGTAGAATTCACTGGGAAAGCCACTGGTTCTTTTTCTTGTTAGGAAGTTTTTGATTACTGTTTCAATGTCTTGTTACAAAATGGTTGAAAATTTCTGTTCTTTCTTGAATCAATTTAGGTAATATGTGTGTTCCCAAAAGATTGCCTATTTATTCTCGGTTTTATAATTTGGTAGTATAAAATTGTTCATAGTATTATTTTACAATCCTTTTCATTTCTGTAAAGTTGGTAGTATAGTCAACAGTTTTATTTCTGATTTTATTTATTTTGGTCAGTCTAGCTAAAGAGTTGCCAATTTTGTTGATGTTTTCAAAGACCCTACATCTAGTTTTGTTGACTGTCTTTATTGTTTTATTACTCTCTTTTTTATTTATCTCCACTCTAATATTTATTATTTCCTTCCTTCTTCTAGCTTTCAGTTTAGCTGGCTTTTTATAGTTTCTCAAAATGTAAAACTAGGTTCTTAATTTGAAATCTTTCTTCTTTTTCAAGGTATGCATTTATAATATAAATTTCCCTTGGTATTGCCTTTACTCAAACCTATGAGTTTTGATATGCTGTGTTTTTATTTTCATTTGTCTCTAAGTATTTTTTTAACTTTTCTTGTGACATTTTTCTCTGACTTATTGGTTTTGAGTACATTATTTTATTTCCATGTATTTGTGAATTTCTCAGTTTTCCTTCTGTTATTGATATCTAGCTTCATATCATGTGGTCAGAAAAGATAGATTATATTATTTCAATTTTTAAATTTATGTTTATTATTATTTTTTAAGTTCCAGGGTACATGTACAGGACACGCAGGTTTTTTACATAGGTAAACCTGTGCCATGATGGTTTGCTGCACCTATCAACCCATCACCCAGGTATTAAGCCCAGTGAGTTTTGTTCCCCTCCCTGTGTCCATGTGTTCTCATTGTTCAGCACCCACTTATAAGTGGGAATACGCAGTGTTTGGTGTTCTATTCCTGCATTAGTTTGCTGAGGATAATGGCTTCTAGCTTCATCCATGTCCCTGCAAAAGACATGATCTTGTTCCTTTTTATGGCTGCATAGTATTCCATGGTGCACCACATCTTCTTTATCCAGTTTATCATTGATGGGCATTTGGGTTGTTTCTATATATTTGCTATTGTGAATAGAGCTGCAGTGAACATACACATGCATGTATCTTTATAATAGAATAATTTATATTTCTTTGGGTATATACCCAATAATGGAATTACTGGGTCAAATGATATTTCCGGTTCTAAATCTTTGAGGAATCTCTACACTGTCTTCAACAGTGGTTGGACTAATTTCCATTCCCACCAACAGTGTAAAAGCATTCCTATTTCTCTGCAACCTCATCAGCATCTGTTGTTTCTTGACTTTTTAATAATCTCTTTTCTGACTGGTGTGAGATGGTATTTCATTTGCATTTCTCTAATAATTGTTTTGTGGCCTATTTGATCTATCCTACAGAATGTTCCATGTGTACCTGAAAATAATGAGTGTGCTGCTACTGCTGGGTGAAATGTTTTATATAGATCTCTTAGGTCTAGTAGGTTCATAGTGTTGTACAAGTTATCTATCTCTTATTAATCTATATATAGATGTTTTATCCATTATTGGAACTGGTGTATTGAAATTTCCAACTATTGTAGAATTGCCTACTTTTCCCTTCTTTTTTTTATCGATGTTTGCTTCATACATTTTGGGATCAGTTTTATTTGGTATGTATGTTTTTGTTATACCTTTCTGAGAAATTAAAATTCTTATCAATATGTAATGTCCTTCTTTGTTGTATGTAATCTTTTTTTCACATACAGTCTGTTTTTCATGATATTGATAGTCACTTCAGCTTTCTTTTTATTATTATTTGCATACAATATCATTTTCCATTCATTCACTTTTAATCTACTGTGTCCTTGGATCTAAAATGAGTATCTGGGAGATAGTGTGTAGTTGTATCATGTTGTGTTTTATTTTAAAATAACCCATTTACGTTTAAAGCAATTATTGATAAGGGAAAACTTATTTCTACCTTCTGTCATTTTATTATTTGTTTCCTTTATGTCTTATAGTTCTTTTTCTTTCATTCCTTCCATTCCTTCATTCTTCTATGTTTAGTTGATTTTTTTTTAGTAAACTCTTTTGATTCTCTTCTCATTTCCTTCTATGTATATTTTTAAAACATTTTATTTGTGGTTTCCATGGGGATTACATTTAAAATCCTAAATTTGTAACAACTTGATTTAAATTGATATCAACATAACTTCAATAGCATACCAAATTTACATATGTCTACAGCTCTGTCTTTTCACCCTGTATGCTGTAGTCACACATTATATTTTTATACACTTGTGTCCAATAGTAGAGGTTTATAATTATTTTTATGCGTTTGTCTTTTAAATCCTGTAGATAGTTTTTTAAAAATTTACTTCTTTCTTACTTTTACCGGGAATGAGGTGTCGTAATTTTCTGTAATCTCATTTTTATAACACTACTTTGTAATTTGAGAAAAATCAGGCACTCTGGATTTAATTTATTTTCACAAGTTTTTAAATAGATAAAATATTAACACAAGAATAGTACTATTAAGACATGGTGGAAAATTATATTACTAACTTTCCAAATGAAGAGGTGTTTATGCCTTAGTTTCACTGATCAAATTAGTAATTATAATGCTGTCTATTTAAAAGGGAAATTAGCCTCATCTCTAGACTAAGATAATCCTTTCATTCTAAATTTTCTGATATATGTTAGATTTAATGAGATTTAAATATTATTATTATTATATTATGATCAATATTAAAATGTTATATTTATAAAATAAAAAAGTAAAGTGATTGTTTTATGTTGTTTTTCATAAATAAATCTTTTGTTTTTTTGGCCTTAAACACTAAAGGCACATTCTAAAAGATTTTAAGGGTTAAGTCAGTATTTAAATCAGATGAGCGTTCATGAGTTTTGTAAAAATAAAAATCATATCCTCATTACGTAGTACCTTTATCTGCCATTTTTTCTCCAAGTCTATTAATATTAATCTTATAATTATTATTTTATTCCTGTATGTTTGTCAATAAATATAGGCCTAGTTACCAGAAGGATGCTAATAAAATGAAAGGTCAATTAATTTAGTGTTTTTTTAAAAGAGGAATTCTCTTCTGATATTATTTTAGAATTGACGAGTATTAGCTGGTTGAACACTTACCTGAACACCTCCCTCAAAATAAAACTAATAGTATAAAACATTGGCATATTTCTCAAAAAAACCCCAAAGGTTTTTTTGTACATGTAAATGTAGCCTTTAAAACTATTCAGCATTTAAAAAGAAATAATACTATTAATTAGTGTTAAGTAGGGAAATTTGTCTATTCAAACAAACCAATTAACTCCATCTGGTAGAAAGTATATGTGTGCATCTATGAGCATCAGTGCTCAGCCCACTACAGCAGAGCATGCTTAAGTCCTGTGTCAGTGAATCTTGGCCAAAGCAACTAAGCTCAACTTCAAATCTCTTCCTGATTCCAACACTCGATTCAGAGATTGCAGCTTGAATGATCCTATACATGTATAGAAGGAATAGCATGGTTTGCCTAGTCATTCAGCTTTGAGTGTACATCTCGGCATACGTTTTGAAGTTAATTTGCATTTCTAATTGATAATTTATTTTAACTATTGCCTTTCAATGCTGACTATATGAGTTAACCCAAATGTGTTGGAACATTATCTGAAGCATTTACAAGGAAAATAACTTTGTATTTCATAAGGAATATATTATTGATATTTTTAATAATTATAAGGAAATAACTACCAGATCACACCTAATAATCTCAAAGCCACAATAAAGATGTAGATGATGATTCTATTAAGCCTCCTTTCTTTATCTTTTCCAGTTATAGTTAAAAGTAGTCAATCTTTTAGGATTTTCAATCCTAATACTCAAGTAAAACATATTTAAATATGGTTTTGTATATTGATTTGTTAAGACTTCCAATGTCTCAATTTCCATTGCATAACAACTGAAATTTCACTTACTCATCTTTAACACAGTAACGTTTCATCTCATTCGTAATGTATAGAGCTTTCTTAATCTTTCCATTTGCATTGAGAGACATTTAAGCCCTATTTGAAACATCCATATAATGGAATGGTATGGAGCCCTTAGAAAGTGAGACATAGCCAGTCAGGCGCAGTGGCTCACGCCTGTAATCTCAGCACTTTGGGAGGCTGAGGCAGGCAGATCACGAGGTCAGGAGTTCAAGACCAGCCTGGCCAACATGGTAAAACCCCATCTCTACTAAAAATACAAAATTAGCTGGGTGTGGTGGCGTGCACCTGTAATCCCAGCTACTGGGGAGGCTGAGGCAGAATTGCTTGAACCCAAGAGGCAGAGGTTACAGTGAGCCGAGATCGCGCCACTGCACTCCACCCTGGATGATAGACCAAGACTCCGTTTCAAAAAAAAAAGAAAGTGAGACATAGCTCACCATCCTCTTCAAGAATATGAGCAAAATATACTAAATGGAGCAGATGAAGTGCTCCATAGTGTGTATGGTAGAATAACCTATAGAAGCCATTAGCCACGTGTGGCTTCTCAGCATGTGACACGTGGCTACTTCAAATTGAGATGTACTGTAAGTGTAAAATACACTGATTTTAAAGACAATATTTAAAACATCAAATATCTCATTACTATGCCTTATGTTGACTTGTTGGAAATATAATATTTGAGATATATTGAGTTAAATAAAATGTATTATTAAAAGTATTTACTTGTGTTTTTGTTAATTTGACTATTAAAAAATTAAGGTCATGCATGTGGTGTACAAGTGTGAGTGCATTGTCTTCTATTGGATACCACTTAAATACAAGATAAAAGTTGGTCATATATCCAAATATTTGCACGTATATGTAAGAGAATCTTGGTGAGGATCTAGAAAAGGCTGGGGACTTAGTGAATTGGAGAGGCAGAAATAAAAATAATCTTATTTGTACTCTAAATATGTTATCTTTGTAATCTTTTTGTTTTTCTTTCTTTCTTTCTCTTTTTTTTTTTTTTTCGAGATGGAGTTTTGCTCTTGTTGCCCAGGCTGGAGTGCAATGGCGTGATCTCGGCTCACCGCAACCTCTGCCTCCCAGGTTCAAGCGATTCTCCTGCCTCAGCCTCCCGAGTAGCTGGGATTACAGGCATGTGCCACCACGCCCAGCTAATTTTGTATTTTTAGTAGAGATAGGGTTTCTCCATGTTGGTCAGGTGATCCACCTGCCTTGGCCTCCGAGTGTGCTGGTATTACAGGCGTGAGCCACCATGCCCAGGCTTTTTCCTTCTTTCTTTCTTTTCTTTCTTTCTTTCTTTCTTTCTTTCTTTCTTTCTTTCTTTCTTTCTTTCTTTCTTTCTTTCTTTCTCTTTCTTTCTTTCTTTCTTTCTTTCTTTCTTTCTTTCTTTCCTTCTTTCTTTCTTTCTTCTTTCTTTCTTTCTTTTTCTTTCTTTCTTTCTTTCCTTCTTTCTTTCTTTTTTTCCTGTTATTTTAAATAGATGTATCTGTGGAAGGATGGATGGATGGATGGATGGATGAGTGAATGGGTAATGGATGGGCAGATGGACAAGCATGCCAGCAGGCAGACAGATTGATCAATAGCATGATAGAATGAAGAGAAAAAGAAAGAAAGAAAGAAAAAAAGAAAGAAAGAGAAAGAAGGAAAGAAAGGAAAGAAAGAAAGAAAGAAAGAAAGAAAGAAAGAAAGAAAGAAAGAAAGAGAAAGAAAGAAAGAAAGAAGGGAGGGAGGGGAAAGAAAGAAAGAAGGGAGGGAGGGGAAAGAAAGAAAAAGAAAGAGAGGGGAAGGGAGGAAGGAAGGAAGGGAGGGAGGGAGAGAGGGAAGGAAGGAGGGAGGGGAGAAGGAAGGGAAAAAGGAAGAGAGATAGGAAGGGAGGGAGGGAGGAAGGAAGGAAGAGAGAGAGAAAGAAACAGAAGGAGGAAGGGAAGAAAGAAGGGAGGAAGTGAGGAAGGAAGGAAAGGACACAATCTTTTATTGTAGTTTATGCACACCAGATGCTTGTTCTCTCATTCTGTCTCTGGGCAGGAAGAATACAAAGACAGAGAAATCACCAAGGATCTCTATAAGGACACCTCATTGTTATTACCTAATTTTGCACCTTTGCTGCAGTAATAGCTTTATTTTTGCATCTTAGTACTTGAAGACAAGCTCCACATCCTTTATCTTAAAATCAGTGACTGAGCTCCTACCTCAGCACACATTGCAGTGCCAAGTCTGTCTATGATAATGACTTGGTCTTTATTTCTTTTGGGGAAAGAAGTTCTATCTAGATACTATATCCTCAGGTTGCTGTCCTTCCCCTCAGTGACCAGATGCTTCTACATTTACATTCACCATGGGACTGGTGCTTAGACAGCTCCCTATCTTATTTTAATTGATACATAATCATTATATGTATTTATGAGGAACATATGATATTTTGCTTCAATTAATCAAGATTTTCTCTTTAAAACGTTAATTTTTTGTAGGGAGAGGTAAAGTTTTTAACTGATAATGTGAAACCAATCCCAAAGAGAGATTTCCAGTGAAGAAAATAGGAAGTTTTTAAAGTTTAGAATATTTAGACCAAATTTTTACAATAAAACAACATTTATTTCTACAATAGTTTGTAAAAAAATATCATTTCATAACGACCTCAATACCAAAATACTTTGTTCTAGTTTGAAAACATATTATATTAATCCAGAGTGTCAAATGTCAATAAAGCACATTAACTCTCATACATTTTATTTAAATATTATATAAGTACTTTATTATTTGTAAAGTCACGTGTATTGCAGCAGCAGAGAACTGGATATATCTGTCTAATCTATTTCTGCAAATAAGTAATACTTTATTACATGAAAAATAATTAGAGTTTATTAAAAACATTTTTTAAAATGCTCTGAACATGACATCAGAAATGAAATATACGTCTTTGAGTAATTCCACAAAATGACTTACATTTCTGTATCCAAAATAATTGAAGGTAATCAAAAACTTCTTTTAAAATACTGTAAACATATCACTATCAATATCTAAGTCTACATGTAAAAAAGTTCTACTTTAGTGGGTTTATTCAACTTAAACAACTAATTCTAAAATCACACCTAAAATAGCTAATTTAGTGAAAATAAATGGTTGAGAAGCAAGCCAGACAAAGAGTGTAATTGAAATAACCAATGTTTAAGTGAGTGTCAGACAAAGAGTGTAATTGAAATAACCAATGTTTAAGTGAGTGTCAGCCAAAATGGATGAACGTTGTGGAAATATACAACATCTCAGCTTCCTTACTTTTGACAAGAACACTGGGTTCATTAAATTTAGCCAGCAGTTCTGTCAAGCCTGAACTATACAATCACTCAGACATTCCCTGCAGTGTTCTTTCAAAGATTCTATTTAGAAGCTATTTGACCTTTTGAGATGACATAATCATATACCATCAATTATTCTCATATTGAGAAAAGACTTTAGCAAAATAAATGCACTTGCTCAGTGAAATAAATGATTAAGTAAATTAAATAAATCACTAAATGCATTTTAACAAAAAAACCCTAAAAATGGGTGATAAAAAATAAAGTGATAAAGTATTAAAAGAAAATTATCAACACCGAACAAATTTGTTTCTAAAACCAAATATAGCACACTACTGAAAAATATTGTTTTAAGAGAATTACATGTATACATGGTGTGTACCTTGTAAGTATACACCATGTATACACTTTGTGTACATACAAAACATAACAATATGATATTAAAATACCTAGTAAAATATAAATATTTTGGAAACAAAAATATCCAGCTTAAATTTTATTTATTTACTTATTTTTAATTTTTTTAATTTTAGGTTTGGAGGTACATGTGAAGGTTTGTTACATAGATAAACATATGTCAGGGGGGTTTGTTGTACATATTATTTCGTCACCCAGGTATTAAACTCAGTACCCAATAGTTATTTTTTCTGCTCCTCTGTCTCCTCCCACACCCCTCCATCGAGTAGACCCCAGTGTTCGTTGTTTTCTTTGTGTTCATATGTTCTTATCATTTAGCTCCCACTTACAAGGGAGAACATGCGGTATTTGGTTTTCTGTTCCTGCATTAGTTTGCTAAGGATGGTAGCCTCCAGCTCCATCCATGTTCTTGCAAAAGACATGATCTTGGTCTTTTTTATGGCTGCATAATACACCATGGCATATGTATCACATGGTGTATATATACCACATTTTCTTTATTCAGCCTGTCATTGATGGGCATTTAGGTTGATTCCATGTCTTTGCTATTGTGAACAGCGCTGCAATGAACATTTAAGCACACGTGTCTTTATGACAGAATCAAGCTCAAATTTTAAGATAGCATACAGTGGGATATAATACAAGCAACTTATTAACTTAGGGCAGTTTTAGGTAAAGGTAAAATATTTAAGCAAAAATTGAACAATTCAGTCAGTTGTATTCGTATTTGGTATATCAGAGACCAAACCCCTAGATTTTCAGTCATTTCATTAAGAGGTTTTATACACTATAGAATTTTTATAGCGTTATCACTTACCATAAATGAAAAAAGGTATATTTTTATTCTGAAAGAAAATAATATTGAATAATTAGCTTCAGTTCAGTCTCAAATACATTTGCTACATTCTTCTGTGTTAAAAATAATATTTAAGATAAATAGGCAAACTATTAACCATCTCTCTGAATCTCTAAGTTTCACAAGAACTTTTAACTTATTTTTTGACTAAAAACATTCTGCATTCACGACACAAGAGAGTATTCAAATTAATGATCTCTCTTTTAGTGCCATTATTTAATAGACAATTGAATATTTCTCTTTTTTTAAGATTTTGCTATTCTTTTAACAATGCTCCATTTTAATTAGGATCTTTTCCAGCAAAAAAATCAATATTGTATATAGCCACACATTTCATTTATGAATATTTATATTTGATTTCATAAATGACATTTACTTTAAGCAACACAGACAACTTTTGAGAAATTAGTACAATGCTTACAAACATTTAACTAATGGATGAAGAATAATTTTCTCTAAAGCAGATGGTACTCCTACTTCTTATTTCTAAGGCTTCATAGTGGGTGCATTTTTCCCATTCCTTCTAACCACTCAGTACACCCACAGTCAATTCAAAAAACAATTGTAATATGAAATTCAATTTTTATAAATGTGGGATTTTTAAATGTAGTCTCAGTTTCTTCTAATTTGCAAAATTTGTTGACATTTAAATTTATGAGTAGGTATCTATTTACTGTGTGTGTGTGTGTGTGTGTGTGTGAGAGAGAGAGAGAGAGAGAGAGAGAAAGAGAGAGAGAGAGAGAGAGTTTTGCTCCATCACCCAGCCTGGACTGCAGTGGCCTAATCGTGGTTCACTGCAGCCTTGACTTCCTGGGCTCAAGCGATCCTTCCACCTCAGCTTCCCAAGTAGCTGGGACTACAGGTACGCACTACCAGACACAACTAATTTTGTTTACTTTCTGTAGAGATGAAGTCCCACTATGTTATCCAGGCTGGTCTTGAACTCTTTTATTTTTTATTTTTATTTATTTATTTTTTTGAGACGGAGTCTCGCTCTGTCGCCCAGGCTGGAGTGCAGTGGCGTGATCTAGGTTCACTGCAAGCCCTACCTCCCGGGTTCACGCCATTCTCCTGCCTCAGCCTCCCGAGTAGCTGGGACTACAGGCGCCCACCACCATGCCCAGCTAATTTTTTTGTATATTTTTAGTAGAGACGGGGTTTCATCGTGTTAGCCAGCATGGTCTTGATCTCCTGACCTCGTGATCTGCCTTTCTCGGCCTCCCAAAGTGCTGGGATTACAGGCGTGAGCCACTGCGCCCGGTCCCTGGTCTTGAGCTCTTGAACTCAAGTGATCCTCCCAATTCAGCCTCCCAGAGTGCTGGGATTAAAGCGGGGAGCCATTGTGCCTGACCTCCATTTACTGTGTGTGTGTGTGTGTGTGTGTGTGTGTGTGTGTGTGTGTGTGTGTGTGTGTGTGACAGGATCTGACTCTGCTGCCCAGGCTGGAGCGCAGTGACATGATCACAGTTCACTGCAGCCCTGACCGCCTAGGGCTCCCATAATTTTTTCACTTCAGCTTCCTGAGTAGCTGCGACTACCAGCACCTGCCACCATGCCCAGCTAATTTTTGTATTTTTGTAGAGATGTTTTTTTTGCCATGTTGCCCAGGCTTGTCTCAAGCTCCTTGGCTCAAGCAATCTGCCTGCCTCAGCCTTCCAAAGTTCTGTTATTACAGGTGTGAGCCACCATGCCCAGCCCTCCAATTATTTTTTAATAAAAATGTTACAATAGGAATAATTTCATTGATAAAAAAAAATCAGTAGTTTGTAAACATTTGATCTCACATATTCCTAGTCTTTATGTATTTAGTTTAAGAACTGAAGTACAATAATGATACACAATAATATCATACATACATTATGCTTAAGAAATTAAACATACAAAATTAAACTAAAAATGTAAGTAAAATATAAATATTCAGTTATACAAAATTATTTAAATAAAAGGAAAAATTTGTAGCTACTATATCCTTTAAAAGTGAAAAGTTTTTTAGAGACATTTAACTATTACTCTTTTTAAAAAGTTTTATTTTATTTTTAATTGACACATAATAATTGTGCATATGTATGGGGTACAGTGTGATGTTTCAATACATGTATACCTGGTGTAATGATCAAATAAGGGTATTTAGCACATACATCAGCTCAAATATTTATCATTTATTTGTGGTGAGAACATTCAAAATCCTCTCTTATAGTTATCTTGAAATATATGATATTGTTAACTATTGCCACTCTACTATGCAATAGAACACCAGAGCTGATTCTTCTTATGCCCATTGATCAATCTCTCCCCTTCTCCCACCTTTCTATTACCCTTCTTAGCCTCTGGTAACCACTGTTCTACTCTTTACTTCTATGATACCAGATTTTTTGATTCCTAAAATGAGTAAGTTTATGCAATATTTATTTTTTCATACTTGACATATTTCACTTAATATAATGTCCCCTAGGTTTATTCTCCAGTACATTGGATATATCATTCCATTCTCTCCTGGCCTACAAGAATTCTGCTGAGAAATCTTCTGATGTTCCAATGGCAGATCTCTTTTTTGCAACTTGTCACATTTTTCTTACTGATGTTAGAATTCTTTTTTTGTATTTAACTTTTGACAGATTTATTGTAATGTGCCCTAGAGAGGACTTTTCAGGCTGAATCTAACTGGGGTCATTGAACTTCATGAATTTGAAGATTCATCTGTCCCAAGACTTGGAAAGTTTTCAGCTTTTATTTTGTTTATTAAGCGTTCTGTGATATTTTCTGTATCTTCTCCCTCCTTAATTAACATATGCAAACCTCTGTTTGCTTAATGGCATCCTATTAGTCTTGTAGTGTTTCTCTACTCTTTTTAATTCTTTTTAAAATATATTTCCTCTGATTAGAATATTCCAAAAAAAATCCTTCTAGTTAATTTTTTTTTCTTCTTTTCTTCTACTTTATCTAGTCTGCTACTGAAGCTGTAAATATAACTTTTTATTTCATTAATTGAAGTCTTCAACTCCAAGATTTTTGTTTGCATTTCTGTTTTGCTTGGATTATCTATATCTTTGCTGATTTTCTTATTCAGCTCCTGAATTGTTTTCCAGATTTTGTTGAATAGTTTATCTGTATTCTCTTTCATCTCACTGACATTTTTAAAGTTTATTATTTTAAATTCTTTGTCACAGAAGTTGAACATTTCCATTTTGGCGGTTTTACTGGAGATTTATTGACTTCTTTGATGGTGTCATTTTTCTTGACTTTTCAGGTTTCTGACATCAACGTGTTGATATCTCAGCATCTAATGGAATGGTCTCCTATACCAATTTTATAGGGTGGCTCTCATAGGTAAATATTTTTGCCTGCAGACAAGGTGTCAGTTGGGGAAGATTACTTTGCTTTGGTTCTGGTTGAGCACAGTAGTGCAGTCTGTGAATTTCTTCAGTTGTAGTCAACTGGATGCAATTACCTCAGTTGTCTAGGCTGTAGAAATTTGTGTGGCTTCTCTACTAGGTTGGGCATGATCTTTCTTCTGACAGTGGGGAAGCTGGGCTGTTCTGTATGCCAAGGTTGCAAGGGGACTTCTTCACTGGCTAGGTTGCTGCCTCCTACTGGAGGCAGTCATTAAGGGGCTGCTCTGCTGGATTGAGAGCAGCCTCCCCACAACATGCCTTGACAGGCATGGTAACATGTGGGATTGGGCAGTGGGTTACGGCTGTTCTTCTGGGCCTAGGCTCTGAGTAGCCAGGGCTGGGGCACTGCAGTCACTGGGTTGGGAAAGATGGATTGCCTCCTAGGCAGTACATTCTCAGGGAGTAGGAAGCTATAGTTGCTCAGCTGAGGAATGGTGTGTTTCCATGTGTCAACACAGTGAAGTGGCAGCAGAGCCTCAGGGAAGGGGAGATGTAGTGGCTATTGGCCCCTGAAGCCAGGTACAACATGGGCCTCTTCTTTGGAATAACACAGCTGTATGAATTCCAGGCTACTCTCTACACTGAGCTCAGGGACTGTGAAGACTGCAGGGCTCTTCAACAGCAAAGACTACAGGTATTCTCAGCTATAACGGGGGTTGCTATGGGCCTCCTACTTACCTTTTACCTGCACAGAAATTCTCTTTTGGTTCTAAGCTGATCCCAACCGGGCAGATGGGGTGGCAAAATCAGGGTGTTTGCTCCCTTTTTTATACAACTATCTTGAGTCTCCATGCTCCATAGGGTCTCTGCCACTCCCCTGAAGTACTCCAACGTTCTCCTTCAGCTACTTTAGTGCAGATTGTGTTATTTGTGTGTGTTGGGCGGGGTGAACATTCAGCACCTCTAGTCAACCATCTTGTTGATGTCATTCCTGATTATTGCTCTTTGTATATAACAACTTCTAACTCTGAAATTTATATTTTATTCTTTTAAAGTTTATTAAACAATTTTGAATAAAAGAAATGTATTTACTGCATTTTTAAAAGGATAGATTCTCTTTTTATTATGATATATTTTATTACAAAGCAGATTACACATTTTAGTGTTGGTAGATAAATTACATTGTTTCTGGTGAAATATCTAAATATTCTTTTAAGGTATGCACTATTTTTACACCATGATTATGCTTTTAAACTATACCAGAAACAAGATTATTACAGCTATCATCACTTAGGTATTAGAAGGTGTGCATATATTAGGTTCCTACTAGGGGCTCTTCTTTCCTGTACATCTCTTAGTTAAATAAATAGATTCATTACTTCCCTCAAATATAGTCTCAATTGTTACTTCCTCAATTAGGTATATCCTTCCAACCATTTTAAATTATAAGTCTCTGTTTAAAATTTCTCACTTTCCTTAACTTGCTTTACTTTTATTTTATCCTGTTCACTTTCTAATATAGTACATATTTATTGTAAGAAAATAATACCAGCTCCAAAAGGGCAAGTTGATGAGCATCTTGTAGTAAAATTCTGAAGAAAATAAAATAAAATTTCCCTTTATTTTTATAATGGCTACTTTTTTTTTTTTCTACCATAGCTCAGAAGACCTAGCATAGGTTTAGGGAACTCACATTGGGTCTATCCAACTTTGAACTTCTTCCAGGGGGCAATAGCTATTGTAGAACAAGATGGAGAAGAAAAGCTGAGGATATTCACAAGCATATAATCAAGGATGAGACTCTGGAGTTTGTGCTGGATTGGAAGTAACAAAAAAAGAAGTCGAGAGAAATAAAGAAGAGGAGGTCAGGGTTTAGAGGTGTCAGTAATGTTGAAAAGCAAAATAAAGGTAATAGTGGTATTGAATAGTTGGATGATCTGAACTATGAGATTTTAAAGGATATCTGAGTTTATGATTTCAGAGAATTAAGCTGCCTTTGGAAGAAAAGTCTTTGACTCTCAAAGCAATTTTTACTGTTATTCATTGTTCTGCACTTTTTTTTAAAAAGTCTTATTTTTATTTTTGATTCTGTTTATTTATTTTGGAATAAAGAGTTGTCTAGCCTGTTTATTGTTTCTAGAAAAAAAACATGTTATGGCATACAGTGGGTTTTCTCACTCTCCATTGAGTATACTTCTTAGATAGTATTAGAAAATAATTTCTGGGATGAAGTCTTTTGCTTATGTATTTAAGCAACCAGTTGGCAAAGTTTTGCATAATTGAAGCCTGTGGAATAAGGAAGACCACTTTAATATATGCCACTTTATAGCATTTGTTTGCTTTCTAAACAGAAAGCTGAAATACCAACCTGTTTAGTGGAGAGGAAAAAAGCAAGCAAATCTCAGCTTATTGATTTGTATACATCAGGTTGATGGTACAGCTTCTGGACCCATTTCATGGGCTGGAAAATACTTATGTAATATGATTCCACTTGACTGAGCTATAATAGTCTTAAAGAGTCATGACTACTTTATTTGACACTATGGTAATTAAAATAATTCAAAAATATGTATACTCCTTAATAGACATGAATAGTGGCAGCTCTGTTGGTGACCTTGCCAACGGAATTTAACACATTTGGTTATATATCCTGCATATATATATCCTGTATATTACAAGATATATCAATCTCCGACTCTCTGTCCTCATTCTATTTTTTAAAACCTTACATTATATATTATGAGAGGTACTTGACAGCAGTGTAGCAACAGGAAATCAGGTATACTATTATCCCCTAAAAATCTTATGTCTGTGCAGTAGGAGGGCAGCTTCCAAGTTTTCTGTTGGCATAGATTCTGGTCTCTTACCAGGGGGAGGTTGTGGCACAGGACCAAAGCATATCTATACCATCTGCTTGAATTGTAAAAGCTCATGCCAGCTGCCAATTGTAATTCTCAATTCAGCCCCATAGGTCTTGTACTTCTTTTCAGATTATTGTAATATTTTATAGTTTTCAGTATTATGATATTTGGTGTTTCTGAGTCATCATATGTGTTTTTAAGAAAAATTGATAGAAGCTTAGTACATCTGAAATTAAAATTTACAGGTATCAAGAATAACATTTAATATATTATATTTCCTTTAAGTTTGCTTTTGCTGTTTTTACATGCAGATACTAACAGTTTTTATGAAAAAAATATTTTTCCTCTAATTGTTTTTTTATAAAGGTTTCAAATTTAGAATGTTTTCCATCAGAAGAACCAGAAAGTCTTTATCAGTAATTTATGTTGGTATTTTGTTTATTTAATTTTTTTTACTTTATTTAAACTGTATTGTTTAAGATTGAGAAATCAAATATTCTTAGCTAAAATTAATAATTGTCAACACTTTGGCTGTTTAATCTTGGACACGTTAACTTGGATTTTCTAAGCCCATCTTCTGAGCATTAGAAAATCCATAGCTCCCAAGCGTTACCAACTTCTATAATTGCATTTCAATTTTCAAGTTACTTGACCTAGCTGAAATATGTGAAATAGAAAATCCCATCTACTGGAATTTGTTTTTCTGATTTTTGCCTCCAATAGAGTATGCCAACCTGACAGTCTGCTCTGTATTTGATTTTCCACATTGCCTCTGTTCTTTCCATAGCTTAAATATTCATGTTCCTTAAGATTCCCTCCTTGTTTCTCTTCTCCCTCCACTTGCTCTCCTTGGGTAATCTTAATTGTTTTTATGGGTTGAATCTATAATGATTCCCAAATTCATATTTCACATTGAGATTATCATAAGCATCACAGCCTGAATGTCCCTAATTTAACTAATCTAATAATAATAATAAAAAAGCCTGCTCTTCCTCTGACCTTATTTTTGAGAAGGCACCATCACTGAAGTAGGTACTAAGAATGATCTTTGTCTTCCTTTCCTCTTCATGTATCCAATAAGTCATGAAATCATGCCACTTTGATCTCTAGAGTATTTTTCATCTGTTCTCTTTTTATTCTATTTCCAGGAGTGTCTTGCTTTTCACCTGCATTACTGTAATAATGTATTCTCAGGTCTCCAAGTCTTCAGATGCAACCATACCATTCCTTCTCCATATGGCCAAGTTTCTGACAACAAAGTTTAGACATATTACTAGACCGATTATACCTTGTCATAGTGGCTCTAGCTTGAGTAAGAACAGCTTTTGGATGGCTTTCTAGAAACTACACATAAAATAGGAAATAGTTATATGAGTAAGGGAATGATGTTAATGGTAGAAAGTATCATTTTTATTTTATTAAGCTGTTTTTATAACGTTGAATTAACACTAATAAAACAATAACAGTAATAAAATAATTACCACAAAAACCTAAAATAATAAAATAAAGTGAGAAAATTACATAGATATCAATTAAGATTGTAAGTACAAATTAACTCCAACGATAAGCATAAAATTTAAAGCTTTATGAATAGGTTGAAGAGTGGTAAGGATTATATCTATAACATATAACTCAGTAAATATTACCTTGACATAAACCCAAACAAATGGAACTCTAGAAATAAATTATAAAATACAAAAACAATAAAGCCGCAATAAACATACGTGTGCATTTGTCTTTATAGCAGCATGATTTATAATCCTTTGGTTATATACCCAGTAATGAGATGGCTGGGTCAAATGGTATTTCTGGTTATAGATCTTTGAGGAATTGCCACACTGTCTTCCACAATGGTTGAACTAGTTTACAGTCCTACCAACAGTGTAAAAGTCTTCCTATTTCTCCACATTCTCTCCAGCACCTGTTGTTTCCTGATTTTTTAATGATCGCCATTCTAACTGGTGTGAGATGGTATCCCATTGTGGTTTTAATTTGCATTTCTCTGATGGCCAGTGATGATGTGCATTTTTTCATGTGTCTGTTGGCTGCGGGAATTGAACAACACACCAGGGCCTGTCATGGGGTGGGCGGAGGGGGCAGGGATAGCATTAGGAGATATACCTAATGTAAATGACGAGTTAATGGGTGCAGCACACCAACATGGCACATGTATACATATGTAGCAAACCTGCACGTTGTGCACATGTACCCTAGAACTTAAAGTATAATAAAAAATAAATTAATTAATTAAAAAAACAGAAACAAATTCTTGAGAAAAGATAATAAAACCATCATTTTGTATTTTCAAGAAAATGATCTACACTGAAGCTATAACAGACTCTTTTGAAATAAAAAAAAATTGTCAACCTGTAGAAGAATGTGTGACTTTTATAACAGAGCATTAATAAACAACTATGTCTTTCTTGAGAGATGTGACCAAAATACACAAGAACATTGTGATAGAATAATGGCCCCATGAAGATGTCCATGTCCTAATACCTGGAATCTGTGCATATGTTATGTTACTTGGAAAAAGGGAATTAGAGTTGCAGATAGAATTGAATAAATGAGCATTGTTACCACTTTGGTTGTGATCTTGAAATACGATTTCCCACCAAAGAACTAAAGCTTCTTGGATTAATGGCTGAATTTAGATATGGGCCAAGAAGAAAGTAAGAAGTGTGCTATGGTTTGAATGCTTTTATCTCCTTCCAAATTCATGTTGAAAGTTAATTCTCTCTGAAATTCAGGGGTTGCCAATGTGATAGTATTAAGAAGTAGAGTATTTAAGAGGTGGTTAGGCCATGAAGGCGCCTTCCTTATTAATAGGATTAAGGCCCTTATAAAACAGGTTTCATGCAGAATTAGGAAAGCTTCAGAGCTTGTCCTTCTGCCATGTTTAGATGCAGAAAGAAGGCCCTTGCTAATGCCACACCAGATGCTAATGCCTTGCTTTTGGACTTTTCTGCCTGCAGAACTGAGATAAATAAATGAAGATAAAATATTTTGGGCTTCAATAAAGATAAAATACTATTGATCAAGCCATTTTAAAGCTATTTAAATCCACTCATTCATTATTATACGCACATAAACTAATTGTTCAACTTTTCAGGAAACTGGGAACCAACTCATGATTTTTAAAAAGTAGTCTATAAGACAAATAAATTCAACATTTCTTGTACATCATTGTAAAAAAAATGTACCATTGGGCAAACTAAACAGTAACTTACAGAAGTATTTCTCATTAATTAAAATTAATGAGTGAATCATTAATTAAAATTAATGAGTGAACCTTTTTACAACTGTGATAAATTGAAAGGTCTAAATACTGAATATCAATGGCTACTAACTACACAAAAAATAGTTGCCTAAGCATTGTATATCTCATGATAGAAGAACAAAACTTACTTGTTAGGTTTTTCTGGCAAAATGTCATACTTGGAACAGAGCAAGGCTGTGCAACCAATCAACTTCCAGAAAATTTTAAAAGAATAGAGCAACATGTCGGACTACACCAGATGAATGTAATAAAGTAAATTAAAACTGGCAATCTCTACAGCAGTGAATTGAGGGTGGTCCAACGTTTTTCACTGGTATGTGACAAATTAAGTACAGTACTTAAAAGTAAACATTAATTATATTCTTAAAGGTTGAGTATCCCCAATTCAAAAATCTGAAATTTGAAATGCTGCTTTTTAGCTGTTTGGAAGTAGAAAGATTAGAAAACTGGAGATAAAGAGCTCTGGGTAAGAGACATAAAGATGTATCTATTAGAATGAGAAGCAAGCAGAAATATGTTTTTATGCTGTTTCAAACCATGGGAAAGCATGTACTAAAAATGACATGCAACACAGCCAAATAAACAAAAGAAAGACTCAGTTGAAGTAAATCAATGTCTCTTGCTGGTCATCCCAGCGGTGACAAAAAGGCTTATGAATAGAATGATCACAGTGGCAGTGATGAAGTCTGTTCATGAGTTCACAAGTTAATCTATCATTCCAACGATGATCTAACTATTGACAAACTTTCCAAAGCTATGCGCCTGACAGGGACCAAAGCTATGCACCTGATATGACAACATACGCAAAAGAGAAATTAACATTGGTGGCAAGTTGAAGATACTGGATTGCTTCTCCTGGGAAAATAAATGTTTCCTCTTAAAATTGAATTGCACATATCCTGGTTATAGAAGAACAAAAGTTATTTGTTAAGCTTTTCTGGCAAAATGTCAGAAAAACTTATAGATTTGCCTTCCTATTTTATGACCTTGACCAGAAGTCTACTTCTGGTCAAGTAAATAAATGAAGAATATAGAGTAATCTGTTCACACATGGTGCTATGTAATATCCCTCCAGAATAATCCATCTATTTTATAGCAAAATGATTGTGACAATGGTCACTTAACCTTGGAATACACTGATTCTATTGAAAACCACAATCTAGAAACCACTGTCCATCGAATGGCTCCTTAAAGACAAAACTAATAGGCTAAAATAGATATGCCACCTTGTGAGAATAAGGTAGTCTCCACCAAGCTGTGATGTATACCTTAAATTAATTTTTACTGAATGGTATTGTGTCCTCAATAGGTAGAATAAACAGGTCTGGGTATCAAAGGATGGAAGAAAGAATGGGCTCATTTACCATCACTATTTTTAACTGACTTGGATATTTGCCCTTCCTTTCACTGTGCATCTAGAGGTCCATGTTCCCAGAGTGGAATGAGTTCTAGAAGAGAAGACCTTAAGAGTTCCAGGGAACTTTAAATAATAGGTATTTATTTTGATAGCTGTTAACATAATACATAATAAAATAGCTTTGATAGCTATTTTGATTGATAGATAATATCTATTCACTTTGGGTTCACCATGCTGAAAGAGCATCAGGCAAGGAAATTGTCACCATACTTGCTGGTAATATACTCTGGTATCAAGAAAGGCAGGGCTGCCTCTACACAATGAGGGCAGGGAGTATATGATTAGCATTCACACAATAACCTGCAGCCAGTTGCCCCATTTTAATAGTAAATCAGTAAGTATAGCAGCTACAGACTGAGAAGAGCATGACAACCAAAATGAACATCTGGTCATCTTATACACAAGGTGTCTGGACTAAAAGGAATGCTACAAAGGGTGGGGGAATCTTGAATGGGTTATGGAGACGAGGGATAATAAGAATCAGTTGCATTTTCCAGATGCAGTGGAGCACCGTGAGTTGTTATTTATCACACTAGCACTTCTAAGTTTCACAAAAATGAGAACAAGACAGGATAAGGATAAGTGACTGTAAGAAGTAGGTAAATCTGAGCACTGCAGGGGCTTGTCTATAGTAGTGATGTGGTATTCTGCCTATGTTCCCTCTTTTCTGCTAGTACAACCACCTTGAGATGCTGATAATATTGTCTGGGCAACAGGGAACTACCTTGCTTAAACATACACCTTTTCTTTTTCTTTCTTTCTTTTTTTTTTTTTTTTTTTTTTTTTTTTGAGATGGAGTCTCCCTCTGTCACCCAGGCTGGAGTGCAGTGGCACGATCTCGGCTCACTGCAACCACTACCTCCTGGGTTCAAGCAATTCTCCCTGCATCAATCTCCCTGAGTAGTTGGGATTACAGGCATGCACCACGCCCGGCTAATTTTTTGTATTTTTAGTAGAGATGGGGTTTCGCCATGTTGGCCAGGCTGGTCTCGAACTCCTGACCTCAGGTGATCGACCCACCTTGGCCTCCCAAAGTGCTGGTGTGAGCCACCGCGGCCGGCCAAGTACACCTTTTCCAAGGAACAACCTGCAGCCAGTGACTGGCTAATATGGACATAAAAGTCCCATCTTCTTTGCCTAATTGGAACAACACTGAAGGGCCAGCTTCAGAGATCCTATTAGTTTTGGGATCAGCTGTCACTTCACTTCAGGTTAGCTTCTCCTTCTGTGGAGTCCTGCTTTCTTCATTTCCTTACATTTCCCCACAAGATATCTTCCCGATAAAAATTCTGCACCCAAGTTTCCATCCTAGATTTGACTTCCCGGGAACCAAAACCAAAGTCCTGAAAAAGACCTCATCATTTAGAGATCATACTATACTATTTACAGGTGAAGTGACAGGACATATGCAATTTGATTTAAAATACTGCAGAAAAAAAAGTTTATGTAAGGTCCAATTTATGATTCAAGAATCCCAAGAAAACAAATAAAATGTGTGTTATTTAGAATATAATTTCAATAAAGACAAAATTTTCTAAATGAGTAAGAAATGTTTCCAATCCTACATTTATTTTTTAAATTAAAAAGAATATGAATGGCTGTGGCTCATGCCTGTAATCCCAGCACTTTGGGAAGCCAAGGTGGGCAGATCACAAGGTCAGGAGATCGAGACCATCCTGGCTAACACGGTGAAACCCCATCTCTACTAAAAATATAAAAAAATTAGCCAGGTGTGGTGGCGGGCGCCTGTAGTCCCAGCTACTTGGGAGGCTGAGGCAGGAGAATGGCGTGAACCTGGGAAGCAGAGCTTGCAGTGAGCCGAGATCAGGCCAGTGCACTCCAGCCTGGGTGACAGAGCAAGACTCTGTCAAAAAAAAAAAAATGAATAAATGATTTAATATAAAAGTACACCAAACCTGTGAATGGAGATTTTATAATAAAATAATTGCTATTGTGTAATTATGTATCAATAGAGATGACACATGATGCATACACATGTCAACGTATTCATTTAAATGTTTACCTTCTCTAATAGAATTAAATGTAAATTAAATGGAATATGCACTACCTTTTCACTGGTTGAACTAGTAAAGACTTAAGTGTGCTAAAATATGGTCCCTTTTTCTTCTTGGGTTTGTGTAAAACCTTTCTGAAAGGCATTTGCAAATGTGTGCAAGCATATAAAATTTTGTACATTTTGACAACTCACATCTTGAAATGTGCCCTACAAAAAAATCAAAGATGTGCCAAAGCATTTTATTAAGTGTCATCTAGTATTTTTATTATAAATTTTAAAACATTTTAAATATCTAATGATAGAATATTAATTATGAAAGTATTATATATTGTTTTATAACAGATGTAATAAGATTGAAATATCAACAATGTAATTATTTTAAAGAATAGAAAATGCATATAAAGAGGATAATATCAGTCTGTTATATAATACACACCTGCAGTCAATATTACAGGATAGTACATTCAAGGGAGGTGGTTATATAAGGACACTAAGACAACAAGTTAAAAATCTTATCAGATCATATCCATCTATCTATCATTCATCATTTATCCAACCTTCTATCACTCACCTACCTATTTTGGATGTAGTTATCCCTGGGTTCCAATGTTTAAATAATTATTTTTATACCCATCTGAATTTTATAATTTCTCTGCATTCAAACATGATTCAATTTTATACATGCACTTGCAGACACACAAACACACACCCTCACATATCCTTTTCACAATATCAAGGAGGAAACAATGTCAGACAACATGTTTTTTGGTTTGGTTATGAGAGTGATGTGCTGGAAGGATGATGTGAATGCCTGCCAAGGAATCATTACCGTGTGTTAAGAGAATTTACTTTTGTGGAGATTAAAGTTACCCAGAATCATGGGAGAATTATCCGTGTAAAGGAAACCTGTGAAATCATGGGATATACTCCTCTGAATAGGGTTTGAATGACAGAGCAGGGACAATAAGCCATATAGGGTTAGTGCTAAATATCATAATAACTGGAAGTTACTTCAATATAGCTTGTATTGAATCTATAGATCAAGTTTTGGAAAATTCATGTATTAAAAATATAACAATTTTATATCTTAACAGGACTTCTTTTCATATATTTAGGCCATCTTTAGTTTCAGTGAGGTTTTAAAGTTCTCAGTGTAAAGGGCTCACTAATTTCTCAATATATAAGTACATGATGTTTTTAGATGCTATTGTGAATGGTATTTATGTTTGGTGTTAGATGATAAGGTTGAGTTAAATTATGTGTTAGGTCTACCAAAGCTCTTGAAATGGCTGTAAATATCTAAAACAAAATACACTAACCACTAAACTCAATTTATCAATAGGAAGTTTTTCCTGATTTTCTTTTTTATCCTCTGAACTGATTCTGGTTGCTGCTTTTATATCTTCACAGCAACAACTTTAATGTTGTAAGCCATCATAAAGTCCATCGCTTACCAAAATGTAGGATACATATGAATTGTATACCAGATATTTCCTATTAAAAACAATTACAATGGATAATACAAACATAATTTTACAAAAATGATAAAAGCGATCATATAAATTGTATTTTTTAATGTAATGGATATTGCCAAGGTATCATGAGTGGTGCTGTTTCTTTATGACAGGATGGAGGAAGAGCTACTGTACACAGAATAGTCTACTGAAAGTATTGATTTAAAAAAATCTAACCTATAATGGATTATTTTGAGAGGGCTTGTGTCTATTGATAGAGCCAAAAATAAGAAAGTTTAAGTAATACAGTATTGTTGGATTTTTGTTGCAGTATTTTTGGTAAGAAGCTTGTTGCTTACTTGCTTGAGAATATGTAGTTTTGTCTTCTTACCTAAAGGGTAATTTGCTTTATATAAATGTTTGAATCACTCACTCTTGATATTATTTTTCCAGCTTTATGGTTTGCAATAGAAAAATGCAACAGCATAGATTTTTCCCTTGTCATTCTTTCACCTTTTCTGCCTACCAGACCACACAGCGCTTCCTATAGACTTTAAACACAGGAACAGGATGTTAGTTATGATAGTCAGTTTTTCTTGGGCAATGGAATATATCAGTGAACATAAGGGAGGATATGAGTGTTTTTGTGCTGATGAATGGATAAAGGAAATGTGGTACTTATACAAAACGGAGTGCCATTAAGCTATAAAAAAGAATGATATGAGATCCCATCGTTTGCGACAACATGGATGCAACTGGTGGTCATTATGCTAAGTGAAATAAACCAGGCACAGAGAGACAAGTATAATTTTTGGGATCTAAAAACCAAAACAATTAAATTCATGGAGATATTTGTGTGTCTTTTAATAATAATTTTTAAATTATACTTGATTATTTTTTAATTGGATATTGATTTCTTAAAATCTCTCCACCATGTTTTAAATTGTGGATTCTGTTGGGTTTTTTAAATTGTTTTCCATTTACTGTAATGTTCAATTTCATTATTTTTATTTTTTTCTGAGGTTATTCTGTTCTATATTCAATCCCATCTTTTTTTTTTTCAATTGAGACAAAATTTACACATAGTGAAATGTTCAGGTCTATTCATTATGCTGTGAGTTTTTCTTTTTTCTTTTTTTCTTTTTTTGGCAGTGGGGGGTTGATGCTTGCTGAGATTTCCAGTAATATGTTTAATAGAAGTGGTGAGAGACATATTTGTCTTATTCCAGATGTGAGCAGAAAAGCATTAAATATTTTACCACTAAGTGTGCTATTTGTTTTTTTTTTCTGGATACTAATTGTTTTACATAGTAATTTTTTTTTCTAAATACTAATTATTGGAGGAAGTTTCTTCAACTTATAGGTTGCTGAGATTTTTAAAATTATAAATGTGTACTGTCTTTTTTGAGCTATGTTTGCTGCAGATATTACTATAATTATGTCGTTTTGGTCTTTTAATCTGTTATCATGCTGAATTATATTCATTGATTATCATGTGTTAAATCAATCTTTTTATTCCTGGCGTAAACTCATAGGTAAACTTTATTATGGTATACTATCTTTGACACAGATTTTTAAATTTGATTTGCTAATGTTTTGTTGACAAATTTTCTATTTATGTTCATGGGCAAGATTAGTATGAAATTGTCTTTTCTTGTAATTTTTTTCATCTGGTTTTGGTATCAGGGCTCTAGTAGCTGATCTGGTTTGACTCTGTGTCCCCACCCAAATCTCATCTTGTAGCTTCCATAATTCCCATGTGTTGTGGAAGGGACCTGGTGGGAGATGATTGAATCATAGGGTTGGTCTTTCCCATGCTGTTCTCATGATAGTGCATGGGTCTCACGAGATCTGATGGTTTTGAAAACAGGAGTTGCCCAGCACAAGCTCTCTTTTTTGCTTGTTATCATCCACATAAGATGTGACTTGTTCCTCCTTGCCTTCTGCCATGATTGTGAGGCCTCCCCAGCCATGTGGAACTGTAAGTCCAATAAGCCTCTTTCTTTTGTAAATTGCCCTGTCTTAGGTATGACTTTATCAGCAGCATGAAAATGGACTAACCCAGTAGCCTTATAAAATGAATTGAATCACGCTCTATTTTTCTAAGGTTAGTATTATCTCTTCTTTAAATATTTGAGAGAATTCACAGTGAAAGTTATCTGACCCTAGAGTTCTACTGTGGGTAGAATTTTATTAACAAGTCAATCAACTCAATGGATGTAAGGATATTTAGATTTCTACTTCTTCTCGAGCCAGTTTTGGTAGCTTGTGACTGTTACTTCAACTATCACCTTTTTAATATATTTTTATAAGATAAATTATTTTGTTATTTATTTGAAATACTGTTTTTGCTTATATTCTGTATCTCCTTCTAAAAATAATTTCTATGCTTATGTTCCACGAATATTTTTAATTATTAACTATTTTAAAAGAGATGACAACTCTCAATACTGGTTCAAGACTTTATAAGTTGGGCTTAGGGAAATAATCTGTTAGACGGGTGATTTTCTGGCATTCCTTGATGATACTTTGCTTAGCACTGTACAAAAAGGAACATGAGAGTATATTGATGCTTGCATATGGAGAATGTTGTTGGTGGTGGGCTATCAGAACCAAAACTTTCATTTAGGGGAGACATTTATTTATACCCTGTGTAATTGCTGAAAAATAGAATGTGGACTGACCACCAAAGGGTTGTGAAATGGGACAATATTGGCTATATCTTTGACTTATTGTCTTAAATATCCTCTCCTAAAAATATAAAGATATTATATGTGTTTTTAAAAAGGAAATTAATTTCATCAAGGAAATCATCAAGATGGTGGCATAGGAAATAATTTGCATGCCCCAATGAAAAACCAATTATACAGCCATCCATGAACAAAAATAACTATGGGATGGCTCAACAGTCCAATTAAGAACCTATAGAAAGACAATGGAGCAAAAATAAAGGGAAGAATAACTACACAGGGATTCTTCTGGAGATATTGCCCTGGCAGAGACACATGGAAAAATGGCTAGGAACATAGAAAAAAGGTGGGGGTTATCTGGATCAGCCATGAGGCAGCTGCCATTGTGTTCCCCAGTGGTCTTCTGTTGAGAGTTTTATCAGCCTTTGCTGTTAAGGACCTCAAAATTTCCTATGACAACAGTGTATGCCTACAGCGTTCACTGCAGTGGAAGCTATAGTGTTCATCGGCACCAACTCCAGGGACCTGCTCTGCAGAGGCAAAAGCAGCGTTCACCACTGAAGTCACCAACAGCCATAGCAATTATAGACACCCTGGAGAAAGAGACACTGTTGCACAACCACCACCACCTCCAGAAGGATCTGCTGTCCCATCACATTGGGAGCATGGCTGCCAACTTCCTACAACTATTTCTATGCTCCAGATCCCAAGACCACAGCTGCATTGTGTATGTTCAGCTCCAGACCCTGAATCTGCAGGTGATCTACACGAGAAAGTATTCCACACCTGGGACTGTAGCTGACAAATGCATACTTACGTCTCAGCCATCAGAAGCAGTGCTATCATGAGCTAGCCAGAATTCTAGATCCCAGAAAGACTGCCATTCCATGAACTCCATGCTCCAAATCCCATATCCATGGTCATTCTACAAGCACTCATGCATCAGACAGTAGTGCTACCACCACCGCAAAGGTGCCCACGATCTGATCCTGTCACCAAGAGTGACAATATCCTCAATGGGAGATAAAGAAATCAGGAGGGCCCTAGGAGCCTTTGCCACCAAAGATTTCTAGCGCCTTTGCTGGTACTGTGAACACTCAGAGTCTTGGCTTTTGAAGACTTCTACAATCTTCTCTAATGCTGATCTCAGGTAACAGAGATGCATGGAGACTACACTGTCAGGCCATCCTCAGAGCTGTAAGTGCCACATTTCATCTCGTTGGTGGCCTCATCCCACCTGAAGTTAAAGGCCTTTATCCACCAAAATTGTCCTTAAGTCTAAAAGAGGTGACTGTTTCTTCAGCTTCAAATATGCAGGCATCAGTGGAAGACTACCAGAAACATAAAAAGTAAAAGAAACATGGTATCAACAAAGGAATTCAATAATTTTCTAGTAATCAACCCCAAAATAGAGATATATGAGTTTCCAAACAAAAAATTCAAAATAATTGTTTTAAATCTAATAGACTACACAAATAGAGAAATCAACAATATCAGGAAAACAATACAAAAGCCACATGAGAAGTTCAAAAGAAATGTGGAAATTATAAAAAGAGAACCATATGTAAATTCTACACCTGAAGAATACAATAAATGAAATGAAAAATGTAATATAAAGCATCAAGCAGAATTAAGCAAAAGAAAGAATCTGTGAACTTGAAGACAGGTGATTTCAAATTATTCAGTCAGAGGAGAAAAATAATTTAAAATAGAGAAGAAAGCCAGTGTAAATTATGGGACATCATCAAGTGAAATGGTATTCACATGAAATTCCAAAAGGAGAAGAGAGATGAAAAGTGGCAGAAAGCTTATTTAAAGAAATAATGAATAAAAACTTTCCAAATCTGGGGAGGGATATGAACAAGAAGTTAAATGAAATTCACAGGACCTCATACAGATTTAACCCAAAGTTTTGACTTCTTGAAGCACATTATATTATAATAAAACACTTTTTAAATTTTTTAATTATTATGGATACACAATATTAAGTTGGTGCAAAAGTAATATTAATTTTTGATATTACTTTTAATAGCAAAAACCACAATAACTTTTGCACCAGCCTAATAGTCATACATATTTATGGAGTACATGTAATATTTTGAAACATGCATACTATGCATAATGTTCAAATCAGTGAAACTGGGAAATCCATCATAGCAAACCTTTATCATTTCTTTGTGTTAGGAACATTACAATTCCACTCTTTAGTTATTTTGAAATATACAATAAACCATTGTTAACTATAGTCATCCTATTTTATTAAACAACATTAGGTCTTATTCCTTCTATTTAACTGTATTTTGTACCATTCTCTCTTTGTTCCCCCTTTCCTTCTACCCTTCCTAGCCTCTGTTAACCATCATTCTATTCCTTATCTTCACAAGTTCATGTTATTTTTTAGCTGCAATGTGTGAAAGAGGACATCCAATATTTGTCTTTATGTACCTGGCTTATCTCACCTAACTTAACATTCTCCAGTTCTATTTACGTTTTTGCAAATGACAGGATTTCATTTTTTTTATGGCGGAATAATATTTTAAAACTTTGAAAATCAAAGCCAAAAAAGAATTTTGAAAGGAACAAGAGAAAAGAAAATCACCCATACAAAGGAACATCATAAGGCTATCAGTTTCTCTGCAGAAATGTTGCAGGTCAGGAAAGTGTGGAAAGTGTTGATTTTATCAACCGTGGCAGAATACACATTCTTTATAAGCACATGCAGAAAATTCTCCAGGATGGATTGTATGTAAGTTCACAAAACAAGTCTGAACAAATTTAATAAGATTGAGATCACAGAAAGTATTTATTTTCAGTACAGTGGTATGAGAGTAGAAATCAGTAACAGTAGGAAAGCTGGAAAATTCACAAATATGTGAAAATTAAACAACATAGGTCTAAACAATGAGTCAAAAAATCAAAAAGGAAATTTAGAAATATCATCTTGAGATATGTGGAAATAAATGACCACATACCAAAACTTTTGAAGTACAGCAAAAGTAGTTCTAGAAGAGAAATTTATAGTGATTAATTTGTATATTAAAGAGAGAAGTGGAGCTAAAATAAACAACCTACCTAACATCAAACCTTAAAGAACTAGAAAAAGAAAAAGAAACTATATCCAAAATTAGCAGAAGGAAATAACGAAGACGGGAGTAAAAATAAATTAGACACTAGAAATACAGCAGAAAAGATTAATGAAACTAAGTACCCATTTTTTGAAAAGATAAAATTAATAAAACTTTAGACTAAGAATAAAAGAGAAAAAAGAAAATAAAAAATGAAACAAGAGTGATTACAACTGATACAGTAGAAATACAAAGAATCATAAGAGACTTATGAAAATTATATGTCAATAAATAAGGTGAATACATTTACAAATTTCTAGAAACACACAACCTACCATGAATGAATCATGAAGAAAGATAAAATATGAACAGACCAATAATATATAAGGAGATTTGATCAGTAATCAAAACCTCTAAACAAAAGAAGTCAAGATCCAGATTACTTCATTGGTTATTTAAATGAGCATTTATGTCAGTCCTTCTCAAACATTTCCAAAAAATTGAAAGAAGGGAACAAACTAATTTTAGGAGGCACTGTTACCAAAATCAAACAAAGGGACTACAAATAATTGCATGCCAATATCCTTTATGAACATAGATGCAAGAATTCTCAACAAAATATTAGCAAACCGAATGAAATAGTACATTAGAAAGCTCATGCACTGTGATCAAGTGGGATTCATTCCTGGGATGCAAGATGGTTTAATACATGCAAATCAATAAATGTGATACACCACATTAACAAATTAAAGGATAAAATGCAACAAAAACCCACAATAAGATATTAGCTCATACATGTTAGGATGGTTATTATAAAAATGTCAAAAAGGATAAGTGTCAGCAAGCTTGTACACTGTTGGTGAGGATGCAAACTGATTTATTTATGTAAAATGTAATGCTATTCAGCCTTCAAAAAGAAGGACATTCTGCCATTTGGGACAACATGGATGAACCTGCACAACATTATGCAAAGTAAAAAAAAACAGGCAAAGACAAATATTGTAGGGTATCACTTACATGTGGAATCTAAACAAAAGAAAGTTGAACTCCCAGAAACAGGGAATAGTATAGTGATTTCAATGGAATGATGGTGGAGGTCATTAGGAGATGCTAGTCAAAGGGTACAAACTTTCTGTTATAAGATGAATAAGTTCCAAAGATCTAATGTACAGCATCATGATTATAGTTAATAATACTGTATTACATATTTGAACTTAGCTATAGCATATATCTTAAGCATTCTCACACATAAATAAGATTACTGTGTGAGGATATAGATGTATTAACTAACTTTACTGTGGTAATCATTTCACCATGTACACCTATACCAAATCATCATGTTGTATACTTTACATGTATATGATTTGTTTGTCAATTACACCTCAAGACCTGAAAAAATGTTACATATATTATATATAATTGTGTTATTATATGTATATAGTGTAACTATATATATTAAATTGTACTATATTATATATAAGGTTAGTGCAAAAGTAATTGTGTTTTTTGCCATTACTTTCAATATTTCAAAGATATATGCATACAATATTATATATATTTTTGTATATTACATATTGTATTTTATTATGCATTATATTTTGTATATCATATAATATATACATTTTATATATTATATTTTATATTGTATGTATGTAATAGTCCATTAGGGCAAAGGTTTTTGTATTGGATCTAGTAGTTTCTACTATTCCTAGCTGCTGCTCAAGCAGTATTATGGAACTACTCAACTATTCAATCTTGTACAATATTTTTATTTTCAATGTTAACACCTTGAAGTTTTGTAAGGTCTAAGCAAATCTGTGTAGAAGAAAAAAATAACAACTTTAGCATGACCTCTTCATAATCTTAAACTTTATTGCTTCAATGAAAGTTTGGTTGGTTATTCCTTTCATGTAGGTGGCATTTATTTTTTAGAATAATCTTTATTTCCTGTAAAAATGGGGGTAATCTTTATTATTTCTCATGTGGTCTCATTTTATTCCAGATCTTATAGTATTAAGCATTGTGCTTCATGATTTAGGTTTGGAGTTGAGGTAATTTTCTTATGTTCTCATGCATGAAATGATTTTTTCTCTATTTATTATTTTTATCAATTTTGTTGCAATTAATATAGTAAAAAGATGTACAATTAATAATATGAATCTATGTTAGCATTTATTATCACATGTTATTTACTTATACTGCTTGAGACTGGGAAATCTAAAAGTTTTGGCATGTGGCATGGAGTAAGTCCTTACTTAAAATCATCAATTGGCTCTTGGATACTGCAATTTTAAGTGCAACGACATATAACAAAACCAATTTCACCACAGGCTAATTTATATAATAATTTATATAAATAAGAGTTAAGTTCCAACTGTGTATCAGCATATTTCTGGTTATGAAAACATCAAAAATCTCCTAAAGACCAAAACACTTTTAAAATTGAACACTGAAATAAATGTGAGCTATACATACATTTAAGAAAGATTAGTTAAAACAAGTAAGATAATTAATTACCCAGTTATTCCAATTCAAGTTGTAGGTAGCTCCAGTCAGCTCAGGGAGCACGGTGGGACAGAATTCGACAGAATTCCATTCCATCCCAGGATGCACTCACACACACACTCACATTCACACTCACCCTGGGACCATGTAGACATGCCATCGAACCTAGGGTGCACATCTTTGGGATGTGAGAGGAAACTGGAGTACCCAGAAAAAACCTGGGCAGACATGGGTACAACATGCAAGCTCCACACAGAAAGTGGCCCCTGCCATGAATATATATATATTTTTCTCATCAACATTGCAACAAAACAATGTGGAACAAAACAAAGTTACTCACTGTACTTACAGTTATATCAGCATGCATAGCACACTAGTACATGGTAAGGTTTATCAAATATTAATTAAAAAATGAATACATATTTGAAAGAACAGGTAAATTAGACTGGGTGCAGTGGCTCACGCCTGTAATCCCTGCACTTCGGGAGGCCGAGGCAGGTGGATCACCTGATGTCAGGAGTTTGTGACCACCCTGGCAAACACGGTGAAACCCCATCTCTACCAAAAATACAGAATTATCTGGGTGTGGTGGCACTCGCCTGTAATCCCAGCTACTTGGGAGGCTGAGGCAGGAGAATCGCTTGAACCCATGTGGTGGTGGTTGCAGTGAGTCGAGATCGCGCCACTGCACACTCTAGCCTGGCAGACAGAGTGAAACTCCATCTCAAAAAAAAATTGGAATAAATAAATTAATGAATAATTACTGAATAACAGTGGCCATAACATTTAATTCTTATTTTTCTTTTGTTTTATAATTTTATATTAACAGCTTTAATACCTTCCTTATGCTTTTTGAAAAACTAGTTATTTATTTTAAAATGGCATGTTATTCCAAATATACTTGGTTAAAATAAAATGGTTATGACTAGAGGAAATGATGACTTGTTATCATGATTTATACTCTATAATGAATTTTTTGCTCAACAAATATCAATTTCATGTATGATCATTGAAGCTATTCAATGTATGATCAAACTAATGTATAATTATTGAAGCTATTTGGTAACAGTTAGTAAATTGATAATCATGTATAAAAAGCACTTTCTGTAAGGGTTTTATTTGTCCCAATAGGTGCATCAAATATCCCTATCTAAAAAGAGAATATTTATATATGAAGATACTGAGTGTGAAAAGAGTTACATTATAAATAGGATCAGTTAGATTGGCCATAATTTCTCAAGGTTTGGTCCCAAGAAAGCATCACCTGTGCTTTGCTTGGCATAAGTACACTTCTGTATTAATTTCTCAGTAAAATAATTATAAAACTTGAAAAATCAGCGTTTATATGAAGTTTAATTAATTTCACACATGGCTATTTTTATAATGCAAATGCTAATCTTATTTTTAAAGGAAAAGAAAAAAGCATTGCTAATATTCCCAAGTCAGCCAGCTCATTCTTGTATATGTCCTCAATCGGCATCAGTTTTTTTACCAATGGAGGCAGCGCATCCTAAATGAAATCTCTGTGATTTCACTCACTGTTAAAATGCTGCGTAATTCAGCTTTAAAAAGAGAAGAGCTAGCTTACTGTCTTTGAATAAGTCCTGGTTTATTACTGGCAACAGGATGATCACATAAAAGTCTAGCTGAATCTCAGTTACAGAAGAGATCTATTCATTTCTTCTATGAACTTAAATAAAAGCTGTGTCAGCGCGTGATAGTAGTTTAACAATACTAATCTTGATAATCTCTTATATTTTTAGAACAATTCTCTCTGTTTCTTTCTGCCTGATATGCAACTAAATTTGTTAATTCACACTAGATCAAAGAAAACCAAACTAAAACAAAACAAACTTTTCTTTCCAAGAAGATTAACAAATTTGTCCTTGCTAGTTTTGTAATTAAAAAGGAAAATAGCTTGTGCCATAAATCAGATAGAAACAAACACTGTTCTAATTCAAGTCTTTATAAATGCAATTAATCTCTTAATTTCATCTAAGGATGCTAACCAGCAATTTTATTTCTATTTGTTGACTAAGACAAAGATATTGAACAAAAAGGATTAGACCTTCTATCCCTATTGGATTTTATTTCTATGAATAAAACAAACTCAACAATCTTCTATTACAACATATAGGAAACTATAAGTATCCTTTCTTGTCTAAATCTATTATTTGCCTTCTGATCAAATAATAGTCCAAGTATTTCTTATTTACCAGAATCTGATCAGTCCCTGGAAATTGACTGGGTAATGAAATTTCAGATAGCGGACATCTATATACCATTACTTGAAATAGAAAAGCAATAACGCATTTCAAGTCTATACAGAACCCCAACTTTCTTCATGTACCTTTAAAACACTATAAAATGCCTACATAAAAATTCAACCAGGATTTGTAGAATACAAACTACCTAGCTACTAACCAATGAATGAACTGTGATGATTGGTTCCTTTCTTTTGGTGATTAGTTTTCTCTCTCCCTCTCTCTCTCTCTCCCTTCCTTCCTTCCTTCCTTCCTTCCTCTCTCTCTCTTTTTTGGCATAACATGATAGTGCACACAGTCTCAAATACCAATTCATTTTTTTTCTAAACTGCAACAAATATCTGCTGTAGCTACAGTGTCCATATTGAAAATAAAAACCATCAGTTTTGAGTGTGAATCATGTACTATTAACAATTACAACTGGATAACAGGTAAAAACTGTGATAGTTAATCATTCAACTCTAATGTTACTAAGAATCAAAATAACATGATTGGGATACATAAGGAATTCAAATTACACCAAACACAATTGCTACTTAACATTGGAAGTGTTGCTGGAATATGTTTGGTGAGGAGGGCAATTAAGGACAGTCATCAAGTAGGTTAAGGTGAGCTCCAGGGAAGGAGCCAGGGAAACAGTAAATATGAGAGATTAATCGATTTCTGAATCCAAGAAACTAGTTTGTATGCTCATTTGATCAAAATTCCAAGAATCCAGATACCATAAGACTGACATGCCATTACAGTTTTTTTATGTGATATATCTGTTCACATCAGGAGTTATCATTAACAGGATTTTTAAATCTTTTTTTTTGCATAACCTAAAATTTCAACTAAATTGCTGATGTCTGGTTTTCATGGCTACTCATCTTCTCCTCCCTGTAATCAATGATAGCATCAAAATGAATACATTAGGATTAAGTTCTTCATTGTCACAAAATCCTGGCCTCTCTGAAAGATCCGTGATGTCTTTAAATGTGAGAATGGGGTGATCATTCAGACCTTTAGCACTTTGGACATCTTCAAGAAAGTGACATAACCATTTCTTCCATTATCTTTTCTTTCTTGTGATACTTTCCTTTGAAGCCTAAGTGCCTCTTGATCCAGAACTGTTTTGTAAGTCCTTCATGGAATCACTAACATCTTCATGAGCACCCCTAATCAGATACTGCTTAGAATATGCTGCGAATGTTGTGCATAATATTTGGTCCAAAAAATTGCAGTTAAGTATGTATTTTGAGGCAAAAAGCCCACTTCGCTCTACTCTCTATAAATCAATAGTTTAGATATTAATAAATACATTCCTGATGTATTGTCTACTATCCAGAGGCACTGTTTGTAAGATTTTCTTTCTTTCGGTATAAATGTACCCAAAGTTAAATAACCTACTTTCTCACTGGGCTTTACTATTTGAGCACTATATAACAAGCAGTGCACACTCCGACATTATTTTAAGGTCCCTGGAGTTTTGGAGTAATATACCAAGAAAGATTTTATCTTTGTTTTCATAATTTCTACTCCAGAGCAGAATGTGTCTATCTTTGGACACTTAAAGGGCCACATGTTTTTTTTTTCACCTCCAATATAATCAGTAAATGGCCACTTGCTTCCAATGAGTATTTCTTTATTCAAATTACAATATTTGCTTTGCATTACAGCCAACTTTTGCTACCAGGAGTGGATAGTGGCTAATGCAGTCTCGCTTTCAAAGTAACGCATTTCACCATTGATCTTCATATTATATAGTCATGAAAGATTCTTTAATCCCCCAAACCATCACAATCTTGCTTTCAAACTCAATTCTCTAAACCATCTCTTTGTTTCATCACTTTTCTTTCAGCTCCTCAAAGACTTTCCAGCACTTTCTTCTATGTCAACAAGATTCTCAATGGTATATATAGGAACCATGACTTTTTGATCTTTTGTGACAATGTTTATCTAGCATTTCAAAAATACTACACAGTGCTCAAGTATCCTGGTGTGACTACCCAGAACCAATAAAACTCTAGTGAAACTTGTGCATGGCTAAGCTTATGTTGTTTAGGCATATACAACTCTCAGTAAGTTTCCTTACCAAATTTTCTTCTCATGAGTGAGTTTTTCTGGGCTTCTTAGGCCCACCTACTTTCTTCTCAAGATTTTACAATGTGTATGACTTTTCTTTCTTACTTAAAAACGAGGAGTCTAGCAGGGCGTACTGGCCCATGCTTACAGTTCCAACACATCGGGACGCCTCAGTGGGAGGATTGGTTCAGGCCAGGAGTTTGAGGCCTTGAGGCAGGAGGATTACTTGAGCCCAGGAGTTTGAGGCTGCAGCGCGCTAGATCCCACCTCTGCACTCTAACCTGGGCAACAGAGTGAGATTTTATTTCAAAAAACAAAAAGCCTATAAAAATGATAATGCACAACCACAAATACAAGATACAATTTTGCTATGGAGGAAGCTGAGATATAACTACAGCACACACTACAGCTTCTCACTTAATCTTATGCAATTGGAATGTTTTCTCTCCTTGCATGAACATGTCAAATTGCTATACAGACATTGTGTTTGGGGCAAATTTCACAAGTTATGACAACTGGACAGGAAGAATTAAGATAGGGAGGATACCTACGCATTTTATTTCAGGAGTTCCTAAGTGAATTCTGACATAAAAGTAAAAGACATTTTGGATGAAGTAAATTGGATTATTCTAAATCCAAGCCATTGTTTGTTTGTTATCCCATACCATGCCAAAACAAAAAGCACTTATTGGGAACCAAATAGTCCATTTTCAGCTCAACTTCAAAGGCATCTGTCAGTAACTGGACAGGAAGAAACTAAATTACCTGGATGAATTTTGCCCATTTGGAGAGGTCTTTAACATACTAACTTTTGACCTATGACAAGGCGTATAATCTGATACCTTTAAAACGTGAGGATGGATCAGACTATAAAATTTCTTTTTTTCAGTTTTTCTTCTGCTGTCAAGACAGCTTATAAAATCATGTCTTCACATGTAAACCCCTATGTCTTAACCTCTTGAAAGTAAGAAATCACTTCAGAAATAAGATTTAGTTGTGTCCAGCAAAAACTTAGCCAACACCTGCCATTCATATTCATATAGATTGAATGTATATTATTTAAAATGTTTTATTTATGGTACTTACACATTTTCCCATGAATATATTTGCCTTATTAAATTTTCACATAGTTATAGCTTTCCTTTTGAGTAGATTATACATTCTGAGAAATGATGAATTATATAAAATCATCTTTTTTGTGTGTAGCACCTAGCACACGGCTGAAAAAGAGGTCAAACATCTACAATACTTCATTTCTTCATTTTTTTTTTAAATGATAATCTCTTGAAATCTTTTAAAAAATGACGATCTCATGAAAATGAGGTGTTGCAAGAATGTTCTCTGTGATGGAGGTTGAACTTCATTTCTGGAAAGAAGCTGTGAGCAAATGATCAAATAGAACATAGAAGGAAAGACGTGGCCAAGAAAGGTGGTCAAAATAAAAATGAGGACATAAGTGATCTCATTTTGTTAAGAAATAAGAGATCATGAAATTGAAATTGATTTAAAATTAATCATAAATTCAACTTTTTATGATTCTGCCAATTTATGAATCAATTAATTTTTAACGATATTTAAAAGTTTTACAGCATGAGCATTTTGTATCATGTCATACAGAAAACAATAAATTTATGCTAAGGTTGAACATATGTCTTATTTCTCATTGACAACAACAAACTGCTACTTTCTGTTCATTCTACAATTGTTAGAGGTGTTCTACATAAATATGTTGAAGGGATTCACTCTTGGAAGTTGAAAGATGTTATGTCATTTTTGTCTTCTATCCAGATAAAGTCATTATTTAAAGACATCAGGTATATTTTAAGTGCTATTGGTACCTTATAAACAACATGACATAACATGAATCATTTGATAACTGATGGTCAGAAATATCATTGAAAAATTTTCCCAATTCAGTTTAGCTTATTTCTGTCCAAACCAATTCTCTGTAGGGAATAATGTCAAACAATAACAACACCACAACACCATTAGATATGATGGGATTCTTTTCAAGCAAACTTATTCAAAAATGATTTTTTTTTTTTGTGATTGAATATAACAGAAATTGATTGGGTTTTTCTCAATGCCTGGAGTACAACAGCAAAGGAACAATTTGCTAAAGGTCTTCTGTTACTCTTAAGAAGGCATTTTATTTCTCAACAAATTTATAGACTTCATGTTATTCTATATATTTCCTGTCACTTTTAAACATACCAATAGAGAAAACTATTAATGGAAGAGAGACAAATATTTAAAAAATAAAACTTCATGATGACTTCAACTGGTTTAGACCTTGAAGATTAAATATTATGATCTTGAATTAACCAGTGAGGCTTTTTTTGCCCTTAAATTGTCCATGCAATTAGTTATACTTTCCATATAACACCCCTTATACACGCTGTTATGAATTATGTCATTATGCATGATTTAAGGGAAACAATATGGGCTAATTTGTATCCCTCCTAAAATTCGTATACAGAAGTCCTAATGCCCATTACCTTAGAATGTGAGCTGATTTAGAGAAAGGGTCTTTAAAGAGGTGACTCATTTAAAATGAATTCAATAGGAAGACCTTAATCTAATGTGAATAGTGTTCTAATAAGAAGGAAAAACTTGGACAGAGGTACAGTGGGAAGACCGTGTGAAGAAAGGAAAGAAAGTCATCTACAAACGAAGAAGAGAGGCCTGGAATAGATTTTTCTCTCACAAGCCTCATAGGAGCCAAGCCTGCTGACACCTTGATCTTAAACTCTGGTCTCCAGAAGTATAAGGAAATACATTTCTTTTGTTTAACACACAGTTTGTGGAGCTCTGTTGTGGCAGCCATAGCAAACTAAAACAGAGAGCCAACAAATATTTGCATAATTGTAAAAAGTTTAAAAATTATCCGATATTGGATAAAGAACAGAAATTTAGATGGGAAGACATGTCTACAATATAACTGAACATGAGGTGTGGCAAAACTGTTCTCTGTGGTTGAGATTGAACTTCATTCCTGGAAAGAAGCTGAGTGAGCAAATGATCAAAGAGAACATTGAAGGAAAGACATGGCCAAGAGAGGTGGTCAAAAATAAAATGAGGACATAAGTGACCTCATTTTATTAAGAAATAAGAGATGATGAAATTGAATTTAAAAAATATATATATATATATATTTTTTAAGACAGCGTCTTGCTTTGTCAACCAGGCTGGAGTGCAGTGGTGCAAGCAAGGCTTACTGCAGCCTTGACCTCCCTAGGCCCAGACGGTCCTCCCTCCTCAGCCTCTCAAGTAGCTGTGACTACAGGCATACATGACCACATTCCACTAAATTTTGTATTTTTTATTTGTCTGGTTTTTTGTAGAGAGGGGCTTTCTCCATGTTGCTCCAGATGATCTTGAACTCCTGGGCCCAAGCAATCTGCCTGCCTTTGCATTCCAAAGTGCTGGGATTACGGGAGTGCACCGCCACACCTGGCCTAGAATTTTCACAGGTTCAAATGGTGATATAATCACACATTGCTGTAGACATAGCAAGAGTGAGGTTGTGGGCATGATAGCACAAAGTCTTGTGATAAGTACTGAACTGGAAGGTACAGAGCATACAGAAGGTTGAAAAAGTTAGTAAAGTGTTCGAGAATTTGAAAAATACCTAATCACTTGTACTTAATTTTAGAGGCAACAGGGAGACCTCAAACATTTGGACTGAATGTTGACTTTCCTATAACTAGTTTTAAGAAAGATCATTCCACTGGCACTTTGCACATAGCTGTAATGACGGTGGTGCAGATTGGAAATATGCCCCAGAAATCCTGTATTTGGAAATACTGGATGTATGAAGATGCATTGAGTGGGTACCTTTATTATTTCATTAATTTTCCATCACTGGCCTTTTTATAAATGTGTTGAATGTCAAATATATGAATGTACCCCATTATGTCATAAGTTCATTAATCTCCTGGGCTACTCTAGCTAGGGGAGGGAGAGAGCAAACAAACACATCATATTACCTCCCGTGTCATTTTAGCCTTGTATGGAGTTTGGATTCTTTGGTTGGAAACCAATGAACACAAAGAGATTGAGGAAAATCCGATAATGGTCTGGATTAGGGTAGTAGGTTTTAGTGTGCATGAGAATAGACTGGGAAATTTGCAGAGAAAAAAAGGACCAAGAAAAATGAATGGAAAAATAAAAGCAGATTGCTGTGTCATGCCTCTAGAATTTCTGATTCAGTTGGTCTAGGATGGGGATATTGAGAATTTGCATTGTTAAAAGATTCTCAGATAATGATGATGCTTCTGGTTCCAGAAAAATACTGGGCTAGAGAAATGGAACTAAGAATGGAAAGTGAAGTGGGTGGGAAACAGCACTTCCTCAAGGACTAGACTGTTTTAGTTTTGTTTCTTTGTTTGCTTAATGGAGTATACAAGAACAGGGTATGATGGAGTTTCCACTCACTACATTATTACATTATTTTAAAATTAATTATCGTGTCAATTACTCTTTTTAAAATTGTATTTAAATAGTTTTGGGGGAGCGGGTGGTTTTTCGTTACATGAAAAAAGTTCTTTAGTGGTGATTTCTGAGATTTGGTGCACCTGTCACTCGAGTAGTGTACACTGTACCCAATATGTAATATTTTGTCCCTCACCTCTCTCCCATCCTTCCCACCAAGTCTCCAAAATCACCCTTTATTGTTACACTTTTCCTACTTTATATTTCTTTATTTCCTATTTTTCTTTCTCATGGAATTTCTTACTTCCATTTCTTGTTTTCCTCCATTTTTCCAAATTTATAATAGTCAAAAGAAATTGCTTTAAGTTATTAGGCTTAATATCTGGGTAATGAAATAATCTGTACAACAAACCCCCATGACACAAATTTACCTATGTAACAAACCTGCACATGTACCTCTGAACTTAAAATACAAGTTAAAAAAGAATGTCTTTAATATAAGAGATTTCGTGTAAATTCATAATTTTCTGTTTCTGGAAAAAATGTGTTGGGTGTGTTATTCACATCTTCCTTGAGCTTATTGATAATTATATTAATTAAGCATGGATCAACTTCTTTTTTGATGATGACTTTCATTAGCTTAAATGTTGCATACATCCAGATGTGTTTTTTTAAAAATTGGTAGGTAATTAGAAACACTTTATTTCAATCAAGGAAAATTATGCCATCATGTATTAGAATAACAATGCAGATTCAAGAACATATTTAATGGTAATTATTATGTTCTACTGTACTTTCTGAGTAGCTAAAAGTTCACTATTTTTACGAACATGTCAAAATGTTAGCAGGTAGAGTGGTCTAGTGATGTTCGTGGTATTTGATTCATGTGATTTTTAGGAAAAGCATTGCAGTATTCATTGGTGGTTTAAAGTACATTAAAAAGCTCAGTATTTCTGGTAAATTTCTGGCCTAAATCATAGAGTAATATCATGGAAATTGTCTGTGTTAGTCATTTTAAATGTACTTTCATGTTCTACAATTTTACCCTCCCAACTCAAGACGAAATATTTTCAAAAACCACATATTATTCGAAGTATAAGCAGCATATGCATATAGTGTTTTCAGAAGACTTCTGTCACTCTGTTGCTTGTTATACATTAGTGCTTGATGAAAAGATACTATTTCTGAGAAATGGTGAGCCCCTTGCAATTCAATTAAGTTCAATTTATCACAATGCTCCACATGTTCTTGGAACAGGTAACTAGAAATGGAATCTAGAGAAATCGTTGTAATTCATGTCTCTTCTGAAAAGAAATTTAAGACAGCAAGAAATTATAGTCATATACATTACATGCTTGATTCTCAGGCTCTGTCTGTCTGTAATATATATAACTGTGTGCTAAATATTTGTGTGAATTACCTGCATTGCCTGATATCAAACAGTGAGAAAACACACTGTATTTTTTTCTGCTTGTACGCATGTCATTACTGTTTGAATAAGTAAGTCTGGGGACATGAACAACTATAGGAGTAGCCGACTTTGCTTTCAGTTATTATTTCTAAAACCTGACAAAGAGACTTAATTGGTGATGGTGAAAAGATATCTGATTAAAGTGAAAACACCTGTGGTGAGCTATTGGCAAACTGAATAAATCAGTGTTCACAAAGTATATAGCTGTTTAATTGTTGATTTGGTGTTATTTAAATTCAACATATAAAAAACAACTAGCTTTGTTATTGATAGCATATCTAATCAATTCTACTTTATCTACTAATAAATTAAATTAATATTGTTGTCTAGAATGTAAAAAATTTATGCAGAGATATAACAGGAATTTATAATTATTATAAGACCATTGTCACAATGTAATTGTGAACAAGAAAATCTGACACTGTAAGATCACTTGAAAGATTTAATTCACCATGCAATTAAATTCAGAAAATTTTAGATGCAAATACTAGTTTGCAAAAAGCAAAATGGGAGAAATAGTTAAATGAAGAAATATTTGAGAATTATATTTTATACCATTTGTCTTTACAACTGTATTAAGAATTGTATTTACATATGTATACATATGTATGTATTTATTTTAGTGAAAAATATTAAACATTTATGTCTCAGAGACTCATAATTCACTAATTCAAGCATGATTCTTAGATATCCAACTCTGCTTAAAACAATTTCAACTCGTGGTGAAAACCCAGAGAAGGTACTGGGGTTTTATTTGTTCAGAGAATCACCATTAATAAACTATAGAAATTTTATTGTAATTGAAGTTAAGGACCAATATAGAGAGTAGAAAATGTTACTAAACTATAGGGACAGTATATTAAGTTTCTAGAATATGTGTCTTTTTATGTAATCTCAATAAAAGTTTTTCCTCATCAGCCTTTTATCAATGAGGAATAACATCTTCACCTATGCTTGGATTTCATGTCATTATCACCCATAAAAAGTCACGTTAAGACATTGTTTCGACAGTCTTACTACACAGATGAGGCAGAAACAATATAGCATGCCAAAATATAGGGCTAATTTATCAAATATTGTAGCATATTAGCATTTGTTATAAATGGAATAGTTCCCCTCAAAGATCCACATCCTAGAATCTCCAAATCTTGTAATGTGCTGCTTTAAATGATGTATTATTTTTCTAGGGCTTCTATAACCTATTACCATAAAATGGATGGCTTTACACAAAAGAAATGTAACTTATATTAATAGTTAGGGAGGCCAGAAGCATGAAATCAAGGTCTTGAACAGGGTTGATTCCTTCTGGAGGCTCAGACGGAGAATCCACCTCCATCTTCTATTGCGCATCAGTGTATAATTTTTTTTCTGTCTCTTATAAGGACACTCCTCATTAGATTTAGAGCCCACTCTAATTCACAAGGCTCTCATTCTATGATCTTTAACTACATCTTCAAAGACATTTATTCCAAATAAGGTCACATTCTGAGGCTCCAGTAGGCATGCCTTCTGGGAATGCTATTCAACCCACTAAACATAGCCTAAAGGACACTGCACATGTGATTAAATTGGGCCTTAAAATGAGAGAGGTTATCCTGGGTTACCTGAATGTGCTCAGTATAACCATAAAGTAATTTATAAGAAAATGGATAAAGCAGGATAGTCAGAGTCAGAAAAGGAGATGTTATAGTGGAGACAAGAGAGAGAAAGAGAGAGAAAATTGAAAATGTTTTTGCTGGCTTAGAAGATATAGAAATAGGCCAGGAGCCAAGGAAAGCAGGTAGTCTCAAAAGCTGGAAAAGACAAAGAAACAGATTCTGCTCCAGCACCTCCAGATGAAACACAGCCCTATTTACCCCTTGATTTTCAGACTTTTGATCTACAGAACTGTAAACAAATACATTTGTGTAATTTTGAGAGTCAAAATTTGTGTTTAATTGTTACTGCAGCAATAGAAAATAAATACACATTTTCACAAATCCACATAATCAGGAATTATCTACACCCTGTCCTCCTATAGTAGGAATACTTATAAATTATTAAGATTCTTATTTCTAAGCCACATCGATAAGTATTTCCAAATGATTACATATTAGTTAGATACCAAATTTCAAAAATATTTGTGGACATTTGTAATTAATAGCATTTTCCCTAATTTATCTTGGTTTTCGATACAAAACAAGTGTTGAACTATGAAAGTTTTTAAATGATTACTAAAATGCAAGTTTTATGTGAAGAAATAAACTTGTTTTTATTTTATAGTTATTGCAGACACACCTGACAAATTCTTGTTGTCTGTGGATAGCAATAATATGTTTCATCAAATTATGGAGCTAACTTAATACTAATTGTTCTGTTTAACTCCATTTTGTTTTTTAATGTAATGAAGTTTTACAATTAGAAAAAATCCATTATACTTTCACATCTGACAAGTTTTTGCTGCACAAAAGTTTCAATTTATTTAGGCACTAACATTGCAGCTAGCAACAATTTTAGAAAGTTTAGTGCTAATGCAAAAAAAAAAATACCCTTGCAAAATTTACCACAATTGTTTACTTTCTGAAAATAAGCACTAAACCATTTGCATAACATCTGTACTGCTTGGAGGGCTGAAACACTAAAGCAATTAGCTCTGTATTCTGTAATGTATGTCGCAACAGAGCAACACTGAAGTGAAGCTAATTTAATATTTAGTTAGAAGAGAAAAGGCACTTTGTTTGCCCTTTACTACTAGTGCTTCTTTAAACCACCCGGTCATGGTAAATGTGTTAAGAATCTTTTTTTCAAGACAGTTCCAGGAAACATTACTTGTATTAAAAAATCTCTAAGGGACATCCATTTAGTCTTTCTAATATGTGTTTGTTTACATCTATTGTATGTGCTTGACTATTACAGACTTTATATACTAGTTACTGTAGAGTCTATAAAGCTTCAGATCTATTACAAAAATTACAAGAAATAACTTATAATAATCATATGCCAGAATAACTGTGTTGATGTCAATTAGATGTATGGCCAATACTTCTGATATCCCAGACAGATGTCTTTATGTACACTCTTATTTTTAAGAAAATATGATATAACAAGAGTAGTCATCCTTGTTTTTGAATAGTCATTAGATTTAACAACGGACTGTTTTCTGATTTCCAAATATGTTTAAATTTACAATTTTATATTTATTAAATTACATTAAATTTTGTATTAAAGTCAACCTGATGATATGTACTATACTTTAATTCTAGATACTAAAGTATCACTATGTAACTTCATATATATATATATATATACCTATACATACATATATCCTTTTATTAAAAAAGCATCCTTACATTTGCAATTTATATAAATAAATAGGATGGTACAAGTGAAGTTTTATTAGATAGGTACATTGCATAGCAGCAAAGTCTGGGCTTTTAGAGTAGCCATCACCCAAACAGTGTACATTGTACCTTTCAAGTAATTTCTTATCCCTCACCCCCTCCCACCCTTCCACCCTACCAAGTCTCCAGTGTCTATTATTCCACAATCTATGTCCATGTGTACACATTATTTAGCTCCTGCTTATAAGTGACAACATGTGGTAAACTGGGTTATTTCACTTAAGATAATGGCCTCCAATTATATCCATGTTGCTGCCAAAGACATGACTGCATTGTATTTTTTATTCCATACATATGTATGTATGTATATATGCCACATTTTCTTTTTTTTCCCCCTGAGACAGAGTCTCCTTCTATCACCCAGGCTAGAGTGCAGTGGTCCTATCTCAGTTCACTGAAACCTCCACCTCCCAGATCCAAGTGATTCTTGTACCTCAGCCTCCCAAATAGCTGGGACTACAGGCATGAGCCATGAGGCCCTGCCAATTTTTGCATTTTTGGTGGAGATGGGGTTTTGTCATGTTGGTGAGTTTGGGCTTGAACCCATGGCCTCAAATGATCTAACCACCTTGGCCTCCCAAAGTGCTGAGATTACAGGCATGAGCCACCATGCCTGACCTATGTATTGCATGTTCTTTATCCAATCCTCTCTTGATGGACACTTCATTTGATTTCATATTTTTGCTATTGTGGATAGTAATAAACATATAGGTGCAGAGGTATCTTTGTGGTATGATAATTGTCCAATTGGAGGCAGTGGACAATTTGCAATAGACAATTTTCTTTTTTTCCTTTCCAACTTTTATTGTAGGTTCAGGAGGTACATGTGCAGGTTAGTTACATGGGTAAATTGCATGTCTCGGGGCTTACTGTGCAGATTATTTCACCCCCTAAGTAATGAGTATATTACCCAATAAGTAGTTTCTTGGTCCTCACTCTCCTCCTGCCCTCCACCTTCAACTAGGCCCCAGTGTCTGTGGTTCTCTTCTTTGTGTCCATGTGTACTCGATGTTTATTTCCCACTTATAAGCGAGAACATGCAGTATGTGGTTTTCTGTTCCTACGTTAATTTACTGAGGATAATGGCCTCCAGCTGTATTCATGTTGCTACAAAGGACATTATTTCACTCTTTTCTATGGCTGCATGGTATTCTGTGATATCTATGTTCCACATTTTCTTTCTCCAGTACACCATTGATGGGTATCTATATTAATTCCTTTTTTTTTTTTGAGATGGAGTTTTGCTCTGTCACCCAGGCTGGAGTGCAGTGGCATGATCTCGGCTCACTGCAACCTCCACCTCTGAGGTTCTAGAAATTCTCTTGCCTCAGCCTCCCAAGTAGCTAGGACTACAAGCATGCGCCACTAAGTCCAGCTAATTTTTTGTATTTTATTAGAGAAAGGGTTTCACCGTGTTGCCCAGGCTGGTCTCGAACTTCTGAGCTCAGGCAATCCACCCGCCTAGACCTCCCAAAGTGCTGGGATTACAGGCGTGAGTCACCGCATCCGGCTTATTAATTTCATTTCTTTGCTATTGTGAATAGGGCTGTGGTGAGCATGTGTGTGCCTTTGTTTTTATGGTAAAATGATTTATATTCCTTTGAGTATATACTCAGTAATGGGATTGCTTGGTTGAATGGTAGTTCTGTTTTTAGGTCTTTGAGAAATTGCCACAGTGTTTTGCTCATTCCTTTTCATTCTTTTTTTCTCTATTCCTCTCTGTCTTATTTCAGAAAGATAGTCTTCACGCTCTGAGATTCTTTCCTCCACTTGGTCTATCCAGCTGTTGCTACTTGTGATTGCATTGTGAAGTTTTTGTGTTGTGTTTTTCAGCTCTGTCAGGTCATTTATGTTCCTTTCCAAAATGGCTCTTCTGGTTATCAGCTCCTGTAATGTTTTCTCATAATTCTTAGCTTCCTTGCATTGGGTTAAAACATGTTCTTTCAGCTCAGTGAAGTTCGTTATTACCCACCTTCGGAAGCCTACTTCTGTCATTTCATCCATCTCAGCCTCCGCCAAGTTCTGTGCCCTTGCTGGAGAAGTGTTGCAATCATTTGGAGGAGAAAAGACACTCTGGCTTTTTGAGTTTTCAGCTTTTTTGCGAGGATTACTTCTCATCTTGTGGGCTTACCTACCTTCGATCTTTGAGGTTGCTGACCTTTGAATGGGGTTTTAGCGGGGTCTTTTTTGTTGTTGTTGATGCTGTTGTTGTTGCTGCTGATGCTGTTGTTGTTGCTCCTTTGTGTTTGTTTTTCATTTAACAGTCCGGCCCCTCTTCCACAGGTCTGCTGTGGTTTGCTGGCGGTCTACTGCGGACCCTAGCTGCCTCGGACCCTCCCGCACCTACAAGTATCACCAGTGATGGCTGCAAAACAGCAAACATGGCGGCCTGCTCCTTCCTCTGGGAGCTCTGTTCCAGGAGGGCACTGACCTGATGCCGGCCCAAATGCTCCTGTAGGATGTGTATGGAGACGCTTATTGGGAGATCTCACCCAGTTAGGAGCAACAGGATCAGGGACCTGCTTAAGGAAGCGGTCTGGCTGCCCCTTGGCAGAGTAGGTGTACCGTGCTGGGGACAATCTCCCGCATTCAGACCTCTGGGACTTTCCAGAGCCAGAAGGCAGGAAAGGGTGTTGGCTGAACTGCAGATGCAATGGCCACCCCTCCCCCAAATGGCTCCATCCCAGGGAGTGATCAGAATTATTTCTTGTCTGCTAGCTTTGGGGTTGGTTTGCTCTTGTTTTCCTAGTTCCTCTAGGTGTGATATTAGGTTGTTAATTTGAGATCTTTCTAACTTTCTGATGTGGGTGTTTAGTGCTACCTATAAACTTTCCTCTTACTACTGCTTTAACTGTTTGCCAGAGATTCTGGTATGTTTTATCTTTGTTTTCGTCAGTTTCAAAGAATTTCTTGATTTCTGCCTCAATTTCATTCTTTACTCAAAAGTTATTCAGGAGCAAGTTGATTAATTTCCATGGAATTGTTTGATTTTAAGATATCTTTTCCATATTGATTTCTATTTTCATTGCAGTGTGGTTTGAGAGTGTGGTTGGTATAATCTCAGTTTTTTAAAATTTTTTGAAAAGTGCTTTATGGCTGAGTGTGCGGTCAATTTTAGAGTGTGCAGATGAGAAAAATGTATATTCATGTGTTGATGAGAAAAATGTATATTCTGTTGTTGTTGGATGGTGTTCTGTAGATTCCTATTAGGTCCATTTGGTCAAGTGTTGAGCTTGGATCCCAAATATCTTTCTTAGTTTTCCACTCTATGATGTGTCTAATACTGTTCTGTTGAAGTCTCCCACTATTGTTGTGTGGCTATGTAAGTCGCCTTTGTAGGCCTCTAAGAACTTGTTTTATGAATCTGGGTGCTCTAGCTGGGTGAATATGTATTTATGATACTTAAGTCTTCTTACTAAATGCCCTTCTTTGTTCTTTTTTTTTTTTTTTTTTTAGAATGCACCTTCTATGTTTATTTTAGCACTGCAAAATAGCCTTACAAGCATGAAAAAAAATCTGTCATAAAGAATATTTTGTTATTTGAATTGTCACAGAACAACATTAAGTTAAGAGCTTAAATGTACTCTAAAAGTTAACAGTGGGAGATTTTTTTTTTGTATTTTTATATTTATTGACAAGAAAAGTTTGCTATGAAATGTTTTTGAATGAACTATGTATATTAAAATACAGCATTTAGATTAAACCCATTAAAAATTACATACGTTATGTATTGCAAGGTGTTAGGAATTATGTTTCCCAACATGTTGAGTAAATCTTCCTTGGTTTACAAGTAATTACAAGTAATGGTTTACAAGTAATTACAAGTAATGTTTTTTTCTCTATGATTTTTATTTTTATTTTATTTTATTTTATTTTATTTCTTTTTTTTACAATTCTAATTTTTATTTATTTTTTATTATTATACTTTAAGTTTTAGCGTACATGTGCACAATGTGCAGGTTAGTTACATATGTATACATGTGCCATGCTGGTGTGCTGTACCCATTAACTCGTCATTTAGCATTAGGTATATCTCCTAATGCTATCCCTCCACCCTCCCCCCACCCCACAACAGTCCCCAGAGTGTGATGTTCCCCTTCCTGCACAGGAAGGGGAACATCACACTCTGGGGACTTTGTCCTTTTTGATTGTTGTTGGTTTAAAGTCTGCTTTGTCTGAAATGAGAATAGCAACCCACTTGCTCTTTTTTTTGTTTGTTTGTTTGATATATCTTTCTCTATTCCTTTACCTTAAGCCTATGGGTGTCATTGAATTGTGATATGGGTCTCTTGAAAACAGTACACAGTTAGGTCTTGCTTTTTATTTATGTTGTCACTCTGTGCCTTTTGTGTGGGGTGCCTAGTCCATTTATATTTAACGTTAATATTGTTATTTCAGGACTTGATCTTGTCATGTGTAGTTAGCTGGTTGTCACATAACAAGTCTACATAGACCTGCTTGTGTTGTTACTTTAAAGTTACAATAGACAATTTTCTACCAGCAATACTATAACTAATGCAAACTGATTCAGAAATAAATAAAAATTATAATAGATTTATAATCACTTAAAAAATTGAGTAAATCAAATAAGCTTACCAATTTATTTCAAAAAATGCATTAGACACTTGCAAGAAATATCTGAAGAAGATTTTCGGGCTATTGCAAGAAAGTAGAGGGAACTCAATCTTGCTGAAATAAAAAGAGAGAGGATTTTTAAATACAGGTGTGAGCCAATGGAAATGTACTGAACGATATTGAGGAGAGGTTGGTAAAAGCAATTAGGCCATCTGTGTTTGCCAACTATTGCTTGATTATTGACTTTAGGCTTCCGTCTTCCACAGAGATTGGGAAATAGAGGAACTATCTCCTCAGATGATGATTGTAATTATCACATTTCAAAAACATAATTCCTAGGTCCTTGAGAAAGATATTTCTTGTTTGTAGAAGATTTACATAAAAAGGACAATAGAAATAATTTACAATCCCAAATGTTCTAAAGTAAATGCTCTAAGGGAGGTCAGGGAACTCTAGTTTGGAAGAAACTTGTCTCAAGTTTTCCATCTTGGCCATGGATAATGATAGAAGTATCAAGATTAAAATTATCTTCAGTCCCAGCCCAGAAGCTTGAGGGTGGGGTAAATAGAAAGATGATGGTCAAAAGGTACAAAGCCACAATTATGCAGGATAAGTAGCTTCAGGAAGTCTAATGTACAGCATGGTGACTATAGTTAATAATATTCTACTGTGCACTTGAAATTTGCTCATCTCTAACTGTTCTCATCACACATATGCAAAAGTAACCATTACATGAGATGAGGGATATGGTAATTAGCTTGGTTGTCGTAAGTGCATTACAATGCATCTCTATCTATAAGGAACTTAAATAATTCAATAAGCAAAAAACAAATAACTCCATTAAAAAGTGGGCAAAGGATATGAACAGACACTTCTCAAAAGAAGGCATACAAGCAGCCAACAAACGTGAAAAAATGCTCAACATTATTAACCATCAGCAAAATGCAAATCAAAACAAGGTGATACTATGTCATACCAGTCAGAATGGCGATTATTATAAAGTCAGAAAATAACAGATGCCGGCAAGGTTTCAGAGAAAAGGGAACACTTATATGTAACTGGTGGGAATGTAAATTAGTTCAACCACTTGAAATGTAGTTTAGAGATTTCTCAAAGGACTTAAAAACAGAGCTACCATTTGACCCAGCAAATGGATATATATCCAAAACAAAATAAATTGTTCTATCAAAAAGACACACACACTTGTACCTTCATTGCAACATTATTCACGATAGCAAAGACATGGAATCAACCTATGTGCCCATCAACGGTGGATTAGATAAAGAAAATGTGGTACATGTACACCATGGAATATTATGTGGCCATAAAAAGGAAAGAAATCATGTCCTTTGCAGCAACTTGGATGTAGCTGGAGGCCATCACCCCAAGCAAACTAATGTAGGAACAGAAAACCAAATACCAAATGTTCTTATTTATAAATGGGAGCTAATCATTTGGTACTCATGCACAGAAAGGAGGTGGTCAAGTGTTGAAAAACTAAATATTGGCTACTATGCTCACTACTTCGGTGATGGGGTCATTTGTACCACAAACCTCAGCATCATGTAGTATATCCATGTAATAAATCTGAACACATACCCCTGAAGACCTACAAGAGACTAACAAGCATATGAACAATGCTCAGCATCACTAATCATCAGAGAAATGCAAATCAAAACCAAAAATAAAAGTTGAAATTATTTAAAAAAGCAGAATCCGCACCTCAATAAAAAGGAGTGGGTGGCTGGTGTATGCTTGTCTAAATTCATCAAATGGTATATATTAAATATGTGTTGTTTCTTATACATCAACGATACCTCAATAAAGCTGTAAAAATAACACCACGCTGTACTCCCAACATATATAATTTTTGTCAAGTGTACCTCAATAACACTGGAAAAAATAGAATTATATTTGCCAAGTATATTGGTACTTTAAAATTTCAGGATGACTAATTTGAACAATAGGGTAGATATGAATGGAGAATTACACACTCTAGTGTACTAAAAAAAGACTAATTTTATGAATGAATATATCAGATTAATCTTGCCTGTAGTATCTTTGCTGGGGAGTAAGGGACGTAAAATGCAAACTTGAGGTAACGATAGAGTCGAGGAGTCTAATAGAGAAAAAGAAAGGAAAAGATTTATAGAGTATAATTTTTACTTATTACTGGGACTCATATGACTTAACATTACAAAAAGTTTCAAAAATGTATTTTTTTAACTTGAAGGTAAATTGTTCAGTCTTTCATTTTACTTGGTTGAAGATTTTCCATGGGAAGTTTCAATTGATTCAACTGAAACAAATTTGCACTCCATTCCCCTGCAGGGTGCGGCATGAATTTGACACAGATCTAAGAGTCCTGGAGATGGTTTTTAACATTAGATGAGATGCCATGAAATACTGACCCCTATTTTTAATTTTGTAATTATTAAACCTAAAAGGCCATCGCTCAATAAGATGATACAACTGAAATCTTACTCAATTCAAATTCCTCCCAATGACTGTTGGGCACCTTTTTAGGAGTATTAACTTTTTCATGCCGCCAAGGAATTATGCACTGCACTGCACAAATGATGTATTCAGCCCTGGTGGACTTGAAATGTTGATGTACTTTTTAAAAATGTCATATTTGCTCCATTTGAGTAAATTGGGCATTGGGAGAGTTGAGATGTAAAATTCAACATTGATTATTTGATTTCAATGCTGAGCTCCTTTGGAGAACTGGGCAACCAGAAGCACATAGATACTTTTAATATTCAAATGTACCTAATGTTGCATGATAAATCATCTCAGTAATTGTATTCACTTTGTATTAATAGGCTGACACATTTTTTAATAGTGTGTTTTAAAAATTCACATCGTTTTTTGATAAAATACTATTTTTCAGTTATTTTAATGTTATACTTTTTCAGCTACTGCTACATATGCAATAGAAATTTGATATAGCATTATTTAATATAGAATTGAATTTTAGTGTCATACAATTGAGAAAAGAGATTTAGTGATTGAAGCTTTTAAAAGAAATTTAGTAGAATATTTTCTTTACTACAAAGGCATGTCTTAGTGTATATTTCATAAAACCATTATAACTAGACTCAAAAGATTTTCTTTCACTGTTTCTAACTAATCCTAAAAGAAAATCCATAAATTCATAATCTAAAAATGCCAATATATATGACACATTCATATTTAAGTATTTTTAATTCTGAAGAATTCTTCAAAGTTGCTCATAACAGTCTCATTAAAAACATATGCAATACCAATCTCAAACCAAATATTAATAAAATTACCTAAAACACTAATTGTCAAAATTATACTATTTTCACAGTAAAATTAAAGTTTATTGTTAATGGTGTTCATTCACATTTATTAGCTTAAAATAATTACTAGTTTGATATTATAACAGTTCATATTTTTCAAATCAAATATAACCAAAATACTATATATGATCAAAATAGAAAACTGTAAGGATAAACAAAAAAGTAATAAATAATACTGAAAATGGTATTAAAGGATATTAAGAAAGATTCTTTTAAAAATACAGCTATGTCACAATCACTTGAAATTCATACCACAGAAATATAATATTTTATACAAATTTAATTAAATTATTTAATTTGTTTTGAAAAAAGCTAAGATAAAGCTGAAGTTATTTTACATGATGCATTTGTTAAATTTTTTTGACTGAAAACTTTTAAATACAACTTAATTCCAATGGGTTTTTAAAATGCTAATATATCATGTAGGTACTATTTTACTACAATTAGATGGCTGTTTACCACCATATAGATGAGCCTCAACACTATAATAATTTCCAAAATAAAAGAATATAATGAACTTTCTTAAGAGACTCAGCTTTTAAAAACACATTTCAAATGGTCTTGCCAGTTGTATAGTTATAAACAGCTTGTAGTGGAAAGCATTGCTGATATAAAGAATAATGTTGTGAACCATATTTTCAAATCTTTTTTTAGTTTATTTTATTTTCTGACCAACAGCCTCATTTCTGTTTGGTCTCGTCTAATTTCTTTCAATATAGGTTCACATGACTGATGCAGAAAGCAAGAATGATAAAACTGAAGTATCAAATCCTGGATGAATTTAAATTTACTTACGAATATCCTGCTATAAATCAGAGCAGAAAAAATTGAAAGAATAATATGGAATACAATTTGTCAATGAGTATTAAGTAGTAGAGTAAAAAGTTTTTCATTAATCCTTGTATTTATTTTACTGAGTGAATAAAAGAAATTTTTAAATTGGAAAAAATATGTTATTCGTTAATTTTAAGTAAACTTTTGGTAATGCCTATATTTATCTATACGAAATTAATCGCCCTTTTATATCATCATCTTTTCATAATAAATGTTATATTATGCAGATAGTAAAACAAATATAATTACCTTTCTCTCTTATTATCTTCTTATGTTACCTGTTTATATCAGGTTTGTTATGGCATAATTATATGGAAGTATTTTATGTAATCCCAAAGAACAGGAAAAGCGGTAAGAGAAAAAATCAGGTATGCAAGTATATATGGAGTTTTTGATGGCAACAGAAAGGACTCATGTCTTTCAAGAGGAGTAGAAGAAATGTCACCACTCAGCTTATGAACATCAAGACATGCAAAAGTTGGGTGTTTCATGGATGAAATGGAAGAATTTGGGGGATAGGCTATAATAAGGCTGTAGAAACTGAACAGCATGCCACTCATTTTCCAGAATATATTTTTCTAAGTTTTTTTAATGACTTTTTGCCTTAACCACCTTTAACTTCACAGTAAAATATCCTTGGAAAACATATCATTTATTTTTACATGTATTTATAGCTCAAATATATATTTAGGATTTTCTATTAAGAATAATATACTATTCTTACTTTGCCTGAATTCACACAGGAGTAATTCTCTACAGGACTACACTTCATTTACTTTTTAAGTGTGTAACTCTGGAAATGATTTGAATATAATGAAAATGCTATTAAACGCACTTTTGTTGAACAGCGTAGTAAGCCTCACTTTAATACCCAAAATGTAATCCAGTCATTCATCTTCTTGGAGAATATTGTAAGCCTGGTATGAAAGGTAAAAGGGCTCTGAATGTGTCATTTCTCCTATTTTAATATCTAACCAAAGTCAAGAAAGAATTATAAGTTATGACACATGCATTATTTGTTAAAACCAAACTCATGCAACTATACTTATATCCTGGGGATAAAATATTAAATGAATAGAAGCTGAAGAATGTATTTTTTATTTTTTACACCTTTATTGGTAAGAACAGCATTAAGGGCATGTAAAAATGGTGGAAATCATAAGACATCTTGTGAAATTATAAAGAAATGTACATAGAATTATAGTGGGAGGAAAATACTCTATGTTGTTGAATATTGGCAAGACCCTGATTGAAAGGCTGTACTCATTCAGACCTCTTCAATTACAAAATAGTAATTACTTTTATTTTGCCTTTGTTTAAAGCACCCATGCAGATATGCTTAAGAGATACATTATTCTTTGCAGAACACTACTGAGATTTGAAGAGTCAATGGTTAAAAGGTAGGGTTCAACGTAAGACATCGATATATTTTAAAAGATAACATGATTTCACAATCGAGACTTAATATCTTCACCAAATTGAGTATAACACTATGTAATATTCTCTTAATTTGAATATTATTATTTAGAAACACTTTCCCCCATTAGATATGATGATTCTTCCTTAGCATTGACGAAGACTCTCTCCTTTGAACAAAACTTTAGTCAGGCTCCTCAGAGTCTTCTTCTGCTTGGCGAGGCCCAACCTTGGGCTTCCCTCTGTGTCAGGCTCCTCAGAGTCTTCTTCTGCTTGGCGAGGCCCAACCTTGGGCTTCCCTCTGTGTCCTTGTAGAATCCAGTTTGAGTAAGAATTGTGCAAGTCAGTTTATTAAAATTCATCCTCACCCTCTGTTGGTACAGCATTGGACAAGCCTGGATGGCTGATTACCCTGGCTTACCTTCAGCAATAATCCCATCAAGTCAGGTTAGCCAGAAACCCCTTATCCCTGATGTTTTCTCTTAGCAATTTTCTATCCATTGACACCCACCCTGCTTCTTGGTTAAAAATCTCCACTTGTCCTTGTTGGAATCAGAGTTGAGTCCAATCTCTCTTTCCCAATGCAAGACTGCATTTACCGATGGCAATGGTCACCTTGGATAAAATCTGCCTTACCATCCTTAACAAGTGTGATGAATATCTTTTTTTTTTCTTTAACATCAGCACGTGGACTCTGCTTTCATTTGCAAGATTATGTAATTAATTTTATTCTCTTACAAAAAAACTTGGTTTCTAAAACAACCTGATTTCATTCATGTTAAGTACTCCAGTGACCCTTAGTTATTAGAAACATAATATAGGCTATATGTAATTAGCTGCTGTCAGATGTAGGCAACCGAAATCTGCCAAACTTCTGAACTTTCTCCGTTGCTCCTAAATTTACTTCCCTCCCTGGATTCCTTATCTCAATTAATGCTACAGCTTTTACCACCGATTCATGCCAGAAACTGTGGGACTATCCTTGATCCTTCCCAGTCTGAAATCTCTAAGATTCTCTTTCTTAGTTAATTGCCTTCAGAACACTACAGAATTTGACCTGGATTGCATGAGAAAAGCCATAATTTAAGCTCTTTAAAGAGGTCATGCTTGAGGCCAAGAAGTCATGTTTTGAATTAGGCCGAGTTTGGGTTTACTGAATGTTCTAGGCAGTGGTGCACAACCTGTCTGCATGTGGAACCACCCGGGAAACTGTAAAAAAAAAGACTGATGCAGGAATCTCATCCCAAGAGACTCAGATTTAACTGGCCTGGGGTGTGACCTCTGCAAAGGTCTTTTGTAAAAGTTACGCAAGTCATTGTAATGTGCAGCCAAGCTTGAGAACTACTTCTGTTAAGTTATAACTGTCTTGCAGAGAGAAATAGAAAAACTCGGATTTTCAGAGAGTGTGTGAATAAGTGAAGAGGGGGTCTAGGGAACATTATGGTTGTGCTGCAATGGTGTGTTACATGGTTTTCTCTTCTGTGTTCTCATGCTCTATAAACTCTATGATGTGTCAGTTACTTGGTGAATGACTGTATGTTGCATGAGATGATGTTGTATTTCTACAAATCTCCCATCCACAAGTTAAGATAGTGCATAAAAGCCCCTCCATATCCTATTATAATTTCTTAGCTGATTTTCAGCCTCCTGTTTTAATTTGAAACTCTTCAAGAAAGATTAACTTTTCCATTGCTTTATCTTAAGAACTTTGTAGTATGCTAAAATCCACTAAATATTTGTTGAATGAATACTAAATAATGCCAAAGTTTAATGAATTGTTTAGGAGTATTTGTGCGACTAGTTCAGTCTTTATTGGGCTAAATAATATATTTTCACATGAATACTGACTTTATTCCTTTCTTTAAGTTTTTAAGATTTATTTTACAAAGTCTCAGATACATTCTTTTGAGACCCAGGACTCAGTTAGGGCCTCCTTTATTTCCTTCTTCACCCTTCTAAAGAAGCTTCTGAATTCATTAATATAGAAGGGCCATCAGGAATAGTGAATATACTGTGAATTATCAGAAGGAGTTGCCTTGATATCACTTCTTAGATTTAAGCAGTTTATCTTGGCTAACAAAGAACTATTATCTGGGTCCCTCAGGATGAGCCATATGATGTTAGAAGATTAGGGTAGTGTGTCTATGCTAGCTTACTTGAAGAAAAATTCTGCTTTATAGCCAGGACACATCTTCTGATTTAACTGGATCCTCAATAGGTATGTTTTGCTCTTTTAACTGGGAAAACATGAGCTTCCCTTTGCTGTTCCAGCAGCCTATTTTCCATTCAAATATGTTTCCTATTATTGCCCTCTGACCTCTTTCTCATCATTCTCCCCTCCCCATGTTGATGACTTTTCTTAGCCATCTCTAGAGCCCACATTAAATGTATTAAAAGATCCATTATTTCACCCTTGTGCTAAGGTCTTCTCTTTTTGGTGTCAGGCATTCCAGCTATCACCATCTGGACTTCATTGCTGTCATTTATTGACCTGTCACTCACATTCTCTGAGAACATTGGCTTCAGTCTCCTTGCCCAACTGCCCTTTTTCTAAACTGCTGCTGCTGCCCAATTAAAGTGTTTAACTGTAACAACCTTCATTGCCATCTCACGTTTCATGCAATCTCTGATCACAAAACCCTTTCTTTAAGATGTTACACTCTCATAATTCCACTGAATTTGTCCTTTGACATAATTTAGAACTCTGTCCGCAATCTACTTTCCTCATATTCATTTCTCCTACTGATGCAACTGACTTCTTGTTATATTATTTCAACAAATGTCTTATTTTCACACTCAATTTCCTCAATATCTTTCAGTCAGAACCAAGCCATTTTCAACTCTACATTTATCCAAATTTACACTGTCTGAGATGGTAGCCACTATCCACATGGTCTACTGAGTACAAGTAATGTTTGTTAAATGTGTGAAAAATGCAGTAGAGTTTGATGATTTGGTATGGAAAAATATAAGATCAAATTAGTAATACTTTATAATAGGAATTTATTATAATAAAGATTGTATAAAAATAAATATTTTATAATAAATATTTATAATATTTATGTTGAAATAAAATTTTGGATAATTGAAATCAATAGCATATAGAATATAATTTTTAAGTTAACATTACCTTTTCTCTTTTTTTAAATCTATTTTTACATGGTTACTAGAACATGTAAAATTACACATGTGGCTTGCATTTGTTGTTTGCATTATATTTCTGTTGAGCAGTGCTGATTTACACATGGCAATCCATATATGTCCTTTACTGTCAACTCTGGAGCCTTGAACTTGTTGTGTCTTCCTTGAAAAATGTTCTAACCTAATATGTCCATTTTTAACCAAATCAATTTTTAGCCTAAAATGACCATCAGTACTTCTTAGATGGCCTTTAACTTGTCCCCAATGGACTCAGTGCTCAATTACTTATTACAATTTATTGAGTAAATGCGCATTGAGTATCTACTACGTCAATCGCCAGTTTAGGAGTTGAGAATGAAGCAGTGAATAGCAGATTAAAATCAGTACTCTCTCCTGATGGAGTCAGACAATGGTACGGAATTCAAGTGGTCAGTCTGAATCGAAAATGGGATTCAGGAAATGGGGATAAAAAATGTCAAGAGGGGAACATTGTGAAATTTTTAGGATCTTCACTTGAAAAGGTCTCACTGTGTTGTAGCATCTGAAGGAAGTGAAGAAGCTGAGCATGGCTTCTTGGGAAGAGCCTTCCTGTTTACGGGAACATCAAATGGAAAGTTCTGAGCAATACTGGAGCACACATAGTGGCCTTCGGAAAGGCCATTGTGGCTGAAGCCAGAGATCCAGAGAGAGAGATGTAGATGAGTCAGGGAATTTGAGAGCAAGGGTGGGTGTGGGGCTGAACATTGGCTAATCAAATAGGTCACCATGAGTATTGTGGCATTTATGTCAAGTATCTGGAGGGTTTTGTTCAGGGTGAGTAATATGACCAAAAGTAAATTGTAATATTACTCTGGGTGTGGCAATGAGAAATGTGTGAGAGGAGATGAGGTTAAAAGTGAGTAGGTTGGTATGAGACAATTGCAATAGTCCAGGTGAGAGGTGATGATGGCTTATGTCAGGGTGGTAGCTAAAGAGGTAAAGTGCCTTCTCTCATAGAGGCAATAACAGCCTCTTGGTTGAATGTTCTGTGTCCAGAGAAATTACCTGCATTCCAACCCAGCCTTACCTTTCTCCTTTTCTCAGAGGAAGCACTACCCAATCTCCTACATAAGATTAATCCCCTCACTGATTTCCTGAATTCAATCCATTGCCTGTTTGTCACTTTTTTCCACTAATTGTACAATTTATTTTTGTTATTTCTAACTTATCTATCCCTATTGGTTCAATAACTATAAAGTTAAGAAAATAAATTTTCCTTCAAACATTCATTGTCTTCCTGTCCCATTGTTAGCTGCATTCTTTTCATTTCTTTCTGTTTTGCTTCCTGAAAGTATAATCTGTAATTCTGATTTCCAAATTCTTACCTCCCTATTAATTCTTCTAGCCACAGCAAAGTGGCTTTAGTCATCATCACCACAGAAAAATCATACTGACCTTCTGACTTAAAACTTTGTAGATCATTTTAAATCTTCACTTTATTTGACATCTTTGTGGCATTTGGTATTAATCATTTCTTCCTGGAATTTGTACTTTTCTCTGACCACATTTATGTCTCCACTGGTCTCTAAACCATTGGAAAGGATAAACCATATTCTGTTTAACTCTAGTCCCAAATATAATGTGTGTAACACAATTTTGCTACCCAAAACATACATATATATAGTATTCATATTTACTTAAATGTAAAATAAGAATATTCAATTTCAGTTAATGTGGAAATAACTCTTTCCCCCGTTCATGTCTTTCCATTCTTGAAAGAACTCAGCCTTCTCAAAGGGTCTATGACGCCTCCATTCCAAAAAGTAAAGGAGTCGTTTTCCTTTGCTCGTAGTTTTTGAAAATAGAGCCCTCTTTACTCTCAAGGAAAGAGGATCTAGAGTTTTAGCTGCAATAATTTTGGTCCCTACTCCTTCCAGATCTATTGTAAAGTAAATTAGCTTTCCCACCCTCCATCCTTCAGCTTTTGTATATTGGATAAAAAAGCTTTATGTTAAGAATTATAAGGCAGATTGCAAAGGGGATAGGTGAGGGAGAGGTTTCCTGGGAAATGTTGAGTTGGTGGATCAAGAAACTGGTCATTGAGTGAAGGTCTAAAATCATTGAATCCAAGTCCTCTGAACAGCCTGGTTAACTTCATCCCTCATGTGAATGGGATCCTTCCATTCCTGCACTCAGAGCCCATGCTGGTTTATCCTTGCCAGTGTCTCAGTAGTCATCCCTCCCATTGGGTTTGGCCCCTGTCTCAATACTCTGCACAGACCATATTGCAATACTTAGGAAACCTGTAACCCTAAATTTGGAAGGCGATGGAGAGGTGGGTGGTGTGTGCGAATGTGGATGTAGAGTGGGGGAGAAAGCTCCTACAGAGTAACTGAGGGCATGAACTGGGGTAGCTCTCACAGAGGCACTAGTTACTGATAACAGCTTTATCTCGATGAACTGCTTGTCATCTGAATGAACTGCTTCTCATTGTCATTGCCCAGCTTATTACCTACAAATCCAAATGGTTACATTTTCCATAGCTTATGGATAATTAAAACAATTTTAATAAAGAGGATGTTTGCACAGAATAATGGATTAGAACAGTTATTGAAAATCACTGTATAAAAGAAAATGGTTACCATGTTCACAGTCCTTGAAGTAAATTTAATTGATTTTATTAATGTAAGAAAAACAACAAAAAAACCCAATGTGTCTAATATCAAGGGAGACTTTATTCAGAAAAGATAATATAGAAAGAAGAAAAAAATGGACCAAATAATGTATGTGGTTTTCACATACTCTGAATGGGAAGAATTAACATAAAGACTTTTAAGTATTTTTGTACTGCAGAGAACAGTTTTTCATTTAATAAAGATATAAGGAGAAGATTTTCTCTGGATTCATCTAATTTAATGTTTTCTATGACATTTCCCTGATGACCTCTGATTATTTTGTACCCATGTAGCTCAGCCTACAGGGAAGACGATGATAATGCGAATGTGAGTGTTTTGATCCCTGTAAAATCCCCAGAGATTCTACTCATTAAAATTTACTTTTAAAATAATTATGAACTTACTTAATGTGGCTCAACAATTGAAGAAAGGGAATGGCTCTGGTGTGCTAAGAAAATAGAATTTTTGAGTCTGAAAGCTTGAGGGCTTAACATTATTTCTGAAATGCAAACCTGAAGTCTGAATCCAACTACTGTTTGAAATCTCCAGTGAACTTTTTTTTAATTTTTAAATTTAACTAACATCTAAAAATCTAGGTATTTCTTATGAAATCCAGATGTATTGGTTTTTTTTGAAAATTGATCTGTGACAACTCGTATTCCCACATGACAGCAACTGGCTGAAGCTGAGAAAGAGGTGGTAACTTGGAAACTTCAGAATCCATGTAGATGGCCTCTCTGTTCCTAGATGACTCTTTAGTAACCATCCACTATTAGGGTCAAATTGGGGCTTTAAAAAATATCAATGCCTCAGCCCCACCCCAAGAGTTTCCCACTTGATTTTCAATGGAACTGGGAATATTTTAAAAGCTTTGCAGTTGATTTTAATATGCAATTAGTGTTGAGAACCACTATTCTAGACCAGTGTTTCTCAAGCTTAATGTGCATTTGAATCACCTGGAGAACTTTCTAAGATGCAAACCCTGATTCAACTGAGAGTTTATACTTATAAAAGCTCCCAGGTGATCCAGTTGATGCTAGACCCTGGGTGGCATTTCTAGCATGATTCTAGAACACTGCTCAAAAGCAGAAACTCCAAAATGCCATGTTTAGGGCCCAAATTTCAACAATTTCTCAGCAACCATAGAACCTCCGTCTGTTGAATCCAATAACTTACAAAGGCTATCCTATCCCTCTTTTCTGCCCCTTAGATTTCATACTTAGTAGTCCTAATGAACTATTTGCATCTACTTCGTACAATTTCTTCTTTCTGTATACTCCTGGTAAAACTCCATCTCTGATTAGAGACAAGGCTCTCCCTGAAGCTGAATAGCTGAACCCAGTGGATTAAACATTAAAACATACAGATTAGCTTGAAATTTAAGACCACAAATCTCCAGTGGACAATCAGCATTGCAAATTAATCCTGCAGGTAATAGAATCGCTCTCCCACTTGCAGATGAAACTTTCAGCAAAGAAATACATTGTAACTGTACTCCACCTTCCCTCCCATTATTAGGTTAACCAAAGATGCAGCAAGAACCAACAGAATGAGGCTGTGTTCACGCCTTACCTGTAAGATGATTGCCTTTTTTGTCTTCTTCTTTCCTGCCTTTGCCTTCAATGATAGAGGAGTTGGGGCTTAGAAGGGGAAGGGAAAGATGGAATTTGAACTTCCCCCACCACAGGAGGCCCACATGCATGCACAACAACTCACACTCATGAAAGTCATGGCTTTAGCCTACACTGCAGAGATGAGAGGACCCTTGACCCAGTTTTGAAATTGTCAGTTCAAAGTCAACATGACTATGTCTTAAACACAAGAATGGGATTATAATGATAGTACCTGTGGCCAAAAAGTTAAGTATTTTGGGAAGAACCATCAAAGAAAGTGGGTTCATAAAGCTAAGAAGAAGAGAAGCATTGAAGTTGGGAAAATGTAAAGCCATTTCTTGTTGAGATTCCTCAGTTTACCAGAGATATTGTTAACTTTTTCTCTCTCCTTTGGCCATTGATTAGTCTTTTAATAGCACATTAGTTGCATTACTCACTCTAATTACCTTGTCCCAGAATTAGATCTCTTTACTTTGAACAGCCAAACTTTTTTCATCATTATCCTCTTATCCGAAAGAAATGTTTAAATATAAATCAACCATTACTATGTAAATATTATATTTTCCATTATAATTTTTCTTAATCAGGAGACTAGTTTCCTTTTATTTACATGGTGTGTTTATCCTTTTGCATTAAATATTTGATTTCTAGGTACTTATTTCAAATTTTTAGGCTCATTAATTTATTTATGTATACAGTCACAAATATTTACTGAGTTTAATTTGCATTCTAGACAACAGGAATTAGAAATAAATGAAATCAGTTTATTCAAGGGGCTTATAGTCTGCTTTAAAATTTGCCCAGCTTTTCTCAAACTTGGTTTTATTGTTCTTAAAGTAATGTCCATTTTTAGACATATAAATTTTTCAATACATATTTTAAGAAATTAGTATTATTTTCAAAGAGCTACATAAAAGTTTCCCTTCAATTTGTTTATAAAACAATTACAGGTGTTTAAAAATAAAATGTGTTTTTAAATCTTCTTTGAAGATTTGCATTGAAAGCATACACCTGTCTATCAAGCACATAGACTGAGGGAGAGTATAGTACCATTTTCATCTTTTACTTGAAACTGATGTACCATAGAACTAATTAAGCTTAAGCTTCACAGCCTTGTCCTTGCAATGCCACAGATAAATCTTATCACTGTATTCACATGGTCATATGCATCTTTTTAATTATCAAAAATTGCATATTTAAACTCAAATTAGTTAAGATTGCTGGCTTTTTGCATTACATTTTTTTTTTTTTTTTTGCTGTACTTTTCCTTGTTTAGAATTTAATAGATTGGACTTAGGCATCATGGGAAAGAAGATAGACTGGAAAACTACAATTTGAGGAAAAATACATTTTGAAAAGTTTCAATAAATTAAGAAACTGCAAATTCCTGAATTAAAACTACATGTGAATATTAAATTTATTTAGTAAAGACCTGAGCGAAAATGAAGCTAAAATTGATGGAATGCAAAATTAAAGTAATAAGTTGAAATAATTCTGACATGAAGATGCTAATTGTAATGAAAAATGACTTCAAGTTACACCAAAGCAGTAACTTACGTAAGAGAAGAGATACATGTTGAACACAAGTAATTAAAAGGCTTTTGTATTGTGTTATAATCCCATTAATGAAGTGGACTGAGTCATATAAACGTGTTGGAAAAATAAATTTTTTGCTGATGTAATGTGAAATACTGATATGAACAAAGACAACATAAAACTCACACCTCTGAAACCAGGACATCAGTACAAATTGGCCAATGACTGTTGTCAATTTAAAGCATGTGTAAGATTAGCTACTGCAGAAGGAACCTGGAAGTGCTCTGCAATCCTCCATCTCATATGTTGAAAATATTTCTAGCAATTTTCTCTCATTTGAAAAAAATTATAAAATATACTTGAATTTTAAAATGATGGGGGAATTGTTAGGGATTATAAATAATAATTAAATATTGCCGAATGTATCCATAGAAAATACTGAATTACCCTACTATTCTCTCTAGAAAATATTACAAAATTGTTGTCAAATGAGGATGCATTCAAAAAATACTGAGCCAAAAATTAGGAGAGAAAACTATTATGTAATGTGTCGGGGGCTAATTAATAAAAGTATTAATTAGTCTGAACTTTCTGATGTTTGTAATATTTGCTAGCATTCAGTTTTAATCTATTGTTATATATATTCACAATCTAAATAACTATTTATTTTATGACTGATCTTGCACTTAACACTTCCTATTTTTTTAAAGGGCCCCCTACCTCTGAATTAGTATAAGCTTCAGTACTCACAAAATTGGATCTACATTTGCTTTTGCCTATTTTTCAGGCTTAACTGAGCATGTTAAAAACAAGATGAATGCAGTGAGAATATATAAATGTACAAAAATAAACCACTTTTGCTTTAAATTGTGTGAGATGTTTTCAAACAGGAGATTTCACAAGCAATATTGACTGAACCCAAAATTGATTTACTAATTGCCATTTTTTAAAATTTGTAACAGATTTTTCTTTGCAAAAATACTTTTAAAGCAGTCAATAGTTTTTTTTGAAATTACTTTACAAAATATGCATCAAATCAAAATATTCAAATATCCTAAAATATCTACTCTCTGCTAGGCACTCTTAAGGGCCTTTAAATGCAATGGTCAATGATGCCTCCTTGATTCCTTCATGCAGTGGTGCTTGGGAAGAAAATAAAAGAATAGGCCAGGCTCAGCGGCTCATGCTTCTAATCCCAGAACTTTGGGAAGCCAAGATGAGCAGACGATTTGAGCCCAAGAGTTTGAGACCAGCATGGGCAACATGGCAAAAGCCTGTCTCAAAAAAATATTAAAATTAAAATTAGAAGAAAATAGAAGAATAAATAAGCATATTTATTAATTGCCATAATGAAGAAAATAGGGTCTTGTCATAGAGCATAATGGGAAAAAAGAATGCTACTTTGGGTAAGATGGTTGGACAATTTCATTAAGAATGAGAATGAGTCATGGTACCTGAAAGTTGAGAAGAAGGCAGCCATCAAAAATTCCCAGGAAGAGCAAGTACAAAGTCCACAGCAATATCTGGGTGTTTTAAGATATAAGCCTACTTCTTTTTTTTTTTTTTTTTTTTTCTGAGACGGAGTCTCGCTCTGTCACCCAGGCTGGAGTGCTCAGTGATCTCTTCTCACAGCAAGCTCCGCCTTCTGGGTTCATGCCATTCTCCTGCCTCAGCCTCCTGAGTAGCTGGGACTACAGGCGCCCGCCACCACGCCTGGCTAATTTTTTGTATTTTTAGTAGAGACGGGGTTTCACTGTGTTAGACAGGATGGTCTTGATCTCCTGACCTCGTGATCTGCCCGCCTCGGCCTCCCAAAGTGCTGGGATTACAGGCGTGAGCTACCACGCCCGGCCTACTCCTTAATATTCTTAAAAGCTCTTCTCTTATTTGGTTTTAATTAAGCACATATTTATAACATTTTCTCCATCTAATATAATATTCTTTATAAGAGATACTTAAATGTGTTGAGAAATACCAGGTACACAGTCAGTTTTGCCTACCATTGACACTTCAATTAATAAGTCTCACAAGACGATTCGAATCCTATTTAAAATGAGCTTCCCTGCAACTTGATATTTGTCTTGAATTAATTACGAAGAAACAACATATGATGGAACTTGACAACTAACTGCATCACTCGCAAAGGAAGAGTTCTTGTTAGGGCCGTGATAAGACTAATCGTGACCTTAGTGGTTTTTGAGGAAATATTATACTTGACAGCTTGCTGAAACAGCTGCTGTCAAGTGTAAAGAGTAATAAAGTATTACTCTTTGAAAAGTAATGCAGCCGTTCATCACCTTCATAATTGATAATATATCCTACAAAATGATTTCATTTAAGGACAGACAAATAAAGAATACCTTTTGGAAGGATGTAATGAATTTGAAAAATCAAAGAAATTTGAAATAGAAAAGCACATTATGAGGATAATAGTCTGAACAAAGTCTATTAATATGCACTTTATATTAGTCATTGGGTACAGGGCAAGGTCTCAGAAGTCAGCCTGAGTTAAAATGCCTGTTCTTCCACTTTTTAGCTCTTTAACCTTAATAACCATTTAAACTCTCTGTGCCTTAGTTTCTCAACAATAAATAAGGACAACAATAATATTTAACGCACAGCTTTATTGTAAACACATCAAACAGAACTTTGTAAGCAATGTCTATCACTATACATTATATATATATAATCATTACTTTGATTTTCTTAAAATATTAAAAGATATCTAACTTGTTAACTCTTTCAAACAACTCCAATAAGTGAAAATACATCTCCTGCTGGTGGTTCGGTAAAACACGTTGTCTTCAGTTGATGATATTATATCGGTCAGGGTTCTCTAGAGGAGCAGAACCAAAAGGAGGGATACAGATGCATAGGGTGTGTGTGTGTGTGTGTGTGTGTGTGTGTGTATAAAATAGACAATATATATATTATATGCGATGTATTATATACATAGTTTATATTAGATGGTAAAAGAGATGTATTGTAAAGTATTTGTTATGTGATTACAGAGGCTGAGAGATCCCACAATGAGCCAACTGCCAGCTGGGCACCAAGGAAAGCTGGTGGTGTGGTTTGAAGGCCTGAAAGCAGGAGGACAAACAGTGCTGATGGTGAAGATTCTGATCTAGTCTTGAAGGCCTAAGAAACAGGAGCACTGAGGGCCAATCCATGTTCCAGTTCAAGCACTCACAAGCAGAGAGCGAATTCAACTTTCCTCTGACATTTTGTTCTGTTCAGGCTGTGAAGGGATTGGGTGATGCCCACTGTAAGAAACACACATTTACCCATCCAAACCCGAAGAATGGACCCAGGGACACGAAGAACTGCAGAAGCCAGACTTTTAATGGCGGTCTTGCAAGATCGGGTGTCTGGTAGGCAGGCACACCTGGGGCAGTTATAGCAGGTAATTTATTTCCTAGGATGCAAGTCCCTCCCCAAGTCCTTCGTTGGTCGAGTACTATGGGGTTACAATCTTCCTGGACATCGACTAAGTTTCATTATCCCCTTTATAAGGTTATACCCCATCCCCTTCCCCGCTTAAGTTTCGATTTCTCAATAATAAAAGCTTCTACCCTACATTCTGTTCGGTTATTGTGACCTTCTAGGTGCATTAGCCATGTGATTTGTTACATCTGCAGGCTGGCTGCCAGTACTTAGATTTATCATGCCTTGAAAATGGACCATTTAAAATGTTTTCTCACACCCACTCACACTGAGAAGGGCCATCTGCCTTACTCAGACCACCCATTTAAATGCTAATCTCTTCTGGAAACACCATCACACATACACCTAGAAATAACATTTAGCCAATTATCTTGGCATCTCATGGCCAAGTCAAGTTGACATGTGAAATTAACCATCGCAGGTATTAATTATAATCCTTTTCTATTCTTTCCACTTCCTTTGGTTGTATTTACATGTTTAAAATATAATACAGTGAATCTTAAATATTAAATGACAATACAGCCTGCATCTTTCATTAAAAATGACTTCCAGTGAACTGATGTAACGGAAATTTACCATGTGATTCATATACTACTTGATATGATTTGTGTCCCAGCCCAAATCTCATGTTGAATTGGAGAAGAGGTTGGTGGGAGGTGATTGGATCATGAGGGCAGATTTCCCCCTTGCTGTTCTTCTGATAGTGAGTGAGTTTTCACGAGATCTGATGGTTTAAAAGTGTGTGGCACTTCCCATTTCTTTCTCACTCTTCCTGCCACCATGCGAAGAAGGTGCTTGCTTCTTCTTCGCTTGATGCCATGATTGTAAATTTCCTGAAGCCTCTCAGTCATGCTTCCTATCAAACTCATGGAACTCTGAGTCAATTAAATCACTTTCTTCATAAATTACCCAGTCTCAGGTAGTTCTTTATAGCAGTGTGAGAATGGACTAATACACCACCCCGGGCTAATTATTTAAGATGTAAACATACATATGTATGAGCCATCAATTCTTTGGGGCCTCTCAAGGTTCTAACTCTCAAGGATCTTATTCTTTACCCCACTACAAACTCTCAGTCCCTGTTTATAGTTTACATTTTGTCTTTAATCAATAACTGCAATCCCTCCAGAATCCATTCTGAAGCATCCTGCTCTCTGATCACCATCAAATTATATTCCCAAACTTTTCCTCTAGTTTCAATTGCTAGTGAATCCTTAGATCCCACCAGAATTTAGGATTTATAGACTTGCTTTCTCACTCCATTTTTTCACTTCTTTCTTTACAGAGTTTAAAGTCCAATCATCATAAGCATGTCCTTGCATTCAGCCTCCACTATCTTTCTTCTCCATAGCTTTGTCCTTGTTTGGCTAAACTTCAGCTCTGATTATATCTAACTCTTGATCTGCTCTGCACCTTTGCCCTGAAACTGCAGCTGAACATGATCAAAGGTAAGAAAGACACCATTAGCTGACTGGTCTTACTAAACTCAGGATTCTCCTGTTGGTCAATGCAGTCTTTAGTGTTTCTTGGCCATCACACAATGTTTTACTCATTCATTGAGACTCACTCCTGTCTAAGAATGTTCCCCTGACGTCTCTTCTCTCTTAAAATTTTCAGCATCTCCTTTCCCATCTTTTTTTGTTGTTAATAACTTAATTCTCTCTTTCTTTGAGAAAATGGAACAGACCAAAAATTCCATAAGCCCCATTACAACATTATCTACCCAGTTGTCTGTAATTGTGCTGATACAACCAATGACAATCCTGATAATATTGATGCACTTTCTGTACTGCTAGCAAAGACCAACACTGCTATCTGTGTACTTGATTCTACTTCCTTTTAATTACTCAAGAACTTGACTCCGGCAACTTTTTCCCTTTCCAGCCATTAATTCCTAGTCCTCCCACATTAGGATCTTTTCCGTTAGAATATACACATAATTGTATTTCTACCATCTTGAAAACCTATTGACTTCATTATTCCTTTCAGTAACCACTCAATTCCCTCCTGCCTTTAACAGTAAAATATCATAAAATTATCTCTTCAGTAGTTGTAGATTATTTTCTTATTCTGTCTTGAAAAAGTCTGAATGGGCTTGCACACTCATCAAACAGATCTTGTCATAATTACCAATCACCTCCACTTTGCTAAATACAATGTTCAGTTCTAAAGCTTCGTCTCTCCATTGACTTATCAGACTTTGACATTCCCTTCTCTTCTAAACCTTTCTTATATGGTTTTTGGACATGGATATCTCAGGTTTCCTCTTACTTCTTTGGCCTTTACTTCTGTGTCTCCTTCCTCTGACCACCTTCCCTTCTGTTTCTCCTTATTTCCCTGACTCCTTCACAGTGAGCATATTCAGGGCTCTCTATTTTTACACACTTTATTTCTCTCTCTCTCTCTTTTTTTTTGTTTACTTTTAAGTTCGGGGGTACATGTACAGGTTTGTTATATAGGTAAACTCATTCACAGAGGGTTGTTGTACAGGTTATTTCATCACCTAGGTACTAATCTTAGTACCCATTAGTTATTTTTCCTGATCCTCTTCCACCTCTCATTCTCCACTCTCCAGTAGTTCCTCTCTTTGTGTCCATGTGTTCTCATCTTTTAGCGCTCACTTATAAGTTATAATATGCAGTATTTGGTTTTCTGTTTCTGCATTAGTTTGCTAAGGAAAATAGCCTCCAGCTCCACTTATCTTCCTGCAAATGAGGTGATTTCATTTTTTATGGCTGTGTAGTATTCCATATTGTGTATGTACCACATTTTCTTTATCAAGTCTAGCATTGATGTGCATTTAGGCTGATTCCATGCCTTTGCTATTGTGAATAGTGCTGCAATGAACATACGTGTGCATGTGTCTTTATGGTAGAATGATTTATATTCCATTAGGTATATACCCAATAATGGGATTGCTTGGTTGAACAGTATTTCTGTTTTTAGGTCTTTGAGGAATTGCCAGCCTGTTTTCCACAATGGTCGAACTTATTTACACTTCCACCAACAGTGCATAAGCATTCCTTTTTCTCCACAATCTTGCCAGCACCTGTTATTTTGACTTTTTAAAAATAGCCATTCTGACTGGTATACACCTTATTTCAACATGCACAGGCCTGTGGTCCATCTCATCCTGACTAGTGGCTTCCTATGCCATGCATACATAAGTGATTCCCAATTTCATGTCTCCAGACTTATCTCTTCAACCACTCCCTCAATATCACCACTGGGTTGCATAAAAACTATTTTAACCATAAGTTTATTTTCCCCATACATTCCTCTCTTGAAATCCTCATCCTCAGTTAGTGGCTGTTTTATCCGTTCAGCAGTTCAGATGATCAAATCAAATATTTGAATCCGTTCTCTCTCTCTCTCACACAACATTTATACAGCAATCAAATCTTATTGAGTCTATCTTCAAAATATATTTAAATTACAATAACTTCAAATTTCATCCACTGCTATCACTTTGGTGAAGACCACTATTATCTATCTATAGGCTTCTTATAACAGACTCCTAACTGATTCCCATTTTCCTCCCTGTGCTTTCCTCTTCTCCTCATCAGCCAGAGGGATCCTGTGAAAATACAGGCCTGGTCATCCTCTTCTATAAATTCTTCAATGCTTCCAATGTCTTCTCTTCTCCTTTCAGGTGAACATCAAAGTTTTACAATAGCCTTATATATGTAACACTGCAGTCCTCCCCATTACTTATCTAGCCTCATCTTCTACTTTTTTCTCTATAGCTCATTCTGCCCTATCCACACTGGCCTCATGCTTTATCTTGCGGAAAAAGAAAAAAAAAGAAGAAGAAAAAAGCAGTTTTAGCTCAGGGAATTTTTATTTGCCCTTCTTATTGCTTGAAATCCTCTTCCCACACATACTTGCCTAGCAAGTGCCCTCAGTCCTTTCAGGTCTTCTCTCAAAATGCTGCCATCTCAAATCTCTCTTCTATATTATCTACCTTTTCATATGAGATTCAATCTGGATTTTTAATTTTTTATATCTTCCAGTTCACTAATTCTCTCTTTAGTTGTGTTCAATCTTCTGTTAAAGTCATACATTGTAATCATGGTTACAGTTATTATATTGCTCAGATTTTTATATGTTTCTTTTTTGTTGCATTTCTTATCTGCTACATTTCTCAATTTTGACATTTATTTCTTGAAGTATATTAAGCATAGTTATTTTAAAGTTGGGACTTCAGACACAGTCTTTAATATATAGATTTCTTGTGGGTTATTTTTTTCTGTTGTTCCCTTTCTGTGTGTTCTCTCTTCTTTCATGCAGCTTTGTCCCCTCATGTGCCTAAATATTTTTGGTTAAATGCTGGACATTACAAATGAAAAGCCTTTGAGATAATTCAAGGCCTATCTATCACCTCCAGATAGAAGTTTTATTTTCATTTGGAAAGTGGCTAAGAACAATAGAAGTCTGAAATCATCCTAATCAAATTTCAGAGATTAAGGTGATTTGAAACTGAGATTTAGTTTCTGCAAGAACCAGTTGTCTTTTAGGTCAGTTTTACTTTTAAAATGTGTACCTTGGGAAAGTCTCAACCGAAAGTGTAAATGGTACTTATAATAAACATCCCCGCTTGATGGTCCTGGACTCTTATTTATATACCCCTATCCCATAAGATTTTAAAATATGCTGCTAAATTTGAGAAGTGGCACTTTTCTAGAATGAGAATTTCTTCTAGAAGTAGAACTCACAGGAGAAACCATCTTCACATGCTGGACTCACATTTCTAGGTTTCAAAATATTTTTCTAGTTTTTGGACCTATAACTTTTTACAGTCTTATTAGTTCTCTAGTGACATTAAGCAGATTTTTATAAATATAATCAGCTTTTCTATAAGGGTTCAGTGGGGATGTTGGTTCAAATCACTATATATTTTTCTATTATTTCTTTATCTCTTGTCTTTGATTTCCTTCTCATTTTCAGCATGGCCTCTCCAAGTCTAAGATAAAAGTCTTCTTTATATATAATGTAAATATAAATGAGGTTAAGTGAAAATTGTATAATTCATAGCACTTTGAAGAAAGTACTTTAATAATAATTCTTTCTCTGATATATTATTAGATATTAAGTAACTGAAGGAATAAAAACAAAATTAAAAACTTTAACTGCAGTGTCTTTTTGGCCTATAATTAATGTATAGGTTTTCTACTTTTTATCATGGCTTTTTCTAACATGTTTTATTTGGGAGGAAAAAAATTGCAAATTTCGCATGCAAAGGGTAATAATTAAATGCACTATAGATTTCTATGACTAGATTTCTCACACAAATGAAATAAATTAGATCCAAAGTGTAATAGGCCTATTATACATAGTACTCTGTGCCCAAATTTATTTCCAAATTCAAGTAAAAATGATGACTTTTTCTATGGGTCTTAGAATCACTGCTATTCCATTGTCTTCTTCCCTAATGAATATCCTATTTCTAAAAGACTCCCTAATCTGAGAAGAGACTGAATATCATCATTTATGGCCTTTTGGCCAATATCTGGGTAAAGGTCCTATTGGATAGGCCCTCAGGTGACAATGGGTAGGGACAGAAACACATTTTGGGAATTCAGTCAAGGAATTCAGGGCCAAATCTAAGAAGATGAGGTTTACAAAAGAGAGTAGTGTGGTTGACTATTGTTCTCATTATTATGGAAAATAATTAACTTCATATAAAGTAGACAATTTATTTTGAAAAGTTGTATATGTTTCAACTTTATCATTCATTAACGAAGTATATATTGATAGCATTTCTGACCAATCATAAAGATGAACATAGCTTTCAAATGCAAACTTAGACCTACAAAGGGAAGATGAGCAGCCTAAAAATCTTTAAGAAATAGCATATTCATTTCCTGGAATTTCTTTTTGTAACTCACTGTTTGTCAAGCCAAGAGCAAGGTAATGTTTAAGGGTGAATCTTTCTTGCTCTTAGTAGTGGAAAAAGCAGAAGCCCAGCAATATATTAATAACAATGAACACCATCAACTGAGGCTCATACACCTAAAAAATTAGCATCATTGAGTCATATTTTATGCATTTTGGTCTTTCTTTGAGGAAAAAACAATCACCATCTGCTTCTGCTTGCTCTTGCCTACTTCTTGTAAATATGGAAAGCATAGGAGTAGAGCTCCAAAATTCTCTAGACCTTGTTTGGTTGCATTTAATAGGATAATTGGGAGAAGAAGAAGGTGAGGATGTGATAGAACACTAATGTATATCTCCACGTATTTTGTACTCAAATGGTGTATTTGTACATTTGTGTGTCTTTTATGCACATTAATCCATAAAAGTTACCGCCTATGTAACACTGATCATTACAGCCTTCCCTTTTAGAATGCTCTGCCACGTGCACTTCACAAAATCAATTTCATAACAAACCTGAAAAAAAAATATTGTCTACCTTGAAAAGAAAATTAAATTTTCTAACTCCCAGTTGAAAGGCAGTGGCATATTAAGGAAAAGAAACTTTCAGACAGAGCCATAAATGTCTCTTCATAGATCCTAAATACTGTGGCAATATAACCACATTTAAAATATTATTGGGCCTCAAACCTCTTTACTTTGTATACTTATTTTCCCAATTATGAATCACCAGCAGTCAGTTTTTCCTTTTTTATTCACTCTGGAAAAATTTTCAACTTCTTTTTTTTTTTTCAGAGAGTCTCTCTATGTCGCCCAAGTTGGAGTGCAGTGGCACGATCTCGGCTCACTGCAACCTCCAGCTCCCATGTTCAAGCCATTCTCCTGCCTCAGCCTCCAGAGTAGCTACAGGTGAGTGCCACATGCCCAGCTAATTTTTGTATTTTTTAGTAGAGATGGAGTTCTCACCATGTTGGCCAGGCTGGTCTTGAACTCCTGGCCTCAAGTGATCCGCCCTCCTCAACCTCCCAAAGTGTTGAGATTACAGGCGTGAGCCATCATGCCTGGCCGGTTTTCAACTTCTTAATGTTGGTGCTTAAATTACATAATTAAAAGTTTACATAATTGATTAAATTTATGAATTTTAGAGTTATCCTAAAAATATATAGATGCACATTACATGTTCTTGGCTATGTTTGATGCGGTAAGTGGCTGGGCTGACCTAAGTCCCCAGTGTTTTAATCCAACATGAATCTAGGTGCTGCTGTAAAGGGATTTTGTAGATGTAAAAGCTCTATAAACAGTTGACATTTTTTCAGTGACATTACCCTGAATGGGCCTCATTTATTCAATTAGGAGGCCTTAAAAGATGGCTCGGCCTCCCTTTGAGAGAGAGAAATTGAATCTCACCCCTGGATGTCTCTCTTGCCCTTGCCTCTGTGGGGTTACATTCTGCTCACGATCCCTCCTTCTTGTCTAATCTATTTACTACAAGAATACAAACTTTGGACTTGCCTAGACAGCATTCACAGTTGTTTAAAACAAGTCTTTATTCTGTCTCTGTTTCTGTCTCTTTTTCTCTCCTCTGGTGGTTCTGCTTTTCAGGTTGAACCCTGACTGAAAATTCCTGCAGTGCTTTTAATAAAAATCACCTGTATTGAGAGCAAAAAAAATATTGAACTATAACTTAAACCCTAAGCTTCTCTAAAAAAAAAAAAATGTAATGAAACTTTCTATTGAATTTCATCAAGAGAAAGCCAAGTCATTTTCTTTACTTCTTAGATCGGTCCTGGTCAAGATTAATCACAGTGTTTTTTAAAAAAAGGTCTATGAGAAAAATTATTTTTATATTGCACTCAGGCCTGCATCTTCATAATGAAGTTTATTTCATTTTTCTTCTAGATTATGCTAAATGGGATTGAATTTACAAAACAAAGTAAAAGTTCCTCAAGGATTAATTTTCTCTTGGCTATAGAGTATATAATTGATATCTTTTGTCCCATTACATAGTTATATAAATATATATGTGTCTCATAGTTTGTGAATTAAGCATATTCTAGCTAATTTACTATGAATTATAGATGGAAAAATTTAATATTCCATGCAGTATCAATGTAACTTTGTTGTGGAATAAGATTAAGTTTAAAAGTTTTTGGAAAGAGGTTGATATGACAGTGGGTTTCTAGCATGCAGCATAATGTTATACAGTAGTAGATTTCAGCTTCTGAAATTTTCTGACCTACCAATTCTCATTCCCAGTGAAGCAAGTTTTGGCCTGAAAATCTTTTCTGTCACTCAGTCTGGTACTTTTGTGGACCACAAGAATATCTCACATACATAATGAATATTTTAATGAGCCTCTGATTCCAATCTTAGAAAATTGATTTTCTCTTCTAGTTTCATAATAGTATATATTTCCTAAAGGAATTTAACCCTGACAGTTCTCAGCTCAGAAGTCTTTAGGATGGAATGTTATGGTTTTATAAAGTAAATTAGGTTACTACTTCGTAACTATATCAATTTCAAATAGTTATGTGTTAGATTTTTGAAACAATGAGTATCTAGACCCTATAATACACAGGATACTTTGTCAATGTATGATTTTGAATATAATACTTTACTAATTGCCAAAATAAAGTTTCATTTTGGGTTACTCCATATGTTATGAAAACACACAGCCTCTTTCTTCGAAGAAAAATGAATTGCCTTAATCTTTAAAACACATTGCCAATAATTCATTTTAATGAACCTCTAAAAACTAATACAAGTTTTTTAAATGACCACCTGTGGGAGAGGGCATTTTTTAAATTCTATTATGTTATTAGTTATATGAAAATCGTAACGCCATAGTATTCCACAACATTTCCAGTTCCATTTAGAACAATATATCCATGTTATATCTCTATTTTTAAAGGATGAATTTGTCTGTATATAACAGAAAACCTAGGCAAAGAGTGTCATGAAGAAATACCAACTTATTTGTCCTATATAATAATTGGAGAGATAGGAGTCCTGGACTAATGTGGCTATTTACTCACCCCCTCAGTAATTCAGGCTCTTTCTTTCTTTTCTGTCTCCCATCCACAGTGGGGAGACTTCTGACTATACTTGCCAATTCATGGGAGCAAGAGTTCTGCTGTTCATTTGTGTCTGTTCCAGGAAAAGAGAAAAAGAAAGTTTAAGGGTTATAAATATTTCCACAAAGCAAGACTTTGCTTTTATTTTATTTTATTATTATTATTTAGATTTGGGAAGACACTTTATTCATAGACTCCACCTGTATCTCATGAAACATTTTTATGTTTTGTGTATTCCCTAGTTAAAAATGAGTTATTAGATGGAGTATTTAGTTTACTATTCCCAACATTAGGGAAAGCAAATGGGAACAATTGGTGATAGGTGTTGAGTGCGTTTGTTTGTTTGTTTTCAGTCTTTGGTTTTTGGCGTTTTTTCTCTCCTGTGTAAAAAACTACATCAGAACTTAGTGGTCTAAAACAACAATTTTATTTGATTCTTACATTTGGAAATCAAAAACTTGGGAAAAGCCCAACTATTTGGTTTCTCTGTGGTCTACAAGATATCAGCTAGGGCAGCTGGAAACAGATAAGAAGATTATTGATTAGAGTAGGTCAAACATCAGAGTTCTAGCAATCTTATAAGGTTGAAGAGACAAAATTTTGAGTTTCAGAATTTTAAGGAATACCAAACTTAGAGGTCCAAAATTCCAGAGAGAAAAGAGAGATAGAGAAATAAATATGGCAGTGCAGATTTCTCCTAGATGGATATGCTAATTTCTTAAGCTCCGCAGTGTAAAGAGATAAAAAGGTAAGCTCAAAGCCTCTGAAAAGCAGAGAAAAGTTTGATCAGTTTTATAGTGACAGGGGGACAAAAAACAAGGTATAGAATCTGCCAAAAAAGAAAGAACCTAGACTATTAAGTCTTGGTGGGGAGTTCTGATAAAATAAACTATAGAGGTTGGGATTAATCAGTAGTCCTACAAAAGCTATGCTCAACCTTAAGTTAGCTCAGTTCCTGCTCTGTATGCTCAGCAGATAATATACTCACTCTACAGCAAAGTAACATTATCAAATATCTCAAAAATGTTTCATACACAATATCTAGCAGTACTGGGTTGAATTGTTTCTCCCCAAAAGATAAGTTCAAGTCCTAAACTTGGTAACTATAAATATGACCTTATTTACAAATAAGGTGTTTGCAGATGTAATCAAGCTAGAATGAGGTCACACTAAGTTAGAGTATGTCCTACCTTCAATGATTGATGTTCTTCTAAGAAGTGAGAGAACATAGAGACACACACACACATAAGGAAGAAGCTATGTGATAATAGAATCAGAGGCTGGAGTGGTGCAGTTAAAAAATAAGGAATGACAAGGATTGCCAGTAGATACCAGCAGCTGGAAGAGACAAGGAAGGAAGAAGTCTTCCCCAGAGACTTGAGTGGAGACATGGCCCTGAAGAAAATTTGATGTTAGACATCTAGCTTCCAGAACTGTGAGATAATAATTGCTTATTGATTTAAGCCAAACAGTTTGTGTTAGTTTGTCACAGCAGCCTTAGGAAATGAATAAACAATCGTTTAATTATATGTGACTAGAAATACTAAAAACTAGCTTTAGAAAAAAATCAAAAATAGAATCAGGCCAGTAAATGACAGAGTTATAATTACCAGAATAACCATAAAATATGTGTTCAATAAAATATATGATATTTTGGAAAGTTTTTAATCAGAGAATTAAAGTTGATTAAAAGGTCACATGTAAAGTCCAGAATAAATACGTATATAATACATATTCTGCATCCAGAATACACACACACACGCAGACATGGACACACACATTATTATGCAAATAACTAATTTTAAACACATATTGGAATCAAATGAGGAGAAAATCAGTTAATTGTAGAAAGCTCAGTGGAAAAGATTCAATCTGAACAATGGACTATTAAAGGACTAGTTCATTAATATTAAAAATAGCTTAAAAGTTGTATGTATAGGAGTCAATAAAAAGGTCTAACAGTTGTATAATTGGATTCCCACAAAAGTAGGATACAAAGAATGACAAAAAATTGAAAATATAATGTTTAATAATTTTCTTAAACCAATAAGAGAAATCTATCTATATCTTCAAGAGATTCTTCTAACATTGATAGGGTCAATAAAAGTAAAAATCATCCCAGATTTTCACAATGTAGAAAAGTGAACATCACCAACAAAAGTAATATATTAAAAGAATTCAGAGAATAAAGATACATTTTCTTATAAAAGGCAAAAATGAGAAAGAAGGCTGACTTTTTAATGAAAATAATGGAATTATATGCATATTGAAGTTCATAGCCCAAATGTATATATAAGTAAAGAATTGTTGAATGATAGAGCTTTAGGTATCCATTTTACAAATTTATAAAGAGCTTATTTAAAAACAGAATATCAATAAGAAAGTAAAAGAAAGGCAATAATAATGATAAAAAGAGAAAGCAGTAAAAGTTATAATAAATACACGATAGAGAGAATCAATGAAACCAGTTATTTTTGAAAGGGGAGAGGAAAGATTAATGAAATTGAAAACTTATGGCAAAATTAGTCAATAAGGAGAAAAGAAAATAGGGGAAAATTTTAAAAAGGAGAAATAGCACAGATTCTATAGATGTTAGAAGTTTATAAGATGATATTATCAATAATTATGGCCAATAAATTAAAAATGCTTCTGGAAGATAAAATAACGAAAGTCAATGACCTTGGAGCAGGCGAAGATTATTTTCTTTTTTTTCTTTTTATTTCTTTTATTTATTTATTTATTTATTTATTTATTTATTTATTTATTTATTTTTGAGACGGAGTCTCACTCTGTCGCCCAGGCTGGAGTGCAGTGGCACAATCTCTGCTCACTGCAAGCTCCGCCTCCCGGGTTCACACCATTCTCCAGCCTCAGCCTCCTGAGTGGCTGGGACTACAGGTGCCCTCCACCATGCCTGGCTAATTTTTTGTATTTTTAGTAGAGACGGGGTTTCACCGTGTTAGCCAGGATAGTGTCGACCTCCTGGCCTTATGATCCGCCAGCCTCGGCCTCCCAAAGTGCTGGGATTACAGGCGTGAGCCACCTCGCCTGGCCCGATTGCTTTCATACTGGTCTAATGTAAAGGATAACATAGAACAACTGGACTGTGTTAAAACAAAGAATTTCTGTTCATTAAAAGCCACACCGTTACAATTATGCAAATAAGTCATAGAGTAGAGAGGAATATTTGCCATTTTTATGTCTGATTAAGAACCAGTGTTAAGAATAGAGAATTTTCCACAAATCAATAAAAATGACAGAATGATCAAGTTTTTAAAATGGGCAAAACCCTGAGTGTCTGTTTACAAAAGAGAGCATACATATGGTCAGTAAATTTATGTGAAAGCTGCTTGACCTTATTAGTAGTTAGGAAAATCCAAACCAATATCTCAACTTGATACTACTAATAAGATGACTACTACAATAAAGAAAGGAAAAAGACTGACAATGAAGACTGAACAGTGTTAAGGACATGGAGCAACTGGAATGCTCAAACAATGCTTGTTACTCTCATCCATAGCACTTTCAGAATCTTTGTCATATACTCATACAACAAATTCCATTGTTAGGCAAATACCCATCAGAATAGTTTAACAAATGATACGTACAAAGATGTTTATAGCAATGTTATTCATAATAAACAAAAACTCCCAACAAATATTCATCAACATTTGAACAGAGAAATACATTACAAAAAAAATCATGAGAATGAATGAACAATTGCTGTACTCACAAGTTTCAATCTTACAAACACAATGTTGAATGGATGAAGATAGACACACATATATATTGAACAACTGTCTTTATAGAAAAAAATAACAAAAAGACAAACGACAAATATCTAGTGTTAGAAGTCAAGATAATTATTTTTTTGTGTAGGGCTTAATTATGAGGAGGGGTAAAAGTTGCAGTTCTGAGGCACAGATAATATTCTATTTCTTGGTCTGTGTATCTATCACGTTTGCTTTCATTTTATTAATATTTATTGTTTGTGCACTTTCCTGCATGTATGCATGCATGTGTTTAGCTCCATAAAAAGTTTATTTAAAAGTAATATGGAAGTAATGTTGATTAACAGCCACAATGGCCAAGACATTATAAAGCAGATACTGGAGAATAAACCTCCTGGACTGCAGATTTGGTTAAAAGCAGACACTTTAGAGTCAGCTTGTGCTTGAATCTTAGCAGTGAAACTTCTGTGACCTTTGAAAAATTACTTAACATCTCTGAGCACTCAATCAATCATGTTATTTAAAATAGAAATGATAATACTTGTCTGTGGCAAAAATTTTAATCCATTTGTTCCTTCTTCCATAGTAGAATTTACATTGTGTTAAATATGACAATGTCTCTATCTTTTAAAACAGGCAAACAAACAAAAAAAAAACCCTGTTTTTCATTGCATATCATTAAAAACCTTGCTTATTTATTGTTTACAGCCAGTGTCAGTAACTATGTTAGATTCTGAGATACTAAATTGAATAATTCATGAATCTTTCTTGTAAAGAACTTGCAACATTTTAGGGAAACGCAAGAAAGCCTCTAAGTCTCATTTGAAGGTATAAGCTCCATGACAACAGAAATCAAGCTTGTCTTTTTCATTCGTTTAGTCTAATGGCCTCTTATGAAAACATTTATTGTACTAAACAATACTCAATAAATATTTTGTGGAATGAATGAATGAACAGATGCGTGAATGAAAATTGCTGTGGCAGAAGACCTCACATGCTATCGTGGAAGAATGAAGCAAATTGTGAGCACCTATATCTAGGAGGGTTAAAAGATTCTCTACATATGAGGACAATTTTGGCTTAAAGCTTAAATTGGTAGGTATTCATCATCCTGTTTTGTGAGAGAAAACTGAGGGAAGATTAGCAAAGAAAGAGAAAACATCTAAGCAAAAGCTACATCATCAACAAAAGCACTGAAATCTTTTTCACCCGAAGAACAAAAAATCAGAGCAAGTTTAAAATAAAGTAATGAAAGAAGCAGTGTTTCTCTGATACACTAAATCCTCATTAAGTTCTCCCTATAATTATAATGCACTAGTTTGCCAGTTTGGGTGACTATCTTGGTCTTCTATCCTGGGTAATCTCCCAAGACCAGTTGCCTTCCAGATTTAAAAGCTAGTTTACCTCGTTCCTTATCCCTCCTGGGATCTATAATATAATGTGGTTGAATAACTAATCTGATCAATAGATTTAAATCACAGCAATAACAGCTTAACATTTTAAATTTATGAGATACTTTTTCAAACGCATTACTCAAAAAAAATGGATAAAACTTGAGGATCTTACCCTCCATGGAAGATATTTTGGCATATGCAGGACTCTTTCTAGCATGACTTTGCTTTAAGATTTAGCTTTTCTGCTACTTCCTTTGTTGCATCTTGTCTGACAGGCAGGCCCAGACGTTATCCTTGACACGAGGAATAATCTTTTGTGGAACAGTTTTGCACATGACTGCTTGTCTGTGCTTCCCTTGGTCTATGAGCTCATTGAGGCCAATCAGTTTATTTCCATTTTTTGTAGGCTTTGTGCCCAACAGTGTTCTTAGCAATCAGAAGTCAGCCAATAAATATTTGTTGAACGAATGAATGAATGTGTACAAAATGGGCATTACCTGATGACAATCTATGGTTTATATTGACTTGTCCAGGTGACTTTACCTGGTGACAGTATATGGTTTCCTTAGATATACTGTTTACTTTAAATATATATGGGCTTCTTCTAAAGTTGAGCTTTTTGACTAAAGAGTCGAGTTTTCAGTGTTAAATCATTATTTTAGGTAGGTTTTAATTTTTTGTTGTTAATTTCTGTTTCTGATTCCAGCTCAGCATCCAGCTTGCCTGTGGTACCAGCTGATCCACTGTGTGGACTCAGGACTCAGGCAGCAAGGGGTGTCTTCATTAAGAAGTGGCCCAGGTTGGAAGATGATTTTCCTGGTGAATCCCTTTATCAACAAACTCAGAGACTCCCTGTGACCACATGTCCCAAAGGAGACCCTTCTATTTCCCGGCAGCATCAAGAGGGCATTGTTGCATTGTTGAGAACAGACATAGCAAATATGCCATTGCAGTAACAATAATATTAATAATGAATACATTGCTAAATATTCATAACAAGTACATTATTGAATCAGGCATTGTTGCTTGCCTTCTAAAGTCTATTTCATCTCTTGGTCTTTATACCAATCTTATAGTTTAGGTGAGATTGACCTTCCCTTACTGCAAGGAAAGGTCTGATTGGCATAATGTATAAAATACAATCTCATTCTCCTTAGCAAACATAGCAAACACCTCCATGGAACCATTCATCATATTATGACAATCTCCTGGGTCACAGCTATGGGTTTGTATCAGTGGAGACAAAAATGATTCCATCTTGGATGCTAATCTGCCATGCTGACTTCTGATCAGCCCCAGTCTCATGAATGCCCCCTGGTTTCTACATTAGTTCTTGTCCTTTGTGTAAAAACAAAGCAACCTTGATGTTATCACACAAATTATAGGCTATGACACACATAGCATTCTTGTCTGTTCTGGAGGATACCTTTGGTTGTCTTGCTGGAGCACGTATGCCTCTTCTCTATGGTAGGTAAGTCTTGAGTCTAGGGAGTCACCGGGCAGAGATCTGCTTGTCTTGTGGCTGCCCAAGACCACACTTCCATCGTTAAGTTCTCTTAATAAATCACCCAATACTGACAAACTAGGTTTGTCTGCCTCCTTCTTTGGTGTGGCTCCTTCAGCATTTGGGGGTCACTTTGCATATATGGCCCTTTCATGGAGCAGTACTATAGAAAACACATCTGAGAATTTAAAGCACAATTGACAGATTTTTAACTTTATTCCTGCCACCATCAATATGATTTGTTAAATACATGTACAGCAAAATGAAAATTTTTCTATAGTAAAGAGTGTGAATTTGCTGAAAGTCACCTGCCTTTATTTTTATTGAATGTGAATTACCATTCTGTATGTGGTATTATGCATTCTCAATGGGGGTGATCTTTTCTTCAGTGGAGTAAAAATTGGTTCTCATGGGAACAAGAAAAAAAAAAAACTTAGACATTACAACAATGTGTGGGTCCCCAAATGATATTTCATATACAATATATCTGTGGGTAACACATTTTAGGGGAAAGGGTAATTAGGGGAAAAAATCTTTAAAAAATACTTAGAAGAGTGATAATGAAAAAAAAAAGGCACGAGAAACACATCTATAGATCATAAGTGGCAAAATACAAATTGGCTACTGGATTGTGTTTGTGTCTCTTCCTTATTCCCCCACCCTACTTCTCATTTTTAGGTGGTATATGCAAGCTAATTTTATCAATAGTTCTAACAATCGTCTAACTAGGAAGTAAGATCTACACAAGATAAGTTGTAAGACTACAATTTATCTTGCAGCTAGTTACATGTATCTCTGAAGTGATTCTGAATTCTGTTGTGGACATGGCAGCCAAGAGCAATTCTCCCTGAAAAGAGAGCTGTTGTAGAGAATGCAGTGCTAGCTGAACCCAGGTGTTGGCTGGGTGGGCTCCGCAGGGGATGAGAGGAAAGAATATCTATATCACAGCCCCATTCAAGTGGCTTAAGTCACTGCCAGAAACGTCAGAACAAGAAGTAAGCAGGAAGGATAAATCTGGTTCTTTCCTGGGGTTCTTTATCTCAGTAAGGGACACTGTTATGAGCTGGACAAAAGGACACCAGTCCTTGATTTCTTCATCACTCTTCCATCATCAGCTCCTGATTATTTTATCTGCTAAATGTGTCTTGATTTTTTTCTACTTTTTCTATCTTTAACATCACCACTTCCCTCGGTCAGGTTCATTTTTCATCTTGGCTACTATGATTGCCTCCTAACGTGCATCTCTATCTATTTTTGCAATTCCCCTTTCCCCATCCATTTTTGCACTGCAGCTAAAGTTTAAACATAAATCATGACTTGGTTACTGATCTTCTTTAAAACTCTTAAATAGCTTCTCACTCTTATTAGTATAAAATTCAAATCCTCTGTATTAGTTATTTTAGTGTAATGAATTTCCTCAATACCCAGAAGCTTAAAACAACACTCATTCATTTCCTACAGTTTCTGTGAGCCAGAAATGTGGCTCAAGGTCTGTAACTGCTATCAATGTTTTGGCCAGCACTTAGGTCTTCTTAAGGCTTTACAGGGGAGAAGTTGCTTCCAACTTCGAGCATGTGGCTGTTGTCAGTCTTCAAGTTCTAAATGGCTTTTGAATAGAGATATCAGTTCCTTGATACATAGCAGTTGGCTTGTGACAAAGTGACAGGGACAGAATAAAATGGAAATCACAGTTTTTGTAACCTAATCTTCTAAATGACTTGATATCACTTTTATAATCTTACAATTGGATCATGAGCCCAGACTCAATGGCGTGAATGACCAGGTGGCAGGAACCGTTGGCAGCCTCTTAGAGGCTTCCTTTCACACTGCCCATCATGAACCTCCACTTCAGGCCGCAATTCTCCTCTGTGCCCTTAAAATATACCTCCCCATACTCTCTCCACACCTGCCTTTGGCACTCTTTCAGTCCCTGCTGTTCTCCAAGCTTTCTGCCACTGTGTCGTTCATATTTTCATCTTTTCCTGAGAAGCCCTTCTTTTTCCTCTTTGCTTATGTAACTTTTATTTTATTTTATTTTACTTTATTTAAGTTCTGGGATACTGTGCAGAACGTGCAGGTTTCTTACACAGATATACATGTGCCATGGTCGTTTGCTGCACCTATCAACCTGTCATCTAGTTATTACTTTTTTTATTTAGCCCCTCATGCATTAGGTATTTGTCCTAATGCTCTCACTCCCCTTTCCCCCCACCCTGCAACAGGCCCCACTGTGTGATGTTCCCCTCCCTGTGTCCACGTGTTCTCAGTGTTCAACTCCCACTTATGAGTGAGAACATGTGGTATTTGGTTTTCTGTTCCTGGGTTAGTTTGCTGAGAATGATGGCTTCCAGCTTCATCCATGTCTCTGCAAAGGACATAAACTCATTCTATTTTATGGATGCATAGTATTCCATGGTGTAGATGTGCCACATTTTCTTTATCCAGTCTATCATTGATGGACATTTGGGTTGGTTCCAAGTCTTTCCTATTATAAATGATACTACAATATACACACATGTGCATGTGTCTTTATAGTAGAATGATTTATAATCCTTTGGGTATATACCTAGTGATGGGATTCCTGAGTCAAATGGTATTTCTTGTTCTAGGTCCCTGAGGAATCACCACACTGTCTTCCACAATGGTTGAACTAATTTACACTCCCACCAACATTGTAAAAGCACTCCTATTTCTCCACAGCTTTGCCAGCATCTGTTGTTTCCTGTTTTAGATTTTACATTTATTTCATTGCTTCCTATTTTTAGAGAAAAAATATCCCACCTTAGGTCCCATGAGTAGGGTTGCCAGATAAAATGCAGGATGCTTAGTTAAATTTGCACTTCAGATAATGCACGAATAATTTTTTTAGTGTAAGAATGTCCCAAATATTGCAGGAGACATATGTATACTAAAAATTATTTACTTTTTTAATCTGGATTTTAATTGTGCATTCTGTATTTTTCTTTGCTAAATTTGGCAACCTTACTTCTGAGAAGCATAATACATTTCCCTGTTCCTAGGTCAGTGTCTGTCCTAACTAGCTGCAAGATAAATTGCAGTCTTACAACTTACCTTGTGTTGATCTGACTTCCCAGTTAGAGGATTGTTTGAAGTATTGATAAACTTAGCTTGCATGTACCACCTAAAAATGATAGGGTGGAGAAGCAAAGAAAAAACACAAACACAATCTAGTAGTGAATTTGTCCAAAAATATTCATTGGATCCATGAGTGATAGTAATTTTTATTCTTGTAGGTTCTCAGAAGAAATGAATTATGTAATCAGGAATGCAATATTTCTTAGTTGCTTAATAACTCGGGACCATTTAGAAAGATTCACGTTCCATACTTTTAGGCAGGTTTTGCTCTTCAAAGAGCTGACAGAAACTATTCTGAGTGAAATTTTAATTTGTGTCCAATTTCTCTTCATTCAGCAAATCCCAGCATTATCACTCACTATCCAGTACAGAAAGCAACTTCTTTCAAAGTTATCTGAGAGACAAAATTGTAAAAAGGAAAGCTTGGTAATTGTGAGCAAACAACATAAACACTTTGAGCCTCAGTTATTTTTTCATCAAAGTGACAGGGAGAATAGGGTTGATGTGAGGATTAAATGGGTCAATGAGCAAACAGTAAGAAACATACTTGGCACTTAAAAGGCAGTTAATGAATCTTCCCTTAAGCTCTTTTTATCTCTGTATCACGTATGTATTTTAAATTAGCTAAGACAAAGTATGTTGACGGTGAAAATAGAAAGGCTCTAAAATTTAGGGACTACTTCAGAAGCAAAGAACATGTATTACTGTACATTTCAAATCTATTTAGGGAATTAGCCAAACCACTCTTCAGAAAGGTAGCTGAAATTTAAATTTAATGTTTTTTTGTTGCTGTTGTTGTTGTGTTTTACTCTTCTTTTTTAAAAAATAGAATTGAAGTATGTATAAAAATGTTGCTTAAAAATGGGTGTACAGAATCTAAAACATATTCCATGTAATGATTTAAATCTTTAGCTCTGTCAAGAAATAATGAGCTTTAATAATGTCGGATTAGGGCAGGAAGAATCAGAAGGATCACTGAGCAAGGGTAGGCAAGTTTGCAGCATACCCCCTCCCCATTCAAGCTGCATCATTTAATTACTGGTTCAATGCAAGGTTAATAATTACTACCAACTGTCACATTCACTTAAGACTTTTCTGAGAAAATATTAACAACTCACTGACATTGTAGAGATTGGGATTTCTATCAAGTAAGAGTGCCAGGGCAGGAAGCTTATGTGGGGGAATCCATTATACAGTATGCAGGCAAATGTAGATTTACAGCAGCAGTTTAGCCAGTTTAGCTAGTATAAATAATGTTTAAAACCTCAAAAAAATCTGTAATTTCTCATATTTTATGCTTCCTAACGGAATTTTGGTGGGAATAATACAGGTTAAGAAGACGGTCAGTCAAGAGAGCCACTGTGTACCTTTATTGAAGATTAGATTTAGATGAATAATTTAAAAAAGAATTAAATATTATTTTTATAAGCATTCTGAATAACTGTAACAAAATACATTAGCCAATGTTTGCTGTTATGCTAGAGGGAAAGTATTTTTTTGAGGAATATATCTATAATATGATCTATCCAAAATGACGTGCCTTGTTTCATAGGAAGAGGTAATCTTGACTGTACAAATTTCAAGCTGTTTAAATAATTGGAGACATGACAACTATTTTAAAAATCTTTCTTTTGATGTTTGACAGAAAAAACTCAACCTTTCTCTTCACATATTGAAGATAATTTAAATGTACTGATTCAAGAAGCTACTAATGCCCAAATATGTCTTTATTCTGTTTATGAGGATATAGAAGGAATAAAAGCCCAAATTTGATAAGAAAATAGATATTCAGTTTAGAGGACATATGAATCATATTATATAATGTTTACCAAGACTTTTAAAAATAATACATAACATTTCATTTGTGAAGCTAATGCTATAAAATGTTGGACATTCAATAGCAGTTAATTTATTTTTCTATTCAAAGTTGCATTTTTAAAAAATGCATATTTTACATCTTTTTTCTTTAAAAAATATTTGCACTTTAGAAAAGAGGTTAGATCTGTCTGCTTCTTACCCATAGGTCAAAAGGTGACTATATTAACATTTTACTATTAACTATTACTATTACTTCAAGAGTTTGGAGTCCTTAGTTGTCTTGTCTGTGTTGGGTTGTGGTTGCTGCAATGAACTATTAATGGCTATCACTGAGCACAAAAACACAAAGATATATCCAAGTGAATTCATTTGATTCCAGGCATACTGCTCTGCTCCTGTGTGGCAGCAACCCTAGGCACTTGTGGTAGTCAAAGTCGATTATCCCTGCCAGATTTGTTACTCCTTCCGTTGGCCCCCAGTACACCAGCAAGAGAATACTAAAATGATCAGATGTCACTCATAGCTTTCAGTTAACCTAATCTAATAGACGCTTTCTCGACCTGTAAACCAGAACCTTTAACTGGTACGGTTTAAGATTGTGGACTGAGAAACAAAAGTTCATAATTGAGTTCCCAGATGGGTAGTGATAGGACCCAGATATGCTGTCACTCTTTTGTTCCTGACCTACATATTCTAGGTATCGGGAACACCATACTTAATATCATCCATTTGGGTCATTGCATATAAACCGTTGGGGTTCAGAAAACAGTACCCCAAATTAAAGGCCTCAGCAGCAGCCGGAGAAGCAAAAGTTTTTCTCTGACCTTCTCCTGTCCTCCTGTTTCTCAGTCCCATTCTCCGCTGAAGCTGGCTATAGAAACTGGAATCCCTCTTCCCCAAGGTGGGTCATAGAAACCAGAACTCCTTTTCCTGAAAAACAGCCACAGAACCTAAAAATATTTTGAGTAAAAACTGGCTATAAATAAACTCTCTGATCTACCTTATTTGATTGCAGATGAACATAAGACCCTCATTCCAGGAAGGTCCCTGTGCCACACTGAGAAGGAAAGAATGCATGCTCAGAGAGACCAAGAAGAATCTAAACAGACAGGCCTTACAGGGTTTCCCCACTCAGTCTATTAACATTAGAACATGTGCTCTTATCCAATCATATTTCTACATAGCTGTTCATACTTTGTTGAACCTAAGCATAAAAATGGGCAATTTCCCCTATATCTTTGGGTCTCAATTCTGAAGGCTTTCCTGTATATGCTTCAAACAAATTAATATGCCTTTTCTCTTATTAGTCAATCTGTCTCATGTCAGTGAACTTCAGTGAACCTCCAGGAGGCCAACAGCCTTGGCCCCTACAAACCTCATGGAGAATAGTATATTCATATTATCAGGCTACCATAGCTAAATACTATAGCCTGGGTGCTTATGGAGCAGAAACTTATTTCTTATAGTTCTAGAAGCTGGGAAGTCTAAAGTCATATAAACCTGATAGCCAATTTTCTTCCTAGTGAGGAACAGAACTGGCTGTCAATTCTGTTCCTAGTGAGCCAAAGATGTTATTCAAGCTTATTGAAATAGGTGAGGCCATAACCTAGTCTGACATCACATTTCTTTTCCTAGTGAGGAACAGAATTGGCTGTCAAGTTGTCTGTTCCCTTCTTGGCTTGCAGATGGCCACCTTCTTGGTGTGTCCTCACAGCAAGAGGATGAGCTCTCTTGTGTATTTTTTTACAAAGATTCTAACCCTATCAGATTAAAACCCTACCATTATGACCTCATTTAACCTTAATTGCTTTTTTAAAGGCCCTTTTCCAAATATAGTCACATTAAGGATTTGAGGTTTCAAAATATGAATTTTGGGGGCACAAAATTCAGTTCATAGTAATAGCATCCTCAATCCAGAAGACATTTTCCAAGAGGTGGCACCTTAGCTGAGCTGAATTGGCTTCGGCCTGGTGACAGCTGACATCCAAGGTCAGGTCATCCATCCATCTGCTAGTTGAGAGCCTCCTCTTAGGTGGATGCCCTCTGGCTGGCATTAATGTAAGCTCTATTCACTTAATGCCCATTCCCACAAGTACATCCAGAGGGCATTTTCCAAGAGTTTTTTAATCTTCCAGATGTTTCTCCCAGCCCCTTGACCAAGCAGCCAAGCTATTCACTACTGCTCAGTAATTAATGTGCATCCATAAGTTGACTAACTTTTCCTTGGTATGAAATGGACAACCTCATGTACTACTTGCAGCTCTTCTCACCAGAATTCCCATTCAGAATGGTCAGCCACTACAGTGAGGGCTGCAATTGATGGGGGTCCAATTTTAACCACCATCAACATATCACATCAACCACTTTGTGAAGCTGGCCTGAGTTATCTCGTATTCTGTCAGTTGGCCAGAGGTGTGAGTTGAAGGAGGAACATCAGTGCAATAGAAGTGATGACAGAAGGGATAGGTACCTGAGCTACCTGCTCATGTGATTTACCTCTTCTTTCTCATTTTTCCTAGGCCCATTTCAAATAACTATTTACATTTGACAGTAAAATGCTGGTGTGCTTGCTTGTCATTGTCCTTGATGGATCTGTAATGCACAACTCATAACAAACAATTACTTGCAGTAACTATCACTCGGCCTCTATTTGAGCCAAGTAGCACACTAACAGTGTGTGTATGTGTGTGTGTGTGTGTGTGTGTGTGTGTGAGAGAGAGATAGAGAGAGAGAAATAGAGAGAGAGAGAGAAAAGGGGACTAGTTCTCTGACACAGAATGATATGGCCATAAATGTCTGTACTGCAGCTTTCTTAGGGAGCTTGTTAAAGAATCTGCACAGCATTTTTACCAATTTGTATATTTCTAGCATTATTTTGATCTGTTTCGTTATATGGCCAAAGAGGTAGGGAAGCTCACACTACAGCCCAGGCCTGCTGTAAAGTCCCCTCTTAATCTAGACCACACTCAAAATGACTGTGAACATATCAGTTCACAGTCATTTTGAGTGTGGTCTATATTAAGATACATTGAAGCAGTATTTTCGTTTTACTTCTGAAATAAAAATGGCCCACCCGGTGCTGTACTTCTTTCTCAGGTAGGGGATGCACAGAGAAACATTTGTCCTCTAGCTTAGAGGAGATGCTCGGGAGTATTCCAAATCACTGGATTCCTTAAGATGTACTAGTGTTGTAGGCTCCTGAGTCCTTTTGTTGTTTATCTATCAAGTTCGCCACGTGTGTATCTTATTAGAGAACCTAAAGTTCTGGCCACCTCCTGTTCACCTTGTCTAATTAGGCCAATTTTCCTTGATATAGTAAAATACGGTGATGCTATCAGGAAGGTCAAAATGGTCATGATCCTTACAGACTATCTGACAATAAAGGACAAGAGAGTTAATTTATCCCTGTGGCAAAAAAAGGCAGGGGGGAATGTTGTCCTTAACAGGTAAAAATGACCTGATTTGAGCCCTTCGTGCTAAGAGGATTGAGAGAAATGTCCTTAACAAATCCAAAGCCTTATACCAATTTCAGAAGTTGTGCTAATAGCAGGCAGAAGCTGCAAATGAGGCTAATTAAGAGTGGTCCACTATGAATTACAATGATCCATCTTTTGGTGTTTGTTCTTAACTGAGATTAGACTGGTGAACTGAAAGATTGAAAGAGGAAATACTGGAGACTATTATCATTAAATTTTTCAAATATTTGATGGTGGCATTAATACATGAACTTCCTCCTCAGATGAGATATTGCTCCCAATATAAACTCCTAGATGGGAATGTGGGGTGGGCTGTTGCCTTGGCTTTCACTTTTACCCTTCTACAATAACGGCTCTTACTTTACAGGTCAGAGAAACAACATGAAAGTTCTGCCAGCTGGTAAATATATTCAACCCAAATAAACTAATCAGGAAGCATATTAGTACTTATAAGTATAGCTTGAGTCCATGGATGCACTGTGTCTACAGTGAGATGGACTTGGGTCACCTCCTCATTCATTCCTTGACCTCCATTATCCCCCTTTAACTTGAGAACCCTGATGGCATCTTAGGACTCTGGTTTCAGCTCATACATTATACAAAAAGTTCTTCAAAATGTCGTATTTCCCCATTTCCTCAGTGCACAGCTCCCTGAAGAAGTGGCTGCAGGTCCTTTGAGGCATGATCAAAGTATTTTTGACCATATATTTATGGTATTGAAGGATCTTTCCTCGAGATGACCTTGTCTTCCTGTCAGTCAGTATGTTATGGTCACGTGAACTAATTTGAGATCTGGAAATTGAGATAAGGATATATATTTTGCATTGTAGTGGATGAAAGCTTGCAAAGTCTCACTTATTTTCATTTCTTATACAAATTGTGGAAACCTCTGCTTGACTGTCATATCCCTTGTGCTCAGTACAGCCACTTTAATTGTGGTAGGAGATTCAGACATCTTTATTGTCACTTTACTATACCCATTAAGTTATTTGCATTCTTTGCTTCTGACAATAAGTATTGCCACTGGCCTCTAACATTCCAGATTCTTATTATTCACATTGATATGGGGCAGGTCTACAACAGGGTCTCTAACTCTCAATGCTCTTTTCCAAGGACACCAACCATTGAGCTTCTCAAACATTTTGATAACATCCTCATTAGGAAATTTTACACTGCCTTAGTGAAAGGATGGATTCTAGGACCTCCTGAGAAACAAGGGTGAGATCTCAGGTCTTATAGTAAATTTATTAATGCATATAATAAATGTACATGTAGTAAATCTATTAATACATATAGTAAATTTATTAACATCCCTATAAGCTTTCTGACTCTTACTGACACACAGTATATGTATGTGTATATATATATATACACACATATATATACACAAAGACTAATTATACATATACTAAACATATATATTATACTAATGTATAATATCAATATATACACAACATATATATATATATATATATATATATATATATATATATATATGTACACTAATTCCAAAGCAAGAATTCAGCTTCACCACAAGTGCCTAGCCATACCTAGACTCTGGTTATTGGCCTAAAAGCAATATCCTTGCTCCTCTGCAGATTACCACTCACTTGTACCTTATCACAGTTAATCGTAGGTGAAGTTTTAATAATGATGATGCTAGAAACGAAGTTCATACTGACTTCAGATTTCTTGGCAAACTCCAAAAGCCCATCTGATCATATGCTTTCCAGAGTAGCTCTAGCTACTCAACTTCTTAATTTGACTACCTTAGAAAAGAAGACTGGATGTGAAAATTTATGAGCCAACACTTTATTAGGGAGTGGGATCCTAGGGGAAGTCATCTGAGGCAATCAAGGAAGAAAGAGAATACATGAAAATGTATGACCAAGTTTCATGAAACATTAAAATTTCCAACCTAAATGGATGTCTTCAGAGAGCCTGAAAAAAAATTACTGCATCTCTGAACCATGGCTTGTGAGCAAGATGAGAGAGCAGAAGAATTCATCCAACATGTCTTGCTCCTGGTGTAAGTTCACTGAGTAAGGACAGTGGCAGTATAGAGCATCAGCAGAAACACGGGACACAGGGTGGAAGGTGAGGTATGGATGTGGAGCAGGGATGGAGGTACCAGAGTCTGGTACTAAAGACCCTGGTAATACAGGCTTCAGCCACAAACCGGCAATGCACTGAGCTATGATGTGCATGAGCTAGAACCCTTACATACACATTTATGAATTTACTTAAGTTTTTATTCAAATTAAAGTCTTACAGGAAATATTACACACATTATAAAATTAATTATTGGTCATTAATTTAGTACTTAATGGCCATCAAATATTAGGAGGCAACTTCTACATAAGGACAGAGGCGAGCAAAAGGACAATGACAAGCACATAAATAAGGGTTATTTGGGGTAAAAAAATATATAGCAGAAAGAAAAATGACTGGAAAGACTATAACACATGTAGGTAAAAGACAAAGGTAGAGAATGGTTAGTAACTTAATCTGTGCATTTGTACTAATACCCAGCAAGACCCATTGTTTGTACATCACAGCTTGCCAACAGTGCTGGTTCAGCCACTATTTGGAGTGAACACGTAGTAGTTTTTATAACTACTATTTCGTGTAATATAATATGCAAGATAACAATATGAAACTTGTAAAAATAATTAATGTGAATTATCTGCAGGATATCATCTTTGTTCTCAGACTTAGGGACTTCAGATAATAGAAAAATAGCATTTAGAGTCTGTATCTGCCAACATTTTCCTACTCATTATAACAATGGTGTCTAATAAAGCAGAATATACAAATAAGAATAATACTTTCATTCTAAAATAGAAATTAAATAATTAATTACTATTATTTACTGAATATATCCAGTATGTGACTTTATGTGACAGAGAACGCCTTAAAATGTTTAAGGTGAAGGTTTAATACATGTATAGAAACTACTTGAAAGCTCATGCAATATGCCGTTGAGCACAAATGATGCAATATTTCTAATCTTGGCAACTGCAATCAGATCCCAATTAAACAAAATGAAATGTTCATGGGTAAAATACAAATTACTTAAAATTTTAAATACAAAACTAAACTCAACTCGAACGCCTACGTATTTCTACAGAGGCCTTACAGCAGTTTATAGATGAAAAAGCGTTTTGGCTCCTTCTAGGCCTCCAAATAATGAATGTGTTTGAATTGGGTTTAAAGTATATGCACCTTATAGGAAACGAATTCTGTCTTTTAGCAAGCTGAACAAATACAACCTTGAGACTTAATTTGCTTCTCTTTGTGTGTATGTTTTGAGTATGAAGAAAAAGATGAGAATTTACATGGAACTTTTTTACTGGAACTTTTCCCCCAGATTTAAGACAATATCTATCAATCACATGCCAAAAGCACTTTATAAGCAGACTAAAGAAAAGGAGCTAGCTTCTGAATTATTTAGTCTCTGTCACTCTGCATCTGACAGTATCTTTATATTCCCCCACGTTGTCTAATTTGTGCGTATGGAAGTTACTGGGTCTTCAGATATTAGAAGACGATAGACCAGAAAGAATACATGCTTCCCACACAACTGTGTTGGGAACCTAAGCAAAAGAACAGAAGAATGTATTCTTTTCTCATTTCTAGAGTTTCACTTGGATGTGTTTCACTCTGTGTCAAGCAATTCAATCCCACCTTAACACTTCAGTGCTTACTGGTAGAGCTAACATTTGACAAAAAGTGTGGCCGAGCTGCCAAGCCCTGTGATAAATTTCTGTTAGGCTTTACAGTACCAAGAGCATCACACACAGTGTCCCTCTGAAATAACACAAATGGCAGCGTGTGGTGGGGCAGTCGGACTTCCAGGCATTCTTGCTGAGTCCGGGCATCCACCAAGCTGTCGTGATCCACAGGAAGCTTGATTGATGGTGGCTTCCCTTGTCTAAACACATTCCTTAGACAGAAAATCTCCAGCCTTAAAACTCACATCCTACTAGTCTATATAGGACCATTCAGACAAGCGTAAATCCATATTTCAAGTCATGCCTTAGTGTAAGTTTTGACTTATTATTAACTCCTTCAGTTCTATTAAGGCAGAAAATAAAATAATTGAAAAGTCATTTAGAAGAAAGATCTGTTGCTTTTACATCAGTAAATACTTTGGGCCCCATATAATTGAAAAATCATAAATATATTACCATTTGATGTCAGAATATTAATCTATAACACAATTACCCATATACCTCCTAACATCTCTGCCCTAATAAGAAAAAATACATGTAAAATTGAGTCAATATATTAATCTTTTTAATGCCAATGTTAGAACAAACTATCTCTGTACACTACAAAAATACATGGGATCATCTTTATTTTCTCCAATCTTCTCAATAAAGTTCAGCCATCACAGAGCCCTTTGCTCTTAAGCACCCATTTTACATTGCCGAAGACATCTCTTCCTCTTTCACAAGCTGTCTGAGGTGTTGTTCCTGTCAATGGCAGATTCTTTTCCACTTTGAAGTGGCTTATAGCTAATAATAAGCTACCAAATTCCATAACTCATCAAAATGATAAAAACTGAAGCCTAAGAGAAATCTCGAGTTCTCTGTTAGGGAAGGTGGTGACCCACACATACAACACCAGCATTCACAGATTTTCTGTTCCTTTCAGTCTTTCCTGGTTCTCCTAAAGAAGAAAATTCTGATAAAATATCTGGAAACGTTACTAAAAAATTGCGAAAGCACTGAAATATATTTTAATACTGCTTTCTTTCTCTTAAGCATTAAGAACATCTCCTTTTTAATGTGAGTAAATGAGGTGGTGTTATTAATTTTGGCACTGAAGAAAGACATTCCTCCTATTCCAGAGAAGAAAATAAGTAAAGTATATAACCAGTTTTTTTCATATAGCAGATATGTGGTAGAGAGAAACGTGGCAAGATTTATTTCACCTCTCAAATGGTTATGAAATAAAATAAACTGCCATTTGCTGGAATAAAAAGCACAAACTCCCTTGAGTATGCCAAACAACAACAACAACACATATTGTTGGTTTGGGTCATTTTCAGCTTGCAGTCTTGCTCTAAATAGCAAACACAGTATGTGCTTCACAGTGTTAACATTTTAAACTGCACACTTCCAAATCAGATTAGAGTTACAAATGGTAAAACGGTTTTAACACTTGAAAAATTCTTTGGTTTGAAATTTCGTCTAGCACTGAACATGTTGGTGAACAAACTGAAAATTAAAGCTTCGTTTCATTCAGTGAAGAAACAGAAACACCAAATTAACACTCAGATATTTTTTAATTAAGTAAAATCTGATTATCTTACCTAGATAAAACTACCATTCAGAGAAACTTTATTTTCAATATTTTGTTAAGATTTTGTCAATACAATTTTGGAAAGAACATTGATGTGATTTCTTATTCTATCTTCACTTTCCAGTTTTTGCAATGCACCATTTTACAAAATAAGTATCCAAGTAAAGGTTTACATTACAGTATACGAAACAGAACAGAGTATGCAAACACACATAGGGTAAAAATGTGTCTATCTACGTCTATGTGAGTGTGTACTTTAAGAGGCAGGCAGGGAATAATTTAGTTACATCAGTGATGCAATAGAAGATCCTATTTGCCCACCTAAACATGTTTCTAATATTTCATAGTAAAAACCTAAATGTTTAAATAAAACAATAGACAAACATTTCAGAGTAAAATTGTTGTTTTCCAGTGAATGTTTACTAAATTGCATTTCAAACTATGTGTTCACAATGTGTGTAAGTCTAGGGCTTGAACAAAGCATAATACATTCTCAATGCCCTGGTGCATTTGCAGTGCTCCATGTCATGGTTCATGACAGTCCACCACGTGGATACATGTAGCTTGAAAGTTTCTTGGTAAATTTAAATGCCTATTAGGGTACATTTAGCCAGTAAGATGACCTTTCTAAATAATAAAGAGGTGGAAAAACTTGTTTAATATTCAGATGATTTGAATCAGTGATATCAGTATTATCAAATATCTCTCTGGCAAATATTTATCAAATGTGGCCTATATGGAGGCAGAGGGACTGCAGAGGAATTTTTGTTTTTGTTTTTAATTATATATTTATTTTCTTATTTATGTATCTGCTGACTTACAAACACTTTTAGCACAAGGGGTGTGTTTGGCGCACTACTTTGAGTCGCCTGTGTCTAGTGCAGTGTCTGATACATGGTAGAATATTAATCAATTAGTTTTATGATACTAAATTTCTTTGAGCATGAAATAAATTATAACTGTATGTATATTCACCAAGCCATAAACTCTATCACATGGAAGGACACATAAGTAGTACATAACTAAATATTATTATTTTCTCAGTGTTTAGATATATATTTCTGGTTTTAAAACATTTTTATAGAATTTCTACTGTATCTACAAAATTGTTATATCAGTATAATATTTTTATTTTTTATGAAAAAATCTTCTGACTACAACCATAAAAGTTTGTTTAAATACTTTAGTATACTGTAATGAAACATTATTTAATGTAGTGTTTCTTAATTATGTAAGAATATACATAAGTTGCAAGGACTTAGTTACAACTTAAGTCTATGTTGTAAAACTTGTCTCATGATGAACTGCTCATTCCTATGAATGAGCACAGTGAATTCTCTCTTTCTGGGATATGTGAAATCTGAACATAGTACTACCATTCTCAGGGACATTTTTGAAAAAGTTTTAAACTATGACATGTACATAGCTTGTGAGTTGTCATTCTTATGCTTACAACGAGAAAAAAGCAGAAAAAAACAACTCTTTTTGAGCCCATCAGAGCACTGAGGTCACAAGAAAAACACACCAAACATAATAAAAAACAAACTATGCATACCTAAGTATGTCATAGACAGACTGCAGAAAACCAAACACAATGAAAAAAATCTTAGGTGAATCCAGAGGAGGAAAGTAATTTTACCTTGTAAGAAATGTGAGAAATATATTGAGAAATACATTGGATTCCTCATCAGAAAACTTACAGGTGAGAAAAGAGTGGACTTAATATTCATATATTTAATATTTAATATATTTAATACACTGAACAGAGACCTGTGGTTCTGTGCCACAAATGGAGTCTGCCAGCCACACACCCACCAGTGCCCCGCCCCTGTGCTGACACAGCTGCCAGTGCAAATGCATGCAAAGATGCCAGTGTCCTTGACCCCTGGCCCATGCCACGGCCACCACCAACATGAACATGCACCCAGAAGTCGCTGGTACTTCCCGCCCCCACACTGACATCACTGCTGGTGAGACTGTGCAAATGGACATGGCAGCCCTGCCGTCCTCCCCATGCCACCACTGCCCTCCTTCCCATGCCACCACTACTACTGCTGTGAATTTCTACTGGAAGCCAAACACTCCAGTGCCTGCCAGCACTCAGCCCCAGCCAACAATCATGCAACTCACTGCGCTGCCACTGCTGCTGGCACATGAAAACAATCATGAATTCTGCTGCCATTGCCCAAAGAAACACTTCGGTTGCCACCCCCCGGCGGAATGTTCTGGCCAGCAGTCAAGGAACATCTCAGCCCCTCCAGCCAGCAGATTTCTAACCTTGAGGAGCCAGAGAACAAATTTAGGGGCCAGTACTAAGCCCCCAGAGTAAGAATATGCAGCCCAGGACTTGCCCCTTTAAAATTTTCCAGAAACAAAGCCAGTCAACTAAATCTGCCTTACACTACAATCAAACTCCTGAAGACGTCAAAGAAGATAAAAGCAAAAAGCAAAATAAAAAAAATGAAAAGGACAGTAACTTCAAAGATGGAAGGAACATCAGCCTGCAAAGATGAAAAAGAACTAATGTAAGAACTCTGGCAACACAAAAAGCCAGAGTGTCTGCTTAACTCCAAATGATCACACTAGTTCTCCAGCAATGGTTCTTAACCAGGCTGAAATGTCTGAAATGACAGCAACAGAATTGAGCATATGTATAAGAGAACAAAGATCATCAGCATTCAGGAGAAATCTAAGGATGTGAAGGAATAAAATAAAATGATACAGGAGATGAAAGTTGACACGGCTCTTTAAATAAAAAAAACAAACTGATGTAATAGAGCTGAAAAACTCACTTCAAGAATTTCTGAATACAGTCACAAGTATTAACAAGCAGAATCCATCAAGCTGAGGAAAGAATATCAGAGCTTGAAGACCAGTACTCTGAAATAAGTCAGACAACAATTAAAAAAAAAGAGAGAGAGAATGAGCAAAACCTTTGAGAAATATGGGATTATTTTAAAAGACAAAATCTATGTATCATTCACATCCCTAAAAAAGGAGAGAAAGCAAGCAACTTGGAAAATATATTTGAGGATATCTTCCATGAAAATTTCCTAAACCTCACTGCAGAGGTCAACTTCAAAATCAGGAAATGCAGATAACCCCAGTGAAATTCTACACAAGAAAAACATCCCTAAGACACATAGTCATCAGATTCTCCAAGGTTCAAGTGAAACAAAACATGTTAATAGCATCTCGAAAGAAGGGGCAGATCACCTTCAAAGGGAACCCCATTGAGTTAACAGTGGGCCTTTCAGCCAGAAAAGATTGGGGGCCTATATTCAGCATTCTTAAAGATCAGAATCTCCAACCAATAATTTAACCAATAATTTAACATCCAGTCAAATGTTCATAAGCAAAGACCTTTTCAGACAAGCAAATGCTAGGGGAATATGTTGCCATCAGACTTGCCTTACAAGAGGTCCTGAAGGGAGTGCTAAATAAAAAGGAAAGACCATTATGAGCCATTACAAAAACACACTTATGTATACACCGTTGTGACACTATAAATAAATCACACAAACAAGTCTGCATAATAACCATCTAACAACACAACAACATGATCAAATCTGGACATATCAATACTAACCTTGAATGAAAATGAGCTAAATTACCCAATTAAAAGACACAGAGTGGCAAATTGGATAAAGAAGCAAGACACAAAAGTATGCTGTCTTCAATTGACATACCTCATATGCGATGACACACATAGATTCAAAATAAAGGGAGGAGAAAAATCTATCAAGCAAAAGAAAATTTTTAAAAAGCAGGGCTTACTATTCTAATTTCAGACAAAATAAACTTTAAACCAAGAAAAATTTTAAAAGACAAGGGCATTACATAACAGTAAAGGGCCCAATTTAACAAGAGGATCAAACTATTCTAAGTATATATGTGATCAACACAGTAGCACCCAGATACATAAAGCAAGTTCTTAGAGACCTATGAAGAGACTTAGATGACCACTCAATAATAGTGGGATACATCAACACCTCACTGACAATATTAAATTATCAAGGCAGAAACCCATCTAAGATACTCAGAATTTGAACTCAACACTTGACCAAATGGATCTAATAAACCTCTACAAAACTCTCCACTCAAAACCAACAGAATATACATTCTTCTCTGCACATGAGCACATACTCTAAAACAGGCCACACAATTGGGCATAAAACAATCTCCAGCAAATTCAAAAACACTGAAATCATATCAACTCTATTCCTGGATCATAGCATGATAAAAACAGAAATCAATAAGAAGAAAATTGCTCAAAACCACATAATTATATGAAAATTGAACTTGCACCTGAATAAAATTTGGGTCAATGACGAAACTAAGGCAGAAATCAAGAAAATCTTCAAAACTAATGAGAAGATACAACAAACATGAATCTCTATAACACAGCTAAAGCAGTGTTAAGAGAGGGGAGTTTATATCAGTGAATACCCTCATCAAAAGTTAGGAAGATCTCAAATTAACAACCTATCATCAAGAGCAAACCAACTCCAAAGCTAGTAGAAGACAAAAAATAACCAAAATCAGAGCTGAACTGAAGGAAATTGAAACATAAAAAACTGTACAAAAGATCAATGAATCAAGGATTTAGTTATTCGAAAGAATTTAAAAAACACGGATAGACCACTAGCTCGACTAGTAAAGAAAGAGAAGATTCAAATAAACATAATCAGAAACCACCAGGGAGATGTTACCATTGAGCCCACAGATATATAAAGAAGCACTCAGAGACTACTATGAACAACTCTGTGCACACTAACTGGAGAACCTAGCAGAAATGGCTTTTTACAAACAAACATACAACCTCCTAAGATTGAACCAAGAACAGATAGTATCCATGAACAGACCAATAACAAGTTCCAAAATTCCATCAGTAATAAAAACCCTATCACCTAGAAAATGCCCAGGACCAGATGGATTGACAGCTGAATTCTACCAGATGTATAAAAAAGATCTGGTACCATTCCTACTGAAACTATTGCAAAACATGGAGGGAGAGGGACTCTTCTCTAACTTTGTGAAGCCAACACAATTTTGATACCAAAACCTGGCAAAGACACAACAAAAAAATGAAAAACTTCAGGCCAGTATCCTGGGTGAAAAATTCCTCAACAAAATGCTGGCAAACCAAATCCTGCATCATATCAAGAAGTGAATCCACCATGATCAAGTAGCCTTTTTCCCTGGGATGCAATGTTGTTTCAACATATACAAGCAAATACGTGTGATGTATCACATGAACAGAGCTAAAGAAAAAAACGGACATGAATATCTTGATAGGTGCAGAAAAGGCTTGCAATAAAATTCAACATCCCTTTATGTTAAAAACCTTCAACACACTAGGCATTGAAAGCAATACTTCAAAATAATAAGAGCCATCTATGAAAAATCCACAGCCAACATCATACTGAATAGGCAAAAGCTAGAATCATTCCCCTTGAGAACTGCAACAACACAAATATGTTCTCTCTCAACACTCCTATTCAACACAGTACTGGAAGTCCTGGCCAGAGCAATAGGGCAAGAGAAAGAAATAAAATGCATCCAAATAGGAAGAGAGAAAGCCAAAATATCCCTGTTTGTAGACAATGTGATTACATACATAGAAAACCCCATAGCCTCTGCCCAAAGGCTCCTAGATTTGATAAACATTTCAGCAAAGTTTCAGTACACAAAATCAATGTACAAAAATCGGTAGCATTTCACACACCAACAGCATCCCAGCTGATAGCCAAATCAAGAATGCAATTTCATTCACAATAGCCATGAAAACAATAAAACGCCTAGGAACACAGCTAACCGGGGAGGTGCAAGATCACTACAATGAGAATTACAAAATACTGCTTGAAGAAATCAGAGGTAACACAAACAAATGGGAAAACATTCCATGCTTATGTATAGGAGGAATCAATATTGTTTAAACAGCCATACTGCCCAAAGCAATTTACAGATTCAATGCTATTCTTACCAAAATACCAATGAAATTCTTCATAGAATTAGGAAAAAAACCTTTTCTAAAATTTATACAGAATCAAAAAAGAGATTGAATAGCCAAGGAAATCCTAAGTAAAAACAACAAAGTGAAGGCATCACAATACTCAATTTCAAACTACACTACAAGGTGACACTAATGAAAACAGCAAGATGCTGGTACAAAAACAGACACATAGACCAAAAGTTAAAAGTTTAAAGTTTTTCATTGAAAAGGAAAATGATATAGGTAAGAAACTTGAATCAAATAATATAACTGCATTAGAGAAGGAATTAATCAAGCTAAAATAAAATCTTTTAGATTTTTTTATTCTATATTGATTTAAAATTTAGTTTGTTGAAAGTCATGATATTAACAATATTATAGCATCAGATGATTATAACACATGAATAAGTGAAATGAATAACAGCAACGCCATAAGGAATGGGCGGGAGGAATTGGGAATATAAGCTACCTGCACTGCATATAAAGCAGTAGAGTGTTATTTGAATGTAGAGTCAGAGAAGTTTAAAATGTAAACTTTAAACTCTAGGAACTCTGATAAATTTTTTAAAGTAAAATTGATGTGCTAAAAAAAGAGTTATAAAGGCATCTTATGAAATGCTCAATGAAAACAAGAGATAACCAGAATAGAGGAAAAACTGATAAAAAAATTGCAATGACTAAAAAATATTTGCAAACAATGGTAGATATTAGTCCACCTATATAAATAATTTAGTGTTAAGGGTCTAAATACGCCAATTAAAAAAGATTACTAGCGTGGATCAAAATAAATAAGACCCACCTATATGTTCTCTACAAGATATTCAATTTAAATATAAAGATTCAAATATGTTAAATAATGCAGAAATAGATATTATACTTCATTAGTTCGCTTGAGATGCTATAAAAAGTACTGTAGATAGATTGGCTTATACAATATTTATTTTCTCGCAGCCCTGAAGGCTGGGACCTCCAAGACTAAGGTGCCAATATATTTAATTCTTGGTGAGGGCCTTTTTTCTGGCAGATTAGTTAATAAAGCACAAATAAGGTCTCTATGAAATAGGCATAAAACATAGATTTAGGTCCTGCAAACTTTCTGAAATGCCTGAGTGCATTAAGCAATGGGAAGCAAATAGCCATGACTCACCTTTGTTTTTTTTCTACCTAATCCCAAATTCGAGAATATAATTATATGGCACTTCAGCATACCATAAATATTGAACCAGAGGATTTTTGCCTCTGACCATATGTCATTTAATATACTACTTATTCAACACAAAATAGTTTCAATTTGACCTTTAATATAACTTACAGAGATTACAATAAAGTTTGAGTCTACACTATACTACCATTTGAAAAGGTCCTTGTAAAGTTGCCAGTAGACATCTATAACTCATCTATAAAGTTCTTTTGCACACCTTTTTGGAAGAGTAGTAAGAGTAAAGATAGTATAAGGCAATTAAGAATGATGAATAATCATATTTCAAATAAGAAAACGTTAACTCTACTGAATCCATGATTTATTATCTATACTGGAAGAACATTCGATCAACATCAGGATATTTACATTTCTTAATCAAGTTAACTTTTTTAAAAACAAACAAACAAAAAGAATATAAATATTGTAGAATCACCACTAATGAAATAAATCTGTGGGAAAGTCATATTATTTTAATCAGGTATTTGCAAAGTCTCAATTTCTAATGAAAGTGCCAAATAAAAATTGACTAAGAAACATTTTTCAGTGATATTTTGTAAGGGTTGTATTTTTTCTCCTTTATGGATAATATTTGTAATTATTCACAGTACCATGTCTACTAAATTAAGTAAAAATTTAATAGGATTTGACAGATGTATGGATGAACTCCTTGAACTTTACTGATTTACTGGGCACTAAACCACGTATAGCTTGAAAGAATATAGTCTTTCATGAGTCACAGGCCTAATTATTGAGATTTAACTTTTTTTAAATTTTAAGCAGATAGCCTCACTATTTTTCTCAATTTGGCAAAACTAAATTTACCTAGTGCCTAAAATCATAGATTCACTGATCCTCGATTATTTAATCTTCAAACTATTCAATATTCCTCGAAAATAAGGTATTTGATTACTCTAAAAACCAGGATTTAATCTTTGTTAAAAATATGGGGATATTATTCTTGATAGATTATATGCATGAATCTTATGTTTTGAAAAAAATCAAATCTGTGTAGCTGTTAATTTTCTTAATATAAAGCTATAGGACAAACAATGTCCATTTATGGGACGATCTAAAGTTGACTTACGGGTAAGCTGGTATTGGATGTGCTACGTAGCTCTCCAGTTAACCTGCAACGTTAATATATATGCATACAAATATATACACATGTATATATATATATATGTATACACTTGTATATACACACACATATATGTATACACTTGTATATATACACACACACATATATATACTTGTATATATAATTTCATACTGTGTAGTTAATATATAAATATATGTATAAACTTCCTATATATATATATACATATGAGATGCACAATACAGAGTTAACTAATCTGCCATCAGAGGCTGCTACAATTCATAGATGGAAGAGAAACAAGTTTAATCAAGGTCACACCAGGATTAGCTCTAGCTCTGTGAGAGAGTGCCAGGGGATGTTTAATACCCACACATACCAGACAAGACCTTGGTTTTTACGGTCTCACCTCAAAGACCCTCACATACTCTACTCTATAATTAATTTACCTCAGAAAGGGTGAAGGTTAGTACAGCTGGGATTTTAAAGGAAGTTTTAAATTCTTCAATTACAACACATAGACGAACTAAGTATGTTGTAGTTTACACTCATTTTTAAGCCATAATCATAAACCTTATAAAAGTAATTATAAATGTAATTCACCTTTTTTCTTGCATTGTTTTCATTGCTTTCCCTCCCTTCCTTATTTCTTCCCTCTCTCTTTTCCCCTTTTTTTCTTTCTCCTTTCTCTTTCTTCCTTCACTCCCTCCTTCCTTCCCCCTTTTCTCCTTCCCTCCTCCCTTCCTTCCTTTCTTCTTCCTTCCCTTCCTCCCTTCTTCCTTCCCTCCTCCCTGTCTTCCCTTTCTTGCTTTCTTTTCAATTAGACCTCAATGAATATAACAAGTTAATATTTTCTGGAATCAAAGTTTACCCTTATGGTTCAAGTCAGGAGAACATATTAACCCTTGGTATATTCTGAACTTAGCACCTATAACTGGATTTGACATAGAAAAGCAAAACATTTATTAGCTGATTAGCTAAACTAATATATCCATTTCTCAGGGGAAAGAAACTAAGGTTAAAGCTGTGAGAAAGTGTCCCAAGGCTACTTCTGAATTTTGCTACTCCTATAATCTGTTCTAGTGACTTGGCACATATCCAAAAATATAATGAATAAAGGTATGATACTTGTTCTGTATGCCTCATTCTGAGTTATTTGGTTTACTTTGGCAGAACGTTCTTTTATATATTTCTATATAATATGTTTTAGGAGAAAGTGCTTAAGAGTTTTTTTTTAACTTATATTTTAAGCTTTTTAAATAGTTGGGTTCAAGTAATATTTACAGTACCTACTTTTACCTTCAAGTTCTGCGCACCAAACTCACCAAACAAGCAGAATGAAGTAGAAATACCATCATTTTGGAGACATTCTTATCATGAGGACCAAGTAAATAAAATATGAATTATAAAATTATCCTCTTACAGATCCACAATCAAAATACAAACATGAAGAAATTCTCCCTGCAGAAGATGCTGTGAATCATAATCAGTATTTCCTTTGAACATATACATTCTACTTTTTCCATTGAAATCACAGGCTACATCATTGAGACTGTGCTTATACCACACTAAAATTTCCAGCACATTGAGAAAATGTGGCAATTTTCTGAATATTAATGTTACGTGATGATGGGTACAGAGATGTTCACCACATCTCTGATACCAAATAGTTTCTGCATAGTTGAAAGTCTATGAATATTGATATTTAAGTATTGCCAGAACATACCAACATGACATTAGATTGTTTTACATATTTATTACAAATAACAAATATTCTTAGCCATATTACCTGGTGTGAGTGATAATATTGAGGGAATTTTGAAAAATAAATATTGTGAAATTTAGATGTTTGTTCTCTGGATGTGTTTGTAGTGACTTTTATGAGCATGAAAACAGCACTTCTGACTAGCAGGTTACTCCAAACAATCTCATTTACTCCACGGGGTTATTCATGAGGTTATTCATGTCTGCATTCAACAAACTTCCACGAGAGGTTGCCAAATGCATATCACTCAGGTAGATGCTGAGGAGGCAGCTGATTTGATCCTTACCTTCTCATAGTCTGGCAGGCACAGTAGACATTAATATGTACTGAGACATGCTACATGGGAGAAGTTATACAACAGGGTCATAAGCAAGGAAACCTAATTCTTCTGGGGAAGGAATGCTTCTCAGATAAATTATATTTATAGGATTTGAGATTTATGGGCTTTGAAGGATAGGTAGATATTAGTTTGGTGATAATTTCCTTATGGGGCAAGTGTTCAAGACAGAACTAAGTTTACATGCAATAGTGCAGAGGTGAGAGAGAGCATGGTTCTCTAGAAAAATGTGCAAGATAGAAGATGTGAGTAGAGCATAGAGGATGAAGGAAAAATCAGTTTGATCTGTGACTGTCCAAGGAAGAAAAGCCATGTTATTCATGGCCTTATAGGTCAGTGCAAAACTTTAAGACTTTACCAAAGAGACACTGGAAGCCACAGTTAAGTTTCAGCCATTGGAGTGGCAGGACCTGGTGTGTACTGTTAGGAAATTACAATAGGAAACGAATATTTTCCAAACCCAGAAAACCTCTCCACAAAGTAGAAAACTTTCCCCGCGTAGGCAATCTGTTAAAAGATTGCAGAGAGAAAATATCACCCTTTTATATAGCCAAGCAGATACAAACCATTACATACATGTTCTCATGATAAACTAGTCCTCAAATAAAGGGATTTGACAGCACCATTTATCACTCATAGCTTTTCCTAAATTTATTAGGTAATTAGGGTTACCATCTATGGTATCTAATTGGCTTATCCAAAGGAAAAATAGACTTCTCATATCTTTATGACAGGCGGTAGTTTTGGAGCAAGGCCTCAGCCCGTTAGGCTCTGATCCTACCACATAAACAAGAGAGAGAGGCGCTGTCTTCCCTGAGGGGTCTTTTCCTTTCAAAGAGACAGAGGTCCTCAAGGGCTTTAAGAAAGACTTTCCTGGTTTGCTTAACTGACAAGAGGCTTATTTAGCATTTAAAAAGATTTGCATACCTTTCAAAGAGACAGGGAAATAACAGAATTACAAGTTTTCTAAAGTAAATGCTCTAAAGAAGGGAGGGGGAAGAAATCCCTTTCTTTACATTCAACAGAGAGAATTAAGCCCCCTTTTAAATTTGCTTTTGTCTTTAACAGATTTTTTTTTTTCTATTTTTAACATTCCTTTTTTGTTTTTTACTGAGCTATAAATCTCATTGTCTATTTCTGTATCAATATCACAGTCTCCAGATTTCTCTACTTTTTGAGAAAGTCTTAAAATCAGGTAGCAAATTTCTTCACATTCACTCCTCTATTTTTCTTTTCTTTGTTTTCTATTTTTTTGTTTTGTTTTGCTTTTTAGAGACGAGATCTTTCTGTGTTGCTCAGGCTGTCCTGGAACTCCTGGGCTCAAGCGAATTCTCCCAGTACAGCCTCCCAAGTAGCTGGGATGATAGACACGCGCCATGCTCTGAATTTGTTCACCTTTTTAAAGGTTGTTTGTACTTTTCTAGGTCCTTTTCTTTTCTCTGTTTTGTAATATGCTTATCAATTTCTTAAAACAAAAATGCCCACTGGGATTTTGATTGGATTTGCGTTGAAACTAATTAATTTGGAAAGTATAGTTAATCTAACAACATTAAGTCATCAATCGTAACGATAATATGTTTTCATTTATTTGCCTTCTTTAATTCTTTTAACAATATTTCTTAGTTTTCCATGTATCTACCATGTATGTTACACATTGTATATATTTTGAGGCTAGTGTAAATAATATATTTATTATATTTTTTATGTGCTTATTACCATCAGATAGATGCACACTTATTTTGTTGATCATGCAATCAGCAATATTATCCATTTATTTTTTATTGCTAATAATTTTTCAGGATTCTCTACAAACACAAGGATGTTGTCTGCAAATAAAGACAGTTTTACTCTTCCTTTTCAATCTTTCTTTCTTTTGTTCCTCTTCCTTGAAAGAGTCAAGGTTTTCAGCATCAAATTGACTAGAACTATTTAAAGTGGATGAGGTAGGCAATGTACATGAGCCCACAACAATTATGGAAGCACTCGATTTTCTCAGGTGCAGATCCTGTACTTATAAGACTCTAATGGGGAGGACCCCCTTGAGAGGGAGGAACTTGTTATCTAGTCATGACAGGATCATTTTTTAGGAGCTTATTCTTCTATACCAGAAGTACAGTAATCTCTACAAGTGAATATTAATTCTTCCTGTTGTTTAAAAGAAAAAATAACTTTCAGAAGTTTTAGTTGTAAAATGATTATTACTTTAGTCAGTTTGTATCAGGTTTGCATAAAATTATAATCACGTCAAATTTTCTGAGGAGACCTCCATATTTTACATCTAAATTTATTTATGCTACTAAGAGAATTAGGATTATATTATTTTCTCATGTTTAATGCATAGCTCAGACTGTCATGTGTTACGGCTGGAAAAAAAAAAAAAAAAAAACTTTGGAATCTTCTTTTTTTTTGAGACGGAGTCTCGCCCTGTGGCCCAGGCTGGAGTGCAGTGGCGCCATGTCAGCTCACTGCAAGCTCCGCCTCCCGGGTTCACGCCATTCTCCTGCCTCAGCCTCCCGAGTAGATGGGACTACAGGCGCCCGCTACCACGCCCGGCTAATTTTTTGTATTTTTAGTGGAAATGGGGTTTCACCGTGTTAGCCAGGATGGTTTCGATCTCCTGACCTCGTGATCTGCCCATTTCGGCCTCCCAAAGTGCTGGGATTACAGGCATGAGCCACCGGGCCCGGCCGGAATCTTCTAAAACTTTTTTTAAACTGAAAAAAAAGACTATTTGCTGACTTTTTCTTATTCTAAGCACTACACTAGTTGCTTCATATATATTGTTTCATTTAAGCCTTCCAATAACAATGCAAATTAGATAATCTCCATTTTACAAGTGAAGAAACTGAATCTAAAAAAAAAATTAATTTATCTACAACTCTATAGTGAGTTACTGGTGGAACCAATCCTTGAGATCAGGTATTTATAATAATAATAATTATTATTATATTGTATTTTGTTCATTGTTGTATCCCAAAGCCTAGAGTAGTGTGTGGCAAGTAAACAATGAGCAATTAATTAACATTTGTTACATGGATAAAATAACTTTTATGCTCAGTTTATTTTTAATTTCTATTGTTCCTTGTGTTTGCTGGTAAATGTGAATATCTAATTATGCACTATATGTGAATATAATTGCCATATTTTGAAATTATATTTGAAGCAAATTTATTTCTTTACAATAAGGAGACATTAGGGAAGACTCAGAACTATTCTTTAGACTTGCCTGTCTCATAAGGTCATTTGGAGGCTGTGGTGTGCTGACCTTCAGTGTATGTTAAGACAGGGCAAAAGTCCTAGTCATAAAGCTTGAACCATGATAAAGAAAATGAGTATCTTAGTAGGTAAACATTTTGTCAGGTTGTGAGTCATACTCACAATGCAAGACCATTAGCGTACTAGAATGTCTGTCCACAGGCAACAGATTATGGACAAGAGTTGCAGACTCAAATGAGGACAACTGGATCAAATTAAATCAGATTCTAAGAATAGAGAGTAAAGGAGAATCTAGTATAAAAATTATAAATCTATATGCAAGTATCGAAAAAGTGCTATATCCTGGGGAACAAAAATGAAACAAATGAGCAGCAGTTCATATATCCTGGTTAAGCCTAGCAGAGACAGGAGCCACATTTTCTTGAGTGAAGGTATTGATAAAGTACTCAATGCTTTAAGTCAAGATAAATCTTGCAACTGGGAGAAGACTGAGTCTACAGAATTGGGACTTACTGGGTTTTTTTGAAAATAACTAAGTGAGTATCGTCAGAAATAATCTTAGGACGGCTATTCAGAGAGTATGTTTTATGTGTAGCCTGGGGAAATCCGAGTTTTTCCTGGGCCTGGATTTAGTGTCTCTGAGCTCTATTGAAATATGCGGTTGTACAAAATGTATGTCCAGCTCTCAGAGAACTTACTGCCTTGTGCGGGAGATAGATATTAATAAAAACAGTATCATAATCATGAATGTGTTACATAAGGCTTACAGCCCGAAGTAAGTGCTCTGAAACAAAGCAACAGGCTTATGAGAATGTGTAACAAACCCTATGACCTATACTAGGAGTATGGGGAGGTTTTCCTCAGAAAACAGAAGTTCAGTTAATACTGAAGCCATGGGTGACCATATTACTCAGGATGTATATAGAGTAAAAAGAAAAGAAAATGAAACAAAACATAATTTAATCTTAAAGAATGCCATCTTTTGCCTTAGAAAATAAAGAAGAAGCAGACAGACAGGTAGATATAGCACAGGAGAGAATCTCTCCATGCAAATCAGGAAAGATAATATTTTCTAAAAATTCTTTTCCTGTGAATTTTCCACTAGAGTTGTTCTCAACATAGAAAGGGAGTGGTGATTTTACCCTCTAGAGAAGAAATCTGGCAGTGTCTTGAAGCATCTTTTGTAGCTACGACTAGGGAGGGTGCTCCTCGCGTTTAGTGGGGAGAGGCCAGGGATGCTGCTGAATATCTCGTAACGCAAAGAAAAGCCTCCTACAATGAACATCCACCCCAAATGTTAGTGGTGCTAAGCTTGAAAGCAAGCACTAGTGTGAGTGCAAAGATGATAGAGTAGCTACAGACTGAATGAACTGAGAGGAAGTCACAGGGATTCTGTGAGCATTGTCTGAGCACTCCTGGGAGTCCTGATACCAAGAGCCGCTTATAAGAGAAGCAGCTTATAGGAGTTTTGATAAGAGAATGTAAGCCAGAAGTTATTCACAGAATAAGAGCTGTCACTGATGGCAGCAGTTATAGGCAGCTACTGCTGCCAATAGGAGTGGAGATATAAGGCCTGAGGGTATCTTAAGAAGGGAAAAGATACACTGCTGTTAAGACATTCTGGAAACACTGTCTTTTGAAGTTGATAGAGATGAGAATGCTGCTGGACTTAGAAGCCATGAATATTATCCCATCATTTGCTTTGTTGACATTTTATGAAATGTTAGAAATCATTAGATCTATTTACTTACTCCTACTTGAGGTTATCAAATTAAAAAAAAAGAATTGTATTAGTCATTCTTAGACTGCTACAAAGAAACATCAGAGTAATTTATAAAGAGAAGAGGTTTCACTGGCTCATGGTTTCACAGGCTGTACCGGAAGCATGACTGGGGAGGCCTCAGGAAACATTCAGTCATGGGAGAAGAGGAAGCAAACACATCTTATGTGGCTGGAGCAGGAGGAAGAGAATGAAGAGGGAGGTGCTGCACACAACCTTTAAACAACTAGATCTTGTGAGAACTCACCATCATGAGAACAGCAAGGGGGAAATATGCCCCCATGATGCAATCACCTCCCAGCAGGTCCCTCATCCAGCATCCGGGATTACAGTTCAACTTTACATTCCAGCAGGGACACAAATCCAAACCGTATCAAATTGGTGTGAAAGGCCTTGAAATTTCAGAACAAAACTTTAACTTGATTCTAGAGTGAGAAAACATTCCAAAGAATGTTCAATTAATTGATTTATTCTTTACTTATTAAGTGCATCATATTGCGTCTGGAATTGATGGGTTCTTGGTCTCACTGACTTCAAGAATGATGCCGCAGACCCTCACGGTGAGTGTTACAGTTCTTAACACGGTGAGTGTTACAGTTCTTAAAGGCGGCATGTCCGGAGTTTATTCCTTCTGATGTTTGGATGTGTTCAGAGTTTCTTCCTTCTGGTGGGTTCGTGGTCTCGCTGGCTCAGGAATGAAGCTGTAGACCTTAGCAGTGAGTGTTACAGCTCTTAAGGCGGCGCGTCTGGAGTTGTTCGTTCCTCCTGGTGGGCTCGTGGTCTCACTGGCTTCAGGAGTGAAGCTGCAGACCTTGGAGGTGAGTGTTACAGTTCATAAAGGCAGTCTGGACCCAAAGAGTGAGCGGTAGCAAGATTTATTGAAAAGAGCGAAAGAACAAACCTTCCACGGTGTGGAAGGGGACGCCAGCGGGTTGCAACTGCTGGCTCCAGCAGCCTGCTTTTATTCTCTTATCTGGCCCCACCCACATCCTGCTGATTGGTAGAGCCCAGTGGTCTGTTTTGACAGGGCACTAATTGGTGCGTTTACAATCCCTGAGCTAGACACAAAGGTTCTCCACCTCCCCACCAGATTAGCTAGATACAGAGTGTCCACACAAAGGTTCTCCAAGGCCCCACCAGAGTAGCTGGATACAGAGTGTTGATTGGTGCATTCACAAACCCTGAGCTAGACACAGGGTGCTGATTGGTGTGTTTACAAACCTTGAGCTAGATACAGAGTGCCGATTGGTGTATTTACAATCCCTGAGCTAGACACAAAGGTTCTCCCACCAGACTCAGGGGCCCAGGGGGCTTCACCCAGTGGATCCCGCACCGGGGCTGCAGATGGAGCTGCCTGCCAGTCCCACGCCCTGCGCCCACACTCCTCAGCCCTTGGGTGGTCGATGGGACTGGGCGCCGTGGAGCGGGGGTGGCGCTCCTCGAGGAGGCTCGGGCGGCACAGGAGCCCACGGAGGTGGTGGGAGGTTCAGGCATGGCGGGCTGCAGGTCCCGAGCCCTGCCCCGCGGGAAGGCAGCTAAGGCCCGGTGAGAAATCGAGCGCAGCGCGGGTGGGCGGGCACTGCTGGGGGACCCAGTACACCCTCCGCAGCCGCTGGCCCGGGTGCTAAGCCCCTCATTCCCCGGGGCCGGCAGGGCCGGCCGGCTGCTCCGAGTGCAGGGCCCGCCAAGCCCCCGCCCACCCGGAACTCCAGCTGGCCCGCAAGCGCCGCTCGCAGCCCCGGTTCCCGCTCGCGCCTCTCCCTCCACACCTCCCTGCAAGCTGAGGGAGCGAGCTCCGGCCTTGGCCAGCCCAGAAAGGGGGTCCCATAGTGCAGCGGTGGGCTGAAGGGTTCCTCAAGTGCCGCCAAAGTGGGAGCCCAGGCAGAGGAGGCGCCGAGAGCGAGAGAGGGCTGTGAGGACTGCCAGCACGCTGTCACCTCTCAATATGTTTACGTGTTCTAGGTGTTGAGGTTTCAACAATCGGCAGTCTTGACAATGGCCTTCTCGTCCTGAATCATATATTTCAGTTGGGAAGCAAGAGATAGAAACAAAGGAAATTAATAGGCAAGATAACTTTAGAACATGGTAAGTTCTATGGACACAATGAAATTGGGAAGTGGTATGAGGCAGTCCTTGATTAGTTTAGCATATATATCTCTCCAGTCACTTTCTAAATATTTACCTGATTTCACTGCCATTTGGATTAAGACCAAAGTGCTGGGAAAGATCTAGCTGTGGGATCCTGTAGTGACAGAGTCTTCCAAATTATGGCTAGAACAAGGAACAGAAAGAAGTCTCAAGTGCCTGGATTGTATTTGGAGGATGGGAATAAGGTAGTTGTAGTAAGAAAGACCACCTCGTGGAAGGCTTGAAAGCCATGGAAAGGAGATTGAATTTAATTCTGAAGGCTTAAGAGATAACCAGAAGGTTTTATGCAGTGGAGTAATATGACCTAAGATATATTTTAGAAGGCCATTTTGGTTCAGTATAAGAACAGTGGAAGTTGAATGATAAAACTAGTGTCATGACCGTGGGAATGGATAAAAATAAAGAGTTCACAGACTTTGCTATGGAATGCAAAAGAAAGAGATTATACATGAGAATTTTGCTTGGGTGTCATTGTTGGGGCATTTTAATAAATTTTAATAACTAGTGAATTATAGTATATTTACTAAGACTAATGATTTGGGAAAGAGTCGTATTTTGATATGCTAGGTTGTAGCTGCATAGAAAACATCCAATAAAGTTAGCAAGTCACTATTGCACTATATCATCTAAATTTCAGGGAATTTCCAGGTATCAAGCTGTTGATTTGGTAGTGAATGGTCTATAAAGTAATGCGATTACATACAATCTCTGAGAGATATTGCTCCTAGAGACAGACAGAATGTGAGGCCAAAATCTGAGCTCTGGATCATTCTAGCATTTAGGAATCAAAGAGTAAAGCAATTAGGAGGAGCAAGTAGTAAAGCAACTAGGAGTCAAAGAGTAAAGCAACTACAAGGAGACCTAGAAGGAGCAGTTACTGAGGTAGGAGGAGAATCATGAGAACATATCACATGGAAACCAAGGGACAATAGTGTGCGCAGGTAGAAGCAGTAATAGGAAGGAGTGCTTCTGTGGGTCTGACTTGCCCAGGACAGGGAAGTGGAAATAGGAATTGAGAGGAGGCAGGTTATGGATTTTTTAAGACTGACTATTATGGGCTCATGGAGACCACTCCAGCCCAGCATGGATTAAGAAGACTAAAGAAAGTAAGGAAGTATAATCAGCAAATGCTCACAGCCTGTGAGGAGTTTTGCTATAAAGAGAAACAAAGAAAATGAATGAAATCTAGAGTAAAATCTAAAACTAAGAGAAATTTTATAATATATATAAATTTATATTTATAATTTTATATATAAATTTTATTATGCATAAATCTATATTTTATATATAATATATATACACTTATAATTTATATATTTGTATATAAATGTATATGTACACATTGTATTTATATATATTTTACATTGTATACGTAAATACATTGTATTTATGTATACATTGTATATATAAATACTATATATAGTATGTCTATATACTTATATGTATTTGTATGTACAATATGTATATAGTATTTATATATTTATATGTATTTACATATATAAATGTGTATATATAGTACTATATAAATAAATGTAACAATATACAATGGTTACTTGATATTTTCATTTGGATATTTGATTAATTGCTTAAACCTAGCATGCCAAAAGATGGCTGTTTCATTTTCCTCCCCAAGTACATTTCTCTCTAGTCTTTTACCTACCTTCACATTAGTAAACTTAGTAAAATAATTACCATTTCTAGCTTTTAAATATTTAAAATTGTGTATTAAAGAATGTTTTATAATTTTGTTTTATGATCTACCCCCTTCCTCCTTCCCTTTTAATCTCTCTATATATTTAATTTTATGAATTAAACATGTAATTTTGTAAGATATATATATGTGTGTGTATATATAGACACATATACAGAGTGTCTTTATATATTTTTTCTATATATAAAGAGATTATACATGAGAATTTGGCTTACGTGAAAATTGGTAAGATCAAGGATTAGAAAGTTTCTCTGGAGCTCTGGAGTGGTGAAGTGTGAGTAATTGAGTTGGTGAGCTAGAAAATTATACTTTTGATTATACGTTTGAATTGGGGATGAAGGTATTGGTTATGAAGATCTAGGTCAAACTCATGGGAGTAGGTAATTGAAGAAAGTAGAGAAAAAACATTTTAGAGATGAGGATGAAATGGAACTACACAACATGTTGAATAGATCATACAAGTTTGCTGAAGTTATTAGGAATGATGGCAAAAGTGGTGAAGGGGAATCTAGTTATTCAATAAATAAGGAAGTAATCAGTTGATTGGTAGCTAAAAGTAATGAATGAAAATAGTAGTGTGCAAACTAGGTCATGAGCTTCAAAAATATCTCTAGTGTTTGGAGAAGGGAGGATTGGAAATGTTTAAGATATATCTGTTATTTCATATTTAATACTTACGAGTATTGCTTAATTTGTTAGTATCAATGCAGCATTAAAATTCTCGTTCATATGACCCATTTTAAATGGATTTTTAAATAAATATTGACAGAAAAAGTTTAAGAACAACATCACTGACAGCAACTTAGAAGTTTGTGAAAAGAGAGAAGAGGTTATTTTAAATTTTTGGTAAAATACTGTTTTTGAACATGTACTACCTCATAACACCATACAGTTCTTTTTAAAACTCAAATGCTTTTATCATTGTTGGAGCAAATGAATTGACAAATTACTGAGTTTTGGACTATCTGGAATTGTTTTGGAAATTTATCTCTAAGGCTAAATAGTGTGGCACCATAATTATTGAGTTTAGGTGAGGGAAAGGAAGCAAGGACACCCTTGGATAAATGAAATGTCAAAGCAGGGTTGAAGGCAATAGTCATGCCTAGCATGGAGGAAATCCTTAATGACACTTTTTACGGAGTTCAAAAAAATCATTGCAATTCCCTTTAACTGACATGAATAAGAGTGATCTGTCAGCAAGAACACTTAAGGCTACCCAACTAAATTGGTTTGAGGCATCCTGCAGGAAACCAAATCTAATCTAATCAATAATACTGACACACCAAAGAGAGGTACGTAGGAGCAATTTTAAAAATGAGGAATAATATAAGTTTTAAAATGTCAGGTTTTTTCCCTTTTAAGCTCCTGAGAACTAAAATTTAAAGCAATATTTATGTAGTTTAATGTTCTCTCCAGTTACAGAAAAACCGCTATTTTGCTGTTGTTTCCACTTGAGAGATAATTGGCTTAAGATTGAATTATATATATATGCATTCCTGAATATCTGCATGTGTATATATATATATATATATATTTCTCTACTAATATATATGTGTGTCTTTGTATGTGTACATGTATTATAGTATAACACACATTATTATGTACATAACACATATTATACATACAATAATACGTATTATTAATACATAAGTATTATTACAATATAACATACAGTTTTACCTTGATAAATAAGAGTATTCTTTTACGGCCTTTTTTTTTTTACTTCAAGTTATGTTTTGCTTTTTTTACTTTAAATAATGTTTTTCTTTTTGCTGCGTAGTTATGTTTTAATCCCACCTACAAACATTAGCTAATCAGAACTTCAGTAATTACCAAGCATGGAAAATTCTTCTTATCTTTTACTGACTCATCTGCTTTCAGCAACCTCACCTCAAACTTACAAATGTCTCTAATTAGGCTATTTGCCCAACATTTTCACATTTTAATTTTATGATTGTCCTTGAAGAAATTGTTCTGGGATCCCACCAATACTAGTAATTATAGCTCCATTATGCCTCTTACTTAGGAGATATTTAGACTTTGATCAATGTATTCATTACACTTATTGATTGATAATTATAATGCATTACTTGCTGACTTTCCTGCCTCCCTCATTAATTGTCTTGCCACAGTCCAGAAACATAGTTGCTAGACACTTGACATACATTTTGCCAGAACATTTTACTTTGCTTTTACACTTACTTGGTGCTTAATTGTTCACTTCCCTTATTACAAGCCCATTTATTATTTATTGTAGCTTTCTGGCACTACTCATAGGGATCCAAGCAGCCTTCACCATTCTTATGTTCCCCACCCACCCCTTAGCTATGCTTCTCTAAACTTGCTATTTCCAGAATGTTATAAAAGAAACTCAGCATAACTTATCTATAATTACTCTAGGATTTATGATTTATTTAGATTTTATTTTTAAAGTGTTAACTAAAACCTTAAATATGTTAAAACCTGTGGATATTACTATCTGTATTTGAAGAAGGTAGATTTAAATACACTATCACTTCTTTTTGAGTCTTGCTCTGTTGCCCAGGCTGGAGTGCAATGGTGCAATCTCGGCTCACCATGACCTCCACCTCCCAGGTTCAAGGGATTCTTCTGCCTCAGCCTTCCGGGTAGCTGGGATTACAGGCATGCACCACCATGCCTGGCTAATTTTGCATTTTTAGTAGAGACGGGGTTTCTCCATGTTGGTCAGTCTGGTCTCAAACTCCTGACCTCAGGTGATCCAGCCGCCTCGGCCTCCCAAAGTGCTGGGATTCAGGTGTGAGCCACCACACCCAGCCACTATCACTTCTTAATAATGTAACAATACAAGTTGAGGAAGTGGTAAGATTCAAGACATTCATTAGTGTTTTAATTACATATTTTGGCAAGTAATACATTATTTTTATTTAATCATTTTACTTCATTATTTAAACTACCTTAAATTATTTTCTACATCTAGACAGAGCAGCTTATATTTATTTGAGACCCAAAATATGAATAACAATACTGTTATTCTTTTTTCCAGATGAATAGGACTCAACCTTTTGTAGACACTTCAAATAATGCTTTCCCTCATAAAAAAATGTTTAATGTGTGACATTTTCATTATCTGTCCACTTTTTAGTCATGTTAATAATGACACTTATCATTTAATGCCCCTTCCAAGCTTATAAACATCGCAATATGTTGTCTTTACTGTCGACATTTTATAGTGCTCTGCATGTTTGTATAATAGTTTGACTCCATATTTCAATTTTGTCACTAGGGTCTAGATCTCTTTATTCCCAGAACCTAGCATAGGGAAGGTTTTAAGGGAAGGTTTTTTAATACAGATGCTCCTCAACTTCTAATGAGATCATGTCCTGATACACCAATCATAAGTTAAAAAATCATTTAATACCCTGCCTACCTTAAACATGCTCAGAATACTCACAATAGCCCATAGTTGAACAAAATCGCTTAGCACAAAGCCTATTTTATAATAACGTGTTGAATATCTCATATAATTTATTGAATACTGCAGTGAAAGTGAAAAACAGAATGGTCATACGGGTCCCCGAAGAATGGTCTCTACTGAACGCGTATCCCTTTTGCATCACCATAAAAAAAAAAAAATTAAGTTAAAACATTCTAAATCAGGGATCGTCTGTATATGTTAATTTGTATGTATGTATGCACATATATATGAAAAGGGAAAGTAAAGAATTGACTCAATTTATAATATACTCTCATTTTATAAATTGCTTATGCATTAAAGGAAATATCAAAATTTAAAGAGGGATAGCCATAATAAATATCAACAAAGGCAATCATAACTGTTATTTGGTGAAAATGTTTCCTTAACTCATCTACAGGGCTGCATTATTACCTTTTGTTTTATCTCATTATAAGATTTTAATATTTTTTCAATTGCAGCTCATCATTCCAATATTTAATCACATTGTTGCCTAAGAAAGTGATATTTTTTTCTTTACATTTGCTTTCTTTTTTCTCACTGTTTCTTCAAGCAAACTCTCAACAGTACCTTCTTAGCATGAGTGTTAGCTTTTCTTATTGCCAACCTTTTAATTGGAGTTTTAAAATAGGAAAGGATTTAGTTGGTAGACAAAAATTGAGTAAATATAAATTTTAAAAATCTTAAATACTGACTGAAATTAATTTTATGTTTCTTTTTTTTCTATTTTTATCTATGTTTAACATAAAACAATATAAGCATAAATAATATTTTATAAATATAAACAATGCAAATATATTATGTGGAAGAGAAAGTGACACATTCAGAAATACTATTTTTATAATTAAAAATACAAATAGTGTTCTATAATGCTTTAAATCATGATACATTAAAAATAAAAAATGTAACTTCTAAAAAAATTCTGTTAGATTATGTAGAAATATATTGGTTTCAACTTCACTTGCAGAATCAGAGAACTAGATTGCTATAAAACAGATGGACTCTCTTGAGTGCCATTGGATTCATAGGAGCAATATGTAAATAATGAGTAAAAAAATCTTGATTATTTCCTGTTATTTTACAAAATATTAACCCTTGTGATCTCCCTCAGATCACCTCACAGGTCCAAATAATTTAGGAAATAAATTCCATCCATCATGATCCAATGCAGTTTTTTTCATACTGAGCCACTTGGAAGGCATTGGATTATTTTCACGCAAGACCTTGGAATATATTTGAATATAGGGAGGTAGGGAGGAGAGGAGAATGAAATGTTGAAAATATTTAAGCTTATTTAAAAAATAAGTTGATTAAAAATCTGTTCACATGCATGCTGTTACACACATCCCAAGGGCTATTTGCTTATTCATGTGTAGTTTCAGTGTAAAAACAGGTAACATTTTCACTGACTGTGATCTAAATTAAATTAATGTCTCAAAATAATTCATGAGTTAGCAGTGGAAATCAAAGTAGTACTTCAAGTGTACTTGAAGTATTGACTTGTGTTGAAAACAATTTAGTATTTTACCTTGCTTTGTTGTAATATTTTAAATAATTTCTAAAAAAAAAAGTTTCATTTTGAAGATTTCTAGATTAATCTCTGGATTTGCATAATATCTTCCATTGTTTATTTATTTATTTATTTTTTGAGATGGAGTTTCGCTCTTGTTGCCCAGGCTGGAGTGCAATGGCACGATCTCGGCTCATCGCAACCTCTGTCTCCTGGATTCAAGAGATTCTCCTACCTCAGCCTCCTGAGTAGCTGGGATTACAGGCTCACACCACCACACCCTGCTAATTTTGTATTTTTAGTAGGTACGACGTTTCCGCATGTTGGTCAGGCTGGTCTTGAACTCCCAAACTCAGGTGATCTGCCCGCCTTAGCCTCTCAAAGTGCTGGGATTACAGGCGTGAGCCACCGTGCCTGGCCTTCCATTGTTTATTAATAGCTAACAGGACTAACATTTTAAATAATTTAGAGAGGAAGGCTGATACAAATAAATCAATATCTTTACATAATAGTTGTCACAAATACCTTTTACTTAATATAATGCTTCTAAGTTTTAAAACCTGCTTCATGAATGATGGTAAACTGAGAATGAAAGTCAACCGTTATTTACAGAAAACTTTGAACATGTCATGGTATCTCCCATTTTCAGTACGTATGTGGAGTTAATATATGATTGCATTTCTTAGCAGTCGTATGTTGTTATTATGTTAACAATGTAACAATGTTTTATTTATTTTACTGCCTCACCTACCTAATCAAATTATGTATTTGATTTATTAAATGATCCTGACAGAACATTATCATTACTCAATAATACAAAATAAATAAAATTAAATAACCCAGTAAAACTTTTCTAAGGTAAGGAAAAATTCCAGCCACTGATAATAAAATTAGAAATTTATGCCTTGTTACTAAAAAAATTTTAATTATATTTTTAACCTTAAAATTGTATGTTGGTATTTATATGTTTTCTATTTTATCTCATAAATAAGACCAAATATCATTTCTAAATAGAAAATAATAATTTATATAAATCTTAATATTTGGAATATTTTTTCCTGACTCTGCTCACCTACAGTTTTTTGCATACTTGCAATCATAGTGTAATATATATTTTGTATTATTTTCTACTTGATTAATATGTAGCTTAGGTATATTGTGGTTGACAGAATCTTGTCCCCCATGAATTTTGTCCCTTGTGTTATGTCTGTGAATATATTACCTGACAATAGAAACGGTACAAATGTTAACTGTGGTCATTAACCAGCAGGCTTACAAAATAGGGGGATTATCTTACTATCCTGGTGGGCTCAATGCAATCACATGAGCCCTTAAACACAGGAGAGAAAACTGGTGAGATTTGAAGCGAGAGAAAGATTTGATGTGCTTGAAGACAGAGAGAACCACATAGAAGATGTGGGAGGGAATACACTCTGACCAAAACCCTTGTGCCTGAATGAAGACCCAGAGTCCCATGTGAGAGCAGCATCCTTTGCCGATAATTGATTTTAGTTCAGTGAGAACCTTAGTAGAGAATCCAGTCACAATAGGCTGGGCTTCTGCTATACAGAAAATGCGACATTATAAATGGTTTTGTTGTGGTGACATTATAAATGTTTTTGTCATGAGCTACTAAATTCGTGGCACTTTGTTACTCAGCAATAAGAAGCTAATACATATATTTTGTTCCCAGTTCTTCATTACTATTCAATATTCAGATTATTAAATTGGTGTGTGACGTGGACACCAGTGTTATAAATAATGCAATCTAAAGGTAGGAAATGGTACCTACCTTTTAGAAACCCACGATATAACCAGAAAGGCAAACAGCCACACAAGAAAAGTTAAAATATTTTTATTTTTGTCACAGACAGAAATGTTTGGGAGGAGTCACAGCAGCAAGAGACACTGCTCTGGAGCTGTTTGCTGGAACCAACAGATACAGGAAGAGTTTGTAATGTAAGTCCCTGTCATCTAACTGATGCTCAGCATTATCTCATTTACTCTATTTCCACTAACACTGCTGTAGTCAAATGGCTGGAAATGAAGAGAAACTGTAGATAAAGTATTATGTTAGACATAATACAAGATCAGACTGGAAGCCCAATACAGGCTGGGGTAGAGATGAACATAACTAAAATAATTTGTGTACCTAGGAGATTTTCTGTAATTTCAGCATGTGCAAAAGATTGACTCCTAACTTTACAGATTATATTTTTGGATATGACCATTTAGGACGCAACACTAGATTGACTTGTGCAGCATGATACATGATGTCCAGGATACAGGAAGGGTAAAAGCCAAGATTTACTCCAAGATTTCTAGTTTGGCCACTGGGGACAAAATATACAATGAAAAGAAACAACATAATTTAACAATTCAATAATTGGGCAGAAGAGAGAACATAAGAGCTTATTTTAAAAGTTATGATATGTTTTGCTATGAATAAGTGAAACTATAACTCCAATTTTCTTCGCAATAAATAAGTCTGTTACCTCAACTGATAGCATACAGGGTTGGTAATTTGAGCATTTCAACGTCACCTAGAACCCGAACTTGAAGAATAATTTAAATGCATATGTTAATTAACTTGATTTAGTCATTCCACAATGTATTGATATTTCAAAATATCATATTGTACAAGATAAATATACACAACTTTTATTTTTTAATTTAGAAAAATAAAATAAAAAGAAATAAACGAGGAGGACAGAAATTATATGGTTCAACTTATATGAGGTACCTAGAATAGACAAATTCATAGAGATAGAAAGCAGAATAGAAGTCACCAGGGATACAGGGAGAGGAAAGGAATAATCCTATTTTGATGGGTAGAGTTTATGTTTGGAATGATAAAAACATTTATGGCATAATAATGGTGATGAGTACACAGCATTGTGAATGTATTTAATGCCACTGAATTATATATTTACAAATGATTAAAATCATAAACATTAGGTATATTTGATCACAAGAAAAAAATAGGAAAAAAAGAGTAACTTAAAACATAAGGTAGAAGTATGATTTTCCACGTTTAAGAAATGTCATAAAATTCCCAATGCTGCAGAAAAGCAAAGATGAGAATTGATAAAAGATGACTTGATTCAATGAGTTATAAATCAATAATAATGTTAGATACAGTGTTTAGTAAAGAGTACTTTTCTAACAAATTGTGGAAGTAGAAGTCAGAGCAAAAGGAGAAAGTAGTGAGCAAGTGCAAGCTACATGAGTTGGCTGCTCCCTCATGGCATTCCATATCAATAGGTGAGAAGGTGTGCCAGGGAGTAGCGGTCTCAATGGAACTTTTTGTTATTGTTTTTGTTGTTACATTATATTATTTTAATTTATAGAAGAAAATATTATGTAGTTTGGAGAAGAAAATATGAGTCTCTAGATGAGAAAATGGGCAGTTTATATAAAAAGGTTAAAAGTTTAACTATGGAGGACATAAATTTATACACTAATGCCCTGGATAACAGAAGCTAAACTTATAATTTGCACAGTGCAGATTATAAATACCCCTGAGCATGCCTTCCTCCCAATAAGACTCAAGCTGCAATTTTACTGTAGCAATAACAGGAGAAACTATAGAAAAGAGGCAAGGGAAGATGGTGGGTAAATACTCCTGGCAGTTTGTTAGAGAATCTAGGGAATATGAGTAAGTTCATATTTACTGATATCAATTTTCCAGGGAAGTACAAGTTAATGTAATCAGCTGGGAATAAAGGGACAGGAATTTCAGTCTTCAGTTAAAGCTTCAATATTTCCTATTTATTCCAATATGTGCCAGTGCTTTATAGATCATTGTACTTCTTACTTGATGAGAGATAAGAGAACTTAGACCAACACAGTAGTAGTTGCAATACAACCCAATATAATCACATAACATTTCTTTCTAGCTCCAGTTCATCCAGAGTCTTTGATTAATTTTTTATTGTATAGCTTAATTGTGCCTGGTATTTTACTTTATTTTATTTATTTTATTTTATTTTATTTTACAGTGTCATTCTCAGGGTATTGTGCCTATTTTTAAAATATTTGGCTTCCACAAAACTCAGGAAACATTGTGGTGATAATTAGAGATGGCCAAGTTTAGAGGCAAAGGGATTCTTTAAGAGATTAGTCCAGGTGATGATGCTTTGGACTTAAACTAAGAGATTGGAAATGTGTCTAGTGTCTAAATATTATGAAGAACATGATTTTTACCAAACTAAAAGTGATAAATAAGATAGCAAACCTCTGGGTTACAGCCTTGAAAACAATGTGTTATAAAGCCATTAATTGAGCTAGATACTATTGATGGGGAAAGATGAGGTTAAGAGGTGATCTGATGTTGTCACTTGGGATATGTTGAATTGAATATGTCTGCAGAAGATACAAGTTGAGATAGCAATTTAGTTAGAGTTAAAATGCAGATCTGGAGTTTGGGAAACAATCTCTACAGCTAGGCATCATTCTTTATTTGACTAGTAAGGGCATAAGGCAAGTTGGTATTGACTAAGAAGAACAAGTATTGCTTTTTAAAAAAAAGCAAGGAGAGGCCGGGCACGGTGGCTCACACCTGCAATCCCAGCACTTTGGGAGGCCGAGGCGGGCAGATCACAAGGTTAGGAGATTGAGGCCATCCTGGCTAACACGGTGAAACCCCGTCTCTACTAAAAATACAAAAAATTAGCCGGGCGTGGTGGCGGGCGTCTGTAGTCCCAGCTACTAGGGAGGTTGAGGCAGGAGAATCCCTTGAACCTGGGAGGCGGAGCTTGCAGTGAGCAGAGATCTCGCCACTGCACTTCAGCCTGGGCAATAGAGCAAGACTCTGCCAAAAAAAACCCAAAAAAACAAAAAATAACAACAACAAAAAAGAATCTAGTGAGAAGGAAGAGAAGAAATGAACTCATAGAAAAGATAAAGGAAAAATAATCTTAGATGTTGGATTATAATCAGCATTGTCTGAGTATTTTATGCAAAAAAATTTACGTAAATTGTATTTGTTTTGTTCTTACCATAATGCTTTTAGGATGTTATTTATATCTACTTTGCACTAAACAGGAAAGTAGACTTCAGAGAGGTTAAATAATTTGTACACATTTATTAACATAGAACCTGGCTATGGTAGAAGGCCAGACCTATCTGGATCCCAAGCTATTTCTTGTCCTCTAATATCACTCTATCTAGGAGATAACTTCAAACCCAAACAACGTTTCAGGTCATTTACCTAACAGTGACTTGCGGATTCCAAGGCAACTGGGTATGAAAGAAAATGTGAGTGAGTTTTCTGCTAGCGGTTTTCCTCCATTCAGTCTGCTAAGTCTTTTAGGGAGATGGTTATCCTTTTTGCTTTCCTGGTTTTCCTAATCATCTAGAAAGTCCTTGCTCTATTTCCACTTACTTTTTGTTATAAGACTTTTTCTGATTCTCTCTTTCCAGGCGGAAGCAAAAAGAAAAAAGATCTTCATTATACATCTGCTCATCAGCAGAACAAATTCCCATGGCTCTCTGTTCTAATCAGGAGGAAGTAATCTTCCTTTCTCACCTGACTGGTTCTCCAACTTGGCTCTTGAAGCTGACAGCTCTCCAACCCCTCCCTCCAGGTACTCAGTTGCAATTTTCGGTTCCTGCTAAGGTTCGCTTATTAAACACTTTACCACTTACTCTCTGTTACTTCTACCCATGTTCCCACTCATTTAAAGTTGTACCACAAATTTAACCAAGTTTCAGTGAAAAATCAAGCTAACACGTACTTAAACAACCACTATATGATTTTAAGAGCCATCTGTATTTATTTGACTAGATATTAAGTGCCTGATGACATAAACATAAAAGTCATCACTATCATCATCACCCCTATTATTTGCTATGTGCAAGATACTGTGCTAAATATACTTCTCAGGCATCATTTCCTTTAGTTAGGAGTATTTACATCATCTCTCTTTATATAAATATAAATATAACATATATTTAAATATATAGTTACATTATATGTAGAGAGAGTAATTTATATAAAACTGGTATATATACACATATATAAATATTATACATATATACTGGTGTGTGTGTGTGTTGTGTATGCCTGTGTGTGTATATGTATTTATATATATATATAAAGAATAGTCTTAGATGTTGGATTATAGCAGCATTTTCTGAATATTTTATGCAGCAAATATTGTATATGTAACATATAAATATTTTATATATAAAGTTTAGTTAATGGGATTCCATATATGTGGGGTTTACATATGTCAACCTAGTTTAACAATTTGTTGTGAGTTAGGTGTTATTATCACGGTACTGATGAGGAAATAGTATTTCAAAGTTATACTGCCTCTCCAGGGCAGAACCAGTTCTTAAAATGCTTGAAGTTTTTAAGTTCTAAGGGTACATAAAAATCTAAGACCCAAGTGAACTTGAACTACCAAAAATATTTAATAAACACATTAAATTGATTTACAAACTAGGAAAGTTTATGGCACGTATAAATATAAAACACACGTAAATGTACAAATAATAGCAAGTTTCAGTTCCCTAAAAATTAAGAAAAGATGCAATACTTATGAAACATAACCCCCTTTTCTAAATCGATGTTCAACTTGTAAAAGCAGCTACAAACTAAGACGTAGTCTAGAGGCTACAACTCAGTGCTGATGGAAACATATTTTGTTTAAAGTAAGCATCTGATATTAAAAATGTGCTTTTGAACAGTTGCTGAAAGTGAGTCAGCACCACAGATCACCTTGTCAGTGCTCTGACAGGAAGGCTGATGTTTAAAGGTGAATTCCAACTGTTTCCTTAATTTATAGTGTAAGAATTCTGCAGCCACCTGTCTAAGGGAAGCAACCATGCAGAGATTATTGGTCCCCAAGCACTTTTGTCACCCATCTGGTTAGACCTCTTGTACCAATCAGCATTTTTTTTTGTGGAATCTAAGCTGTTTTAATCACCTGTTTTTCCTTTTCCCAATCTTTGTATCAGATAATTTTGCATAAAAATCTCAATGGGGAAAAAATCAAGAACAAAAACCAAACACCCCCCAAACAGAAAAGCCAATATATCTGGCTTGGCAAATGTTCCAATTATTGGTCTGTGGCAAACACTTGCCTTGTTAGGTTTTTAAAAGCTTTCCTCGGCCGGGCGCGGTGGCTCACGCCTGTAATCTCAGCACTTGGGAGGCGGAGGTGGGCGGATCACGAGGTCAGGAGATCGAGACCATCCTGGCCAACACAGTGAAACCCCGTCTCTACTAAAATTACAAAAAAATTAGCTGGGCCTGGTGGCGGGCGCCTGTAGTCCCAGCTACTCGGGAGGCTGAGGCAGGAGAATGGCATGAACCTGGGAGGCGGAGCTTGCAGTGAGCTGAGATCGCGCCACTGCACTGCAGCCTGGGCAACAGAGTGAGACTCTGTCTCAAAAAAAAAAAAAAAAAAAAAAAAAGCTTTCTTCAGAAACAAGTGTTTTTTTATGTCTCATATATAACATATATAACATTCCTACTGACTTAGCAACCATATTTTGAAAGCCATTAATAATCACAGACCCTGAATGCAACCTCACTCTCTTCCCATTGTATAGTGTTTATCAGACATCATTCCCTTTGGTGCACCGCTCAGTGTTTTGCCAGTTTCTAGCAATGTTAACAAGGTCTAATAAGACTCAACCTAGCTACGGCTCAGATTTCAGCCTTAAAAAATGGGCCCAGTTATACTCCACACAGTTACTTGAGAAAAATCAGAATGCATGTAGAACTTCATAGCCAAGTGCCTGAAAAGTAGTAAGTGCTACAAAGTTTTATGTTCTTTCCTTTCTTCATCTTTGCTTTTCCAATCATTCATTACTAAATATGTAATAGCTCTCAAGGGGGAACTCATACGAGTTAACAATTTAGTCTCATCCATACATTTACTTATAGGTCACAAGTTGATCACTTGTCACTTTGATTTATTGTTCTTCATTCTCTAGTAGTGCAAAATAATTCCGCTCTTCCTCAGTTGTAAGAGTCTTAGGCACAATGTAGTAGCATTACCTAAGAATGTACACTGTATGATTAGATGGGTTTCATTTTTTTTTCTTTGTTCTGTTGCTTGCTTGGTTTATCTTGTTTTTGAAAAACAAAATTGTTACAAAGTAGAAAACATCACAGGAGAAAAAATGCTGAGTTTTATGATCTGGGAAAAGTAGGGAAGGAATATATTTCAGTGTTTCCAAGTTATTGAAGATAACCTTTTTTCTCATCGAAAGCATCCTTAACTTCTATGGCATACACTTTCATCTTCTAATATTTAAAGTGTCCATGGTAAAATTAGATGGAAGAGAGGTGGAGAGAGTCATCAATCATGCTTCTGTTTAAAACTGAACGTTTAATCTACTCTGTTTTACACTTTCAAAGCAGGAAAGGAATACTTTTTTATATAGCCAAGTGGGACACCTTTGCACAAAGGCTTCAAAATATTAAAAAGAAACATATATATATGTATATGTATATGTTAAATATTTCTCATCATATGGACTCTCAATGTATTCTACATGAAACACTTTTAACAGTACTCATGGATAGGTTAAGTGAACTCAAAGATGCTTAAACGCTCTATTTAAGGCAGTGGAAATATACAGGATCCTCCTGTGAGTTCTTGATGGCATCGTTATGTTACTTCTTGGACTAGTGCCTACCGAGTGTGAGGGAAGTGAGTTAAGTGGGGACAATAACATGATTAACTTCCATGTTAGTTGATTGATTGAGCTTTGTACCTAGACAGCTCATGTAACTGTAATTTTTCTATCTATAAACTGAGACAAATTATGCCTCTCTATCAAAAACACTCATTCAGAAGACCAAGTTTGTTTTTATTAATGTAGAATACTTCAAGATATTTACATTAAATTGCTTTTAAAATTTTTCTTGTCTGATTAATAATGAAACATAATCTTATAGCAGTGAAAAAGCTCAATTTGCCTCCTAAAGTATAGTGGTAAGAGAATGATATTGGAACCAATTCTAATTTGCTTCGAAAGGGCTTGTATTATTTTTAAACACTTTACTCCTAAGAGTTCAGATTCCTGTCAGACACATGTAAGTATGAAAATATAATAGCATAACATGTACACCAAATATGTGTAATAAATATACTTTTAAAAAAGCAAATAAACATTTAAAAAATGTATCTTTAAAGCCACAGGTCCCCAGGGTGAGCAAATTGAAAACAAGAAAGAGAATAGAAAGGGGAAAGAATGAAAAGAAGCTATTTTTTAATTAATTGCAAGTTAACTTCTAGGGCCATGCTGTGCATTCCACATATTTGAATCTAATTTTATTAAGCATTTTGTTATATTGTAATTAAAATAGCTATGACACTGTCTATAGAAGCTAAGGTTTAACTAATTTAAATGGTTTTTCAGGGAGCCACAGTTGCTGGACAGGGCTGGAAGTATAAGGTGGTGCTCATAAGTTCTGTGTAGGTTTCTTTGTTTCACTTTTGTGTTATCCAAAACCCTCTTCCAGAAGGATAGTTAATGACCCAGGAAGGGTCTGCTCTATGGTTTCAAGTTATTCCTGGTAATGTAACTGAGTCTATTCAATACAACAAATATTTAATTAAGTGCCTAGTTTGTGCTTATGGGGGTTAGGTGACATCAGTGAAGAAAGCAGACAACTCTTTCTTTTCTACATTGTAATGGAGAGGGACAGAAATCAATAATAAACCTACTAAATGAGAAAATTATATAGTATAAAAGAAGGTGACAAGTGCTAATTAAATACATAAAATAGAGTGAGCAAAAGATCAGAAGTGCTATTCATGGGCTAAATTTTAATAGTGTGTTCAAGGTAGGTAGGCCTCACTGTTAAAGTGACTTTTGAGTAAGGAACTAAAAAAAAAGTTAAAAGTTAACCGTTGAGGTACCCTAGATAGCCAAGGGGAGGGAAGGCATTCTGGGGAGAAGTAAAAGCCAATGCAAAAACACATGTTAGCAGAATGTTGTCTGGTCTGTTCTAAACATATCGAGGAGGCCTGTGGCCAGTGAAATGGAGAAAGTGAGGGGAATAAGAGTAGATGACAAATCAGAGAGATAATTGAGGAGGTGGGGATGTATGTCATTAGGATAGGCATGCAGGCTGTCATAAGCACTTCCTCCGAGTTCACGGGGAAGCCATTGCAGAGCTCGAAAGGTAGGAGTGACATAACTCACCTTTTGTTTTAAGAGTTTAACTTTGACTTTGCCAAGAATAGACAGAGGGAATGATATAACCTTAGAAACTGATGACATATAACTTGGTTAGAAATAACAGTGGCTCAGCTGGGCATGATGGCTCCTGGCTGTAATCTCAGCACTTTGGGAGGCCAAGGCGGGCAGATTGCTTGAGCTAAGGAGTTTGAGACCAGCCTGGGCAACATGGTGAGACAGACCCTGTCTCTATAAAAAGTATACAAAAATTAGCCAGGTGTGGTGGTGTGTGCCTGTAGTCCCAGCTACTCAAGAAGCTGAGGTGGGAGGATTGCTTGAGCTAGGGAAGTGAAAGTTGCAGTGAGTCATGATAATCACACTACGCTCCAGACCAGGTGACAGGGAGTTCAAAACAACAGGATTTTTGGTGAGCCAGCATAGTCTGAGAACCAAAGAAGAATCAAAAATGAGTCCAAGTTTTTTGGTCTGAACTACCAGAAGATTGAAAATGCCATTGACTGAGACGAGTAAGTAGACTGCAGATAGAACAGGTTTATAGGGGAAATATCAGAAGTTCAATTTTGAAAGTATTCTAAACATTTAAGAGGAGAAGTCAAATAAGTGTTTCTGAATGCATGTGAATCTGGGGTAGAGATGAAACTTTTGGTGTTGTCAGGATTTAAATGTTATTTAAAGTAATTATCCTGATTACAGCTGAGACCACAGAAATTAAAAGGATCATTAGCAGCTAGTATGAGCAACTATATGCTAATAAATTGGAAAACCTAGAAGAAATGGATAAATTCCTAGACGCATATAACCTGCTAAGGTTGAACTATGAAGAAATCCAAAACCAGAACAGACCAATAACATGTAAAAAGATTGAAGTCTTAATAAAAAGTCCCCTAGCAAAGAAAAGCCTAGGTTCTGATGGCTTCACTGCTGAATTTTACCAAACACTTAAAGAAGAACTAATATCAATCCTGCTTAAACAATTCCAAAAACAGAAGAGGAGGGAATCCTCCCAAACTCATTCTATGAGGCCAGTGTTACTCTAATACCAAAATCAGAAAAATACACATCAAAAAAGGAAAACTACAGACCAGTATTCCTTATGAACATCGATGCAAAAATCCTCAACAAAATGCTAGCAAATTGAATTAAACTACATATTAAAAAGATTATTCATCCTGACCAAGTGGGATTCATCCCAAGGATACAAGGATAGTTTAACATACACATATCAATCAATGTGATACATATCAAAAGAATGAAGGATAAAAATCATCTGATCATTTCAATTGATGCTGAAAAAGAATTTGATAAAATTCAACATCTCTTCATGATTAAAAAAAACCCTAAAAAAACCTAAAAAACTGTATAAGGAATATTCATCAATACAATAAAAGCCATATATGACACACCCACAACTAGCATTATACTGAATGGGGAAAAAAACTGAAAGCCTTTCCCCTAAGATCTGTAACATGAAAAGGATGCCCACTGTCACCACTGTTATTCAACATATTGCTGGAAGCCCTAGCTAGAGCAATCAGACAAAAGAAAGAAATAAAGGGCACCCAAATTGAAAAGGAAGGTGTCAAATTATCCTTGTTTGCAGTTGACATAATCTTACATTTGGAAAAACCTAAAGACTCCATCAAAAAGTGTAAGAACTGATAAATACATTTAAAAAAGCTGCAGGATAGAAAATTGACATATAAAAATTAATAGCATCTCTATATGCCAGCAACAAATAATATGAAAAACAAGAAAGTAATCCCATTTACAATAGCTACAAAGAAAATGAAATATGTAGGAGTTAACCAAAGAAGTAAAATATCTCTACAATTAAACACTGATGAAGGAAATTGAAGAGGACACAAAAATATGGAAAGATATTCCATGTTCATTGAGTGGAAGAATCAATATTGTTAAAATGTCCATAGTATTCTAAGAAATCTACAGTTCAATAAAACACCTCTCAAAATACCAATGACATTCTTCACAGAAATAGAAAAACAATCCTACTGTCAGTCCTTTTTTTTTTTATTTTAGAAAGACTCGTAAGAGCCAAAGCTATTCTGAACAAAAAGAACAAAACTGGAGGAATCACATGAACAGTACCAAAACAGCATGGTACTGGCATAAAACCAGACACATAGACGAATGGAACAATATAGAGAGCCCATGAACAAATCCATACATCTGCAATGAACTCATTTATGACAAAGGTGCCAAGAACATATACTGGGGAAAGGACAGTCTCTTTGATAAATGATGCTGGGAAGACTGAATATCCATGTGCAGAAGAATGAAACTAGACCCGTATGTCTCGCCATATACAACGCTCAAACCAAAATGGATTAAAGACTTAAATCCAAGACATCAAACTATTCAATTACTAAAAGAAAACATTGGGGAATCTCTCCAGGACACTGGAGTGAGCAAAAGTTTCTTGAGTAATACCACACAACACAGGCAATCAAAGCAAAAGTGGACAAATGGGATCACGTGAAGTTAAAAAGCTTCTGCACAGCAAAGGAAACAGGTAACAAAGTGAAGAGACAACCCACAGAATGGAAGAAAATATTTGCAAACTCTTCACCTGAGAAGAGATTAATAACCAGAATATATTAGGAGCTCAAACAACTCAATAGGAAATAATCTAATAATCCAGCTAAAAATTGGCAAAAGATCTAAACAGACATTTGTCATTACAAGACATAAAAATAGCAAACAGGTATGAAAAAGTGCTTGATATTATTATCATCAGAGAAATGCAAATTAAAGCTAATATTGATATCATCTCACCCCAGTTAAAATGTGTTTTATCCAAAAGACAAGCAATAACAAATACTGGCGAGGAGGTGGAGAAAAGGGAATCCTCATACACTGTTCGTAGAAATGTAAATTAGCACAACCACTGTGGAGAACAGTTTGGATGTCACTCAAAAAGCTAAAAATTGACCTAATATATGATACAGCAATCCCACTGCCAGGTATGTACTTAAAAAAAAAGGATAACAGTACATTGAAGAGATATCTGCACTCCCATGTTTATGGCTGCACTATTTACAATAGACAAGCCTTGGAAGCAACCCTCTGTGTTCACCAACAGAAAAATAGAGAAAGAAAATGTGTTAGATATACACAATGGAGTACTAATCAGCCCTAAGAAAGAATGAGATCCTGTCATTTTCAACAACATGAATGGAACTGGAGGTTATTATGTTAAGTGAATTAAGCCAGGCACAGAAGGACAAACTTCTCATGTTCTTACTTACTTATGGGAGGTAAACATTAAAACAATTGAACTCATGGAAATAGAGAATACAGTGATGGCTACCAGGGGCTAGAAAGGATAGTGAGGTCATGGGGAGGAAGTGTGGATGGCTAATGGGTACGGCGTAGTTTTTAGAAAGAATGAATAAGATTTAGCATTTGATGGCACAACATGGTGGCATCATACTGAGAAACTGTATTTTACTATAGTCAAATAGCCACCATGTTGTGGTGGCTATAATATTTGGCCATAATTTTAATTGGCCATTAAATTTGGCCAAGTAATATGGCCAAATAATAATTAGCCATAATTTACTATAATTATACTTACTTATTTTAAATAATTTACTAGTTATTTAAAAATAACTAAAGTAGTGCAATTGGATTGTTTGTAACACAAAGGATAAATGCTTAAGGTGATGGACACCCCATTTACCCTGATGTGATTATTATGCATTGTACGCCTGTATCAAAATATCTCATCTACCCCATAAATATCTCATCTACACCTACTATACCCATAAAAATTAAAAAAAATATATATCCTCTGTCCAGAAGAAAGATTAAAATACATACCTTAAATTATTTGTTGCTAAATAGATAGGAGTATATGGTATCCATATTTATGGGCATACACTGAAATATTGACAAAGTCTTCTCCCTAAGTAATCATGACTCATGCTCCTGCAGCTCCTGTTTTTTTGTACTCGGCATACATTCAGTTGTGAAAACAAGGCGTCCCTCCTCTAGCAGCTGTTCTATGAATCTGAGCTCACTCAAGAACCACAGAGCTAGTTCCCTTGGTTTCATATGAAACTTCCCAGTTTTAGAGTCAATTCACCATAGACAGGTTTCCCAGTAAATACTTTAAAACTTACAGCCAGTGGAAATAAGACCCTGTGATTTTAATGAAATAAAAATCATTGCATAAACATTGATATGTAAGAGTCTTGATTTTAGTACCTAAGGATCAGTTTGGGGATTTTTTTTTTTCAGAAAGGATACCAAGATCTGTAAACGTCTAGTGATGTCTCGTCTATGTGACCACCTCTTTTTGTGGGCACAAACTCATCTTAAAGAACTGTCTTCTATAAATGTCATAATTATGAACAAGATCATCAGGAGCAACAGGAACTAACGTCAGGGACCAAGCATCTACATGAACAAGTCTAGGAGAAGAGGCAGATCAAGCAAGTGAGACAAAACTGTCTTGCAAGGATAGAGAAGAAAGTATATCATGGAAATGGGAGTGGCTGACTCAAATGCCATAGCTAGGGACGAGAATTGGCCACGGGATTTTGACACCAGGAGGAGGGCATTGTGCTCTTGCTAAGAGAAATTTTGATGGAGGTGTGAGTGGGAAGGCAACAGCCTTATTGCAGAATGTATACAGAGACCAGGAAGAGGGGAACCCAAAATATTTTTTCAGGGAATTTTAGTGGAAATCAGAGTAAACAGAAAAATGTTAAGAAAGATAAATTCAATTCTAGATTACAGATATCCTCAATGAAACTTTTACGATTATAGTTTGATTGCACTTTTTCTTGAATGTCCAACTACATGCATACTAATCTACATCACTAGAAATCTTACATAGACATAGAAATTTATTTTAGCTTATTATTTTAACAAGTTATACAGTAACAGACTCATTCACTTACATGTATGTATATATGTACTTGTTTTGATTCCATGATCATAGTTAACATATTTCAAACCACAGGCACAATTAATATGCAGAAAGGAATATGTTATACAGAAATATATATGTTGTATATGCTATGAAATATGTTTGGGAAACTACATACTGCAATACATCTAGCTATATTACACTATGAACATATTTCTCTACTTCTCTTGGGTTTTCATTTGCTGAAATTTATACTCAAAACAATTAAATTTAATAGTGGAATTAACTGCTCAAATATTCATACAGGCATCATAGAAAAAATTTCATATACTTATTTTAGAAGAAATATACAGGATGGAGGAGTGGGTTATAAAACACATCAACCTAGAATGAGAAAAAGAATCCAGCTTCATGAGATGTAACTGAGAAGAGCCTACAGTTCTTTATGTGATCAATACAGAAGTGATCAACTGGAAGACAGTTCTTTAAGATGAGTTTGTGCCCACAAAAAAGGTGGTCATATAAACGAGACATCACTAGAAGTTTACAGATCTTGGTATCCTTTCTGAAAAAAAAATCCCCAAACTGATCCTTAGGTACTAAAATCAAGACTCTTACATATCAATGTTTATGCAATGATTTTTATTTCATTAAAATCACAGGGTCTTATTTCCACTGGCTGTAAGTTTTAAAGTATTTACTGGGAAACCTGTCTATGGTGAATTGACTCTAAAACTGGGAAGTTTCATATGAAACCAAGGGAACTAGCTCTGTGGTTCTTGAGTGAGCTCAGATTCATAGAACAGCTGCTAGAGGAGGGACGCCTTGTTTTCACAACTGAATGTATGCCGAGTACAAAAAAACAGGAGCTGCAGGAGCATGAGTCATGATTACTTAGGGAGAAGACTTTGTCAATATTTCAGTGTATGCCCATAAATATGGATACCATATACTCCTATCTATTTAGCAACAAATAATTTAAGGTATGTATTTTAATCTTTCTTCTGGACAGAGGATAACTGGCTAAAACATAGTGTCTACTAAGTATTCAGATGTCACAGGAGTGAAATAACAAAAGCCTTTCAATTTAAAAATTTTATATAGATAATTTATACATAATGCGCATCATAAGGGGCAAAGACTTCTGCATTTAAGCACAAAAGTTTATCATACTGACCAATGTGTTGATTCTGCTTACATTCTTTTACTGTTGAGAGTATGACATTTATTTTTTAAATGGTGCTAATGCTAAACATTATTAGGTATTTTTAAAATTTGTCATCACTTGCAAAGAAAAATACTTTTTTTTCTGTCGTTTCCCCTCCAAATAATAGCAATTTTAAAATATTTTATCTCAACGTGAATTCAGAAAAAAGGATAATACAGTGACAAGATGAATACATAAGAATATACAATTGTTATTAAGACAAAGACAACTGCTATGTTCATTTACATATCAGAACAAATATGTGCAAATTTAAAATTGAGAACTCTCAATTTATATTTAAAATTTCTAAAAGAAAAAGACATTACATTATGAAAATATTAACATCAAGAAAGATCAACAACAAAATCATTGTTCATTTATCCCAATATTATGTGAAGTAACAGTAGTGCAGGAAGAAAAAAGGTAGATTGAAAAGTGGCTATTACATCTATTTTCCAGATTTAAGCTCACTGAACGCTATTATCACAAGGTTACTATACTCTTTAATCTAATGTGCCTGATAGCTAATTGTCATTCAATGAATATTGTAGAAGAAACTGTATTTAATATCTCTCTCAAGTGGTTCCTGTCTCTGCTTGGAGATTTTTTTTTTCTTTAGGTTCTATTTCCGTCATTTTGAATTTTTCCCCTGCAAACTACAAATAGTGGACAAATTATAAGTGTGTTAAAGTAACAAGGGAAAAAATACAAATCAATTATTTACAAGTACACTCTAATGTACAAAGTGTACTTGTAATGTGTTGATGATTTTACAATAAAACTCATCCTAATTTAATTTTTTTGGCTTAATGTGAGTATAATTTATGTACAGTAAACAGCACATATTTAAAGTAAATGATGTGGAAAATTTTGACACATTTTTACATGTGACAAATTTTGAGAAATGATGTATATCTATCAACAAAATCATGATAATGAACATATTCATCACCCTCCCAAAAAATTCCTTGTAACTCTTTCTGATCTCTCCCTTCCATCCCTCCTCATAACTCTACTTCAGGCCAAACAACTACTGATCTACTTTCTGTAACTACAAATTAGTTTGCATTTTTTATAATTTAGATTAATAAAATTTTATTTTAGGTACATTTTCTCTTCCTTTTTTTCACTCACAATAATTTTTTTTGAGATTTCTCTATCTTGGTGGGTGTATTGAAAGTTTATTTCTTTTTATTATTGAACAGATTTCCATCATGGGAATAAACCGTATCTGTTCATTCATGCACATATTTATGAACGTTGGAGTTGTTGCCAGCTTTGGATTGTCACAAGTAAAAAGTTGTTATGAACATTTATGTGCAAGTCTTTGTGTGAATATGTGTTTTAATTTGTCTTGGATAAAATCTCCAACTATAATTTTGTGCAATTTTCAATTTCTATTTGCAGTTCTATCAGTTTTTCTCTGGTGTATTTTGAAACTCTATTATGAAATGTTAGATTGTTACAATTTTTATGTGTTCTTGCCCCTTTCTTAGTGTAAAATAAGCTTTTTTATTCCTGATAATATCTTTGCTCTAAAATATATTTAGGCTGAAGTTGAATTAATTTTCTAATGCTGGATAAAAATTATCACAGATTTAGTGATGTAAGACAGCATCCATTTATTGTCTCACAATTGCCTTGTAACAGAAGTGTGGGCAATACTTAGCTGCATCCTCTGGTCAGGGTCTCACAAGGCTGCAATTAAAGTGTTGGCAAGGATGAGTTATCATCTGGAAGCTTGACTGGGGAAGAATACACTCTCAAGTACATTCAGGTTGCTGGCAGAACTCATTTCCTTGTATCAATTTGTTTTTAGGCTCTGGCATTTTGCTCATTGTCAGCTGGAGTCTGTTCCTGGGTCCCAGGGGTTAGCCACAGTTTCTAGAGACTGCTTATATTTCATCTGAGATTCTCCAACATGGTCATTTATGTCATCTAGCTCTCAAGTAGAGTCTGTCTCCTCAAATGAGGCCTACTCCTACTGAGTCAGACTCACTCAGGGAGATCATGTTTTTGGTTATCTCAAAATCAACTCATTGCATGTTGATGATTAATTGTATCTGAAAATTTTCTTTTTCTTTGGCATTCTCTCTTTTCTGAAGCAAGTCAGAATTCTTGCTCACATTTAAGGGAAGGAAATTAAACAAGGTATAAACACCAGGTGGTGGGGATTACTGGGGTTTCCCTAAGGGTTGTCAACCACAAATACTAATAGAATTTCTTCAGCTTTCGTTTGATTTGTGTTACTAGCTGTATTAACTTTATTATTTTATAAGCTTTTTTTCATTAATTTAAAGTTTTTTGTTGCTATGATTGTTGTTGGTTAAGCTACCATATTGCTGGTTCTTGTTTTTTTAATCTGCTCTCATAATCTCGAGTTTTCAATTCTTGATATTTCTATTTAATATGAATATTAATAAGGTTTTTAATCTGTCACCTTTCTGTTTTCTATTTATTTATATGTTATTGGTCCTTTTTGAATAATTTAATTTTTTATGATTCTATCTTATCTTCTTTGTTTTGGTTAATTATCTATTACTCTTTACTTTTGTGTGCCTGTGTTTGCTTTGGGATTTATAATATGCATCTGTAATTTATCATGATTTATCTTCAGGTAATACATTTTCACATATTTTGTAAAAATCTTACAATAGTATGTTTTCATTTTCTCTCTTCTAGTATTTTGCTCTATTTGTAAAAATGTGTCTTACCTCTGCGTATTGTAGGAACTACACACTACCTCTGGTATCTTTTCTTTGTCCTTAAGAAACTATTTAACATTTTTTGTAGGGCATGTCACTGATTCTACTTTTTCACATTTTTATATTTGTTGAAAGTTTATTTTACCTATGTTTTTATTTATTTATTTATTCATTCATTCATTTGAGACAGAGTCTTGCTCTATCACCCAGGCTGGAGTGCAATGGTGTGATCACAGCTCTCACTGCAGCCTTTACCTCTCAGGCTCATTCAATACTTTCATCTCAGCCTCCCAAGTAGCTGGGACTACAGGTATACACCACCATGCCTAGCTAATTTCTTGTATTTTTTGTAGAGATGGGCTTTTGTCATGTTACCCAGGCTGGTCTTGAACTCTTAGGTTCAAGCAATCTGTCCACTTTGGCCTCCCGAAGTCCTGGGATTACAGATATGAACCACTGTGCCTGGCCTACCTTGTTTTTAGAAAACAATTTTGCTTGATATAGATTTTTAGTTTAAAAGATATGCTCTTTCAGGATACATACATCAAAAAGTCTGCTGTCACTCTTGTTTTGGTTTTACTAAAAATATCCACCCCTCCCCCGACCTCCATCAGCTGTTTTGAAGATATTCTTTTTATCAGTCATCTTAAGCAATGTGATTATGTGCCTTTCTTTCATTGTTTTTATTTGAGTAAGGATTATTGGACATCTTGTATCTGTAGGGTTTTCTTGAGCAGGTGACATCTGTTGGCTATAAGGAGCAATAGTCTCAGGGTGTCCAGTCACTGCATTATTTGCAGGCATTAAGATCACCAAGAGACATGACTCTTACAAGTACCTGATGAATCAATGATTTACTCATGCAGAGAAGAGACATAGCAAGATCAGTGTCAAGAGTGACTGTTATTCGTCAATAGCCAGCAGGTCTTGCCCTGCAGCCAACACAGGACAAGTTCCACACACACTCCTCTAGAGCTACAGGTGAAGGGCCCTGTTTTCTCCCCACCAGGAACAGATATAGCAGTGGGGTTGGCCAGTTAACACATGACACACACATTTTAAGCAGAATAAAGTAACATCAAGCCCAGACTATGAAAAGAGATTCACAAAAAATGCAGTAAGTCCAGCTGTCTATGAGAGTTCCTATGTTCACATAAGAACATGTTGTTCCAGCCCAAGACACACTCAAACAGGCATGCAAGAGTCAAGCAAGATGCATCCGACTGTTTTTCCCAAAAGTTTGTAATTTCCATTAAACATAGAAAACTTCTATCGTTTATTTCTTCAAATGTTTTTGTAACCCACTTTCCAGAAACTCCAGTGATATATAAAGGGGGTCCTGTGAGGCTTTCCCAGAGATTACTAATATTTTATATAATTTTATTTCTGTTTATTCCTTTGTGTTTTATTTTGGGTAGGTTCTTTGTCATCAAGTTCAGAATTTTTCTTAATTACTTTTGGCAGTGTCTGCTTTCAATCCTATCTAGTGTATTTTTTTATCATAGACATTGTATTTTTCTACTTTAGAAGTTGGATTTTGGTCTTTTGAAATATATTTTACATCATCACCTAACATGCTTCATCTTATTTCTACCTTCTTGAATATATAATTTAAAATTATAATAACTGTTTTCATGATCTTCTTCACTATTTCTCTTATTTGTGTACTTTCTTCTAAGTTATTGATTTTTCTGCTTATGATATAAGTGTCATATTTTGCCTTTTTTGTATGTCAGGTAATTTTGGATTAGCAACCAAATGCTGTGGATTTTGCCCTTTTTCGTTAGTGGATATTGTGTATTCCTATAAACGTTCTTGAATTCGTTCTGATATAAAGCTAACTTGATTGAGTATGGTTCGACTCTTTTAAGTATTGTTTTTAGGCTCTGTGGAAACTGAGCAACTTTTAGTCTAGGGCTATTTTGACTCCCTGGTGAGACAATATCTTTTTAAGAAGTCTTTGTGATGCCCTGCGAATAAGTTTTTCCACTTTGACTGGTGGGAACATGAACTTTCCCTGGCCCTGTTGATCCTTGGTATTGCTCTCTGTCCTTCTTTCTGTTATTTCTTTTCTGGCTTCAATGTTTTGTGTTATGCCTTCATTAATCAGTTGTAAGCTGAAAACTGGCGGCCTACTCTGTGCCCTTTTCAAGAGGTTTGGCTCCATGCTTCTCTCCTCTCTTTACACTCTGCTCTGTGGAATAGAACTTCCTGAACTCTCCAGACTCCCTAGTCCTTTCCCGCAACTCAGAGAGGTGCCATCAGGGTTGGCATTCTCCCTCCTCCTGCATGTCAGCTTCATAACTCTATCCGGGCACAAAGCTTGAGAAATTGTAAGGCTCAACTTGTTTGTTCACCCTCTATCAGGATCGCTGTTCTGTCTTGCCTGATGTCTAATGTATGAAAAAATCATTTTTGATATAATTTTATACAATTTAAATCTGATTCCTTTTATTCTATATTGGCTGAAAGAAGAAATCCCCAATTCAAATTTAAAAGTTACTTTTTTTTTGAAATCTAGAAATAGGTTAAAATACAAGTCTCATGACGTTTTAGAGTTACAGACATCTCATGACTTTAGGTATCATTTATAGATTTGCTAATTTTTTGCTTTAAATCATTTTATAAATTGTAATGGACTATATGAAAACTCAACAGAAAACTTTAAGTTTTAATTTTGTTTGATCTGTATTCAAATACATGATAATCATAATTTTACTAAAGCAAATTTTGAACAAAATTAGTTTACATTCTTTAACAGAAGACATGCTTAAACATTCTATAGAAGTAAAAAATTTGAAACAAATGAATTTTTCCCCCATAGCTGTGAAGAAGTAGAAGAAAACATACACTTTGGAAACTGCACATTTTGAATAGATAACAAGTATCATAGATGTAAACATTTAATAAACTTGAGTTGCAGTTTTTAGTTATACTCATTTTCTTGCTATACACCTTGGACAACTGACTAATTCTCTCCTGCTCTCTCTTTCTCTCTCTCAATGTTCTTTAAAATTTATTTTTACTGTGTGGCCTAATTTGTTTATTTCTACTATGTAGAGGTCATTATTCGGGCATTGTTAAAAGTTTATATTGTGACACTGTGACAGATAAGAACTAGCAGGCCAGATGCCTGGTGACATGCTAACTCAATGTCAACATTCTAATGACCCTAATAAAGGAGAACAAATGAAACAAAAGATCATCATAGAGGGCATGAGAACCAAATTATAATGGACATCATATGATCAGTGATGACTTTGGGGAATATGAAAACAAGGAAAAATTAACAAAATGACTGATATCAGTGTTGACAGGTATCAACAGATGTTTGCTTGCCTCTGGCAAAATAAGAATCAGAAACAGAAGTAGAATTTCTGTATTTCTGACCATTTATCAGCTACCACAACTACAGTTTTGGCTAAATTATCAAGAAATAGTTTAGCTTAAATCATGGTATACAAAGAAAATAGAGTATCACAATTTTTTAAATGAAAAGAGGTAACTATATGAAAACAAATTATATAATTTAGGATTTTATAATTATGAATAATAAAATTCCTTATATAATTATTATCTAAAAATTCTACTGGATATAAGCATTGATTTGCATAATATCTTGTCTGAATTTTGACTTTAGTATTCGATATTTAGTGCTTTTAAGAATTTCGAAAGGTAGCTCAACAAGTAAAATGTTGATTGTAGAATCAGACTTTCTTTTTTAGAATCCTGGCTTCACCACAACGTTAACCTGTTTTGTGCTACTACGACAAAACCCCTGAGACTGGGCAATTTATAAATAATAGAAATTTATTTTTTTCACAGCTTTAGAGGCTGGGAAGTGCAAGATCAAGACACTGGTACGCTTGGTTGTCTGGTGAGGGCTCTGGAGGGAAGGAAGGCTTTGTTCTAACAGGGCAAAGAGTTGAATGCTGCCCGAAGCTTCTTTTATAAGGGCTTTAATTCTATTCACTAAGGAGAAATGCTTATGGCCTAATCACCTATCAAATGCCTCACCTCTTGCTACTATCACATTAGCAACACTTGGATTTTTTAGTGGATATGTCCAAACCGCAACAACCGCTTTCTAGCTATGTGAGCTTGTGCCAATTAGCTAATTTTTGTATGGCTGAATTTCTTTGTTTTTAAAGGGGTATCAAAACTATATCTACTTTAGAGAGTTGTTATGAGGAATGAATTAGTTAATACAAGCAAAGCTCTTAGAGCAATGTCTGGTATTTAGACACATTCAATAAATATTAGATAATAGTATTGATATTTCCGCTGATACATTATGGAGTTCAGTTATTCACACTGTCTTGCTCTAAAGTATGTGTATCCCTCCCTATGTTGCCACAGCTTCATCCACTCAGCCTTTAGGCCTTATGCATTATCTCCTGTAATCATTTTCAGAGAAAAGAAAAATTGCTCTTGCTTTACAGAAGTATCTCATGCCACATTAGTTTAAGGCATAAGTGCTCTGCGTTGCCCTTATGGTTCCATACGCGGGAGGGTCTGACCACCAGTAGCGCAGGGAAATTATAGTGGAAAAATATCTCAAGCAAGACATCTTCTTTTCTTTCTCTATTAAGGATTTCTTGAGGATTCCTTCATACCTCCCAGCCTGCTATAGATACATTATGCACCTTGAAATTTCTTGGATCTCTGGCTCCTAAGACCCAGTCGCAGATATACCTGTCTCCAGCTTAACAGAATTGGAAAGCTTGTCTTATTTTATATTGGCATCTTTTGGATTACTTTAATAAGTAGATAGGTTTAGCATCACCAAATGGGAGATTTTATATATATATACACATATATGTGTATATATATGTGTGTGTATATATATATATACACACACACACATACTATATACATTTATATTTTATATATTTATAAAATATATATTTTAAATATAAACTCATTCCAAATCTCTATATATTATATATAATCCCAAATCTATATCATATATTGGTTTTTAAAGTGTGTGTGTGTATGTACATATATATATGTGTGTGTGTGTATGTATATATGTATACATAAAAATACATAAAAATTCTTTAAAATCCAAATATTCACAGTATTGTTGTGATTGTTTTCTTTTTTTTTTTTTTTTTTTGAGATGGAGTCTTGCTGTCTTCCAGGCTGGAGTGCAGTGGCGTGATCTCCGCTCATTGCAACTTCCGTCTCCCAGGTTCAAGCGATTCTCCTGTCTCAGCCTCCTGAGTAGCTTTGATTACAGACACGCACCACCATGCCTGGCTAATTTTTGCATTTTTACTAGAGGCAGGGTTTGGCAATTTTGGCCAAGCTGGTCTCAAACGCCTGACCTCAGGTGATCTGCCCACCTTGGCTTTCCAAAATGCTGAGGTTACAGGCATGAACCACCCTGCCCAGCAGTGACTGTTTTCTTAATGGCAGGAGGGTGAAAGATGTCCTAGGAACAAGGTGCCCTACATGGTATAGACTGCTGGAACCCAAAAAACTTCACTGAGGGATTGCTGGAATTTATGGCTTTCTCTCTGGCATAACATACCTAACCAAACTATCTAGAGTAGCAGTTGACAAATTTCTTTCCATAAAGCGCCAGATAGTAAATATTTTAGACTTTGTTAGACATGTCACAACTATTCACCTTAATAATCAGAGCATGAAAGCAGCCATAGAAAATATGTAAGTGAATGTGCATGGCGGTGGTTCAATAAAACTTTATTTACAAAAACAGACGATGGGTTGGATTGTTTTCCACAGGCTTTTATTTTTTCTGTTGTTCCCTGGGGGAATCCACTACATCCAGCTGTCCAGATTGATGTCATCAATATAGCAGAGCATCATGAGGCCCTTTTTGTGGAATGATGATGGATATGGCTCAACTTCAACAAAACTAGAGAATTACATATTCAGCCTGTGCAGCGATGAAGTTCTCTGCCACATAAAAGCAAACCACTTCTGGTGTTTTCAGAATAATAGTTTAGAGGTAATAAAGCATTCCCAAGAAAACAGATGCATAGTAAAATAAGCTGGATTAATTTTCTTTAGTGGAATGACATCTGAAATGCAACTGATATCTGAATGACTACCAGCTTAAACTTATCGATTTAGTTGAAACTTGTTTTTACATTAAATGAGCACATTAATTGGTTTGTTACAGAAATCACTGCTAAAGAACCTTTCAAATCTCTTTTTTTTTTGGTGTTTCTCCAGTTTGACCCTTCCTATATGATAATAAGGGCCCACAATGTGTATGTAGGACACCAGTAAAAGGAATCTGCTAATTTTTAGAAAAATTTACTCCAATTATACAATGAGGAACTGGTGATAATATTGATTGTTCCTGCTGGGCTATCTGAAGGCAGACGAGGGACAAAATAGAACCAATTATTTGACTTCCAAAAGACTTCCCTTGGCCATTAGATATCAGTGGAATTTTGAGTGTTCGGAAATTAGTGTTATCTTACTGCCAGGGTCAAATATTTGCAAATAAAGTAAATATACTTGTTTCATGCCCTTGTTTTTTTTTTTTTTGGCTATGTTTTGCCTAGAAATTATGGTAACTGAACTTTATTTATCATGGACAAGGTTTTATAAACATGATGAGCAAACCATTAGAACCATGGCTAACCAAGCAAGGTTACACACTAAGTCTAAAATTTCTGGTAAACACACATCCATACACAAATACAGTCAACTATAAAATAAAATTATGACACCTTCTTCTTGCAAAAGAACTTCAGAATTCAATCCTGCACAGCTTCTCTAGGTTTTTGTTAATATGGATTATAAAGTTTTCTGATTCTTTTAGTATGCCTTTATATGAATTTTCCTTGTATTGTCCCATCTGAGCATGTGCTGAGATCAAATGCTATTTACAGACTTCAAGAAAATAATGGGTGAGGGAAGTGGAAGCTGAGGGAGTGGCCTAAAAGAGGTGGGGACAACCTTATCAGACATGGAAGAAATAATTGATTCATTAGCAAGAAATCTTGGAGGGATTAAAGGTTTGAAATGCTCACCATCCTTTAAATCCCTCTCCACATGTCTCTAATTCTAATTTTGGGGACCCCACTTCTCAATGAATGTCAGGACTTCCATAAAACAGATTGACAAGGCTGTGATTTTTAGCAATAATGCCATCTAGATACCCACATCAATGTCAGATTTTGAGTTTGTTTTTGGCTATATCACTCTCGTGCCACCAAAAAATAAGAGATGATTTTGAACATTGCCTTATAAATTTTTCTATTTTCAATCAATGTCTTGGCATTAAAATGTATGGATTTAGGCTTATTTTGCTCTTTCTTGAAACCTTCCTATACTCCACAAGCAGCTGTAGCAACACAGAATCCTTGACTTCTTGATCACATTCAAACTGTTCCATGATATGGGTAAAATGGTCTGTGAAAGTCTTGAAGAGTAGATTAAGTCAGAACCAAGAGTCACACTGGGATTGAAGCAAAGGTAATAGACTATGGCAGTATCTTTGAGGTTGCTGATCATAGTTAATATTGCCCGATTGAATTACAGAGGGTGGGAAGTTCCCAACATTACTAAAGAAATGAACTTGATACTTGCTATTAGTTAATACTATTATATAATATAGAGATGTGTATATATATTACTTAACAGTATACATACTATTAAATTTTTAATTTTTTACAAAATTTTTAAATTTTTATTTTTTATATATATATATGTATACTATTAAATTTTTAAAAAGGGAATTAGAAAATGAGGCACCTTGAAAGGCAGAAATGTTTACTGGAAGCTCAAGATTTAAAACACTCATGAAAGGCTAAAACTGTAGCCTCAAACAAATGGTAAGATATACCTTGCTCTTGGATTGGGTGGCTCCACATCATCAATATGTCAATTCTTTCTAAGTTTTCTTAAAATTTTAAGGCTATGCTAGTTAAGCTGTCAATGAATTATTTTGGGAAAGCTAGATACATTGATTATAAATTTCATTTAAGGAAATCATCAAGACTAGCCAGAACACTCTTAATAAAAAGCAATGATTTGAAGGGGGTGCTAGATCTAGGTTTATAAAATCTGTTGTACACTCTTATACTTAAAATAATAAGGTGCTAGAATGTGAATAAGCAGAGAGTAAATAAAACAAGAAAAAGTTCCACAAATACCTAAATATCTGTGCACATTTGGTATTTGATAAAGATGACGTTTTTTAAATCGTTAGAGGCAACAATGGTTTCTTCAGTAAGTGGTGTTGCACTGTCTGAGAGCCATTTAAAAATATATGCCAGAATTTGAATAACATGAATTTGAAAAACCTGAGAAAGGTAATTAAGTACAAGTTAAGTAGAGGTTAAATACACATTAAATAACATGTGTGTATGGATACATATGTATACACATATAGTAACAAAATGCAAATAAAGAATAATGTTTCTGATATTTTCCATTCATATAAAATAAGAAAAATAATTAAATAAAAATTAAATTAAAAATACAATTAAATAAAAAACTAAATAAAAAAATAATTAAATGAAATAAAAATATTTATGGGCTTTTGCTTAGTTTTAGAAAACAGCATTAGAGTTTCACATCATAAACCTTAGAATGTTAAATCCTAAAGTATTTTAATGTTAACATCCTAAAGAATGTTAAATCCTCATCCTAAAGCATGAGGACTAGGGAGAAAGAAGTAGGGATGAATGAGTTACTTATTTGTGTATGTATTTTTATATATTTGAATTGCCTCCATATAATATTTTATATATTAAGAGTTCATAGATTAAGAGAGGAAGCATATTACAATATGGAAAAAATATATACCTAACAGTTTAACAAATTTATACACACAAACACATACAGGTGCATGTAAAATGAAATAGAACAAATACTGATTCAAATTACTTTTGAACATATAACTTCAATTATTTATATTAATATTAGCAGAGTATATTTTAAGAATAAAGATTTACTAAAATCTGTGAAAGTTTATTTGGCAGTATTAATGTTTGAACTACTGTTGGGGTTGGTGATTTTTAACCTCTTTTTTATATAGCCTGTTATAAAGTCTATTAATAAATATGCTTAAAAATATAACTATTGGGTACTGGGTTTAATACCTGGGTGATGAAATAATATTTACAACAGACTGTAATCCTAGCACTTTAGGAGGACGAGGAGGGCAGATTGCTTGAACTCACAAGTTTGAGACCAGCCTGGGCAACAGGGCGAAACCTCATTTCTACAAAAAGTACAAAAATTAGCCAGTCATGGTGGCACGTGTCTGTAGTCCCAGCTACTCAGTAGGCTGAGATGGGAGGATGGTTTGGACCTGGGAGGCAGAGGTTGCAGTGGGCTGAGATGGAGCCACAGCATTCCAGCCTGGGCTATAGAGTGAGACCTTGTCTCTCTCTGTCTCTCTCACACCTACACACATACACACACACACACAAAGAAAGAAAAAATAATATGTACAACAAACCCTCATGACACGTTTACCTATGTAACAAACCTTCACATGTACCCCCAAATCTAAAATAAAAATAAAAAAACACAAGAAATTGCAAAAATCTAATAGACTATTACATGACTGTATATAAAACAATGTAAAAATAACATAAGTATGCTATTATTATAAAAGGAGAGGTAAAATAAGAAAAATTTAAGCAAAAACTGTGATATTAAATTGATATTAAATTTGGCTTTAGTAACAATAGCACATATGATATATATATGTGTATATATACACACACACACACACACACACACACACACACACACACACACATGTTTTTTATGTATCTCCTAGCACTGCCCACTGTAAGGCCCTAGAATTTGAGAGGATACTGTAGTAAAATAAAGAAGCCTAGCAGCCATCGTATGTTTTCTACATACAATTGTCCACTAAAATTTTCCAGGGGTATTTGGAGTCCTGCTGTGGAACAGGTCTGTACAAAGTGCATCTTCAAAATCTTGTGTTAGAAACCAAGGAATCTCAGAGGTGAAGATGTTGCTATAACAGGAGGAAACTTGCAGAGGCTCTCCTGAGCCAACGTTGTGTCAAAATCAATGTCAAAAAAAGATGTTTGTAATTTAGTGAAACATTGAAAAAATAAAATCTGTTGTTCTGAGGCAGTACAAGAAGGAAAAGGGTGGGGTGGGGCGAGGTGAGCTGACTCCTTTGCTACCAATGGAAGTGATGATTTCATCATCTCATTCTGTAAAGTGGTGATTAATAGGAAAGAATTAGGCATTCACCCTCAATTTTCAGAAAGAATGCTATTTCAATTACACTTGAAAGGAGGAAAAATGCTTGTTTAAAGAGAATTCAGTTAATTTATAGGCTAGTAAATGTATATATATGTACATTTATATGTACATAATATATGTATGTATATATATTAAATGTATAATATGTATACATTTACATATAATATATTATATATATATTTTATATATATATATATATATATATATATATATATATATATAATTATTATTTTTTTTTAGATGGTGTCTCAACTCTGTTGCCCAGGCTGGAGTTTAATGGCACAATTTCCACTCACTGCAACCTCTGTCTCCCAGGCTCAAAGGATTTTTGTGCTTCCCGAGTAGCTGTGATTACTAGTGCATGCCACCATGCACAGCTAGGTTTTTTTTTTTTTTTTGTAATTTGTTTTTATTTTTATTCTTAGTAGAGACGAGGTTTTACCTTTTTGATCCAGCTGGTCTCAAACTCCTGACCTCAAGTAATCCACCAGCCTTGGCCTCCCAAAGTGCTGGGATTATAGGCGTGAGGCACTGCCTTTCTCCAAAAAATTTAAAAATTACTTTTCTACAACTCCAGTGGAAAAATTGAATAGGAAAAGATCTTAAATAAATGCTAACATTTTTTAGTGAAATTTGTTGATAATCATGATATTTACACAGTTTCAAATATCCACCCCAAACTTAATTGCTATTTGCAAAGGGGAAAACATGTTGGAAATTAATAGGTCTGGTGGTGACCACCGTGATCAAATTTTCGAAGTTAGCATTATAAAAGGTGAGACAATTTGACATTAATTGCTTCTTGATTGAGACAGTATAAAGTACTGACAACAACATATGTTGGATCTATGTATATATCACAGGTATGTTAAATCAAGCCAACTAACATATCTATCACCTTAGCAATTTATCATGTTTTTGTGTTGTGCAAATGTTAAAAATCTCTTGTTAAACAATTTTGTAATGTATGCTACATTTTTATTAACTGAAGTCACCATGCTGTGCAATAGATCACCAAGAGTTTCCTGAAGTCTGAAACTTTGTGCTCTTATTTTAATAGACATCTCCTCTTTCCTAATTCTTCTCCTTCCCCCAGCATCTGGCAACCCCTTTTCTTCTGTTTCCAAGTGATCAATTTTTTAATATACGTGCCACAATTATTATTTGTCAGTTAAAATAAATAAATGTATATAAAAAAGGAAAGAAAAAAAGTAATAACACTTGCCACAAATATTTTTACATGAATCTATCCACACTCTCAGACTTAACAGGTCTTTTATAGAAAATAAATGGGTGAACAAATGTTATGGCTCCATAAGGGAAACCATCAGGCAAATTAAAAATTGTGTAACTTTCCTTGTCGAAAACACTGGAGTACGAAGAAGAGGCATAATAAAACGTGCTTACCTCTAGAGGGCATAGCTGACTCCCTAGAGGAGGAAAGAAGAAGCTTGTAGTTTGTTGTTTCTTTAACCATATGTATGGATGACATTTATTGTAATATTAATTTGGAAATAGAAAATCAATGTTTTTTAAAAAAGAGTAGTTAGATGCAAATGACTGAAAGGGAATATAGGTTGTAAATGTTTCTTAGACCTACCAAATGAATATCATTGATTTGTTTATGACTTGGAAAAATATGTGTATCAATTCATGACTCTGTTTGACTCTATTATTCTGAATGTCAAACTATAGAAAATTATTTTCTTGGAAAATAAAATATAGACCCTTACCTGAAGCATGCGCAGAAGGATATATGTGCCTGTAGGATATTAAAAATTATTCAGAATATGTTATTAAAGGATTTTCTCAAAGAAAAATATAATGAAAAACATGGCTTTTATCTATGCTCCCCCAAAAGACAAAAAACTGAAAATATTTGCACAACAAATACGACCTTGTCCTTCAGCAGGGTTCCCCAGCTTATACTTTCACAGAGGTACAGGAGAAGGGATGTCTTCAAGGGCCTTGTGGTGGGTGCCTGTAAACCCAGCTACTCAGGAGGCTGAGGCAGGAGAATGGCGTGAACCCGGGAGGTGGAGGTTGCAGTGAGCCGAGATCACACCATTGCACTCCAGCCTGGGCAACAAGAGTGAAACTCTGTCTCAAAATAAATAAATAAATAAATAAATACAAAAAATAAAAACAAAAAAATTAGGACATCTAATATTTCATTTGGTTCCTGATATAAACTAAATCTGTCAAATATTTTCTCACATTTTCAGCTGTGACTGAACGTTACTTATTAATTATGCACATTTTTTGGTGCTTTACTTCTCCAAAATGAGCTTCTTCTTTTCATTATTTGCAATCTTTATTGTGACCAGGCTGATATATTATCTCTATTGTAGTTTTCTCTGTTAATAGAGATTCTCTTAAACAATTTAAGAGAATAAAAATGTACTTATTTAGTAACCAAAGCACAGAGAAAACTGTAATAGAGGAAATACATCATCATTAACTTTGGTTGAAATGCTGAATATTTCTAAGATAAAGAGTGAGGTGAAAATTTTATAGATGCACTTTTCCATGTAAGCATTTGTAATGACTAAATGCAAAATTTCTTCAAAAGGATACAGTGATGTGAACATAATTTTAACGTTGGGAGAAATATATGGATTTAGATATATAGATTTCTATAAAATATTATAGAGAACCAATAAAACAATACAATTATGGCTGGATAAAAATTATGTCTCCAAAATCAACTCTGTGATGATAAGAAAAAACAAATCTAAGCCAGATGATAAAATATTAAACACAGCCACACATACACACATTTGAATACCATCAACTGATATTTTTGATGTATGTAAACAAAAAAGCTTACAAGTATTTTTTTGTACTATATAATGTTTTAAATTATAATTAGAAGGCTTGTTATTATCTGTACTAGACGACATACTTGTGAAAAGTAATATTATCTTTCATTTGTTCCTTTCTTTCCATTCACATTTGATGAATATCATAATTTCAGAAAGGACTTGAATGAATATATTTTTAGTGGCTTTTAATCTTACACTCTCAAAGTGCAAAATGATCTTAATAGTTAATAGAAAAAATGATTGTTCTGTGACCTATGAAAATTTTTGTGAAAACATTGAACAGCCTCCTATTGTTGGTTAAAAGTGGATAGAAAAATGAAAACAATAGTAAAACTAATGCATATTTAGTATACTTTAAGATAAAATATCAGAAACATTGACAGAAAATATTTATGTTTCTGTAAAAAACTTATGAGTAGTTTGAAGAGAGCCAGCACTCTTCTCATGGTGTAATTTCAGGATACAGAGTGAGGCCAACTGCCTCTCTTAAAGTTTGCATCAGTTTCCAACATTTTATCCTTTGCACGTTCAATCTCATAAAATATTTCTAAGAATTTCTTTAATGGGAAGGTTTTGTTGGTGTTACTTTCTCTTGGGTGCTTGCATCCTTATTTTTTCATAGCCACTTTAGTCATTATGGCTAATTATTTCTGCATTATTTTATATAATTATGAAAGTCCATGTATTAAAATCTATTAGGATGATGATTTTCTGGGTGAGGAAACTGAGGCACAGAAATGTAAAGTAACTTTCCAATGCCACCATTAGCAGCAGATAGAACCAGGATTCAGACTCCAGCAATTTAACCCTAGAACAGGCTTAAATCATTTTGAGAGGTGAAGCCAGCTGGACTTCCTGGATTGAGTGGGGACTCGGAGAACTTTTCTCTCTAGCTAAAGGATTGTAAATACACCAATCAGCACCCTGTAAAAACGCACCAATCAGTGCTCTGTGACTAGCTAAAGGATTGTAAATGCACCAATCAGCCCTCTGTAAAAACACCAATCAGCGCTCTGTGTCTAGCTAAAGGATTGTAAATGCACCAATCAGCACTCTGTAAAATGGACCAATCAGCACTCTGTAAAATGGACCAATCAGCACTCTGTAAAATGGACCAATCAGCAGGACATGGGCAGGGACAAATAATGGAATAAAAGCTGGCCACCCCAGCCAGCAGCAGCAACCCGCTCAGGTTCCCTTCCGTGCTGTGGAAGCGTTGTTCTTTAGCTCTTCAGAATAAATCTTGCTGCTGCTCATTCTTTGGGTCCACACCACCTTTAAGAGCTGTAACACGCTGTAACACTTGCTGTGGAGGTCTGAGACTTCGTTCTTGAAGTCAGTGAGACCACTAACCCACCGGAAGGAAGAAACTCTGGACACATCTGAAGGAACAAACTCCAGACATAACACTCACTGTAAAGGTCTGCGGCTTCATTCTTGAAGTCAGCGAGACCAAGAACCCACCGGAAGGAACCAACTCCGGACAAAATTTAACCACAAGTCCAATAATCTGTGTGATTAAAACGTCTCAACACCTTGGCCCTGCCCCAGAACAATTTCTGAAGGTGAGGCTCAGGCATTGGTGTGTTTTAAAAGCTTCTCAGACAACTCTAATGAACGGCCATGATAGATAATTACTGCTTCTGAGCCGCCAGGGATTACTAATAAGCATTAGCAGCGTTGATAACCTGAAGGAGAAACTACACTCTTCAGTAACTGGTGTTAAGACAGTTGGAAACAAGGTAAGATTGGATATCTACCTCACACATTTGCCTTGGGAAATTCCTAGTGGTTCAATCACTAAATGTATGAATTGTTACTATGTAATTCAAATAGAAAATATGACAGAATAGGTATGTGCCCTAGGGAATAGAGAGAAAAGGCCAAAAGCCAGAAAAACAACAACAACAAGAAAACAAAAACCACAAGAGTAAAAAATTGCCTGCAAAATTAAACTCAAATTACTGAGTATGCACTATTTTAATTGCTTATGGTCACTAAATGGATTAATTTTTCAATCTTTATGTTTTCAAGTCTGTGCGATAAAGCAGTACTCTGGCTAAAACAGCGCCATCACACAAGTCCAGTTGGGTCTGGCTTCAGCTAGACTATTTCGTGCTGCATGATATTGTATCAGGCAGTGTTCTAATACATTAAGAATACTTTAAACTTTTTTTGATTATTTAAATTTTACAATTTGGCTGTTAATTTTGTAAACCCAGAAAACCTGAGAATGGTCTCAGTTAATTTTGAAAGTTTATTTTGCCAAGGTTGAGGATACTCTTCCGTGACACAGCCACAGGAGGTCCTGACAACGTGCCCAAGGTGGTTGGGGCACAGCTTGGTTTTATACATTTTAGGGAGATATGAGACATCAATCAATATACATAAGAAGTACATTGGTTCGGTCTGGAAAGGCGGGACAACTTGAAGCAAAGGAAGGAAGACTCAAAGTTGGGAGGGGTCTTCCGGGTCACAGATAGGTGAGAGACAAGCAGTTGTGTTCTTTTGAGTTTCTGATTAGCCTTTCCAAAGGAGGCAATCAGATATGCATTGATTTCAGTGAGCAGAGGGATGGATAACTGCGTAGAAGGAGAGGCAGGTTTGCCCTAAGCAGTTTCCAGCTTGAGTTTTCCTTTTAGCTTGGTGATTTTGGGGGCCCAAGATACTTTCTTTCACAATTTTTAAGAAAATATTTTTTATTCATTTTAAAAGAAGCCTCAAATAGCATTAATAAGGCTTTTTTATACTGTCGAGTAGAAAAGCATTATGTTCTGTACTATTAATTGAAAAATTGTGAATTTTTCAGCTATTTTTAAAAATAATATTCATTCTTGACAAAATGGTGCCCATGCAGCATTTCCAGAAATAAAAATCAATATAAATAATGGAGAGGGATATATTCACTGCAGCTGCTATAGTAAATGAATGGCTGGAACTTTGTTTAGTAGAACAATTTTTCAATAATTAATCAGTTATACATATTTGACATAAATACATGTAAATATGCTCTTATCAAGTGTCACAAAAATAGGGAATGTATTGTTTTTTAAATCTTTGTATTTATGGAATATAACTACACATTTAAGCAACAAGGTTGAAATAAATCCTTTATTTTTAATAATTTCGTTCTCAATTTCAGACAATAGCTTAAAGAAACAAAAAGGCTCTCAGTAAGTTCAGCTCCACAACTACAGCAAACCTTTGGTTTAAAAAACTTATTTTGAGAATTACCAAGTTGAATATAAAAGCAGTATTTTTCTTTGATACAATCACATTTCGATTACTCTCTAAAAGACACCATGTTATCATTTTTGTGTATGGTGAGAACACTTAATTTGGGATCTAGTTTCCTAACAAATTTTTAAAATATTCAATACAGTATTGTTAATTACAGGCATAATGTTTTACAGAGGAACTCTAGAATTTATTTACCTTGCATAACTGAAACTTTATGCTCATTGAATAACTCGCGATGTCCTCCTTCCCCAGACCCTGGTTAACTACCATTCTAGTTTCTGCTTCTTCAAATTTGATTATTTTAGTTACCTCATATGAGTGAGATCGTGCAATATTTGTCCTTTTGTGTCTTGCTTATATTACTGAACAAAATGTCCTACAGTTTCACTCATGTTGTTGCAAATGGAAAGATTTCCTTTTCATTCTCTTTCAAGTCAGAATAACATTTTATTGTACAAAAATATATGCTACATTTTCTTTATGTATTAAACTGTCAACAGACAAGTGGCTTCCATATATTGGCTATTGTGAATAATACTGCAATGAACGTGGGAGTGCAGGTATCTCCTTGAGATAGTGATTTTATTTCCTTTGGATGTAAACCCAGAAGTTGTGTTGCTGGATCATATGGTAGTTCTATTTTCAATATTCTAAGGAACTTCTACATGTTTTGTGTTGCAATTTCACCACTTTACCTTCTTATCAACAGTCTGCAAGGGTTCCCTTTTCTCCACATATTCACCAGCTCTTGCTTTCTTTTTTTCTTATAATATCCATCTGATATGGTTAGGCTTTGTGTCCCCAGTCAAATCTCATCTTGAGTTACAATCTCCATAATTCCCACGTGTCAAGGGAGAGACCATGTGGAGGTAATTGCATCATGGGGGTGGTTTCCCCCATGCTGTTTTTGTGATGGTAATCTCTTACACTGCTGTAGCTCAATAACACACCTATATTAGCATTGGTGTAGTCGCCATACAGAACATTATCATTACCACAAGGGTCATTCAGGTTGAATTTTTTTCTAGTTTAACTGAAGTATAATTGATAAATTGAAATTTTATATATTTAATGTACACAATGTGATGTCTTAATATAAATAGACAATGTGAAATGATTACCACGATCAAGCTAATTAACATATCCATCACCTCACACAGCTATCATATTTTTGTGTGCATGGCAAGAACACGTGAGATCTACTCTATTAGCAAATTTCAAGCACAGAGTACATTATTATTAACTACAGTCATCATATTGTATATTAGGTCTCCAGAAATAATTACATCTTGTAAGTGAAACCATGGAACTATTGACCAACATCCCTGAATTTCTGCACCCTCTAGGCACTGGTAATCGCAATTCTACTCTCTATGAATTTGAATTTTTTAGATTTCATATATAAGTGAGAGCATGCAGTATTTGTCTGTGTCTAGATTTTTCCATTAAACATAATGCCCTCCAGGAAAACCTATGTTGTTGGAAATGGAAGAATTCTCTTTTGCTTTTAAAGGCAGAATAGTGTGTGTACGTGTGTGTGTGTGTATGTTTGCGTGTGTATGTGTTTGTGTGTGTGTTTGTGTATTTGTGTATCCTTGAGAAAAATTTCTATTGGCTTTTTTGTCCATTTTTTAACTGGGTTGTCTTTTTGGATGTTATGTTGTAAGAGTTCCTTCCTATTGTTTAATATTAACCCTATTTAATATACGGTTTGCAAATATTTTCTTCCAATATATAGATTGTCTTTTCATTTTGTTGTTGTTGTTTTCTCTTTTTGCTCTGCAGAAAGTTTCTAGTTTAGTTTGATGTAGTCCCATTTGTTTATTTTTGCTTTTAATGTCTGTGCTTTTGTTGTCCTGTTCAAAAAAATCATTGTCAAGATCAACACCATGGAGCTTTTTCCTCTATGTTTTCTTCTAGGAGTTTTACGGTGTTAGGTCTAATTATTGTCTTTAAGCTGTATTGAGTTGATTTTTGTGTATGATATAAAATAAAGGCTGAATTTCATCATTTTTCCATGTGGATATCCAGTTTTCCTAACACTATTTATTGAAAAAACTAACCCTCCCCCATTATATATTTTTTGCACCTTTGTCAAAGTTGACCGTATATATGTGAATTTATTTCTAGGCTCTATTCACTTCTCTTTGTCTATGTGTCTGTTTAATGCCAGTACCATATTTTTTTTATTACTGCAGCTTTGAAATGTGATTTGAAATCAGAAAGTGTGATTTGTTTTTGCTTATGACTGCTTTGGCCATTAGAGGCCTTTTGAGATTCCATATACATTTTAAAATTGTTGTAACTATTTCTGCAAAAATTGCCATATGAATTTTGATAGAGATCGAATTGATTTTGTAGATGTCTTTAGGTAATATGGGCATTTTAATAATTTAATTATCTTAATTCACTAATATTATTTTTCCAGTCCATGAACATAATATGTCTTTGTTTGTCTTCTTCAATTTATTAAATTAATGTTTTATAGATTTCAATGTACAGGTCTTTCACTTGCTTGGTTAACATTACTTCTAAGTATTTTATTGTTTTTTATGCTATTGCTAATGGGATTGCTTTCTTAATTTATTTTTTTCAATAGCTTGTTGTTAGTTTATACAAATGCAACTGTTTTTCTATGCAGATTATGTATCCTGTAACTTTATTTCCTGAATTCATTTATTTGTTCTAACAGTTTATTGGTGGTGTCCTTATGGTTTTCTATATATGAGACCATGTCACTTGCTCATAGAAGCAATTTTAATTCTTCTCTTACTATTTGAATGTCTTTCATTTCCTTTTCTTGCCTAAGCATCCTGGCTAGGACTTATATTACTATCTTGAATAAAAATGATGAGTGGGCATCCTTGTCTGGTTCCTAATCTTAGGGAAAAAGCTTTCAGCTTTTTACCATTGAGTATGTTGATAGCTGTGGGCTTGTCATATATGGCCTTTGTTATGTTGAAGTACATTCCTTTTATATCTAATTTGTTGACAGTTTTTATTATAAAAGAAACCTGAAGTTTGTCAAATGCTTTTTCTGCATATATTCAGATGAGCATATATTTCCTATTCTTACCTCTATTAATGTGTTGTATCACATTATTGACTCGTGTATGTTGAATCGTCTTTGCATCTCAGTGTTACATGTCACTTGATCATAGTATGTGATCCTTATAATGTGCTTATGAATTTGGTTTGCTTGTAGTTTGTTCAGGAGATTTGCGTCTATGTTCATCAGAGGTAATGGCCTGTTTTCTTTTCCTGCAGTGTCCTTTTATGTCTTTAGTATCAGGGCAATACTGACATTGTAACATGAATTTGGAAGTCTCCCCTCTTCCTCAATTTTTTTGAGGAGTTTGAAAAGCATTGACATTAATTGTTTAAATGTTAGGCGAAAATTCACTAGTGATGCCGTGTGGTTCCAGGCCATTCTTTTTTGGGAAGTTTTTGATTAACGACTCAAAATGCTTTCTCATTATTGGTCTGTTCATATTTTCTATTTCAATATGATTTAATATTGGTAGCTTGTTTGCGTCTAGGAATTTATCCATTTCCTATAGGTTATCCAATTTGTTAGTACATAATTATTCATAGTAGCCTCTTATGATCATTTGCCATTTTTGCAGTCTCAGTTGCAATGTCCCATCTTTCATTTCTAATTTTACTTATTTGAGTCCTCTCCCATGTTTTTCACAGTGTAGGAGAAGGTTTGTCAATATTGTTTATTTTCTCAAAAATCAACTTTTGTTGATAATTTCTATTATTTTTTGGTCTTTATTTCATATAACTATGCTCTGATCTTTGTTACTTTCTTCTTTTTACTCAGTTTAAGCTTTATTCTTATTTTCCAGCTGCTGAAGGTATATAGTTAGGTTGTTTATTGGATACCATTCTTTTCCGTTAATGTCAGTGGTTACTGCTATCAATGTAGCAGTTAGAATTCTACTTAGAATTGCCTTTGCTGCATCACATATATTCTGCTATTTTGTGTTTGCATTTTCAGTGGTATCTATCTATCTATCTATCTATCTATCTATCTATCTATCATCTATCTATCTATCTCTTCTTTAAACTATTCGTTGTTTAGGAGTGTGCTGTTTAATTTCTTCCTATCTGTAAATTTTCTAATTATCCTCATATTTTTTATTTCTAGTTTAACAACATTGTGTTCAAAAAACATACATGGTATAATTTCAATCTTCTTAAATTTGTTAACACTTATTTTGTAGCTTAACATATGATCTATACTAAAGTGTCTTCCATGTGCACTGGAGGAGATGTATTCTATTGCAGTTTGATGGAAGGTTCTGTCATGTCTGTTAAATCTATTTGGTCTAAAGTGGAATCCAGTGTTTCCTTATTGATTATCTTTCTGGATAATCTACCCATTTTTGAAAGTGGGACACTGAAGTCCCATATTATCATTGTGTTGCTGTATCTTTGTCCCCTCAGTTATATTAATATTTTCCTTACATATTAAGTGTTCTGATGTTGGGTATACATATATTTACAACTGTTATATTACTTAATTGGCCGCTTCATCACTATATAATGACCTTCTTTTTCTCTTTTGACAGTTTTTGAATCCAAATTCCTTTTTTTCTTTATTTTATTATATATATTTTAATTATAATTTAAGTTCTAGGGTACAGGTGCACAATGTGCAGATTTGTTACATATGTATACATGTGCCATGTTGCTGTGCTGCACCCATTAAGTCGTCATTTACATTAGGTATATCTCCTAGTGCTATCCCTCCCCCCTTCCCCCACCTCACAACGGGCCCCAGGGTGTGATGTTCCCCTTCCTGTGTTCAAGCGTTCTCACTGTTCAATTCCCACCTATGAGTGAGAACATGTGGTATTTGGTTTTCTGTCCTTGAGATAGTTTGCTGAGAATGATGGTTTCCAGCCTCATCCATGTCTCTACAAAGGACATGAACTCATCATTTTTTATGGCTGCATAGTATTCCATGGGTAAATGTGCCACATTTTCTTCAGTCTATCATTGTAGGACATTTGGCTTGGTTCCAAGTCTTTGCTATTGTGAGTAGTGCCACAATAAACATACGTGTGCATGTGTCTTTATAGCAGCATGATTTATATTCCTTTGGTTATATACTCAGTAATGGGATGGCTGGGTCAAATGGTATTTCTAGTTCTAGATCCCTGAGGAATCGCCACACTGTCTTCCACAATGGTTGAACTAGTTTACAGTCCCACCAACAGTGTAAAAGCATTCCTATTTCTCCACATCTGCTCCAGCACCTGTTGTTTCCTGACTTTTTAATGATCACCATTCTAACTGGTGTGAGATGGTATCTCATTGTGGTTTTGGTTTGCACTTCTCTGATGGCCAGTGATGATGAGCATTTTTCATGTGTCTGTTGGCTGCATAAATGTCTTCTTTTGAGAAGTGTCTGTTCATATCCTTTGCCCACTTTTTGATGGGGTTGTTTGTTTTTTTTCTTGTAAATTTGTTTGAGTGAGTTCTTTGTAGATTCTGGATATTAGCCCTTTGTCAGATAAGTAGATTGCAAAAATTTTCTCCCATTCTGTAGGTTGCCTGTTCACTCTGATGGTAGTTTGTTTTGCTGTGCAGAAACTCTTTAGTTTAATTAGATACCATTTGTCAATTTTGGCTTTTGTTGCCATTGCATTTGGTGTTTTACACATGAAGTCCTTGTCCATGCCTATTTATGGTATTGCCTGTTTTCTTCTAGGGTTTTTATGGTTTTAGGTCTAACATTTAAGTCTTTAATCCGTCTTGAATTAATGTTTGTATAAGGTGTAAGGAAGGGATCCAGTTTCAGCTTCCAATAACAGGTTCTCAAATTGAGGCAATAATTTATAGCTTACCAAACAAAAAAAGTCCAGGACCAGATGGATTCACCACGGAATTCTACCAGAGGTATAAGGAGGAGCTGGTACCATTCCTTCTCAAACTATTTCAATCAATAGAAAAAGAGGGAATCCTCCCTAACTCATTTTATGAGGCCAGCATCATCCTGATATCAAAGACTGGCAGAGACACAGCAAAAAAAAAGAGAATTTTAGACCAATATCCCTGATGAATGTCGATGCAAAAATCCTCAATAAAATACTGGCAAACTGAATCCAGCAGCACATCGAAAAGCTTATCCACCACGATCAAGTGGGCTTCATCCCTGGGATGCAAGGCTGGTTGAACATATACAAATCAAGAAACGTAATCCAGCATATAAACAGAACCAAAGACAAAAACCACATGATTATCTCAATAGATGCAGAAAAGGCCTTTGACAAAATTCAACAGCCCTTCATGCTAAAAACTCTCAATAAATTAGGTATTGATGGGATGTATCTCAAAATAATAACAGCTATTTATGACAAACCCACAGCCAATATCATACTGAATGGGCAAAAACTGGAAGCATTCCCTTTGAAAACTGGCACAAGACAGGGATGCCCTCTCTCACCACTCCTATTCAACATTGTGTTGGAAGTTCTGGCCAGGGCAATCAGGCAAGAGAAAGACATAAAGGGTATTCAATTAGGAAAAGAGGAAGTCAAATTGCCCCTGTTTGCAGATGACATGTCTGTATATTTAGAAAACCCCATTGTCTCAGGCCAAAATCTCCTTAAGCTGATAAGCAACTTCAGCAAAGTCTCAGGATACAAAATCAATGTGGAAAAATCACAAGCATTCTTATACACTAATAACAGACAAACAGAAAGCCAAATCATGAGTGAACTCCCATTCACAATTGCTTCAAAGAGAATAAAATACCTAGGAATCCAACTTACAAGGTATGTGAAGGACCTCTTCAAGGATAACTACAAACCACTGCTCAAGGAAATAACAGAGGACACAAACAAATGGAAGAACATTCCATGCTCATGGATAGGAAGAATCAATATTGTGAAAATGACCATACTGCCCAAGGTAATTTATAGATTTAATGCCATCCCCATCAAGCTACCAATGACTTTCTTCACAGAATTGGGAAAAACCACTTTAAAGTTCATATGGAACCAAAAAAGAGCCGGCATTACCAAGTCAATCCTAAGCCAAAAGACCAAAGCTGGAGGCATCACACTCCCTGACTTCAAACTATACTGCAAGGCTACAGTAACCAAAACAGCATGGTACTGGTACCAAAACAGAGATATAGACCAATGGAATGGAACAGAGCCCTCAGAAATAATACCACACATCTACAACTATCTGATCTTTGACAAACCTTACAAAAACAAGAAATGGGGAAAGGATTCCCTATTTAACAAATGGTGCTGGGAAAATTTATTTTTTTCATATAAGTATCCCTATTTTCTTTTGGTTTCCATTGGCATAGAAGATCTTTGTTGGCTGGGCATGGTGGCTCACACCTGTAATCCCACCACTTTGGGAGGTTGAGGCGGGCAGATCACCAGGTCAGGAGATCGAGACCATCCTAGCTAACAGGGTGAAACCCCGTCTCTACTAAAAATACGAAAAAAATCAGCCAGGCGTGGTGGCAGGTGCCTGTAGTCCCAGCTACTCGGGAGGCTGAGGCAGGAGAATGGTGGGAACCCAGGAGGCGGAGCTTGCAGTGGGCTGAGATCTCGCCAGTGCACTCCAGTCTGGGCGACAGAGCAGGACTCCGTTTCACAAAAGAAAAAAGAAAAAAAGAAGAAGATCTTTCTCTATTCCTTTATTTTCACTCTATGTTTATCCCTAAAGCTCAAGTAAGTCTATTACAGGCAGCTTGTAGTGGGGTCTTGATTTTTATTTTTATCCACTTAGCCACTCCTTCTTTTGATTACAGAGCTTAATCAATTTACTTTTAAAGTAAATATTTATATAAAAGGACTTAGTATTCCCATCCGGTTAAGTGTTTTCTGACTGTTTCTGACAGTCCCATCGTTCCTTTCTTCTTCTCCTGCTATTTTCCTCTGAAATTTAATAATTTACTGCATTGGTAAGCTTTGATTTATTTGTTTTTACCTCTTGCGTATCTACTATAAATTTTTGCCTTGTAGTTAACATGAGGTTTACCTAACACATCTTACAAAGAAAATAGTACATTTTAAGGCAATTACAACTTAAATTCAATTGCATACACCATCTCTACACTTGTACTTCCTTCCATCTATATTTTATTTTTTGATGTCACATTTTACATGTTGTTATATCATGTATCCGTTAACGTGTTATTTTAGCTGCAGTTATATTTAATAGTTTCTCTTTTAATTTTTATACTAGAGTTAAGAGTGATTTACATGGCACTGTTATAATAATGTGAATATTCTAAATTTGATTGCATACTTAACTTTACCAGTGAGTTTCTCCTTCATTTCTGAGGAAATAAAGTTAGGTTGGGACAGATTTTCTCAGTTACTGGTGGTGCCCACGGGCCAGTTTGAGGGATTCACAGGTGAAGCCTCCTGAGTGGCTCCCAGGTAGGCTCCCGGATGGACTCCACAAGTAATTGGTGGCCATCTTTTCACTTCACAGTCCTGGTTTCCGTGAGTTTCTTCCTATTTTCCCTGCTCCCAGCTTCTCCCAACCACTCAGTCATGTCAGCAGTCTAAGTGAGGTGAGAAAGAGGAGGTTCTCTTGGACAGCATCCCACACAGTTGGGGAAAGCAGGCACTCACTATGCACTCACTTTTTTCTGTGGTAGAAATAACAAGTGTCTCTCTTTACACTGAACTGTGCTGCTTTGGGGAAGATGACGGGTGAGGTAAAACTGTTATTACAGTCTTCAGTTGTTTGTTTTTAGATTTTGTGTTCCAGTGTCATTTCTGAACTTCTTTACTGGACTTTGGGATTTCCACAAAGCTATTCTTGTTCACAAGTGCTTGTTAAAATCAATGACGGTAGACAATACCTAGTCTGCCATCTTGCTGACATCAGATCTCTCATTTGAACTTTTATATCCATATTCACTTCCTTCCCAATAAACACCCTATTATTAACCCCTGACAACCAGTAATCATTTTCCATCTCTATGATTTTTATCATTTCAAGAATATTATACAATTGGAATCATACAATATGTAACCTTTTGGGAATGGCTTTTTTTTTTCTCAGCAAAACTCTTTGGAGAGTCATCCAGTTTTTTGTGTATATCAATAGTTTATTCCTTGTTATTGTAGAATAATAATCCATGATACAGGTATGCTAGAGCTTGTTTGATCATTCACATGTAGAAGGTCAACTGGATTGACTCCAGTTTGGGGTTATTATGAGTAAAACTGCTCTAAACTTTTATTTATAGACAGTCTCTAAACATAACCCTTTATTTCTTGGCAATAAATGCCTAGAGATGCAATTGTTGGATTGTATAATGCATGCATGTTTAGTTTTTCAAGAAACTGACAATTATTTTCCAGAGTGTTTTATCGTTTTGTATTTCCATCATTAATGTATGATTGATCCAGATTCCCCACATCTTTACTAGCATTTGATGTTGTTACAAAATTTTGTTTTAGCTATTTTATAAGTGTATAATGATATCGAATTATAGGTGTAATTTGCATTTCTTTAATAGGGAATGGTGTCAAACATATTTTCATGTGCTTATTTGTCACCTGTATATTTTGGTAAAATGTCTTTTTATATATGTTGCTCATGTTCAGTGTGGATTTTTTGTTGTTTTTACTGTTGAATTTTGAGAGATTTTCATGCATCTAGATAATAGTTTTTGTCAGATGTGTGATTTACAAATATTTTCCCTCAGTCTGTCGTTTGTCTTTTTCAATATCTTCATAGGGTCCTTTTCACGGCAAAATTTTGATTTTATGAATTCTAATGTAACCACTTTTCCCTTTAAGACTAGGGTATTAGCAGAATTTTCAGAATTCTTAGAACTCTTTGTCTAGACCTATATTTTGAAGCTGCTTCTTCGGTTTATTTATTTTTTTCTAAATGTTTTATACTTTCATGGTTTCATTTAAGTCCATGAACCATTTTGAGTTACTTTTTGTATAATTTGTGAGATATTTTGGACATCCTCCCCACTGCCCGCCTCCATGGATGTCTAATTGCTTCAGCACCACTATTTGCTGAAAGGACCATTTTACTTCAATTGAACTGCTTTTGCACCTTTGTCAAAATTCAGTTGGGCATATTTATGTGGGTCTATTTCTGGGTTCTCTATTCTGTTCTATTGATTTTTATGTCTATGCCTTCACCAGTACCACACAGTTTGGATTGCTGGTACTGTATATAATACAACTTGAAATTGGATAGACTGATTCTGTTCACATTATTTTTCTTTTTCAATATTGTTTTAGATCATATAGTTCCTTTGCCTTTCCACATAAGTTTTGGAATAAACATCTTTTCTACATCAACAAATATTGCTGAGATTTTGATAGAAATTGCATTAACCCAGTGTATCAATTAATAGAGCATAAACAAATTTACTACATTTTGTCTTCTAATTCATAAACATGATATTTCTCTCCATTGTGCGTTCTTTGACTTTTTAAACCACTGTTGTATAGTTTTCAGCATAAAAATATTGTACATATTTTGTGAGATTCCTGCCTATTATTTTCTTTTTAAAATAACTTAAAAATTTTTGGTGTCTCTGTGTTCATTCCTGGTAGTAGAATTTGTAAGTCCAGTTTTCCTTCTATTGATACTCAACAGGAAGTGGCTTCTCGTTATTGCTGGGAGGATGTGATAGGTCCAGCTCCCCACTAGGCCTTCACTGATACATTCCTGGCAAGTCCAGATGGGAGAGCCTCATTAACGTTTCCACATTGTCTCCAGAGACTTCACGGAGAGTGGAGACCTTTTTACCACCTGGTGTGAATGAAGTCCTGGCTCCCTCCTTAGCCTTGTCTGATCATGGAGAGTGGAGACCTTTTTACCACCTGGTGTGAATGAAGTCCTGGCTCCCTCCTTAGCCTTGTCTGACACTATCCTGGTTTGGAGTGGGAATTAAGGAGACCTGTTAGAATCCAGTAAGGGAAAAGCTGTGGTTCCCCACTTGATCATTGTGGGCCTGGGTGAGAGTGAAGCCACAGCTGGAAATAGGTCTCTCTTGTTAGATCACTTCTTTCTTTATCATATGGCTAGAGAGAACAGAATTTTAGAGAGCTAATTTGTCTTAGCCCTGTAGCATTTTTGCTGCCAGCATCTTCATCTTTATATATAGGATATATGAGACAGAAAGAAAATCTAAGGACCTCACCATCATGCCATTTCTTAAATCCTGAGACCTCGGGCCATTCTGCCTTCTCTCCATTTTTCAGACTCTTCTTATGATTGTTTCATGTATAATGTCTAGAGTTTTCAGTTGTACTTCATAGGAAGGATAGAGAATGTGTTTACCAGGGGTAGAAAGTGAGCAAAACATTTTTGATGGTGTAATGCTATGATGGTTGCTTATTCAAATCAAGGGCCTGCTATTATCTAAACAAGCAAAAGTCATGTTTATGGAACAACATGTGTAATAAATTACTAAATAAATAAAGAAATGAACAGATTTATGTGTGATAAAAGAAACATCAAATTCATTTGGAAACAAATGGGTTATTTAAAAGGCAGTGTTTGAATTATAGCTTAATAAATCATAGAATGTTGAGAGGCTATAAATTGAAACTACCATTAAGGATAATATTTCTGAGGAATCTTTAATGAAATAGAAATTTCATAAGCTATCGTGTTAAGTAAAAAATGTATGCTATTATACTTTATAAGCTAAATATTAGAAAAGATAAATTTGATGTGTATTAACAATTTTCAAAGGGAAAAAACTTTCCAAATATTAATAAAAATATTATATTTAGATTTTATTATCATTACATAAATGGTCTGACGTATATTGTTCTATATTTTTAACTTCTTCAAAAGTTAGGCTTGTATAAAAATGTTGACATTTTTTATTTTATACATGTATAAATCAACTATCTCTAAAACTCATTCACAATGACTAAAACATTTACAGCTACATCCTTAATGCCTTTCATGTTATCTAACATTTTTTAGCATATTGAGAAAAACTTTACATAAGTGAGAAAAAACATAAACATATATCCTAGAATATTTTCTATAATTACATGATATTAATATTATTTAAAATTATGTTTGCTTTCAGAAAATATTTCTTGTATACCTACCATTGGCCAGCCTTATTGGCGTTTACAGTATTTTTCTTAATTCTTACTAAATATCTACAAAATTATTTTATTCTTTTATTTTACATGTGTGGAATTGAAAATCTGAAGATTTAAAGAAATTCGTGTAAAGTTTCCCAGATTATTCATAGTAAATTAGGTTTTACCTCTAGGTCAGTTTAAGCCAAACTTAGAGACTTTTTTTTTTCTGTTAACTATAACAGAGGTAGAGATTTAAACAGATTTGTAAAGAATGTTTTATGAGTGACTTAATTTTTTATTGAACTTTCAGTTTTTTATTTAAAATTAAATTGTAATTTAATCTTTGGATTTCTAAATTCTTCTGTGCTGAATGGGGATGAGATAGAGTGGAGATTTTTTGTGGCAAATAGAATTTGTTTTGCAATAGTAGGATGGGCTTTCTACGGAAAAATTCACATTTTAAGTCACAGGATTTTTTTTATTATTGTTTTCAAGACAGTTATTTTTACATTGAAAAATCATTGTTCAGAATCCATTAAAATAAAAGATTATTTTTCTGTTGTTACTGCATTTTTTTCTTATAGTTATAATGTTATTTGAAATTATACTTTGCGCTTTTCCAGGGTTAAAGGCTTCTGGAAGGAAATGATTTTGTTTAATGATAGAGGTGTAAACAAGTTTTCTTAGCACCTTGATTAGAAACTTTTAAGGATTTGTGATGCAATGTAAACATTAATCAATTATCTGTGATTTGTACTTGAATATCTCTACACCACTTTAGGATGATTGTAGTAGTAATGTTTTCTGTTTAAGAGACTTGATATTTGTCTTTTTGGAGTAATATTAATTTTTTATTATACACATGATTAATTGAATGAAATACATACTGTGTATCTCCTCCATGTATAGCTATCTTTCTGCTGGAATATATCTGTAAAGAATTGTTTAATTTTAAATAAATTTTGATTTATTGTTAAAAATATAAAATGCATTCAACATGCATTCTTCTCCTTTCAAATAATGTTGTTATTTTAATAATGTTATTTTAACAATGTGTTAGCATGTTATTTTGATTAATAAAATACTGACTCATGTTTTCTTATGCTTATGTTTTTGTGATATTACTGAATTTTTTAAAAATACATAGTTTACAAAATAAGGAATTTAAATTATTGGATACAAGTTCGTTATTAATCAAGCATAACAATGTTATTCATATTTTTCCATGAAGTGGACTCTTAAGTAATTGTGCACATGTACCCTAAAACTTAAAGTATAATAATAATAAAATAAAATTAAAAAAAGTAATTCAACATAATTCTAATAATTTTATAATGACAATAATATTGCTATGAAAATTTTCTTTAAAGGCACATTTTTGGAATATATCTGTTACATATAGAAAGATCCTTATGGCACAAAACAATAGATACTAAAGGAATATTTATTATTAGTCTTAATGAAAATCACTTTAGCCTTATTATTGATAAGTGACTAAACCCTGACAATATTAGCAGATCACTGTTTAGAAAAGGTGGTAGGATTTATCACTAGGCAGCTGTTTCAATTATGATATAGTAGGATGGTCAGCATTCAAATCATGCAGTCAATGAGTTAGGTAGACATGTAGGCAATCGTTCAATATGTGGTCTGTGTTTTGTGATGAGTTGAGGCACTGAAGCCTTATGGCCTGGCTGTGAGTTACAGTTTGATTACGTATTAACAGTGTGGCTTATCTGTCAACTTTTCTGTGCCTCAGTTTTGTCATCTATAAAATGAGCTAATAATAATACCTTTCTTTAAAAGTTGTTGAATTATATAATTTAGTACAGGGAAAATGACCACCCACATAAAAATATTCCATAAACATTTGTAATGGTTATTATCATTATAGTATGAAACAATTGAAGAAATTATCCTATTTTATGAGTTTATATTGGATTGAGAATGATTTAATTATTGTTTCATATTTGTTTTTGATATTTTTCTGGGTATAAAATTCTTATTTTGGTGAGGGTATTATAAATACTGCTTAACTTTTGAAATATACAACATGACCTACAGAAATAAACTTTTGGCAATCCATGTATACCTTCAGGAAAAATACTTCTATATAATTAACGGCTTACTAGGCATGTTACCTCTGTAACTGAAACAGTTATCTAAACTTGTAAAACACCCTTTGGTCATGTTTGGCAGGAACTGTCCCTGAAGGATATCACAGGAAATGTGCACCGAATGTAAGAATATTTTTCTTTCCTTCTAAAGTATTTAGAATTTTTTTTTGCCTTGAAAGTGATTCTTAAGGGGAATAAAAGTCTACATTTAATTAAAAATGGCCTTTAGGGCATTTTTCAGAAATATGTCTAAACGTGGGGCACCGTTCTGAAGAGAGCTCCTTGTAATTATATTCTCCATGAGTGCTGATTGAACTAATTAAAAATTGTAAGTCCTATCAAGACTATTTATTGAAATCTATTTGGCAGCTTCTCTTACTTGACATAGCTCAGTAGTTTATTCTTTTATACTCATTTAAGAATGGCAGCAGTGATTCAAGCAATGAATGAAAGTTGAGAAATGTTTGATAAGCAGATAAGACCATATATGATCCTTTGTACTTCAGAAAGTGACTCAATGGGTAAATCCACAGATTATAAAATAACCTTTTAAATCACCTAGTAATTTAATTTTATTTTGCTTTTATTATCTAGAAAAATGCATTAGGTAGCAACAATTCAGTTCCCTATTCAAATTTGTTCTTATTGATTTGGTCTGAAGGAAAATCCAAAGTTAATTATTGATGTGTTAGTGGTGATCAGGAGACATCCATTAGGGAACTGCATAGTGAAATCTAAAATAATTGTAGTAAAACCAGGCCTTACATCGGTGGGATATGAATAAATGCTTGGTATTCTTTTCTCAGGGAGGGGCTATCTATATTTCTCCTGTGTCACCGTTTGCTCAAGGCACAGAAAATATGGGTAATATGATCAGAGGACTATCAAAATGAAGAAAATATGGAGTGAATCAGAGTAGGATGGGAAATTCTGCTTTACTGTGTACTAGCTCTGTAAACTTGAGCAAGAAAATCAATATTTTTGCATTTCAGCTATTTATTTGCAAAACAGTATAGTGAAATGAATCTGGAAATATTGTAAGACTAATGCAAATTAAGTGCATGGAGGAGTTCCTGGGAGGGCAAAACTCATTTTCAAAGATGATTCTAACAAGTAAAATTGTTTAAAAAATGAAGTGGACTTCCTCATGTTCATACCCACTTACTGGGCGTGTTCTAAAGAGATTCATGCTTTATAAAAAGGGCCAGTTTGGTTAGCTTCAGGGATCCTTTAGTCCTGATAGTCATTTATGGCCAGTTTGAAATGTAAAATTGACTGAACTATACATATTTGTGATAGGGGTATGGGTAAGTGTCATATATTGTTTCTTTGAATATATATTTTTCTACTTCTGCTGACAAAACTAACCAGAAAAGTAGAAACTCTCCCTTTCCATTGATGTAAGAGTACCATTTTTATTCATATGGAAACATGTAAAATATGATTCTAGAGGATATAATTGAGAAATCAAGGCACAGATGGTGAATTACTCATGCAATGAGTCATGAGGTAAAATAGGAAGTAGACTGTCTTGTGTTCATTCTACAATATTTGTAAATAGTTTTCAAAAGGCATTGCAAATGCATAAAATCAATTTGTTTTAGAAATTTGTATTGACCTTACCTGTAAGTAACCAGTGTCACTACATCTATTGATTAAATATGTATATTCTTTCTTTCCCTGAGCACCTGCCAACTGAAAAAAAGGAAAAAAAAAACCTGAATTATCAATCAAAGATTCTCATAAAAATAAAATCAAAACGTGATACAAACATGTTTGGCAATGTCTCAAATTATGTTCAAGCTGTTTTTACAATGCTAAAGATTCACCTAGAACCTTACCCTAGAGGCTTTTCAAACAACTGACATATGTAAATCCATAATAAATGAAACATTTAGGAGTAAGAAGCACATTTCCAGGGAGAAAACAAACAGTTCAGAGTAAGTTTCTGAATTTGAATAAAATAAGCCAGTGGGAAGCTGTGAAAGCCACTACCATTAACCTATACAGTAAGTAAGATGAAAAGAAGATCTGGACTGGTATCTCTTGGTCGTCGGATTTCCGAAAAAAAAATTTCTTAATAAAACTGGTAGAATTCAAGATTTTTTTTGTATGAAAACTAGCCTATTGGTAGATGAAATTTTATTAGACTGGGAAGAAAGAGGTTAAAAAAAAACACCTGAAATATTTTAAAATGCTAATTCAATATCTACTTCATTCTTTTATACCGCTTACAAGTCACAGCTTATTGCTGTTAAGTATAAGCCAAGTGTCTAAAAATTATTGTCTAAGGGAAGAGGACGGTGAATGACACTTAGAACAAATAATCACTTAACCTTGGTTATCGAATTAGAGATTCTGCTTAAGTTCATTGTAAAAAAAAAATGAAGTAAAATAATTTATGCACTCTAACATGCTAGTGCTCAAAGAGCGAATTCCGAAAGCAAATAAAAAAGCAAACTGTCTAAACTGATGAAGAGACTATCTGGAACAAACTAAGTTATTTGTTGGAATTAACAACCCTTTTAAAGGAAACATCTGAATAATTTCTGAAAGATGCCGCAAGATTAAATTCCATTCTGGTGAGTTGAATTTATTCAGAAAGCTAAATTTCAATTTTGTAAGAAGTCTAATAACCTTTAACCAGACATTGCGTTTCTTAAATATCATCAAAAAATGTTTTCTAGTCACTTTTTTTCCTTTAAAAACTCCCCAACTTAAGAAAATGTTTGAACTAAATTTTGTAGAAATCTCATCTCTTGCAGCAAGCTTGAAATCAAGCATTGTCACAAGCACACAATTAATCTGGTGTTAAGTAGAAAGGCAGGATGAGTCAAGGCAGCTTTCCTTCAACTCTAATAATCAAGCAGCAGGTGAAGAGATCTGGGTATGCAGAATCTAGGTCAAGGTTCTGACTTTCATTTTATTTAAAAAACAAAACAAAACAAAAAAATAGATGTTAAAGTGGCTTTATTCACATAAACATGATTCATAGGAAACTCTACGAATAAGCTACCAGAAATCAAAAGTGAATTTATCAAGGTCTCAGTATACAAGTCAATTTTTTTGTTGTTGTTTGTTTGTTTGTTTAATTATACTTTATGTTCTGGTATACATGTGCAGAACATGCAGGTTTGTTACATAGATATACACATACCATGGTTGTTTGCTGCGCCCATCAACCCGCCATCTACATTAGGTATTTCTCCTAATGCTATCCCTGCCCCAGCCTTATCCCCTTCGACAGGTCCCAGTGTGTGATGTTCCCCTCCCTGGTCCATGTGTTCTCATTGTTCACCTCCCACTTATGAGTGAGAACATACAGCGTTTGGTTTTCTGTTCCTGTGTTTTCTGAGAAAGATGGTTTCCAGCTTCATCCATGTCCCTGCAAAGGACATGAACTTATCCTTTTTAATGGCTGCATAGTATTCCATGGTGAGTATGTGCCACATTTTCTTTATCCAGTCTATCATTGATGGACATTTGGGTTGGTTCCAAGTCTCTGCTATTGTGAACAGTGCTGCAATAAACATACGTGTGCATGTGTCTTTATATTTGAATGATTTATAACCCTTTGGGTATATACCCGGTAATGGGATTGCTGGGTCAAATGGTATTTCTAGTTCTACATCCTTGAGCGATCGCAACACTGTCTTCTGCAATGGTGGAACTAATTTACACTCCCACCAACAGTGTAAAAGTGTTTCTATTTCTCCACATCCTCTCCAGCATCTGTTGTTTCCTGACTTTTTTCTGTCTACTGCCATACCATCCTGAATGTGCCCGATCTAGTCTGACTTGTTCTTAAGAAGAAATTCAACACCATGCGTTAATGAATGCTAGGAATTTTAGACAGATTGAGGGCAAGGAGGAAGCAGAAGGAGCTGGATTTCTCCCTTAAATTTGGACTCTGAGAGGAATTGCACACAGGATGCTCTGTGCTAACACGTGAGCAGTAGTACAGTAGATAAGGTATTGCGAAGTCTGCAAAGAAGATCTGAAAGAGAACAAACCAGAAGAAATTCATTCAGAGCATGCCCTGGCAAAGAAGTCAATCATCATCAATTTCTTTTGGCAGACTCAAAGACAGGCAGTGTGCCTCCTATGAGTAGAATCATACAGCATTTGTCTTTCCGTGACTGGCTTTTTTTACTTAGACTAATATCCTCAAGTTTCATCCATATTGTTGCATACTGCAACCTCCTTGTGGCTGAATGGTATTCCATTGTGTGTATAGTGTGTATTTTCTTTATCCATGTACCTGTTGATGGACACTTAGGTTGTTTTCACATCTTTTTTATTGTTAATTGTCAAATTCATAGAATCAAATAGAGGAATGATGGTTACCCGGGGGCTAGGGAGAAGGGGGAATTACTAATAATGAGCAAAATTTTCAGTTAAGCCCGATTACTAAGCTTGAGAAAATTCTTCCATGTTTAAAAATAGAAGTCTAAAATCTGGATTTTCAGATCAGAGATCTCTATTTTTATAAGATCTCTATTTTATAACTTCGTGGTGGTCAAAAATTAAAAAGAAACAGAAGCAAAAACATGTCTGCTTGACATTACTCAGGTTGTTCATTTGTGACCTCAGATCTCATTTTGGAGTGAAATAATATTATTTTTGTTATTTTCTATAGTAAACAAAATATTTAAACTTAATTCCTAAAAAACTATTAAACTAAAATATTTCCTTTTTTTCTTTTTTTTTTGTTTGAGACGGAGTCTCACTCTGTCGCCCAGGCTGGAGTGCAGTGGCGCGATCTCGGCTCGCTGCAAGCTCCGCCTCCCGGGTTCACGTCGTTCTCCTGCCTCAGCCTCCCGAGTTGCTGGGACTACAGGCACCCACCACCACGTCCGGCTAATTTTTTTGTATTTTCAGTAGAGACGGGGTTTCACCGTGTTAGCCAGGATGGCCTCGATCTCCTGACCTCGTGATCCACCCGTCTTGGCCTTCCAAAGTGCTGGGATTACAGGCGTGAGCCACTGCACCCGGCCAATATTTCCTTATTTAAATGTTGATGTGTCTAAATCAGTATCTAATATGCATGGTCAACTTCTGTCTTCCAGTAAACAAAACACCTTATACTTCTGTCTAACTGTAGAGTTAATTGAGATTCTCTTTTTATTGAATCACATACCATTAATGCCAGAGCATACCATTTACTCAACAGATAAGACTTTTTAAAATACATTCATCTAGAAATACTTTCATGTTACAATTTTATATTGCAGTGCATTTGAATATCCCTCATTTCCTAATACAAACCCTTCTAACATTTTAATTACTCTGATTATAAGAATATGTAGTGTATGTCATGTTTTCTTAAAAATATACCTATAATACTTTATAATAAATCAATCAATATTGTTCTATTTTATGCAAAATAGTATGTTCTATAGAAGCAGTGTTTGATTGAAACACATTTTTTTTTCCCTGAGGTTCTCCCTTTGTTCTATCAAAAATTTTCTGAAATAATAATTATTATTATTAATAACAAACTAAGGTTGTTCTCATTAGATCTGACTGATTATTTACAGAGCTGTAGCAAAAGTGTAAATTTACCATGTAGGCCTTTGTAACTTTACCGGAATTTTCCTAAGAAATCCCACATAAGGATTTTTAAATTGTCTTAACAAACTTTCTTGACTCTAGGAATCTAAACTAAGACACACTCTCCAGCAGGATTTACCTGAAGTAACTATACATTTAGGTGAATTCTGTCTCCAAAATATCCTAAGTTCCCTGGACTTACCAGGAAGTAAACTTTCTCGCTCACCATTAAGGCTGAGAGCACTGTAGACCAGTAACAGGTTCCATTTTCCCAAGAGGGTCTTGTAAATATTGCTCTGTAAAATCAATCTCACTTGATTAAAAGTTTCTGGTCATAGTTGATTAAATGAGCATGGTTTTCAAATATGACATTCCAGGCAAGTTCTTGGTTGCAAAATCATTTTTTCCAATTACATCCTAATAAAAAAAGAATGCTTTTTTTCACTGAACGTATGCAAATAACTGTATTGTCATGAATAGTAAGATTCAATAAGAATTTCTGAATTCTAGGGGGAGAGGGCCAGGAAGAAATAATAAGAGATCATTTTAAAGTGTTTTATTTCAGAGTACAGAAACAAAATTTACTAAGTTGTTTTGAGTTACAGACAGCTTAAGAAGAAAGAAAAAGGGCTTTCTAAAATATCCAGAAAACAGATCATTAAGATATCCATAATATCAACAGCAAAACAAAAATTGCAGCCATCCCTCATCAGTTCATTCAATCCTCTGTGATTAATTCTTATTTTGCTGAATCTTGGGTTAGAAATTTCAGCATAATCTTAATACATCTTTTTAAATTTTAGTGCTACTTTTCAGACTCATTATTTGTATGTGCAGTTCAAGGCAAATCAAAATCCCTCTTCCACAGACCTAGAACTTTCTATATCCACTCAAATTTTGTTCTTCACTCTTCTCTTTCTCATTCTGTAATGACCAGACATTTTACTTTAGGACAAAAATACATGTTTTTCTCTTGATAAACAAATACCTATCTAATTATCTTGTATACAAACTTGTACTTCCATGTCATTTTTGCTCTCAGTAGTCTCATTTATGTATACTAATTATAACCTAATTTTACTAATTACAACTTCTAATCAAAGTAACTTCTATTGCACAAAGGAAACTATAGGATGAACAGTTGTGAACTGTCTGCCAGGCATCAGCATTTTAGCAACAAAGCTCATGAATACACATAACATTAGTTTCTATACCTACAACTATTTCTTTAAAAACTGCTTGAAGAAGCAAAAATGAACATATCTATTAACAGAGCTTCCCTGTAGTTTAGAAAATAAGTTCTAAAGCTAGTGCTTTTCTGTGGTATAGAAAAATAAGAAGTGCATATAAATTTAAAATATTGCCTAGTTATCAATGTTTCAGTATTTTATCTTAGAAATGAGCTAGGCATTTAATAATTATCAATGAATTAACTCCATTTAATATCATTCCAAAATATTATTGGCCAAAATTTTGGATTATCTTCAAGGTAACATTCTACAAACATAATTAATATTGGAATAGTTTGTCAGAATAACGATTCATTTTGGTTAAACAACAACTTAAATTTTTTATAACCTTAAACATTAAGTAGCAATAATGTTAGTTTATTTGATAAGTAAATATATATAAGTAAAGGGAAAACATATGCAAGTGGAATACAAACATACGCATGTATTATACTTACCACTCATAAACCACAGAAGACAGAGCTGTTTTGTTAGACCAAAAGTATTAGTTTTGTTTGTTGAAGATTTACCTACATTTTATGAACTTGAATTCTTAACGCTTTTGAATTGGTTTCTGTAAAAATACATTTCCTTTCTAGTTTATTAAACATATTAGAAATAATTCTATTTTCTTGGAAAATTTAAACATTTTTAATTTGATTTCATCTCTATATACTAAGCTTCTTTAATTTTACAGATTTTATAATCTAATTTGCAAAGACAATTTGGAGATAGAATAATTACAATACACTATATAAAGTAAAGGACTTTATGAAATATAGACATTTAGGAATACTCAGAGAGAACTGGTAGTTTCAATTCTGAAATTTTAGCAATAGGTAAAGATTAAGCACAGAAACACAAAATTCACCGGTTCAGATACACAAGAGGTTCTCTTTCCGTTGGGCACAAACTTAATTGTTTGAGCTCAAAATAGGCCAATATGCAAACAAACAAAAGACTAACAAACCAAATTTCTTGTCACGTTTCACCCAACAGAGACTATAACTCCGTAAACCATTAATTCATTTCCAGAACCACCAAAAATGGAAACCATAAAACCAAATTTCCAACCAAAGAACAGATGTATTTATACAGAGTTAGAAAATTGTTCATGTACCCTAAAACTTAAAGTATAATAATAATAAAATAAAAAAAGAAAATTGTTCATACTCGAAACAGATAATCTAAAAAGGAGTGCCCTATGTAGACAATAAATTGTGGAAAAATAATGCAAAGGCAAAGAAGGAAAAAATCAGATGATCTGAAGGAATGTTCTTTCACCAATGCATAGGTTTATGTTGAAATTCGATTTACCTCTGCTTTCTTAACATGGACAAGGCTTTCTCAGTGTCAGGTAAGTCAGAAGTCATAAAGAAATGGTAAAAATGTCTATCAAAATAAAACATACTAGAATAACCAAGGCAGCATAATTCAATTTAAAGGACTAGAATGTGATTGTATATATATATTTATATATACACACACACAAACACATATATACACACATCTATATATATACACACACACACATATATATACACACATAGAATCTTCAATCAGCACACAAATCTAGATATCTATCTCTTTAGTCAACACACATGCATCTGTATATTCTAAATATAACTATAGACTATTATATAAAGCATATATAGGGTACTTGTAGTCAGAACATTCACATTGTTTTGAAACATTGGTATTATAAAAACTTGTAAAATTAAATACAACAATCCATAAAAAAGAACAAAAGCTGTGAACAGGGAATTAATAGAAGACTAAATGCAAATTTGAAATGCTGCCTAATCCTACTAATCATCATGTAGAGAAAATTAAACCATAAGAAAGATTTTTTTCCTATTCAGAATTGAAAATGATAAAATATTCGAATATCTGCATGAGATATTTGAGTGACTCTTCAAAAAGACAGGAATTTGGCATATCTATTCAACCTTAAAATGCACATACAGAGTTGCTGGAGCAAATTTGCTTCATTTATTCTTTTTATTTTTGTGTTTTGTATCATCTTATTAAAAAACAAGCATGTATATTATATATTTATATATATTCATCTTGACATGAAAAACAGTAATGGTAATTCTAATACAAAAACTAACAGATTGAGTGCATGTGAATCACTAATATTGGTAGGCTATCCAAATATGCAGCTTTTGCTAGTATAAGTGTGATTTTTGCATGTTCTGTTGTCTTGTATTATATTTGCACCAACATGACTATTGTTTTAAAAGAATAAGGAATTCAGTTATTCAATTAATTTCAAAATAGTTATCAAAGAATAATCCAAAAGTTCCTACCCTAAAAACTAAGATAAATGTTGAAGGTGATGGCTATCCCAATTAAACTGATTTGATCTTTACATTCTTTATATCAATGTATCAAATTATCACTTGTACCCTCAAAATATGTACATCTATTATGTATCAATAAAATATATAAAATGAAAGAGCTGAGAATAATAAAATAAACTGGTTAAGTGAAACTATAGGCATTTCACACACTGGTAAACTATTTCCAGCAATCATGTTATTCTTGAATATCAAAAGAAAGATTCATAATTCATGCTCTGTTCGTTAAGAGGTATTTGTGTTTAGGTACTACTAGATAAAATTTATTTATTTTTTACAACTCCTAAATAACCTGACTTTTTGGGGAGATGTGAAATAAAGCCACTTTTATTGAGACTTCCAACCACACCAGAAGGGAAGTCATCCTTAGGGAAAACACTTCAATTTCAAAGGAAGCCTACCATTGAAATGTCACCCTTTTTGCAATAAGCCATTAACAGCAACTAAAGTGATTTAAAATGGCATTCAAGGAATAATTCATGAAAAGGACTGGTTTGGTTTAACATAGATACACCTTAGTAAGATTATCAGAAATCTTCAAACAGTGATATTACCACTTAAAGCTCTTTAATTAAGTGGAGATAGAAAATCAAAACCCAGGTCATCTGTTCAAGTAGTGCTGGGAAATAATAACAGCTCTCATTTGACACAGTGATGGATATTTTTTTAAAAAAGGAAAAATAGGGCAGAATATTTGGTAGGTGAAAGAGAATGCTTCCTTGGGGAAGAAATATGGAAGACATTTGAAAGTCATTCACTGCAGGGCTGGGCGTGGTGGCTCAAGCCTGTAATCCCAGCACTTTGGGAGGCCGAGGAGGGCGGATCACGAGGTCAGGAGATCGAGACCATCCTAGCTACTACGGTGAAACCCCGTCTCTATTAAAAATACAAAAAAATTAGCTGGGCGTGGTGGTGGGCGCCTGTAGTCCCAGCTACTCGGGAGGCTGAGGCAGGAGAATGGCCTGAACCCGGGAGGCAGAGCTTGCAGTGAGCCGAGATCGTGCCACTGCATTCCAGCCTGGGCAACAGAGCAGGACTCCGTCTCAAAAAAAAAAAAAAAAAAAAAAAAAAGAAAAGAAAAGAAAAGAAAAAAAGAAAGTCATTCACTGTAGAGAATCCTTACCCTTCAAGATGGGAACATTCTATAAGAAAAGTCAACTTAATATTGCATTTCCCAAACACTATTAAGTCTTTAATTTCTCCTCGTACATGAGGAATTCTCACCAATATACAACAAAAACCAAAAATCAAAACGCTTATTTTGAGTATTAAGCAACCCTACCACCTGACTAATAAAAATAAATACTCCAGCTGAAACTTCCTGACATATTCCCTCCCTGGTTTGCTCTCTTTCCTGCTGTTAGTTTGTAATCAATTCTCTCGGCTCATCTTGGATATTATACCTCTTGTGTTCTCTGAAATCTTTTTTATTTCAGTAAGCAAGTCTCATTCAGAAATCAAAAGGTCAACATCTTGAACAAACCTTTTTTTCTCAATACATTTTGACAATTTTATTATCTTTCTTCTTATCCAATAAAAAGGTATGTCTCTCATAACTGCTGTTGTGAAGTGTACAGCTGCTTGGTGAATCTTGCCTGATGAAGACGATTTTCAAGGGTCAATCCAAATGAACTAATATAACATTACTTATTCCAGAAGTAAAACAAAGGGGTGAGGTTGTCAATAACATCCTTCTATGTGAACAGTTAGCAGTTATACTATAATATTTTCTTCCTTTAGCATTCAGTTCTTCTTTAGCAGATCAAAGCAACACATATTTTCAGAAACAAACTAGCATTCAACATGGTTCAAAGATGGTAATAATAATGAAAAAGCAAATGGTATAATTAACCTATACTTTCTGATATGTGTATTAAAATATTTATGCAGGTGTTTATTTTCCAGATAATGGCAGTATAGCTAAATATAATTTGTAGATATTTTTCTCCAAGTTTTGTAGCTGAGAATAAATTGTTCTTACTGTATTTTCATGTTTCCCCTTTAGTTAATTTCAACTATCCCATATGAGAAATTGTATTTACTACTGCCCCAAATTTCCCAGTTCCCTTGCATGTTTTTGTGGCCACGTGACTTTTCTGGACAATGAGTTTTAAGGATAAATATTTTATATAATTTTTAGATATTTACATTTATGATTTTTGGGCATTTTTCCCTTTCTCTCTTTCTCCATGTATGTGATGGAGGAATTCGTCTCTTCAAGATCATGGCTGCAATAAGATAGTAAAGTCTCTCTGGGTCCCTGATTGATCTATGGATTAGGAAGCCTACTAATCTGTGTTGTACATATAACATGAGCACAGAATAAAACTCAGTTTTGGTTTTGATTCTTAATACCCATATTCCAACCTCTTCTGACATACATGTCTCTTAAATGCCATTAAGGACATTTATATTTAAAATTAAACATTAGCCAAGCCCCATTTCTTTTTTTTAATTTATTCTTTTTAATTTTTTTTCTCCATAGGTTTTTGAGGAATAGGTGGTATTTGGTTATATGAGAAAGTTCTTTTTTTTTTTTTTTTTTTTTAGACAGAGTCACTCTGTTGCCCAGGCTGGAGTGCACTGGCACAATCATGGCTCACTGCAACCTTCACCTCCCGGGTTCAAGCGATTCTCCTACCTCAGCCTCCTGAGTAGCTGGGACTACAGGCACATGCCACCACACTCAGATAATTTTTTTTTTTAGTAGAGAACGGGGTTTCACCATGTTGGCCAGGCTGGTCTCGAACTCCTAACCTCAGGTGATCTGCCCGCCTCAGCCTCCCAAAGTGCTGAGATTATAGGTGTGAGCCACCATACCCACCCATGAATAAGTTCTTTAGCAGTAATTTGTGAGATTTTGGTGCACCAATCACCTGAACAGTATACACTGAACCCAATTTGTAGTCTTTTATCCCTCACTCCCCTCTCACCCTTTCTCCTGAGTTGGCAAAGTCCATTGTATCATTCTTATGCCTTTGCATCCTCATAGCTTAGCTCCCACTTATGAGTGAGAACATAGAATGTTTGGTTTTCCATTCCTGGGTTACTTCACTGGACTAATAGTCTCCAGTTCCATCCAGGTTGCTGTGAATGCTATTAACGCATTCCTTTCTATGGCTGAGTAGTATTCTATCATGTATAGATATATACACCACAATTTCTTTATCCACTTGTTGATTGATGGGCATTTTGGCTGGTTCCATGTTTTTGCAATTGCGAATTGTGCTGCTATAGACATGCATGTGCAAGTATCTTTTTCGTATAATGATTTCTTTTCCTCTGGGTAGATACCCAGTGGTAGTATTGCTGGATCAAATAGTAGTTCTACTTTTAGTTCTTTAAGGAATCTCCACGTTGTTTTGCATAGTGATGGTACTAGTTTACATTTCCACCAGCAGTGTACAAGTGTTCCCTTTTCACTGCATCCCCACCAACATCTTTTTTTTGTTTTTAATTTTTTTGATTATGGCCGTTCTTACAGGAGTAAGGTGATATTGTATTGTGGTTTCGATTTGTATTTCCCTTGTCATTAGTGATGTTGAGTATTTTTTCATGTTTGTTGGCCGTTTGTATATCTTCTTTTGGTAATTGTCTATTCATGTCCTTAGCCCACTTTTTCATGGAGTTGTTTATTTTATTCTTGTTTGAGTTTCTTATAGATTCTAGATATTAGTCCTTTTTCAGATATACAGATTGTGAAGACTTTATCCCACTCTGTGGCTTGTCTGTTTACTCTACTGACTGTTTCTTTTACTGTGCAGAAGCTCTTTAGTTTAATTCCCACCTATTTATTCTTGTTTGCATTTGTTGTGCTCTTGGTCATGAAATCTTTGCCTAAGCCAACGTCTAGAAGAGTTTTTATGATGTTATCTTCTAGAATTTTTATAGTTTCAGGTCTTAGATTTAAGTCCTTGATCCATCTTCAGTTGATTTTTTTGTAAGTTGAGAAATGAGGATCCAGTTTCACTCTCCTACATGTGGCTTGCCAATTATTCAAGCACCATTTGTTGAATAGGGTGTCTTTTTTTTTCCCCTACTTTGTTTTTGTTTGCTTTGTTGAAAATCAGTTGGCGGTTAGAACTTGGGTTTATTTCTGGGTTCTCTATTCTGTTCCATTGGTCTATATTCCTTATTTTTTTATATCAGTACCATGCTGTTTTGGTGACTAATGGCCTTATAGTATAGTTTGAAGTCAGGTAATGTGATGCCTCCAGATCTGTTCTTTTTGCTTGGTCTTGCTTTGACTATGCAGGCTCTTTTTTTGGTTCCATATGAATTTTAAGACTGTTTTTTCTAGTTCCATAAAGAATGATGATGGTATTTTGATGGGAATTGCGTTGAATTTGTGGGTTTCTTTTGGCAGTGTGGTCATTTTCACAATATTGATTCTACCTATCCATGAGCTTGGGATGTGTTTCCATTTGCCAAAGCCCCATTTCTATTTCTACTTCTGTCTAAGGAATTTTCCCATTCAAGGAATATTTCCTTTTTATATAAAAATCTTGCTTCCATTACCCCTTTGTATTACTTTCTATTCTGATCTTCTAATTACTGCATTATTGTCATTATTTGAGGACATTGTATTCTCATTCACAATACTTTCTTTCATTCTATTTATTAACAACTTTTTTTGGAACCCAAAAAGATAGACACTTATCTCTGTAACATCCTCATTCCTAAATATTTTTATTTACTTTTCACTCCAGGCTGTATCTTGAATAATGAAACTTAACATCACCTGAAACATTTTCACCATTAAAACATTACTATGTTCACTGTCTTTTTATGTCCTCCAAATTTTCCACTTCTCTTATTTCTTTATTGTCTCTGCAATGGTTCTTTAGAAATATCAGAGCATTTTTCCTTAGACTTTGGTCATTTCCTTCTGCTAGCAAACTTCTCTTCCCTTTTCTAATTTTTTTACTCAGCTAAGATATCATGGTTAATCCCTTCAACTAATTATTTGCCAATATCCTCTACATGCTTACCTAATTGGTCTGCCTGTACACCTGCACATGCATGAACACACATGCACACACACACACATGCACACACACGCACACACTTTGTGATGCCTAATTGGATTAATCTGTTTATTTTCTATACTTTTAATGCCAGATTGCTATTGTCCCTGAAGTAAAACCATAAATTATGTAAATAATGTTGCTGGAAATTTATGTTACTGAAATTTACCTAGTAAGCTCTGCTTTCTATTTTCTGTAGTGGTTATTGATTAACCTCTCTACTTTGCTCAAATATAACAGAACACCTCCATCCACATACCTCATACTCATAGAATATTATACTTTCTTTTTCAATTAGAGAATAAAAGGTATTATGTAAGATTTTTAAAAAAGCTTTCCCAAGTGATTTTTAAGTTACTTTCATCCTAATTGTTTAGATCTTTTCCTTGACTCTTCATTACAATGAATGTTCTCATTATCCATTCTGCAAAAGGGAAATCAATTCCCTACATCTGTGCTTTGAATCCCACACCTTCATTCTCTTTTGTAACTTTCCTGTATCAATTATTTTTGATATTCAAGAATAACATGATTGCTGGAAATAGTTTACCAGTGTGTGAAATGCCTATAGTTTCACTTAACCAGTTTACCTCTATTTTTATATTCTTCATCTTATTTGTATTTTCATTTCACTATTAAACATACTGAAAACTAAAATATCTTAATAAAAAGGTATCTAACTATAATAACAATAATTATTATTTTTTGCTTGAGAATGAGCAAGCAATGAGTTTTCACTCTTGATAAGGCAAAAAAGAATAAATGAAGCAAATTTGCTCCAGCAACTCTGTATGTGCATTTTAAGGTTGAATAGATATGCCAAATTCCTGTCTTTTTGAAGAGTCACTCAAAAAGTCACTGCCTCTTTCCAGTAAATGTTGAAATGGATCTTCATTTATGTATATGTAGCTTATATTCAGACCCCCCCCCACATTTATGGAGAGATCTGTTATACAATTGAATCTATGTAATGGCAGAGGACACTCAGCCACCATCTATCATAATAAACTTAGTGTTTCATTCATACATATAAAGAAACATCTAAGAATTCTGACAAAGCTAGTTAAAAGTAACGACTCAAAAGAGAAAAATATATATATTTTTGTGTTTTGTATCATCTTATTAAAAAACAAGCATGTATATTATATATTTATATATATTCATCTTGACATGAAAAACAGTAATGGTAATTCTAATACAAAACTAACAGATTGAGTGCATGTGAATCACTAATATTGGTAGGCTATCCAAATATGCAGCTTTTGCTAGTACAAGTGTGATTTTTGCATGTTCTGTTGTCCTGTATTATATTTGCACCAACATGACTGTTGTTTTAAATGAATAAGGAATTCAGTTATTCAATTAATTTCAAAATAGTTATCAAAGAATAATCCAAAAGTTCCTACCCTAAAAACTAAGATAAATGTTGAAGGTGATGGCTATCCCAATTAAACTGATTTGATCTTTACATTCTTTATATCAATGTATCAAATTATCACTTGTACCCTCAAAATATGTACATCTATTATGTATCAATAAAATATATAAAATGAAAGAGCTGAGAATAATAAAATAAACTGATAATTTATTATTTTAAAAGAACATGTTTATAAATACAGAAAAGTGTTTACCCAACTTATTTTTGCTCCCCAAGAAGCCCTATGTATAGAAAATAATCTCTTCAGAGAGACTTATTTCTTTCAATATCCTGTGGGTACACTAGTGAGTTGATGTATATTGGACACAGATATCTCTTTAGCATTTCGTTTCTATTTAAGTAGAGAAAAAAAACTATTTTGGTCTAAAGCTTTATAAATTGCATTCTATACTGATATGATTTGGCTCTGTGTTCCCACCCAAATCTCATCTTGAATTGTAATCCTCATAATCCCGACATGTTGAATTAGGAACCAGGTGGGAGGTGACTGGATCATTGGGGCAGTTTCCTCCATGCCATTCTCATGACAGTTAGTGAGTTCTCACGAGCTCCGATGGTTTTATAAGGTAATTTTCCCTGCTCTTGCCTGCTATCTCTTGCCTGCTGCCATGTGAGACATGCCTCTTCCCCTTTTGCCATGATTGTAAGTTTTCTGAGGCCTCCCCAGACATGCAGAACTGTGAACCAATTAAGCCTCTTTTCTTTATAAATTACCGATTCTCAGGTATTTCTTTATAGCAGTGTGAGAATGAACTAACACATATACAGTGTTGAATTTATCGTTTTTTATCTTAGCTGACTATCACCTTCCACCTTATCTAGTCGCAAATCCAGAATCTGGATTTTTTTTTTTCCTGTTCTTCACTGCCTAAAGGGTATTGTGTCAAAGGTTGTACCTTTGTGATCATGAACCTACCTCTCCCTCTTTGGTACTCCCTACTAATATTTCAACATACCGCATCATTTTAGACAGTTTTCATTATCTGGATATATTTTCATTCTATCAGTATATGAACTCAAGGTTGGAAATGGTGATTTATCCATCTGTGATTTTCCTAAAGAATGAATCTTGTAAAAAAAAAAATAGCACCTATTAACTACTGGAGAATTGTATCCAATCTTCATTCTTAATTCTCTTGACTCCAAGCGACTTATGAGCAGCAGTTGTCATTGGGAGATTTAGAATGACTGAAGAATGTTAACAGATATTTTCACTACATTGAGCATCAAAATGTATTGATTTCAGCTGCAGGAATCTGACCACTATAAAAAATAAACATTGGAAATTAATTCAAAGGACACGTAAGAATAATAATAATAATAATTTTTAAAAGCAGTCAAAATATACTGAGTACTTTCTTTGTATCAGACCCTGGTCTAAACTGTTGTCATTTACTAGCTTATTTAATGTTAAGAACAAAGTTATAATGGGTGATATTATTATTGCCTGTATTTTATTTCTCTATTGATTTTAAGTTTTTTAAAATTGTATTTTATTTTAGATTCAGGGTGTACATGTGCATGTTTTTAACAAGGGTACATTACCTACTGGTCTCCACCTATTACCCAACTAGTGAACATTGTACTTTATAGGTAATTTTTCAACCCTTTCTTCCTCTCCCACCCTCACCCATTTTTGAGCCTGCAGTGTCTATTATTTCCATCTTTATGTTCATGTGTATCCATTGTTTAGCTCCTAATTATAAGTGAGAACATGTGGCATTTGATTTTCTGTTTCTGCATTCACTTAGGATAATGCATTGCCTCTATTATATAGATAAGAAAACTGAGGCTAAGATTTACCCCGTATCAACAGCTATCAGTAATCTAGCTAGCACGTAAGTACTGACAATCTGACTCTGGAGGGAGTTCGTACTCAAACTTACCTAAGGCTGTATCCTATCTGTTAGGGAAACTTGTTTCAGAGAGATTCGACTCATTATTGCAGTGATTTTAAAATGCAGTCTTTACTTCTATATATTTTAACAGTATTTCATTTTAGAGGTATAAATTAAAATTGTTAATATGTGAGGAGCCTGAAGAATGAGGCATTAATGTTTGAAATTGACTGCGTAAGTTAAAAGGCACAATGTCCTGAAAATGTTGTCCTAAGGAACCTAGCTCTAAACACAGAATGTTCATAAAATACTTATTGAATTGTTAGAAGCACGAGCCTCACATTTGTTATCTTAGGTTATTCTACCACTGGCCATGCAGTCTTGTTTTCTCTCCTTGATGAATGAACTGTCCTAATTCTAGGTTATAAATGAGATGTTCAAACTGTAGGGTGCCTCTTTACTGAAACTCTGACTTCTGAGAACAGATGACAATTTTTTTAGTAGAAACACAAAGACAGATATTTCTGTCTTCTACAGAAAAGATATATAAATCTCAGCTATATATAAAATCTAGAATGTTGCATATTTTCACCCCAATTTATGGAAACTTTTCTAATGTTCAATTTTACCTTTTCACCAACTTACCAGCATTGAAACAAAAGTGTCTCTAACTATTCCCACCTGCGTCGAAATCACCTGGTTGTACTTGTTAAGCCTGCAGCTCCCTGGCTTTTACAGTGTAACTGCTTTGTCCAGCTCTGCAAGTTGGAGCCTGGGAAGCTGGCGGGTAAAAATAAAAGAATGAATGAATGAATGAATGGATGGATGAACCAAGTCGTTCTCATATAAAATTCCTGCCATGGTTCCTTTCTTTTCCTCTTTATTTAAATCTTCAGTTCAGAAATATATCATTTTCTACCCACATTACTGCATCTTCTCTTTCTACTTCCAAAACACATCGCTGACATGGTTTCTGCTTCTTCCGTGGTACTGAGGCCTTCTTTAGAAATTATTATAATTTTTAGCTATTCCTTCTACCTTTACTTTTTGTGCCAACTCTCTATCTTCAATTATTTTAACTGCTAAAATTTTGAACTTGGCATTTTAATATTTTTTGTGAGTAAATTATCTACTCTTTCTCCTCTTCTAATCTCTAAATATATTCGTTTGTGTATTCTCAAGCAGGCAATGGTATCAGGGAGCAAGATGATAATGCCACCATTCTTACCTGTAATGTCTCATGCCAGTGTGTATGGTGAATTGAAATATGAAAATCAGCGATAATTCACTGTCATCAGTAGGTCTGCAATTTAATTGCTGGCTACATAATTTTAGTCAAGTCATTCAACATCATTGAATTTTCATAATCTCATCCATCAACACTGGGATTGTAGTAAACCTAAAGCTATATTGTGCTTGAATTACATGAGTTAATCCTTGTGCATATGTTTGGCAAAGTGTCCAAGTTTTATAAAAAACTTTCTCTTCTTTAGAGTTATGCTTATTTGCTTTACCTTATAGTCTACTCACATTAATAAAAACTGACCAAGAGTAATTTATATATTTCATAACGAATAAAGCTAAGAACCTAGCTTTATTAATTATAAAGAAGTACATTTGTTATTGTAGTATATCTGTGCATAAATATGTGCTTACAGAGATTCAACCTTACATACATATGCAAAGAGAGAGAGAACTAGTCTTTTTCGAATATTTTATTTTGCCAGGTATTTAATATGCATGAATCTAACTTATTTAGCATTATTATTATTTAAGTTTTACAAATGTAAACATCTATGGAGAGTGACTTTCCCATTGGCCACAGTAGGATATGATGGTATTCTGACCTGTGGATTTGAATACAGGGGTAAAGTGAAAGGATCAATTTGGCCAGGGCGAAAATTTGTATCTGGAATTGTCTGCTGTGAAACACACAGCTGGTCTCCACCACACGGGTTTCCAAGCTGCTTGATTTTTTGCTGCCATGTTTAACATGGATTTTTGTGTGTGTTTCTTTTGTTGTTTGTAAAATCAATATTGCTTTAGCCTACAAGCAAAATGTAGAGGTCAAGGATTATGTCTGTTTCCATTGTTTTGCTCTTTCTAGTCCTCTAAATACTGAGATTTATGTTCAATCATATTTTCTGACTAAGCTGATCCCTGTGGATAAATGGGGTTACTTCTTTTATACAAAATTTATCCACCTGCCTTCGGTCTTTCTTCTTACAAATTAAGTAGTAAATAATGCAAAGCATATTGAATTACCATTTTTGAAGGTCACCCTATATATTAAAACCTATTAACTAATAATGAATTTTAATAATGATACCACATGATATACATTTATATAATTAATATTAGGAGCATTGACTTGAATACTACACATTAATATTTTTAAATTGCCATTTTATGGTACATATTAATGAATAACATTAATCAACAAATATTTATTTGGAGTCTTTAGGAAAAAAATCTCTGAGTTATAATTGATAATTATAAAGAAGCCATTTTAAATGTACTTAATTTTTTCAATTTATTATTCCAGGGATTCACCTCTCCACCCAACGAAAATAAAGAACTACTGTTGTGTTTACAGTTAAAATAAATTCTGTTTTTATTTCCTGATACCACAGATATTAAGCAATTTTAGAAAATTACAAGGCATTTAGGAGAAATAAATCATGTTTGTCCTGTGGTGTGCTCCTGGGAGATAACATGTCTCTCAGGGGACCAATGCTAGCTCTTGCAGTTTCTGGCTATAACATGATCCATAGCCATTAAGTACTAAAAGCTAGTGTACTCCCTCTATCCTTATGAAAATAAGACATGATTTACTCTAGGGTAACGTTGTACTTAAAAGACTACTTTTCTTTTTAATGACTGAAGGGACATTTGAACAAAATGTTTAATTTTGTATTTCTGCCAATGTTACATAGGCAGCATTGTAATAAACCACATGACTGGATTTTTGCCAAACAGTATAAAATGACAAGCTTAAAGCCTATAGGCAAAACTATTTGTGATAAATTATTTTCCATTTTAAGAAACTTACCAACTGAGTAACTTTATGGTTTTCTGAGTTTAAATTTGGCGTGATTGAATGAATTGTTCTCTCCACTCTACAGCTAAGGTGCCACATAGCGAATCAATTTGAAAATCCACAAAAATACTAAGTATGGTCTGTGACACGCATTGCATGTCCTGGATTGCCTTTGTATTCCTCATAGTGACTCATTTTAAATTGCAAAGTAACCACTTTTCTGAAATTTAGTCTCAATGCTACTTCCTTCAATGTGTGGTATATAGGAAAGAATATAGGTTTTGGAGTCAAGATAAAACTTAGTAGTAATATGGTCTTGTGTAATTCATTTAATTTCTATTGGCAAATAAAAACAAAATGTAATTTACAAGTTTTTGGAGTAAAATGATAAAATATATAAAGCATCTAGCATAATGCTTTTCAAAATCTAGTTTCTCATTAATAAAACCTATAGAAAAATTTGTATTTCATTGTCTATCACATTTATTAATTTCTTGCTTGCAATTTAATATTAGTATAATATGTGTAATAGTTTAAATATAGTTTAAATGAAGAATAGTTTATTTTACCTTTTTCTCTAAATTTTATTGTGTTTTTTTAAATATAGAAAATTCGAAGGATAGTAAAATAAATGCCATATAACCTACATTTGGATTTAATAATTGTTAATACCCTGACAAATTAGTTTTCTTTCATACTCGTTCTCTCTCTCTTTCTCACTCTCTCACTCTCTCTCTCCTTATTTCTTCTACTTGCCAAATTTGTGACATTTTAATGATCAAAAAAGGTGATGACTAATTTTGAAATATTGAATAGATAACAATCCATGGACTCAGAGTGATACACACATGTAGACACCAGGGAGTTCTTTTTACAGAAGATGATGGTAGGTAATAAATGGAGAAGGAGTGATAGAATTAAAAAATCAGCATTTGTAACCCTAGTGAAGTGATTCTTTGGGAAGGAATCAGCAATGGGTTCCAAAATAAGGTGGAAAGCGTATTTGTATAGTACCAATGTTTCACAGATTGCCTACTAATTTCAGAGGAAAAAAATCATTTATTTAATAGAGAGCTTCCAGCCACCATCCTAACCAAGGACTCAACCTCAGCATCATGAATAGTGGGAAAACTTGACCTTACATACCTGATGATAATACAAAACACAAAATACATGGCATTACTTCTGAAAGGTTCTCACCATTTAACCTTCATCTAATCACTTCTCTAGTCCTCATTTCAGTTTTCCAACGAAAAGACAGAGGAATATATTTAAGAAAATACCAGGAACCGTAAGACAAATTTAAAATATTTACAATCTATTGACAACTGATTTAATCGCTTTAAAAATGCCATAAAGGGGAAAGAAATGTTGAAGTATTAGAGAAAACTAGGAGTGTCTTTACATACGAAGGATACAAGGGCATCTAGGACATGATATGCATACACAGTTAGTACTTTCTTTGCTTTTTTATATTGATTCATTATATAGCACCTTAAGTATATAGTCTGACTAAAGTTATTTGATCAATGGTAAGAACTCATTTAATCATTCTAACTTCAGAAATCCTAAAATTATTCTGGTGGTTTCTTTCACAAAAAGAAAATTAATTTATCAAAATATTTGTGTCTACAGTCTTGAAGCTTGTAAGATTATGCTGTTTGGCAGAAATTCAGGTAAATGATCTCCTACAAAACTTAGATGGAATCTTGTTTCAAAATCAAAATTATACATATTATTTTGTAAACATTTAGAATAAATTTGAATATTGTTTAAATGTTAGATAACATGAGGAAATTATTGTTAATTTTTAAACTGTGATAATCATATTATTATTACAAGGAAAAGGTCATGTATTTCTTAGGAGATGCAACTGAACTGTCTAGGGTTGGAATGTTTTCTGATTATGATGCAATCACGCTGCAAAACTAATTAAATGAGAAATTTTATAGGCCCAACTGCCTAAAAATAAACAACTACATTCAACAACTCCTGTGTTAAAGGGTAAATATAAACCCCAGAATAACTAAGTTACTTATTAATCAAATAAAGTTCATTCTCTAGATGATCATAGGAAACATAGCAGTAAAATCATCTCTAAAATTTGAATGCTAATAGAGTTTATTTTGTAAACTCATTTATTGTTTTTATATCCTTCTAATATTTCTTTTTTATTGTCTATTTTTTAATTTTTAATTTTTGTGTTTACATAGTAGGTACATGAGGTACATGAGAGATTCTGATATAGGCATACATTGTGTAATAATCACAACAGAGAGAATGGAATATTCATCCTCTCAAGCATTTATCCTTTCGTGTTACAAACAGTCCAATTATATTCTTAGTTATTTTTAAATGTACAACAAAATTGTTGACTGTAGTTGCCCTGTTGTGCTATCAAATACCAGATCTTATTTATTCTAACTATATTTAGTATCCATTAACCATCCCCCACTGCCCCTCCCCCACTACCCTTCATAGTCATTGGTAACCATCAGTCTACTCTCTACCTCCATGAGTTCAATGGCTTTAATTTTTAGCTCCCACATATGGGTGAGAATATATGAAGTTTGTCTTTCTGTGCCTGGCTTATCTCACTTGATATGATGACCTCCAGTTCCATCCATGTTTTTGCAAATGACAGGATCTCATTTATTTATGGCAGAATAGTACTTCCATTGTTTATATGAACTACATTTTGTTTATCAATTTGTCTGTTGATGCACACTTAGGTTGATTCCAAATTTTGGCTCTTATGAATACGGCTGCCAATAAACATGAGAGTGCAGATATCTCTTCGATAAACTGATTTTGTTTTTCGTTTTTCGTATATAACTAGCAGAGGGATTGCTGCATCATACAGACATAGTGTCTGTTTGTGTACCAGTACCATGCTGTTTTGGTTATTGTAGCCTTGTAGTATAGTTTGAAGTCCAGTAGCATGATGCCTCCAGCTTTGTTCCTTTTGCTTAGGATTGTCTTGGCTATATGAGCTTTTTTGGCTCCATATGAATTTTAAAATAGTTTCTTCTAAATCTATGAAAAATGTCAATGGTAATTTAATGGGAATGGCATTGAATCAATAAATTACTTTGGGCAGTATGGTCATTTTTATGATATTGTTTCTTCCTATCCATGAACATAGAATGTTTTTCCATTTGTTTGTGACCTCTCTGGCTTCCTTGAGAGGTGGTTTGTGGTTCTCGTTGAAGAGGTCCTTCACTTCTCTTGTTTAATGGAAATAGCATTGAATCTATAAATCTATAAATTACCAATGGAACAGAATAGAGAACTCAGAAATAAGACTGCAAATCTACATCCATCTGATCTTCAACAAACCTGACAAAAACAAGCAATGGGGAAAGGATTCCCTATTTAATAAATGGTACTGGGAGAACTGCCTAGCCATACACAGAAAATTGAAACTGGCTTTGATCTTGTTACTTGTTATTAGTCTGTTCATATTTTTAATTTCTTCATGATTCAATCTTGGTAGATTGTAAATGCCCAATCTTGATAGATTGTAAGTGCCTAGGAATGTGTCAATTTCTTCTAGGTCTTTTAATTTATTGGCAAATATGTTGCTCATGGTACCCATTAATGATTGTTTGAATATCTGTGGTATTGGCTGTACTGCTTTTTTTCTCAACTCTGATTTTATTTATTTGAGTCTTCTCTCAGTTTTTGTTAGTCTAGCTAAAGGTTTTTCAATTTTGTTTCTCTTAAAAAAAACAACTATTTGTTTCATTGATGTTTCGTATTTTTTTTCATTTCAATTTCATTCATTACTTATTTTTGTCTACAAATTTGGGATTTGGTTTGTTCTTGCTTTTCTTTAAGATGCATTGTTTATTTATTTGAAGTTTTTCCACATTTTTGATGTAGGCGCTCATAGTTATAAAATTCTCTCAGTACTGCTTTCACTGTATCCCATAGGTTTTGATATGTTGTGTTTCCTTATCATTTGTTTCAAGAAAATTTTCAATTTTCTTCTTCATTTTTTCATTGACCCACTGGTCATAGAGAAGCAAACTGTTTAATGTCTATGTGTTTATGTAGTTTCTGAAATTCCTCTTGTTATTTATTTCTAGTTTTATTCCATTGTGTTCAGAGAAAACACTTGATATTATTTCAATTTTTTGAACGTTTTATACTTGTTTTGGACCCTAACAGTGGTGTATTCTTGAGAATCATCAGTGTACTAAGAAGAATATTTATTCTGCAGCCATTGGATGAAACCTCTTGCAAACACCTGTTAGGCACATCTTGTCTACCTGTTGCTTAATTCTACTGATAGATCTGGCACCCAAGCTACAAGACAAAGTACTCCCCACTCTTTCCTCCCCTATCTTCAAGCAGAGGAGTCTCCCCATGGCCACCATCACTCCATTTCCACAGTAAATACTACCCGGTTACCACTGATGTTCACTTAAGGCCCAAAGGCTCTTCAGTCAGCTGTGGCGAATGCTGCTGAGTCTCTCCATTCAGGGCCTGAGTCTCTCCATTCAGGGCACTTGGCTCCCCACTGGCCAAGGGTAGGTCCAGAAATGCTATTCAGGAGCCAAAGACTGGAATCACAGACCCCTGGAGGCTGCTTAGCGTATTACCTAACTGTAGCTGAGCTTGTATGCAAGCTGCTAGACAAAGTTTCCTTTACTCTTTCCTCTCCTTTCCTCAAGCAGAAGGAGTCTCTCCCCATAGCCACCACAGCTGGGAATGTGCTTGGTCACATCTGAAGCCAGCACAATTCTGAGTCTCACCTAAGGCCCACAGGGAGTACTGCCTGGCTACCACTGCTGATTATTCAGGACCTATGGACTCCTTAGTCAGCAGTTGATAAATTCTATCAGGGTTGGGACCTTCTCTTCAAGGCAACAGTTTTCTTTCTGGCCCACGGTGTGTTTATAAATGGTGTCCAGGAACTAGGGCCTGCAATGGGGGCCTTGGGAGTTTGCCTGATGCGTTATTCTACTGTGACTGAACTGGTACTAGGAGGCAAGACAGAAGTTTTCTTTACTATCCCCTCTTCTCTCTTCAAGCACAGGGTGTAAGCCTTTCCCAGAGCTGCGAGCTGTGCTTCCTGGAGTTGTGGGAGAGGTGGCACAGGCACTGTCTTGGCTGCTGCAGCAGGGGTCTCACTACGTCCCATGCACCCCAGGTCCACTGGCTTCTAGCCCAGCACAGTACAAGGACTCGCCTGGGAATTGCAGTCCTTGTGCCCTAGGCTGCCTTTCAAGTTTCTTTCTTTTTTGTCCTTCCTTCCTTCCTTCCTTCCTTCCTTCCTTCCCTCCTTCCTTCCCTCCCTCCTTTCTTTTTCTTTCTTTCTTTCTTTCTTTTTCTTTCTTTCTTCTTTCTTTTTTTCTTTCTCTTTCTGTCTTTCTTTCTTTCTTCTTTCTTTCTTTTTCTTTCTCTTTCTGTCTTTCTTTCTTTCTCTCTTTCTTTCTTTCACTCTCTGTCTCTCTCTCTTTCTTTCTTCTTTTTTATTATTATACTTAAGTTCTGTGATACACGTGCAGAACTTGCAAGTTTGTTACATGCCTGTGCCATGGTACTTTGCTGCACCCATCAACCCATCATCTACATTAGGTATTTCCCCTAATGCTATCCCTCCCCTTGCCCACCAACCCCTGACAGGCCCCAGTGTGTGATGTTCCCCTCCCTGTGCCCATATGTTCTCATTGTTCAACTCCCACTTGAGTGAAAACATGTGGTGTTTGGTTTTCTGCTCCTGTGTTTGTTTGCTGAGAATGGTGGTTTCCAGTTTCATCCATGTCCCTGCAAAGGACATGAACTCATTCTTTTTATGGCTGCATAGTATTCCATGGTGTATATGTGCCACATTTTCTTTATCCAGTCTTACAAGAGCTCCTGAAGGAAAGACTATCAAGTTTCTTTAGGACCCCAGAGTTCTTTAGCCCATGGTGGTAAGGCTTGCCAAAACTAAAGTTCTGACTCCTGGGGTAGATGATTTGCCCCCGGGCTAGTCTAATTACGCTCTCCTGGGTGCTAGCCAGATTTGGTCCTGTGTCACTTTTTGCTGTGACAGGGCAGCAATGGGTTTAAATGCGAAGTCTAAAATGGCCGGGCGTGGTGGTGGGCACCTGTAATCCCAGCTACTCTACTCAGGAGGATGAGGCAGGAGAATCGCTTGAACTCAGGAGGCGGAGGTTGCAGTGAGCCGAGATCACACCACTGCACTCCAGCCTGGGCGACAGAGCGAGACTCTGTCTCTAAATAAATAAATAAAATTAAAAAATGCAAAGTCTCACAATCACTGTACTCTATCTCCTCCAAGTGCACAGATTCTTTCTCCATGCCACCCAGCCACTGCTGAGGGATGGTTGGGGCTGGTGTAGGTAATGCAAGGGTGTTTATTCTAACCTCTTCAGTGCCTTTTTCAGCAATATGAAGTTAAAACCAGGTACTGTGATTGCTCACCTGATTTTTGGTTCTTATGGAGGTGCATTTTTTGTGTGTGGTTAGTTGTTTAATTTGATGTTCCTGTTGGGGGGACGATCACTGGAGGCTTCCATTCAGCCATACTTCTCTGGCTCCTTCTTTCCATGCTAATATGGTTTTTAAAATATCCTTGATTCTTGAAAAATATCTGATGTGGCTATTAAAACATTAGTTTTTACATTTCTTGCTTTGTACTCTGTCAAAATGATATTCTGTTGCTTTGCTTTGTTTTTTGTCATAATCTATCAAATTAATTTGTTTCTTCTCTCTTTAAATGATAGACTTTTTCCTAGAGATCCAATGTAATTTCTTAAACTTGAAGTCTACAAACGTTACTAGAGTTTTTCTCACACAATTTTCCCATGAATTCAGTGAGCCCTTTCAAGTGTTAGAGCTTGATTTTCTCTTATTTCTGGAAATAGTCCTTAAAATGTAGTTTTAAATATTAATGATCTTTTGCACTGTTTTTCTTTTAAAGAGACTTTAGTTATTCATATGTTGGAACCTTCTTCTCTGTCTGCTTTTTTATTACATTATTTTTTATCCAACTTATATTTTTCTGCTTTTTTCATTCTATTTTATATAATTTTACTGTTTCCTTATGTGGAAATCTTGTAATTTACTTTTTATTGGTGGTATGATTTATTATTTTATTTAATTTTGGAGTATAAATATTTCCTATTTTAGTACTTACTATTGTATGTCTATATTCTGAATTTCTACATTTCTGATGAATGATTTTTATATACACATTTATTTAATTATATGTAATTAGTGCCAAAATATCATGTTTCTTGTTTTTTTTTCTTTTCATAGCTCTTTTCTCTTTTTGGAGTTTTATTATTTGTTGTGAAGTTTTGATTCTCAAACTTTTGTTTGAGGTTATTTGCTTCGTGTATGTTTGTTGACTGTTTTGTTTAGAATTTTTCTTCATTGAAAATAATAGGGAGTCCTGTTTGGGAAGAGGCTAGAGAGCAAATGGTTTACTTCCTTGGGTTTTAGTTTGAGCGCCTTGTACTGTTGCTATGATGAAGTGATTAAGCACAACTTTAAAATGTCACAAAAGAGAAAGTAATGTAAAGTCCCCTTTTCTTTTTTTTGTGCCATTTTCCTATGTCTCTTGTTTTAATAGTTCAATAAATCTTAAGATAATTCTTAAAGATTTACAGTCAATAATTGATCTATATACTATACATCTTAGCATAATTAAAACTTGAGATATGTATTTCCTCACTCAAAATAACTGTGAAGTCCTATAAAATAATGTTCTATACAAATATTTTTATCTTTTCTACTTTGAGAAAAATACAGCCCAATAAGCAGAGCACATAAAATAAGACATTGACCATAGCTACAGCAGTGTTGGGCCATATACATTTCACAAATGTAAATTTAGTCTAAACAGTACAATGTGGATAAATAAGTACCTGAGAAAAGTAGTTATATCCTAAGACTAACCGGGAGTAGAGAGTCAATAAGGACTTGGACAGAATAAAAAAGAGCAAGGACAGTTGCAGCACAGATAACACCAAATAAGCTTTACTCTCAGATATCACTGAGAATATCACTAAAAGTGGGAAGATACTGATGATGGAGGGTACTGGCTACTGGAAAACAAAAGAAAATGACTATAAAAATGTTGAGGGCCATTTTTGGGGAGAGGGAAAATACCTTGGAAAGAGAATGTATCCTTTGAAGAAAAACTCAAAATTTAAAAAAACAAACAAACTGCTGAATAAAAGAGTGTTACTGAAAGAAGATGTATTACTTTCTCTTTTGTGACATTTTAAAGTTGTGCTTAATAATTTCATCCAGGTGAAATCAGTCAATAGGATATTTCAAAATGTTAGGGTATTTGTTAGCCTAGATAGTGGTTCTGAATCTTTCTTCATTAGCTCTTGATATGGTTCCCACTAAGATACTTTTTTTTGTTGTTAATAGACATTTCACAAGTTATGTATTTAACCATCCTGAAATTGTGTTTCATAACATTACAAGAGTCAGGGATTCTGTGACCTCTTTTGCAGGAAAGAACAATTTCCTATCCAGAGATAACCAGCTTAAGAAGTTATTCAGAGGTTATATATATCTGTTAAGCTAAAGTAAGTAACAAGTAATTGACAAAGTCTAGTCTATAGTTATTACTGGTTGTCCTCACTTGTTGGTATTTTTTAAAGACACATAATGAAGCATTTGTTATTATCCTAGAGAAATCTGTGATCATTTTAAATGTATGAAAATATGGTTCTCTAATTTGTTGTTTTTCTCAATCTACATCTATTTATCTTTCCACCATACTGATACGTTCATCATCTCTCATTCCTCTAGTTTAAAAGCATTATTATTTTAGAAACAGAGGCATCATCATAAGATATTAAAGATTGAACTTAATCCTTATAGAGAGGTCTTCTTGAGGGTGGCAGACAACGCTAATGCCTCTAAACTTAATATCCTTAGTGTCTGTTTAAAACCACAATACAATTTGAACTTCGCAAAATGGTTAATAAACAATAAGATTGCTTTTGGTCAAAAACGTTACCTATTTGTTTATTTCAGGGTTTTTTTTTTTGGATTAAATGTATGTCTCTGTTCTCTGTGACTTACATAGCAAGTTCATTACGCTGTTCTAATATTTCTAAGGATTCACAACAGTTGAATAGTATTTTTAGAATGCATAAATAGATAAATTTACTACAAATGCTCAATTTCTAGAATGTCATTTTTTCTTTGTATCTTTCAAAACATATATTTAAATTTATGTATTTAAATTTTAGACTCTGAAATTTTTATATAGTTACAGCCACATCACTTTTTCCAATGAGAATTTATACTCTGTAGTGTATTTTTTAACCCAAAGGTATAAAAATTATAGCTTATATTTTCAAAGACTATTTATCGAGTATAGCTGATTCACAATAAAACTTGCAATAGGAGAAAAAACCATATGTAAATAGATAGCATCCATAGAAAATAATGACTGTTAACTACTCTTTAGAAATATTAGTGAGGTAACTGTAATCAAGTGACACAACTGATACTTTCTAAGATTCATTTCAAATAGAAAATGCAAATTTTGAATATGTTTTATTTCTGTCCTAAGTCATAAATATACAAAAGTGTCCCTGAGAATTTACTTATAAAGCAAACTTTTCTTGAGCATTTAGAACATTTATTTAAAACTTGAGTATTTAAACAAGTATTTATTTTAAAAAATTGCTGTTAGCAATGATATTAAATGTCAACATAACTAAGCTTATAATGTGACCGTTTCTGTAAAATCTTTATACAAATACTGTATTATTGGATTTTTGCATGATCGTAGCTCATGTTCTTGCCTCTTCTAATGTATAGAGAATATTTTCATCATAAAGCTATCAGCTCAAATGCATGGCTACCCTTAAGGCCTAGAAGAATTAAGACAACAGACATCTGGAACTCCCCATTAATACAGGCAAGTGTTTAAGAAAATGTAGTCACTAGATGGTTTTGCCAAATTATAGCAATTTATGGTCTTTACTGCTTCTACACAACCCATTCAGTATACACACACACACACACACACACACATTATGTTAATAGTAAGTAGATATTAACACATTTCTATCCAATTAAATTGCAGGGCATTTCCACCAAAAATTTTGTTACAAACTGGTTAAGGTATGCATTTCATAGGATGACATCAGAAAATATCCTGTTAATTAACTAGCAAACACCTACATTGTTGTTAAGCTAAATGTTGGGTAAAGCCATTGATCCTTATTTTTCTTGGATCAGCTTTTATAGTAGTCTCTGAGAATACCAAAATGAAAAATATACTGTCTTTGTCCTCTAGAAGAATTTACAAATTAATCACAAAATGATTACATTAACTGACTAATAACTGGTTTTGCTTTCCCAAGGTGAAGCTAAAGATGAATAACTCAAACAGCATATCTTTAGAGCTTAGATATTTAGTTCAAATATAATTTATATAAATCTAAGCAAAAAAGCCATATTAAATCGCTGTCTAATGATCTAATTTAATTCACTTTAATATGCATTTGTATTATGTAACATTCCTTGAATATATATCAGAAATGAGATAAGACTAGCAGGGTGATTTTAATTGTGGTGGGGGGGGGTGATATTTGGGTTGTAGGGGTAGCGCTGCAAAGAGTAATCAGCCCCAAGAAAGAAAAATGTTCTAACATCACTAAGGTCTCCATTCAGAAAACTATATGAAAAGTCAAACTTCAAAATATTTTTGTGGGAGGTAGAGGAGGTTGAATAGTCCATTAGGTTCTGAATCCCAAAATAAAATTGATAAAGCTTAGGTTGCTAAATCATAGCAAGTTGTTCACAAATGCAAGCTTCAGAACACTAGGTGGAGGCAAAAAGAGGTAGTGGAACAAGAAATAGTCAATTTTCATATTCTTACCAATAAAAGTAGCAGGGCTTCAGAGTTAGTAGACCAGACAAGTGTATTATTAAATGCGTGCTTTTTAAAAATTTTATGGACACAAAACATATTTTACACACACCTTTAAAAACAGATCAGTAACTCTGAAGGAAAACACAAACATTATTAGCTAGGCATGGTGGCATGCACCTGTACTTCCAGCTGCTCAGGAGGCTTAGGCATGAGAATCGCTTGAGTCAGGGAGGCTGAGGTTGCAGTGAGCCGAGATTGTACCACTGCACTCCAGCCTGGGTGATGGGCAATACTTCATCTCAAAAGAAAAACAACAACAACATAAAAAACCCACAAGCATTAACAGCATTAATAGTAGAGGTTTTCTCAGGAGAGGAGAACTAGGTGATTGGGGGAGAGCAAAGAGAGACTTTTCCTTGTAGATTTAGAAAACAATATTTGAATTTCCTACTGCATCTGTACACTACATGCATACTTGTGTTTTTAAAAAGTGCATTAGTGAAAATATATACTTCATGGAAATACTCTTCCACATAATTTATGTATCCACAAATAGGAAATATAGATGATAGATAGATAGATAGATAGATAGATAGATAGATAGATAGATATCATAAGGTCTTATGTAACTGCTGAGATGTGTTCTGAGTTCTTGACAATTATCACTTTCAGTTGTCATTTAATACTATTTTGGAAATAAGTTTTTGTTTATTTGTTTAATTTTATTTTAGTTCTTAAAAATCAGCCAACCACCCAACTATGGGATGGAAATAACATCTTTTGACCCCATCAAGAATCCATAATGCTGGTGGGTCAGTCGGAGACCTCATTAATATCAGCTTCAGTAAAGAGAGGTTTCAATCTTAAGAAGCTCATAGCTGGGCTGATGTTGCCACGGCTCTACTGCCACTGACTATGAGGTTCCCTGATGACAGGGCTTTATTTCTGTGACGTCATCATGTGTGTGTCTCCCTGATAGTGCCTAGACCCTCTTGACCTCAACTCCCTATCCAGATATGTGACATAAGTAAACCCCATTTGTCAGAAAGGGTAGAAAAAGACATATTTATATTTTAGCTATCTCTACAGAATGGCCCAACAAGGGAGTAAGTGTTTGGGATTGCGTGTAGTTTGAGCTTGCAGTGCCCACGCCAGCTGGTGGGTAAAACTGCTAGCACTAGAAACTTTCCAAAAGCTACAGAATTACTGTTCCTACTCCTGAATGAGATGTTGTGCACAAACAAAGATCTAATTTGTAAGAAGGAAAAAGATTGAGATAATGGCAACAACTCAAGATGGGATTTGAAAATTAATATCTATAAACACATGCTTTGGTTAATCATGTTTGCCTGCAAGGTGGTTAACATTAGCACTTGTGATCATGACCTAGGTGAAGTACTGCTAAAATACAATATTAAGTTTCAGAGCAGTTATTTTTCTTTTATTACCATGATATCAGTTATACACATTAATGAAAGGAGCATATAGCTTTAGTAAAATATATATTACCTTTATAATGATAGATATATAGAACTTTTTGAAAAAAATGACTGACTGCTCTTTTATTTTAAGTATTCTTATATCCTGGGCATGATCATAATTATGTCATATTTACTAATTATTAATATTCTATATTTAAAACAATATCTGAATTTAAACCTGTGAATATTTACTATTATGCTCTCATTTTCTTTCTTTTCTTAAATTAGTAACATTTGTTTTATTTTAAAATAACAGTTTTATAAAATATAATTTGCTGTTTTCAAATACATATAAATGAGAATTGATTACTGCAGTCAAGCTAATTAGCGTATCCATCACCTCATATAATCACCTTTTGTTCTCTGTGTGGCGAGAACATTCAAAATTTACTTACTTAGCAATTATCAAGTGTAGACGCAGTATTAACTATAGTCACCATTATGTATATCAGATCTCTAGAATTTATTAATCTTACACAACTGAAAGCTTGTACCCTTTAATCAACTTCTCTCCATTTTCTCCCACTTTTTGCAACCATCATTTTGCTCTCTACTTTTATGAATTTGACTATTTGATTATTAGATTCCATATATATGTTAGGTTATGCAGTGTTTTTCTTTCTGTATCTGGCTTATTTCACTCAGCATGTCCCAGTGCTCATCCATGTTGTGAATGGCAGAATTTTCTTTCATTTTAAGGCTGAATAATACTCAATTGTACACACATGTGTACCCCCTTTTCTTTATCCATGCATCTTTCAATGGACACATAGGTTGTTTACATATCTTGGGTATTGTGAATAATGCTGCACTGAATGTAGCAGTGCAGATATCTTTTCTAGATATTGATTTCATTTCCTTTAAATATACCAAGTGATGGGATTGCTGGGTCATATGGTAAAAAAGTTTCGTTTTTTTTTTAATTTTTTTGAGGAAATTTCATTCTGATTCTCGTAATGGATGTACTAATTTACATTCCCATCAACAGTGTACAAGGGTTCCCTTTTTGCCACACAAGACTTCCACAATGCTTACATCAATTCACTTAATAGTGTTCCATAAATCCCATAGATATTCTCTACTCTTTTTTATTATTTTTCCTACTATGTCAGGATAATTTCAAGTATTCTGTCTTTGAATTTGTTTAGTATTTCTTCTGCTTGATCGAATGTGTCATTGAAGCTCTCTATATAATTTTCATTTTAGTCATTGTATTCTTCCACACCAGAAATTAGTTCTTTTTATGATTTCTGTCACATTTTTGAAAGCAAGGCTATAAGGAACAAAGAAAAACAGAGATACATGACATTGCCAAAATAATGTGATAATTCCCCAGTAACTGACCCCAAATTAATGGGATTGTATGATTTCCAGACAAATAATTGAAAATAATTGTTGTAAAGAAGTTCAGCAAACTACAAGAGAACATTAATAGCAAATTCAGTGAAATCAGAAAAAAATAATCCATGAACCAAACAGCATGAGTTCAATGCAGTGGTTCTGGCTCTGGGCAGTGCCAGTGGCTTGGTTTGACATCAGTGAAGATTAGGTGAGTCTTCTGTGGCAGTAGCTATGGTGGCTGGGATCCACTGTGTCAAAGGCTGCTGAGGTTCCCTGCTCCCCTTCTCAATCCAGGGGGGAATTTTTGACTGAGGGGATTTATCTTGGTGCTGCACCAGCCTGGAGAGGTGGGGTGATGCAGACAAAATACCTTCTTCTCCTTTATATGCAGTCATCCCTGGTCTCTGTACTGCACCAGCCTGGCGGCGAGGGAGGTGGTGATACAGACAAATATTTTCTTCTTCTTTATATGCACCCATCCCTGGTCTCTGTACTCCTCTGTGTTGCTGTAGCCTTCTAACAGCACTCCAGCAATATTCCAGAGCTCATCATTCTCATTTTTGAATAGTTGACCTCATTGTTGTTTTTGTGTAGGATGAGGAAGAAAGACAGACTATAAACCAGTAATTCTCATGGACATTGAAGCAAAAATTATCAATAAAATACCTTGAAATACATTAAAAAGATAAAATATCATAATTAATTGTATTTAACTTGAGAATGCTGGGCTATTTGGATTTCAACAAAATCAACCAACACAATTCAGCCTATTAACAGAGTAAAGATGAACACCAGGGATTCTTCTTGCTTGAAAACGAAATTGATCTCCTTGTGGCATTAAATGGCCAATAGTATGAGATTGTGAAAGTATTTTAAGGCCAACCACCAAAATAATGTTTCATGCTATTAATAATTTGTGAAGCTTTCTGAAACATATTAAATTGTAGGTTTAAACAGGCTTAGAAAGCCAAGCCACTGCTTGATTTTTCATCATGATTATTCTATAAGTTAGATTTTGTTGTTGTTGTTGTTTTGAGATGGATTCTCACTCTGTCGCCCAGGCTGGAGTGCAGTGGCGCAATCTAGGCTCACTGCAACCTCTGCCTCCCCGGTTCAAGTGACTCTCCTGCCTTAGCCTCCCGAGTAGCTGAGGCTACAGGTGCGTGCCACCACACCCAGCTAATTTTTTGTATTTTCAGTAGAGACAGGGTTTCAACAAGTTAGCCAGGATGGTCTCCATCTCCTGACCTCGTGATCTACCCACCTGGGCCACCCAAAGTGCTGGGATTGTTTTCTTTAGTTGTCCTTCACCTTAAGTTTCCAGCAAAATGAATGTGCTAATATTGTCTCATTTTGTTAATCAAACTGGCCTACGTTTTAATACAGTTGAATTAAAACCCAAAATTAGTCTGCCAGAAGTAACAGTTTTCTGAGGGAAAAGAAAACAAAACAAAACCTGCTAAAAAAAAATTTAAATATCTACTGTAAAATTTTGCTTTCATTTTTGCAACAAAAGTACCCTTCTTTTCAGCTAAACAACTAATTTTATGAAAACTAGTGTACTTAGAATAATTTCATTTGAAATAATAGTAAGCCAGATAGAAATCAATATAGGTAGCAAAAACTGAGACAGTTTCATGTACACTTGGGAAAAAATATGTATTCTCCTGTTTCAGTGGAGTGTTCCATATTTTTTCTTTTATGCCTAGCTAGTTTATAGTGTTGATCAAGTCCTCTGTTTTCTTGCTGTTTTTTTGCCTAGTTTTTCTGTTATTGAAAGTGTGATATTGAAGTCTTCTAATACTGTAGAGCTGTTAACTTCTCCCTTCAATTCTGTGATTGTCATATATATATATATGTGTGTGTGTATATATATATGTGTTTATAATTCATCTTCTTGATGGATTTTTCCTTTCATCATTATGTAATGTCTGGACCTTCTTTGTCTCTGATAACCATTTTTACTTAAAGTCTGTTTTATCTGATAGTAGGTACCACTGGTTCTAGTTTGGTTATTATTTGCATAGAGTATCTGTCTCCATCCTTTCACTTCCACCTCTTTGTGTTTTGGAATTTAAATGGAGTCTCTTGTAGGTGTATTGTAGGATCATGCTTTTTAAATCCACTATGTTATTCTCTACCTTTTAATTGGAGAGTTTAATTCACATGCATTTAAATTAATGGCAGATAAGTAAAAACTTCTGCCATTTTGTTATTTGCTCCCCATGTCATTTTATTTTGTTCCACAAATTCCTGTATTACTGCTTCTTTGTGTTTAAGTAATTTTTTGTAGTGTACCCTTTCGATTTCTTTCTCACTTACTTTTCCATATATATTTTTAGTTAATTTCTTCGTGGTTACCCATGGATTACAATTAACCTCTTCAAAGTATAGCAATTTATTTTGAATTGATACCAATTAGCCTTAGTAGTGTACATAAACTCTGCCCCTACACAGGTCATCTCTCATTGCTTATGTGGTTGTTGTTACAAATTAAATCATTATGCGTTATGTTCCCAATAATATAGATTTATGATTATTTTAAGTATTTGTATTTAAATCCTGTAGGAAATGAAGAGTGAAGTTTCAAACCAAAAAAATAATACTGGCTCTTATATTTGCCCATGTCTTACCTTTAACAGAGACTTTTTTTTTCTTCATACAGCTTTGTTTTTGTTGTTGTTGTTTTGTTTGTTTGTTTTTGTTTTGAGACAAAGTCTTGCTCTGTTGCCCAGGCTGGAGTGCAGTGGAACGATCTCAGCTCACTGCATCCTCCACCACCTGGGTTCAACCTCCGCCTCCTGGGTTCAAACAATTCTCCTGCCTCAACCTCCCAAGTAGCTGGGATTACAGGCACATGCCACCATGCCTAATTTTTTAATTTTTAGTAGAGACAGAGTTTCACCATGTTGGCCAGGCTGGTCTTGAACTCCTGACCTCAGGTGATCTGTGCACCTCAGCCTCCCAAAGTGCTGGGACTACAGACATGAGCCACCATGCCTAACTTCTTCATATAGCTTTGAGTTACTGTCTTGTATCTTTTTATTTCAACCAGAAGAACCACCTTTAGCATTTTTTATAGGGCTGCTCCAGTGATACAAATTCCCTTAGCTTTTGTTCATCTTTTATTTGGAAAAATCTTAATTTCTCCCTCATTTTTGAATGATAGTTTTGCTGGATATAGGATTCTTGTTTGATAGTCTCCGTTTTTTCACAGCACATAGAATATGCCATCCCACTGTCGTCTGACATCTATAGCTTCTGGTGAAAAATAGACTGTAGGTCTTACTGGGGAGCCTTAGTGCATGCTTTATATGCTTCTGTCTTTGTCTTTGCTTTCAGCAGTGTGATTATAATGTATTTTAGAGTCAATCATTTTGAGTTTATCCTGCTTAGAATTTGTTGAGCTTTTAGAATGTATAGATTTATGACTTTCATCAAATTTAAATGTTATCAGCCATTATTTCTCTTAATATTATTTCTGCCTCTTCAACTCTCTTTCTGAGGCTCTTATTATATATATGTTGGTATAACTGATAATATTCCCAAAGTCTTTTAGTCTCTGTTCAGTTTTATTTTTTTGTTATTCTGGATCTCAGAATGTATAGTGTAAGTTAACCAATTTTCAGATTTGTTGATTATTTCTTTAGCCTGCCAGTATCTGCTGATGAACCTCTTCAGTTAATTTTTCATTTCAATTATTGTCAGCTATAGAATTTGTTTCATTACCTTTTTAATAATTTATGTCCACTCATATTCTGTGTTTCTTAAGACATCATTCTTCCAAGATCCTATTGTCTTTTGTTCATTGTTTTCTTTAGTTGGCTGAGTCTATTTTGAGAGTGTTTGTCAAGCAAGTTCAATGTCTGTGCTTCCTCTGGGAAAGCCTCTCTTAGTATCTCCTAGAAATGGGTCTGTCTTTCTTTCTTTCTTTCTTTCTTTCTTTCTTTCTTTCTTTCTTTCTTTCTTTCTTTCTTTCTTTCTTTCTTTCTTTCTCTTTCTCTTCTTCCTTTCTTTCTTTCCTTCCTTCCTTCTTTCTTTCTCTCTCTCTCTCTCTCTCTTTCTTTCTTTCTTTCTCAATTCCTTATTGAAAACTGGGCATTTTGAATATTATAATATGGCATCTCTGAAAATTATATTCATCCTCCTCCTTGGGGTTTGCTTTTATTACTTTGCATAAGTAGTTCTTTGTTCAGTAACTTTTCTAAATTACTCTTGTAAATCCTTTATTCTTCTTGTTATGTGTAGTCTCTTAATTCTCTGGTCATTTAGCTATACGCAGCTCATTTTGGACAGGGATTTGCTTGAACACCAGGAAGAAGAAAAATAATTTTTAATTATCCACATATATTTTCTCCTTGAGTTGTCCTCTGAGGCTTTCAGTGTACCTATAATTTGCTCAACTGTACCTTTTTCCAATGTTGCAGTGGATTTTTCATTTGAATTAAAATATCTTCAAGGGATACCTTCTGTTATAGCCACATTTCCACCCTCTGTGATTTCTGAGCTAGACAAAACAAAAGCAGGCACCTTGGGTTATTCTTTCAGTTGACTGCCAGATTAAGTAATAATGGAAAAACACAATTATTTGGGAATAACATATACTCTCTTCCTTTCAGAACCAGTGACCAAAATTACAAATTGGGAATATGAGCTGTGGTTTTCAAAATAGCTGCTGCAAAGCAGAGGGTATTGGGCCAAAGACAAGGACAAATTCCACAAAGTTATCTGACCAAGTTTAATTTACCTTTTCCTTAATTCAGCATCTGCCGGTTGTGGTTGCTGTAAACCTTTGACTCTTTGCCAAAGTTGGAACAAATGTGAAAGTGGAGTCTGATGGTTGCACTCATTTTTTCAATATTTATCTGGAGAGAAGGGCTCTTGGAGCTACATACTCCATTATCATCACTCCTGAAAAGCTGCTTTTTAAAATTTTATTTTCTTTCCTATTATTTGTTGCTTTCCACAAATGCAGGAGTTGTTTTTTTTTTTAACATATGTGTGTCACAGTCTCTTTATACATGTAAAATTCTTTCAGTTACTAGAAAAAATAAAATCCAAGCTGTGTACATTAAAAAATACTTAAGATTGCATTTAAAAACAGATTTGCAAAGTTTGCAATGAAATTAACATAGCATTCTAAAAGTTTTCTGCTGTGGACAAGATATAAATAATAAAAGATAATTTTTTTTTACCTAGTATTTGGGTAAAACTAAAGATATAGTTAGATACTGTAGAAACAATATAAATAATAAAAGATACAGTAGAAATAATAAAAGATAATCTGTTATAATTTAACAGTATTATTTCATAACACTGTTATTATCCTGAGTAGAAATAGTAAAAGATAATCTAATTTTACCTAGTATTTTGGGTGAAACTGAAAATATAGTTAGAACAGTAGAAACAATAAAAAGGTGCAAATAAATAAAAGAGTTAATTATAAAAGCATTGTTTTCACAGCTGTAAAAAAAGTTGAATACAAATCATGGGTTATCTTTATTTCAATTTTTTAAAATAAGGTATAACAATACAACTTTATATATGTACTTATTTTATGGAAGTTGTGTTTCTTTTTTAAACTTTTAAGTTCAGGGGAATACGTGTGGGTTTGTTATATAGGTAAACTTGTGTCATAGGGGTTTGATGTACAGATTATTTTGTCACCCAAGTATTAAGCCTAGTACTCATTATATATTTTTCCTGATTCTATTCCTCTCCCGCTTTCCACCCTCTGGTAGTCCCCAGTGTCCATTGTTCCCTGCTATATATCCCTGTGTTCTCATCTTTTAGCTCCCATATGTGAATGAGAACCTTGGTTATTTGGTTTTCTGTTTCTGTGTTAGTTTGCTAAGAATAATGGCCTTCAGCTCCATCCATGTTCCAGCAAACCACCATGGCACATCACTGACTATTGGAAAAATGCAAATCAAAATCACAATGGGAAATTGTGTTTCCACGGAAAATTATCTGTCCTCTAGAACTGTGCATCCTTTCTGTATTCTCAGATCTAGCTTTGTTCATTGTTTCGGGGATATTTTGGTACACTTTGTAAATTGTAGTTACCTGATAATTATGTAAATTATATTCTATATGGTACGAATTTAATTGACTTATCCCCCTTCTGTGAAATAACCAGCATTGTTTCCATTTGCAATACTTTTCAGTATTCCTTTTCTCTAGTTTTGTGCTTTTTGATTTTCCCTAATATCAGTAATTACACCTGCTGAGTTATCTCATGTCATGTGATTAAAATAGAATTTTTAAATATGTTTACCTTTTATATGTGCATAAAAATCATGATTTTATCTTCTTCCTAAACATTATCTTTTAACATTATAAACATAAGCATGTATAGATATAGATAGACATGTATTTGGAAAAACAAGATAATTTTTATATATGTGTACATATATGTATTATTTATGTATTCACATATATAAGCATTTTATACCCACACATACATATTGCTATGCTAGATAGATTGATATAGATGAATATTCTAGCATGAGATGGAGTCCCTTTCTTCTTTTACAATTTTATAACTTCAACCCCTCTTTTGTATCTTTTCTTCACCAATTTAACTACTTTATTTTTAAAAAATAAGTTGCATATTTGTCAAGCTTGGAGTGAACTTGGTATAAAGATAAATTCTCTTGTAAATGTTGTTCTTCGAAAATATTTAGACTCATTTCTAAGCTTTCTATATAGAGGGTAATGGTGAGTCAGAAGGGAAGTATAATGGCCTTTATCTACATTGGTAGAAGTTCATCCCTCTGGGATGATGTAACCCTCAAAGGATAAAGCTTATTCAGAAAAGCAGGGGTCAGATTTTGGCTCCAACTTACTTGTTTTAACCTGAAGCCTTGTGCAGAAATCAGAAATTTAACTGACTTAATCGAGTTTTAGAATTCATAAGTATTATTAATTTCTTGGTAATGTTAATGTGCAGAGACACCTGAAGGTGAATATAAATGTGCTACTTTTCTACAACATCAAGGCTATGGTGAAAACAAACCCCAGACAAAATTATTTCCATTTCTTTGACTTTTATTAGCAAAACAGGAGTTAGTAGACAAAATCAGTCTAGAAGCTACCTGAAGTCTCAGTCTCTGCCTATTCTGTTACTCACAGAGCGTCTAGAATGAAAAGGTCCCTCAAGGCAAACCGGCCTATTGAGCAATAGCCAAAACTCAATTAACCATCTAATCAGGTTCAGGTGATAGCCGTTTTAGGGATCGCAGCTGAGCTGTTTTCCCTACGACTAAAGGTGAAAAAGCTAAAATCTTCTATCCAGTTTAGGTCAATAATTTAACCAGTGAAAACCACGTGTAATGCCCATTATGGTTATTATTATCAAAACATTAATTTCAGCAACAAAAAGTCATCCTTAATATATTAAATATATGCTGCTAATTAGAAAGGACCCTTTTCTTCATTAATGAGAAAGCAAAGGGAAACACTTCTAAGAGCTCATCCTTGAGTGGATCTCCTTATTGAATGCCAGCGAATCATCTCTATGGTATTTCTGTTTTTGGAAGTGGGTCACTCTTGAGTAAGCACAAAACAACAGAAAATATAAATTTTAATATTTTAATTAATAAAATATAAGCACTTATATATCACATTTTAAAGTATATAACATCAAAAAGTAATTCCTGTTGTTGCAATTTATAAGATTGAAATAATATTATATTTTATGTAGCTATAATGAATATCACCTGTCCAGAAACAATAAACCTCATTCAGTGCCACTTAATAAGCTATTCTTTCTGTTCTTTTAGAACAAAATTTGTATAATTTTCTCCACATGAGTTAGGATTTCAATTTTCTTTTCATGTCATTTTTCTTTCCAATTTACAGATGTTCTCCACCAGAAGGAGAATAATATGCCCAAGGAATCCAACCTCCAACTTTTCAGTGAAATATTTGCTATAAGCTATAATTTCCGTTCTGAGGATCTATCATAGAAAATTTTAACATAGGTACGTCAATCAAGTATTAAAAAATGAAAATTCTTTTCTTTACCATACTGAAATGGCTGGTTATTGCTTCTTTTGGGAATCAATGTTTTAAAGACAGGGCTTCAGTATCTTTTATTGCTGTAATAAATGTTCAATATTTTCCCCAGTGTTGAGTGAAAGTGGAGTGAACTTGAGTTTCCTTTCTCAATTCTGCAGTTGAAAATAATTGCTTTGCTTTTCCCACATAATTGTGGAAAAACAATTTTGACAAGAGACTAGTTCCTAAGTATTGAATATTGAAATTAATTAGCATTCACATTGCGTTGTGCACTGCCATCCCTGGAGAATTGTGGTAATGAGTATTCAGATTAACTATACCCACTAGGGACACCCTATACTATTATGCCTTCATGTTCTATAAATATATATAGTCCCTGAACAGTCAGAATATACTAAGGGATCAGTTATACCCACAAATCTAAAAGAACTAGAATATAGAAGGACATGGTCCATTTAACTATGCAGATCACAACATACTATGCTGGTACATCATAATATTGTCTCAACTAAAATTTCCAAGTGTCTGTTCTTGAAATTGGCATAACATAACAACACATTGCTATCAAACACTCCCATTTAAAACAGCAGAGCATTTGGTTTCATGACCCCCTTCTAATTAATTACAAGAATCATGCTTAGAAAACTGTCGATTTATCAAAGCAAAGTTATGGATATTGGCACATATAATTTTTGTTAGTGTATCCGTTTCACTTCTTTCCTACAATCTCAGCAAGTGTTGGCTAAGTTTCAAATTTAGTCAAAACATATGCTCCAAGTAGGATTTTAAAAATTAACCTACTTTGGTTTATTCAAAAACTGATTAAACAGATAATTAAAACTTATAGACACAGATTCCTGCTAAATTACTGTAGCTTAAATGAAATTGTGCAGTAGATTATTAGTGGCATGTACGCTGGTATAAACTGCATCAGTCACAGTGCGGACAACATACAAAGATTTCATGTTTCCTGTTTTCTACATAGGCTCCTAAAATGGCTCCTTTTGATATGAAAAGAGTCAGAAATTTGGACAATTTATGAATTTTTTTTTTTTTTAGATTTAAGAGCTCCTTTATCTCAAATTTTCTAAGCCAGTGCCACTGTTTATTATATCATTTCATCATGGAATTGATCATTAAGAAAATTCTATTTGCCTTAAGAATCCTTTAGTGCTTTAAAAAGGTAAATATGCTGAGAAAAATGTAAGAATTAAAATGGTCATTTATGGTAAATTGCCAAGATGCAAATTAGGTCTGTGGTCAAATATCTACTATGAATACTTTTTATTTGTATAACTCTCTGAATTTCAAACCATCTTGTATTACTAGGAAAAATGCAGATTTTTAAACTTTAAGTATTGTTGTAAGTACTAAATGAAATAATGTATGTGAGACTCCCTAGCACATTTCCAGGAACAAAATCTTGCAAGGTTAGTTTCTTTCATGCATTTACACATGGAAAGGTAACATGCAACAGATTAAAAAAAGAAAAAGAAAAAGCTTCAGACTTGATCTCTTCCATGTACGACTCTAAATTTGAGTAAGGCACACAATCTCTGATCCTGATCCTCAGATAGCTCAGCTTCAAAACTCAACAAATAGTCACTTTAGGTAACCATGAGATCAAACAAATAAGGTATACACATCTTCCAGAAATATTGGCATTTTGAATTCTCTCAAAAATTGTTATTGGCCTTTAAACATTATATATTTGCTCAACAGTCAGTATCATTCTACTTCCACATTCTTGTAGAAAGAAACTAATCATTGTGAATATCTCAATTATCCACCTTCCCTAGTCCAGCATATATCTATTAGAATTTGCTATATGCTTACATTGTTCTAGGCATTAAAGATAACGAGCTTGAAGCAGAACTACCCTAATGAAACTTACTTGGCCATACCAATCATAGGCAATAAGCAATACAATATCAGGTAGAGAGGAATACCAAAAATAAAGTTCAATATAGTACAGGTTAAATCGTTAAATGTTGGAGTATAATGGTTGGAGTGGCCAATGAAATACAGGTTGATCCAAAAAATATAGGAATTTTTCCAATGTTAATTACAAATTTTATAGAATTCCAATGTGATATTTATCTAGACAAAAAGATTCTAAAACTAATCAAAAAGAATAGTAAAAAGCAACACAGGCAAAGATAATTGCCCTAATAGAATATATGATTGAGTGATGTTATAACTCAATGGGAAAATAAATAATTATTCAATAAATATTACAGAGAAAATTATCTAAACATTCAAAAATTATTAATCATTTTCCCTTACATTGCATGCCATAATAGACCCAATATAAAATGAAGAGGCTTCAGTTAAATTGTAAACTGTAAATAAGAAGTGCTACTGAATATTTAGACAATACTCAGAAAGGATACTTTAAGTATAAAAACAATGAAATAAATAAAAAGGTAAAAGTAAACTACACACAAATTTGAGATTTCTGAACCTATAAAATACATGAAAAGATAATCAAATAAGCCAAAAATATTTATTATAGAAGTTTTAAAGTTGGATTTCTAAGATTACTGAGGTAAGCCTTACAATCTTGAGGTTACTTAGAATTATATTGACTGGGTATCCATTAGCCACATCTGACTATCAAGCACTGAAATGTGGCCAGTCCAAATTGAGAATTGCTACAGCGTAAAACACAGACAAAATTCTGAAACCTTGGTAGGAAAATTAAAAATATAAAAGATCTCAACAACGTTTTGTTGATTAAATATTAAAATAATACTTTTGACTTACTAAATTAAGTATATTATTAAAATTAGTCTCTCTTGTTTCTTTTACTTTTGTAATACAGCTACTAGAAAATTTAGCATTACCTATGTGGCACAGATTATATTTTGGATTGCACGTATCTAGAGAGGCAAGAACTATTTGGAAAAATTGGACCTACCAGGTTGCCTCATCTTCATTTTTCTAAGATATTATGTTAAGAGCCTTGATTATGATAATGATAACAGTGGTGATGATCTTGGTAATTTTTGCATCTTGACATTGTATCTTTATACCTTCTTATAATTTTGGTGTTCACCTTATGTTTGCTATACTGATGCTAGAATTTGAAAAGTCAAACATTTTGGCTTCATAACAATGACAGCTTCCTGATTTTCCTAACTGCTATGAAATGTTAAATGGCCATGGCCAAATAACTCAAGAATTTCATATTCTGTATACTTCAATGAAAATAAAAATGTTTACTCATTAACTCTAAATAAAACCATCACCAAATTAGTTGTAAATAACTAGGCAGAGAAAAAATTATAAGTTGTATCATTAAATTTTTATCTTATTCATTAAGAAAAGAAATGCCATTTGGGGAAGGACTTATTCAGTCATCTCTGAGATTTTCAACTGTCTGTTATTGCATAAGAGATAGATCTGTATAATATGAACCTTTAAGAAGACAGCTTGTATCTGGGAATTATCATGACTTGTGTCACTCCTACTTCCATATATTATCTTAGTTATTCCAAATTAGCCACAATGACTAACAAAGCATCACAGTCCTGTTAACCTTTCATAGTTTGGTAGAGAATCTAATGAACAGGCAAGGAACATTTAATTCACCTTGATTAAATAATTGCATCTGTGAATTTGTGTAAAATTATGAATAGAACTGAGATGTAGACAAAATTATGTATGAGGATGCTGTCATTGCTGTTGTGGCTGCTGTTATTTTGTATTATCTTGATGCAGTTTTTACAACAATAGGAAATAAATTATGCGAACACAAAATTTTAAATTTGAAGCATAGTTAATGACATGAGAAGATTAAGTATTTTAAAAATTATTCATTATCCAATTATCTAAACATGACCACATATAATATTTTAGTTATGTATATTTACATATGTGTGTATTTCTAAATACACTGTTTTAATGTACATATCATTTGCTACTGTGTTTCTTTACATATCAATCAGTATGCAGCCTCCATTGTAGCGAGGATTAAAGATGATGCATGCAAAACACTTGTGTCGTCTCTTCCAGAGAGTAGCCTCTCTAAACTTCAGGAGATTCCTATTCTTGCTCATAATGTTCTACATTTTTTTCATATTACTGGTATATAATATGCTTGCTTAATAATTTTGGTTGCTTAGACACTGAAAACTAAGATTGGTTCAGTTTAAGTTAACTCATTCCAACTACCTAGCCCATAATTTCTTTCTTATTATTTAATGGCATATACAATCATCTACATTACTTTGGGCTGCTTTTAATAGAAAACTGAATACAATGGCTTAATGAAGTAAGGGTGTATATTTCTCACCTAGAAAAAAAATCAGAGGCAAGAAATCCATGGCCAGTGCTCCACTATGTCACAAGGACCTGGTCTTCTTTTCTGTTCTAACATCTTTAGTTTGTGAATTACGTTCCCATCTGACATGACGGTTGCTGTATTTAACATTCACAATTGAAGAGGAAGTAGAAAGACAATAGCCGTTTGCTCTAGCTGTATGATGTTTTTTGTTTTTGTTTTTTTAAACAACAGGAAGAGGATAGCACTTTCAGCTGTTTCATAGATTTTAAATGAAAAAGTAGACTTTCCTGTATATAATTATCCATATGTAGGTCTAATTTCAAACAAAATGAAATCTGTTATAAAAGAAGGGAAAAGAATTGAATATTGGGAGACAATGAGCAGATAGTTTAGGGTGTAAACTGTGATAATCCAATCTACTAACAGACTTTTATTAATATTTTTGTACATTTGAACCAATTTTCTCCTCTATTAAATGATGAAATAATATCTATCTCTCTGAGTGGTTATGCGAAGTTAGTAAGGCAGTGTCAATCATCTAGTGAAGCAACTGATTCATATTGTGTTCCCATTAATGTGCTGATTGACATGAAGAGTTAGATTTCTGAATAAATAAGGGTTTATGTATATTAAGTTTCTATAGTTGTTCTTTGGTAGTACATGAGGTTGTAATTAATAAGCATAAAAACGTATTCTAAAATAAGTGGATGTTGTTAAAGGCATATGATGGGTAAGGTAAAAAATGTCTTTCTTATTACTTCCCTAGAAAATATAATTAAGAATTAGCACTAAATATATTCAGCCCTTACTATGTCTAGGAAAATTATGATAATATAAAATATTGAATACTACACAAATATACTTTATGAGCCTTTGAACATTTATTTGGGATATAATTAAAGAAAAATGGCAGAATAAAATATATACTATATTAACCTACATTATTACTTTTTAAGTTTATTATTTGAAAGCATTTACATAGCATGTATATATCAATTCATGTAATTCACAGAGCATATCGGTTGTCCAATAAAAGTCTTTTTATAACTTGGATTATGAATTTAAAAAGGAATATGTTTTATCAAGTACCTATGAATGGATCCTTGGTTGTCTTTTATAAAGAATTCTGAAGTTCTCAGAAAATGGCATCACATAATTGAAGCTAAAACAAAATCTAGTAAGAGTGGACAGAAAGTGTCAAAAGGCAATACAGCTTTCCAAGTTAAAGGGTAATATAGAATCAGAGAAGAAATGAAGTGGCTAAATCCGTCAGCCACTTTCCATTGTGTCCAGTCTTATTTGATATGAATTCCCTATGATAAGCCACTTGAGTATCTGTAATAATTTCCCAACAGGTCTCCATGTCTTCACATTCTATGTTCTCTATATTCCTATCCTCCAAATGTTTACAAAAAATATTATTACCATTATTATATTTAAGATAGCATTATTTGACAACTCATGTTAAAAAAGTCAGATTTTCTATTAACAAAGAAGATTATTTAATTTATCCAATATTCAAGATCCTTTCTACTTTGTGTTTAAATTACCTTGCTGGTCTTATCTTCTAGTGTTTCATTCCTCTCTGGTCACAGCAAACACTTGGGAGACTCACTGGCTTTGCTGATGCTATTTCATCCTGTTTTATTCTATTCCGTCTAATTGGCATTTCTTTCCACTCAATTTAGCCCATTGAATTTTTTTGACAAACAGCCCAAATTTGCTACTTTTTTGAATCCTTTCCTGATTTTGCTTGGCCAATTTAGTTACTCTCTCCTTTGTGATTCCATCATATTTTATTTATATTTACAATTGCAGAATTTATTATAATCTGACATGCTTTCTAGTTAGCTAAAAAATTGCCCCCTCTTCTACTAGGTCAAAAGCTATTATTATTATTATTATTATTATTATTATTATTATTAATTTTAATCACCTAGTACCTAATTTGAGGATACATGCACAGCAGAGTCTTATAAAAGCTTATTGAATTGAATTAATATTCATAAATCTATCCCACCCAGACAGTTAACTTAGTTTTCTTTTAATATCTACTATTCTGGAATCAGTGTCCATTTGCTATTGTGACAAATTGGAAAGAATATTCATAAAGCCTTTCCCTTCAAGTTCATACTGCTGAATATTCTAAATGCCACTTCCTGCCTTCTGCTTACATTATCTGTTTTCTCAAACAGTTTCATCATTTTTAAAAATTACAAAATTCCAAGTAATTTATAGTACATTTCATAGGATTTCTGCTTTCTTCCAGGAATGTCTCTAGTAAAACTTAATATGTCTTCTATCAAATTAACTCATTTATATTCATTCAGTAAGGAATTTCCATATTGATCTCTCCTTGAAAGTTCATCTTGTCTTCTTTCAGTCTCTTTGCACTCAGAATAGACATGAAACTGCTGCCTCAACAACTTATCAAAATCATTTCCATCCATGAAGATTGCAGAGAGAATGAAAAACTCCAGTGTTAACATTAGGCCTTATTTATCCTGACATTTTTCCCTATGCTTATATTTGGCTTAGAAGAAGCCAAATGTATTCAGAGACTTATGTATTTGGCACCATAATATCTAGCTTAGGGCCAAAATTCTGTTGTTGACGAAGATGAAAAGGTCATTTAATTTATTGGAACTTTTGTTTTGACATATGTAAAATGTAAGAAATTCAGATAATATTTATGCTTTCTCTTAGAATCTCTTTTTTTAAAAAAAAACTGAATTAATGTTTCAAGGTTAATACTAGAAGCACAAAAAATTACATTTAAAAGGCTATGTAGTAAGTCATTCTTAAAGTCTTTGACTTATAGAATACCAGAGTTGGGAGGGAACAAAGAGTTCTTTGTCTAGTCTTCCTCCCTATGGCAGAGATGTTACACATTATATCCAAACTAGGCAGTCATTTTCTATCAGCAAAATAAGTTCTGTAGCAACAAGTTTATGACATCAAAACTTAATCTGTTCCACTGCTGAACAGGATGGATTACCAGAAAATCCTTAGACCTTGTAATTTTCATTCCTATCTTTGAAGTATCTGTAGTTAAAGCATCTAGAAATCGCAAAGAATTTATCTCTAGAACTATGGAATAAGATCCATGGTCCTCACCTTGAGTAGACAGAGATGTACAAAAGGAGCCCTTTTAGCCAGCCATAACATCATTTGTGAAAAGCAAAAAACAGGATGTCTCTCATTCTAAAATTCCATATCCTAATCCCAAGTACTGTAAATGATGGGATATCACTGTGGTGATTAGGTTACATTATATGGCATGGTTGATCAGTTGATCAAGTGGGCCTGATCTAATCCTATGAACCTTTAAAAGCAGAGTGCTTTATTTGGCTGGTGATAGAAGGGGAAGTGAGAGAGATTCAAAGTCAAAGGACTTGACATTCTTTTGCTGGTGTTGAAGGGCTCCACTGAAGTAGGAGTACAGGTGGCTTCTGAGAGCAAGGGGGACTCCCAGTTTACAGCCAGCAGGGAAAAGGAAATCTCAGTTTAACAACAGCAAGTAACTGACTTCTACCAACAAACTGCATGAGCTCAGATATTTCTCTGCAGATCTTCCAGATAAGAACTCAGCCCAACAAACACCTTGATTTCAGCCTTGTAAAACCCCAAGCAGAGAACCAACACGCGATGCCAGATTTCTGACCTACCATACCGTGAGCCAATAAAATAGGTATCATTTAAGCTAATAAATTTGTGGAAATTTGTTACATAGTAACATAAAATCCTACCTCAGTTAAGAAATAATATGTTACAGAGTTTATTTATAAACGAGGTACTAAAAAAAATAAAATTATCACCAAGGTACCAACAGACTTTCCCTCCAAGGAAAATATTTTCAATTAAATTGTAATCATGAAAATTGTAATATGTTGGTTGTAAAGACTGATATTTCATGTGAAAAAAAGCATAGCTGTTTAATCCTTAGAATTTTCAAAGAGAAGTTGTTCATATTCTCATGAACAACATTGTAATTTTAAGCAGAAATAAATTGAATAAAAGCAGTTAATCCAACTGGATAGTTTTTATTTAAGAATAACAGATACTTTGTGGTCAAATTTTATAGTCACAGATAATTTTCTGATTTGTAAAGGACTATTCTTATATAAAAATTGCATTGCAAACTGAGAATATTATAGAGAAGAAAACATAGCTAACCATTATTGAGCAATTACTATGGACCAGGAGCTGTTTTACTCATTTTAAATGTATCTACTCACATAGCCCAATAGATTACTATTATTATAATATAGTATAATTTTTATTTTACAGATGAGAAAACTGAGACATGGAGAGATTACTTCTCTACAGGTACAGGAGTAGTGTCTGGTAAACCTGGAATGTGAATTTAGGTTCCAGAATCTGTGGAGTAACCACTATTGTTATTTATGTGTGTATGTTACCTAAGGAGATAGTTCTTCATAATTTTATAAACAATCAGAACATAAAGGTAAATATCCTTTTAGCTTAGGCAAAATTATAAACCATATAAAAAAGATATAATCCCCAATAATATTTTTTTCTCCATCTCAAATCATTATATTTTTCGTGGATATATTGAATTATCTTATCTTACTTTCTGTGGCCAAAGTACCAGAGTAATATGCTTCTCCTTAAGCATTTTAAAAATATATTCCAGGTACAGAAAATCACACAAAATAAACATCTATAGCTCAATAGTTTGTCACAAAGAGAACGTTCATATAACCACCAGCCAATTGTGACAATAAAACATTTCATATTTTTAAATTTTTCATTTTCTTTTAGGTAATTAATATATTTATATTTAAAATTGTAATTTCTTATTTGTTCTATGAGTTATTTAGAAGTGCATTATTTAATATGCAACAAGGATTTTCTAGTTATCATTTTTATTAATTTTTAGTTTAATTTATTTTCAGCAAGATACGATGATGTGTATGATTTCCAACATTAAAAATTATTTATAAAGACCTTCTATATGGCACAACATATGGTCAACTTTGGTAAATGTCTAGTGCATACTTGAAAAGAAAGTACACTCTGCAGTTTAAGGAGTGCGATATCTTCACCATTAATTTTACTGATTGTGACGTCCTAATCTTTATTTTATCTTTACTGATTTTGGTGTCTTTGTTTATGAGTTTTTGAGATAGTTCGAATAATCCTTCTAAAATTATTGGTTTGTTTATTTTTCCATTGTTTATGTCAGTTTTGTATGATTATAAAACTTTATAATTTCTTAACTAAGTAAATTCTTCAGCATAATACAATGTCTATTTATCACTAGTAATGCTTTTTGGTTTGATGTCTATTTTGACATCAATATTTTCATATTAATAAGTGTTTGCAAAGCTTATGCTTATCCATTCAGTTTTATTCATATATCTTTATATTTTAGACATTTCCTTTGTAAATGACAAATAATTGAGAAAATTTTATACTGTTTTACAATCTTTATATGCAATTTGAGTGTAGAGCATATTATTTACATTAGATACACAATTTAATGACTTTTAAAAAGTCATTTATATTCATATAATCTTTCCCTTTTTTCTTACTTTTTTGTCTTCTTTTGAATTGATCATATTTTTTTTTATTTTTTGTTGTCATTAATTGACATTGGTCCACTCTCTTTACTATTAAAAGTGTTCTCATAAATTACTCTATGATTATAAAAAATACGGTTTTAATGTTAGTTGGGACCATTCTATTTACTTTAAATAGTATACATTACATAGCAATACATACACTTGATATATGTCTTTATTATTGTTGTTATGTGGAATCAACATTTATTTATACCTACTGTTTTTCTTGCTCATCATTTCTTCATACATCTTTTAGCTTCCATCTAGAAAGCTTTGCCTTCTTGAGAAGATCCCATATTCTCTAATACTTTACTTAACATATGTGTACTGGTAATATCATGGTATAGTATAATTTTTGGCCAGGAAAAGTCTTAATTCTATTCACATTTTCACAATATTTTAGTATGAAAATCTTTAAAGAAAGAAAATCAAATTGATTTATAGTGAACAACCACACTTCTACTACGTAGATCCTGTCATTGTTAGGTTTAACACATTTACTTTTCCGCATATATATCTATTCACATATATATATATATATATATATATATATATATCCATCAATGAATTTTATATTTTGATGCATTTCAAAGTAAATTGGTTTCAATAAAATGATTCAAATGTGTTCTAAGGTCTTTCATAGTTCACATTGGTTTCCAGCTTACATTACTTCTATGATGCAATATTTCAGAATATCATCCAAATTAATAGAGTTTACTCAGACATTTGTCTCAGTCTTGGACTCTGACTATTGTCCCACTAACATTGTGAGGCTGCCATAACTGCAGTGCTTAACCTTTGGCTCTGAGCTTTTCAAGTGCCTGCTCTGAGATGTATCATGCTTCTAAGAGGAAACTGACCTTGAATACTGGGCTCACTCCCTATACCTCCATCCTACTCTGAATCCTGTCCCAATAACTCTTAACTATCTTGACAGATTTCACATGACTTTAAGTACTTTTTAAACTTAATATTAAAACATTTCCATCTTTTCTAATTTTCCACAAGTGTTGTTTACCCATTTCTACATTGGTCTACATATAGACCAATGGAAATATAATCTTTACATACCTGATATGCATTTGCCCAAGATGATAGATGCCATTTCTAGTTGGTATTATCCCCTCACTTACATATCAAAAAGAATCATTAAGTTCATTAAACATCTTCATTTTATATTCACATATTGGTATGGATGATTGATAGGATACTTTCCTTGGAGTCAGGTCATACGAATGATAGGTTAGTAACTTGTTCACCCTAAACAATCTATAAGAACAAGGAATATACTGTTAAAAGCATTGAATAGATAACAACTCTTCTGCTAACAAAATCTCTAGCACTTGTTTGTCAGGTGGTCTGTTATTATTATGCTCCCCAGGGAATTAGATCAGGTCTCCTGGCTTATTTCTTTCCTAGAAATGTTCAGAGCAAACAAAGAAATGACCATGGACATGCTGCTTAATTCCTTCCAAGAAATGCTGACATCTTGGTAATGGTGACACTATTCAAAACAATGATGTCATTGGCGAAAATTTCGTTCGCAAAGTAACTTGCACATAACTTGGACTTTGCAAGCTTTTTTTTTTTTTTTTTTTGGCTCACCACGTATACACAGATGTCCAATCTACAAGACCTGACCTTAGCAATTACTTGTGTTGTACAAAGATTAAGCAATGCCAATATCTAGACCACATCATATTCAGTTTTGTAATCTCAACATCGGCCACAAAAACTGGCTTATGTTTTCTGCTCAAAGAAATGTTCAAAACTATTTATTGCTGAATTTGTTTATTTAATGGAGAGATAATTTAAGAAATGAGAAATCCATAGTAGTCTTAAAAAATAAAAAAGGTTGTGGTTTTATTCTCCTGTGTTATCATCACATTTGACCACTAACACAGTGCCACATTCTTCTTAGGTGATGAAGAGGTCATTTTAACTTCTACAGCCAGTTCAGGAAGAAAAGAATAGTAAACCCTTGTTATTTTCTCTCATTCACAATAATGCAACCTTACAAATAGGAAGTTTTAAGTTCTATTCTACTTACTTTGAAATTCTGTGTAATTCTTCAATATAATATGTTTCATATAGAAATTGTCAATTCATCAAAAGCAAAATTCCAAGGCATTATTCAAAAGGAAAAAAAAAAACATATTTGTTGTTGCTGCTATCCCAAAAGTAATCAAAGGAGGTACAAAGATTTGGCAAAGCTATCCGTAAAGCAAGTCGAAAGTAGCCAAGTATCCTTTGGAAAAAAGTAAAAATTGTTTTTTATGTTGATTAACTCAAATTAGTTTAACATTTTGAATATACCATAACACTAAAAATAATGATTGTGATTCTGACATAACTTATATCTCTATATTCTGAAAGGACAAGCTTTAGTATTATTTTTTAAGTCTGATTAAAACATACTTAACATGACAATGAAAGCTTTTTTTCAGTTTGCTATTTAATGAGGAAAAAGTTATGATACTCTTAGTATGTCAGAGGATATGACATAAATTATTTCCAAATAAGTCACTTTCTCACCTGTGGTGATTAATATGTACAATTCATCATTATTCCAATGTATATATTTTTAGTTATAAGCAACATACATTTTCCAGAGAATTAATCATGATTAAGATTTAGAAGAAGTAGAGAGGAAATTTAGCAAGACATTTAACAGCTTGGACACTGGAGTTACAGTCAGTTGGACAAGAATTAATAGATATTAACTCTGTGAACTTGGGAGATTTGTTTTTCCTTCCTGAGTCTCAGTTTCTTGATCTATAAAATTAGGATAATACCAGCAGCAACTTAATTTGATTATTTGAAGAAAATACAAGGAAGAAATAAGAGTAAAGTAGCAGATAGATAGATGATAGATAGATAGACAGAGAGATAGATAGACAGATAGATAGAAAAATCTATCTTTTTTAGGGTTTGTGATAGATATCTATCTAGCTATCTATCTATGTATCTATCTATCTACAAATCTATCTATCTACAAATCTATCTAGATATCTGGACAAATCTATCTATCTGTCTATCTATCTATCTGTCTATCTATCTGTCTATCTATCTATCTATCTCAAGCACTAAAAAATGTAAACTCATGCATTCAATGTAAGTATGCAGAGAGAAATGTAGTAGTTGAGTCCCTAAATCTCTAGTCACACAGTGACTCTGACAAGCAATAGAACTTTGTTCACTGTACTTACCTGAAGAATTAATCTTTCCAATACGATTTTCCGTTTCATTTTTCCAACCAGTTTTTATTTGTTTGCCTTTGATCCTTATACCCAAGATTTAGAAAGTTAAAAAAAGCTACAATATTCTCAATAAGTTCAGTTGGCTTATTTTAATAGAAATGGTAGAAATGCCGTATTTAGGGCATTTTCTTACATTTTTATGAGCACATAATCCAATTAAAAAGTCATAGTGCTTTTTCAGAAAACAAAACCTTCAAAATATTTTTCTGGCAATAAATTAAATTGACTTCATGACGCAATGTAAACAATAATGCATTATGCATTTTTTAAAACAACATTTTTAAAATTTAAAAATGACTGAGGCCGCGCGTGGTGGCTCACGCCTGTAATCTCAGCACTTTGGGAGGTGGAGGTAGATGGATCACCTGAGTCCAGCCTGGCCAACATGATGAAACCCCGTCTCTACTAAAAATACAAAAATTTAGCTGGGCATGGTGGCAGGCACCTGTAATCTCAGCTACTTGGGAGCCTGAGGCAGGAGAATCGCTTGAACCCGGGGGGCAGAGGTTGCAGTGAGCTGAGATGGTGCCACTGCACTCCAGCCTGGGCAGCAAGAGCAAAACTACATCTCAAAAAATAAATAAATAAATAAATAAATAAATAAAATAACTGAAAATTGTTTTAAAGATAAATCTATTCACACTTTTTGCTAAATAACAATTTCTAATTTTTTAATTCCTTAAATTATGTGCATAAAATGATTTTAAAAAGCAGAGTTACTTAGGATTATTAAAATTGTGATATTTTGGCTTTGCTTATTTCATTAAAGCCAAGACATCTACATGATTTAATTTTGTAATTTTAGAAAATTGCTATACTTTCTGCAGATATATAATTTGCAAATTTGATACAGATAAGTGAAGAACATTGTTACTTTGAGTGTTTTCCAAAGCTTTGAACCTTATCAATAGAAAAATAGAGGAAAATAATCTGCTGTTTTAGTTCATCAATCAATATCTCTGTTCTGATATGATCCACAGTGTTTCCTTAATGTGCCTAAATTATTAAACATCTGTGTCTGTAGAAATTGAAAGATTTCCCTACAATTGACTCAAATTATAACTTTATTTTCTCCCTCATACTGTTTCCTCCTTCTCCCCACTCTCCATCTTTTCTCCTTGTCTTCTAGAATTCATCCTTCTTTCCCCCCTTCTCCTTATCTTCTTCTTCCTTTTGAAAATATTTTTGATGAGAAAAATGGCCACTTAGTAACTCAAACACATATTAATAGTTATTTATTAAAGGGAAAATCAATCTCATTCAATTGCATTCAAGTCTCTTCAGATTTCATGAGACCAAGGCAGAATTCTTTTCTCAGGCACTTGTTATGTAGCGGGGTCTAAGTGAACACTTAATGCAAATGACCTGGTGGGAAACCGGAAGACCATATATTAGGGCTCATCTACACTTTCGTGTCACCAAGCCTTAGGATATAATTTAATGACAATGTGCCAATGCTGAAAAAATGATTGGATTTCAGTGATCTGGGTGTCTAGTATTAAACCATGAAGAAACATTGTTTTGGGAACCAGGAGAACTAATCATCAAAATAATACAAATTATGTGTTTGACCTTAAACAAATATTTATTTCTCAGCTTTCAAGTGAGACATATCAATAAAACCTCTGAATATTTATTTACAGAATAATAGGGATATATTTGAAGACAGGTTTTTTTTAGTCATTTACAGTTATTTTACAATCCATATTATCAGATTTATTATGATCTGCATTATTTGTGGAGTAATAAAAGAATCCACCCTGAATCAAATATTCTAAATACTTGCGAATGAGTTTATAGTTCTAGATCAACATACAGGGAACCAACTGCAAAACAAAATTCAGACATTAAGCCAGTTTTATTTCAACCTTTTTTGTAAGCCACAGGACTTCATGAAAAAAAAAAAAGTCTGTACTTGATGTTAAATCACAAACTAGTTAGCTAATTTTCCCCAAATGATCTATGTCTTCTTAATTAAAAATTTCCTAATTAGGATAATGTCTCTGTTTCCACTTTAAAAACACTAAAGAAGATAAGTAGACCTAAGAGGATAGTGCTATTTCCTAGGTACAACAATTTTTACTTAATTTCTCATTAACACTTTTTAAAAGAGCATATGTTTCTCCTAAACTCTTTCAAACATCTTTTTTTTAAAAAAAAATTCAGCAGTTACAAAGTCCTGTTTAAAAGGACTTATTATTAAAAACAAAAGCAAAAACTCGAAGAAAAATCCTCACTCCTGAAAGCCAAGAGCGAATCATAACAAGGTCATGATGAGCCTAAGCTCACGTCAAGGGAGTTTTCCTAAAGACATATCACCATAGCAACAGCATTGAGGAATGAATCAAACTGCATGTGCGGAAGTCCTAACACCCAGTGTGATGGTATTTGGAGGCGGAGCCTTTGTTAAATGAGTTCATAGATGTGGGGGTCTTGTGATGGGATTAGTGTCCTTATAAGAAGAGACACTGAGGAACTAGTTTTCTCTCTCTGTCTTATGAGGACACAGTGAGAAGATGACCATCTATGAGTCTGGAGGAAAGTCCTCACCAGACCTTGACCATGCTGCCACCCTGATTTTGGACTTTAAGACTCCAGAACTGTGAGAAATAAATATCTGTTGTTTAAGCCACCTAGTCTATGGTATTTTGCATGGCAAGATTAGATTTGCACTGGTCAATATAGTAGCCACCAAACACCTGCAGCTATCAAGCACTTAAGATGTGGTTAAATAGTGATTTTCTGTGAGTGTAACATACATGTCAGATTTTGAAGACAGTAAAAAAAATGCAAAATATTCCATTAGTAATTTTTAAAATTTTAATTATGTATTAAAATATGTACCAGTTTAAATACAATATATTACTAAAATTAATCACAGCTACTTTTTCTTTTACTATTTAAAATGTGACTACAAAATTTACAATCCTCTATGTGGCTTGCATTTGTAGATCACATTTTTCTATTGGACAGCATTAATTTAGACTCTCGTGTTCCTATTAAAAGCCAACTCCTGATTAAGATAGTAAATTTAATGATTAGTCATATCTTGGTACTCCTGAATTATCAAAATTTGAAATGCATTTTCTAAGGAGAAATCATTAAAAGGGAATCATGATATGTTGAGAATAATTTGCGACATGAGTTATTTACACGGGATCTTGGGAGACCCTCTTTGGTCCAATTTATAGTGGGTCAAATGTTATTCAGTAAGGATTGCAATAATTGATTCACAGCATATTAGATATGGAGAAGCCTACCTAAATATTTTCAGATAAAAAATAAGGCTTTGGATATAATAATATATTGTTCTCTATTCAATTATTTATCTCTTGCTTTCAATGTTTATTGCCATTTATTTTCAGACGTTCAAACTCATCTTTCATCTAATGGAAGCTCAATACTATACTCTGTTCTGACACATTTATCCTTGACTCTGAAAATGTTCAAACTAATATTTAAACTTATGAATTCTTAGCAAAATAAAACCAGTTATGATGACAAGTTTTTGTTACTCATCTCTCTTGTTTTAGAATAGTTAGTGAAAACACAGGTGCCATCCATGACCATCTATGTTGAATGCTCAGCATTGTAAAATGATTGATTGGATTATATCTTAATATTAAAAAAAAGTAAATAGGTGCTCCATATTAGAACTAATAAAATGGAGTATATTGTTTTATATTTTACAACCTGAAAGGACATTTTACAACTTAAAGTAGATCAGTATAAATGAGACTGTAATTGCTTATATACTAACATAAATAGAGTTATAAATGGCTTTAGGGAAAAGACTATTAGGCTATGACCCTAGATCCCTCACCTTTCAATGTACCAACTTCATAAGGGTCATATGTTCACCATAATCAAGGCAATTTTACCTTTATTGTCAGGATGATTAACCAAATACTTTCTTTTAAAAATTTTATTTTAGGTTCACGGGTACATGTGCAGGTTTATGGTATAAGTAAATTGTGTGTCACAAATAATCTGTTTGGTGCACAGATTATTTCATTACCTAGGTAATAAAGATATTACCCAACAGGTAGTTTTTCCATCCTTACCCCCTACCTTGTGTAGGCTCTAGTGTCTGTTATTCCCTTCTTTGTGTCCATATGTATTTGAAGTTTAGCTTCAAATTATATGTCAGAATATGTGGTATTTGGTTTTTTTGTTCCTGCATTAGTTCACTTAGGATAAAGGCCTCCAGCTCCATCCATGTTGCTGGAAAGAAAATGACCTCATTCTTTTTTATGGCTGTGTAGTATTCCATGGTATATACATACCACATTTTCTTTATTCAATCTACTGTTAGATTTATTCCATAGCTTTGCTATTGTGGATAGTGCTGCAGTGAAAATATGCATGCAGCTGTCTTTATGGTAGAGTGGCTTATATTCTTTAGAAGTATATACCCAATAATGGGATTGCTGGGTAAAGTCTACATAATGTATTATTTTGACAATATATGCTGGGTTGTATATCACATTGCAAGTTCTTCTTTCACCTACATAGGGAACAGACAGTTTTGTTTTGTTATATTTTATTTTATTTAGAAACTGTCTTTTAGAGTGCAGCATGTTTTTATTCCTCTGGATTTTACTACTTTGTTGGAGAAGGCAAGAAGAGAGAACTGAAGGCAGGTTTTTATCCAATGAGTCTAGAATAAAATATGGCATATTTACATGCCTGCTGCTGGGACATTCAGTGCCTTCTCACACTTTCAGTGGCAGGAGAAGGAGGCAACCCAATGTATCACACTCCCACGTGGAATAGAGAGGACCAAACCCAAAGCAAGTATCACACAGAAGAGTCACAGACTACATTTACCTGCTTCCTCTAATGATCAACGAAAACTCTACATACTAATACTTGCAAATTATTCACCCACATCGAAAATCCTCATTTGTAGGGCAGGGGTAGGGTGGCATTGATAATGTATTCAATTTTCTAAAATCCATGAAAGGATGAGCTTTAATCATTTAAAGTTAATTAGAGAAAACATGGTCTTCACCACTGACTTGTTCAAGAATCAGGCTTAAGATGATGGGTGTGTAGTGTTTCCTACATCAAGAGCATGCATTTTGAATTAGAATTTGATTAAATTTGGATCAATGAAATGTAAGAAGTTTTATTCTGGGATTCTGAAATCTTTCTTCACTGGTAATTTTGAGAATAACAAGAAGAGGCACTCTCTGTCATTTAGATCTGCCACCTGGGATTTCTTCAGCCAGTTTTGATGGTCTGAGGTTAAGACCAGAAAGACTAAGGTCTGAGATAGAAAAATGTGATTAAACGGAGCTTGAAATAGCCATTAATTAAGTCAACTGTTAAGGTGACGCTACCCATAGATTTCCATTCATAGTAATCAATATTATGTTTATTATATTTTCTTCTTGTTTAAAAGCAATTTTAATTGGAGTTTCAATTCACTACAGCAAAAAGCAGCCTAATTTCTCCAAGGTCTGAGGGAACTGTCAGAGTGTAGGGCCATGCAAGGTGACTTATGCAGCTGACCTTAAATATCAAGTAATTTATTTCACTGCCAGAAAGTATATTGCTAGCTGTATTGCCTGGTCTGAACATGAATACCATAGAAGGAGTGCAAGGTCACTGACAACCATCAAAACAAATAGAAGAGCAGTGAGAATGAAGCCATGGTGCTATCTTCGTATTTATAGTGATCTTTTATTGCTGTTGACATAGTCATGCTACCAGCGTCCTTTTTATTTGAGAGAAAGAAAGGTAACATGTGTTTTAGTAAATGAGACACAGCTATGTTTGGGTCTATTATTCTGTCTCCTGGGGCTCAAGAAGCTACTCAAGCTGTGCATTTGTGGTTTATCCCACCATCTGCTATTCAAATGTTTCCTATTAACCATGACCACCAGTGGTTTAACCTTTCAGTATCTTTCAGACATTTCATTGACAGGCCAAAAAAAAAAAGTAACTGGGATGGATGCACAAAATCCATTTTGAGGCCTGTATTGTTCAGCTAATAGATCTGTCATCAATTAAATGAGGGCGTAAGTTAGATATTTTGCATGGCCAGATACATTTCTCTGTTCTGAATCTGTCTATCTACATTGCTAAAAGGGCATGAAATAGTTTCCACCGGTGGTATTTTATTACCACTGAGCTGTAAAATTTTACAGCACAGCCAACATTGTCTGGTACCTACCTGTTAGGGAAAAAAGGGACAATGTGGAAGATTTAAAGCTTAACCAACAAGACATCCAGAAGTAGAAAATGAGTGCTTAGAGTGAGACTTTGTTAGTTGGAACTAAAATCACAGCTGAACAAAATGACTTTCCCTTCATAAAAATAGTTGCTTGACATATTTCAAACCCAAATGCTTATTTCTTCCTTCACAAGAGCATATATTTAATGTAAATTTGTTCCATGCTCTATACTTTAGCTGAGGAAAAGCAGCTATTGTGTTACAAATCAAATCCCTTTACACAACATCTTTCTTTCACTCATTTGTAGAAAATGCAAAGGATATCGGAGTTGTCAGAATAAAAAATTCTTTTCTCTTAACAACAACACTCAGGAGCAGAGTTAAAGACTATAAAATAAACTTCGGAGGCCGAGAAGAGAAGCCCTAAATTGTTTGTCATCACTGTGTGAGAAAGATAAGACAGGTCAAGCCTGAACTGGGGTTATATTATTTAAGTAATACATTTACTTGTAAAGCATTGGTAACTATTACATGTATTTAAAACCATATCGAAATCTCCAGCCCTGTTTCACATTCATGCTATAGAAAATAGGACCTTTTAAAGAGCAGTCTATGAAAAAGCATGACTCTTTTAATTCTAACAAAATAGGTCATTTAGAAAGCACAGGTAGCTGATACATTGTAGCCAGTGTTACTGTGGTTACAGTAACCAAAGCCTCTGAGATAAAAGCCTAATTTAACACATTTGGACCCAGGGGCTAAGGATTTTGGGAATAAGTATGACTTTGAGGTACAGACGACATGGATGGGCTTGTCTAATCATAGATGTGAGAAAAAAACACATAATTGAAACTGCAAGAACTATTAATAACTTGCTCATCTCCCACTTTACTTGAGCCCCTTCTCCTGTTCATTCTCCATTCGGAAGACAGATCTTTCTCTACAAATGGAAATCACATCATATCATTCCCCAACTTAAAATCATTCAAATAGTTATTGTTAATTAAAATAAAATATAATTTTCTTATGTTATCCTGCAAATCCTGTTATGATCTCTCTCTTATGCACCCTAAAAATCAGCTCATATAATTGATTCCTCCTTCTTCCCTCCCTTTTTCCCACTCTTTGTCACTGAAATCCAGAAGGACGGGTGGGTTTACAAATTGCTTATAACGTGATGAGCCACAAGTGGTTTTCAGTGTTATTGGCTCCCAATAATCCTCCCTCCAGCCCTCATGCACTGATAATTCTTTGCATAGTTGAATTTTTCTCACCAATTTTTCTTACTTAAAGAGACACCTCAGTGGGATTTCTCCGACCTTCCTGACTAAAGCACCCTGTCCTGTTTTATCTCCTAGTGTCCTTGTGGCAGTTATCAAAATTTGTAATTGTTCATCTTTTTGCTTGTTTTAGTCAGTTTTTATCTTGATATGTAAGAACTTCAAAGAATGTTTTAGAAAACATGAAAATTTAGAGAATTTAGAAGACAATTACTTTTCCTAAACTTCAAAGGTGTTATTGATTTTAATAGATTTTCATATATTACAAAGTCATTGATGTAGTCTGTGAATTTCATTATAATACATCAAACATGTTACAGGTATAGTCTTATACTAAGTTGGCAATTCATAGCTAACACCATTGTGAGTATTCCTAAATTTATAAAATCTAAATCTCTTATGAAAGTGAGTGATTATCTTAGATACACTGGAGAAATTTTTAAATTAGTTTTCTTGGGTAGGCAATAAATATAAATAAGTAGATAGATGGAGTTTTTAAATAGTTTTGAAAACTTAGGAAAGTATTGAAAGTTTCATACAAATACTTTTCTGGAATAAATTATGTGCATGGGGAGTGAAGGATTGAAGAATTATTGGGCATAATTCATAAAGTAATTAGTCAATTAAGTCAATAATGGAGAGGATATCCTAGTCTTATTAAACAAAACTAGAAAAATGACAGAGCAAAGCTCACATAATAGCAAAGAAAGCTATTAGAGAGGATGTTTATCACTGATATAACTCTTTATAGGAGTCAGCAGATCCAGGAAAAAAAACAACTATATATTCCTGGAAAGAGCTATGAATAAAATCACCTGAATGAGTTAATATAAAACTGATAAGAACATGCTCAGTGAGCTCTTATTATTGAGAGTTAAATGAATGGATAGAGGGGAAGCCAGGAGGCTAAAACTTATTAGGAAGTTTTATTAACATCTCCCCAGGGAATTAACAAAGACTTTAGTAGTATCAAACCCAAAGAAGCTAGTAGATTTTATTATTGGCTAAAAATAATAAGATTAAACAGGTCAATCAAAAGATAATTGGTATTCTTCTTCTAGTAATAGGGAAATATCTCCTACCAAACCAATCTTCCAAGATACGACTTGAGTATAGAGCTACACACTCTACAAAGATTTTAAAAACAACTTTTGAAAGGCATAAGAAAGTGACAAAAGCAGTTGTAAACTTGAGAAAAGTTAATACTCACAATAAGAAAAAGGTGGGAAGTCATTTTTCTATTTTTATGGCTTCCTGCTTGAGGGAAGACCCAAAATTAGGTAGAAACTGACAGGCCTGCTATCTTTAAAAGTCGGGATGAAGACTTCAGGGTGAACACAGTAGCTAGAATGTAACAGGAAACATCTGGGATAGGATAAGTACATGGAGGAATATCTTCACATTTTGAAAACAAGTTCTGCCCAAATCTCTGCATGACCCCTGCATTATTCAGGTGTATAGTAGAATCTAAGGAGCCAAACTAAGAACAAAATATGTAAACAGAAGTTTTACCTGCTTCCCACCACAGAAGAGACTGAGACTGAAGTTTGAGTTCAGCTAAAGTGACTCCCTATTAAAACTTAAAAAATCAATCAATTAATCAAATCAGTACACTTCAAAAGAATATAATGGTATCTGAAATCTACCCAGTATATCATTCACAATATACAGAATGCATTCCAAAATTACCTGGCATGTAAGGAAATAGGAAGCTTCATTTCACGTGTACTCAAAACGAAGAGAAATAAATTAAGATTAACACTTACCTGATCCCAACTTAGAATCAGCAGGTGAAAATTTTAGAGCAGCAATATTTACTTTCAATGATGTAAAGAAAAATATCCTCAAAAGAGAATAATGTGTAGAAAATAGAAATTAAGAAAAAATTGAAAGCTCTGGAGCTGAAAATCACAATATTTGAAACAACAACAAAAATGTTTAAATGGGGTTATCACCTGGTTGGAAATACAGAACAAAACGTCCACAAACTTGCAGATAGACCAATCAAAATCATCCAATCTGAAAAATAGAAATTAAAAAGATTGAGAGAAAAGTTGAAAAACAACCCAGAGTTAATATCAAAGTTCCAGAAGGAGAAAAAGATAGTATGAGACAGAAAAAAAGGAAAACTGAATGGCTGAAAATTTCTTCAAATTGTTGAAAGACATACATTTACAAATTAAATTTAGTGAGTCCAGTGTTAAAAATTATAAAACACACACAGGCTTGTGAGTGCACGTGCACACACACACACACACACACACACACACACACACATAGAAACAATGTAGGGAATGTAACTGTTTAAAACCAATGATAAAGAGGACAATTTTCAAAGTAGCTAGAGAAAACCGACAAGCACATGAAATGTAACAATATGTTTATCCTGACTTCTCCTTAGAAACAATGGAGGCTAGAAGACAGTGGGATTATATCATTAAAATGCTACAAGAAAATCACCCCAGAATTCCATATACAGCTAAAGTATTCTCACAAACACAGATAAACAAAAGCTCAGGGTGTTCAAGGAAAGTATTTAAGCAATTCAGTGGTATTTTTTTTCTTTTAACAGATATTGCTGATAAAATTGAATATCCAATTTAAAAACTAAAGCTCCAAACCTGTCTGTAATTATAACAAAAATTTAATTCTAAATGGTTAAGTCTATCAATGTAAATGCTAAAATATGAAGCCAAAGAAACTTTTGACGATTTCTTGACATGTCTTCATAACGCTGGGGTAAGCAAATGTTTTCTTAGATAGGACATATAAAGCAATAACTATAAAAAAAACAAATGTTGCTATGCAGTCAAGCACTTCCTAAGCAGCAGTGACTGCTGCATCAGCTAGGTTGACTTGCCAAATTTCCACAGTTTTGGTCAGTAGGGAAACAATGAGCCCAAATGGATTTAGACAGTTTATTACTCTTAGCAGAACCAGCAGCTTGAATTTCAGGTTCGCATCAGTTCCTCATGTAGCCAAGTTCCATAGAGTTGTCATAGAGGTGGCTTCAGGTGAACAGTCTGTTTTGTAGCTAAGGACCACTCTACTTTGGAATCCACTCAATCTTACAGAGAGTGGCTGGCAAACCTATCATTCTGCCCTCTGGAGACAGCTATTAACTTTATTATCCTAGTCAGGAAACAAATCTTCCCCCTAATCTGGAAGAAGACATTTTCTTTATTACCTTGTAAAATTTATCTGGGGAGGGGAGGGAGACATTATTATTTTTTTAGTCTCCTAGAATATCAAAAATGCTACATCCTGCATCAGAGTAGCTTTGCAAACTTCACTGATGTTCAGAAATGCATGATCCATGGGGAAAAGTCTCCAAACAGTGGGTAAACTGGCTTTTTCAAAACTCGAAGATATAATCATCAGGTACCATGAAAGAGAAAATGAATAGCCAGTGAGAAAATATTCCTAAAATATATATTTCCAAAGGATTTATTTCTAAGATATATAAAGAAATACAACTACTCAATAATAAAAGATTGACAACTGTATTTTTTGTTGGGGGCGGGGGGCAGAGTCTCCCTCTGTCACCAGGCTGGAGTGCAGTGGTGCAATCTCGGCTCACTGCAACTTCTGCCTCCTGGGTTCAAGCAATTCTCCTGCCTCAGCCTCCCAAGTAGCTGGGATTACAGGCGCACACCACCATCCTCAGCTAATTTTTGTATTTTTAATAGAGATGGGGTTTCAACATGTTGCCAGGATGGTCTCCATCTCCTGACCTCGTGTTCCGCCTGCCCTGGGCTCCCAAAGTGCTGGGATTCCAGACTTGAGGCACCGCACCTGGCCGAAAACTGTATTTTTAAAAGGTAGCTACATAAAAGGCCCCCAAATATACTAGATTAATATTCATAGTAATATGTACATTAAAACCACAATGCAATATTATTACCTACCAGAAGGGTTGCAGTGATAACGACTTCAAGTATGTGAAGAAAAGCCATCAAAGGATACTAGTAGGAGTGTAAAATGGTACAACTATTTAGAACATGAGCCTGACAATTTCTTATGAATTGAAATACACACTTACATACCAGCAATTCCACCTGTAGAAAGAGAAAGTTGTACACTCATTATACATGAATGTTTATAAAAGCTTTATTCATAATGCCAAACAACCCAGAATTTTGTGCATGTGTGTATGTGTTTGTGTGTGTCTTACAATGTTCTTTATATTGACCCAACTTTTTGCTTCAAAACTTCCCTGTAATTACCAGTTTTCCCCTAATTGGAGGATGCTGCACTAGTATTAAAATGGGATTATATAAATGGTGAGTAGCATCAGCAGGCACTCCTTAATTCATTAATGTTTATGATTCCACACATGCATACTAGGAGTTCCCAACCCCTAGGCCATGGACTGGCATTGGTCCGTGGCCTGTTTGGAACTGGGCTACGCAGGAGCTGAGCAGCAAACCAGCATTACTGCCTGAGCTCCGCTTCCTGTCAGATCAGTGGTGGCATTAGATTCTCATAGGAGCATGAACCCTATTATGAACTGTACATGCGAGGGTTCTAGGTTGCATGCTCCCTATGAGTATCTAATGCCTGATGATCTGAAGAAGACCAGTTTCACCCCAAAACCATCCCCCCAAAACCCAGCCCATAGAAAAATTGTCTTTCCATTTATGCAGCCAACAGACATACGAAAAAATGCTCATCATCACAGGTCATTAGAGAAATGCGAGTCAAAACCACAATGAGATACCATCTCATGCCATTTAGAATGATGACCATTACAAAGTCAGGAAACAACAGGTGCTAGAGAGGATGTGGAAAAATAGGAACGCTTTTACACTGTTGGTGGGGGTATAAATTAGTTTAACCATTGTGGAAGACAGTGTGGCAATTCCTCAAGGATATACAACTAGAAATACCATTTGACCCAGCAATCCCATTACTGGGCATATACCCAAAGGATTATAAATCATTCTACAATAAAGACACATGCACACCTATGTTTATTGCAGCACTATTCACAATAGCAAAGACTTGGAACCAACCCAAATGACCATCAGTGATAGACTGGATTAAGAAAATGTGGCACATATACACCATGGAATACTATGCAGCCATAAAAGAGGATGAGTTCATGTCTTTTGCAGGTACATGGATGAAGCTGGAAAACATCATTCTCAGCAAACTATCAGAAGATCAAAAAACCAAACACTGCATTTTCTCACTCATAAGTGGGAGTTGAACAATGAGAACACATAGACATAGGGAGGGGAACATCACACACCAGGGCCTTTGTGGGGTGGGGGGTTAGGGGAGGGATAGCATTAGGAGAAATACCTAATGTAGATGACGGGTTGACGATGGGTGCAGCAAACCGCCATGGCACGTGTATACCTATGTAACAAAACTGCACGTTCTGCACATGTGTCCCAAAACTTAAAGTATAATAATAATAATAAAACAAAGAAAAATTGTCTTCCATGAAAACCAGTCCCTGGTGCCAAAAAGTTGGGGACCTCTGATGTATACATTTTGAGAATATGCCTCTGGAGTTTGATATTTTTTCCCTTGAAGTGATTGAAAAACATACCCTGAAGTAAATTTATCTTCATGTACATCTTAAAGGGAGTGGTTACGTTTACAGAGGATAGATTTTTGAACATTAGAGAGACTTATTCAAACTTGCTGAGAAATAATAGGCCAAAAAACCAGTTAAAACTGGCAATCAATTAATAAAAGAATGTTATTACTCAAAGCGAATTTGATGAAAAGTTTACTGCTACCAGTGTTTTAGATTTGGGGACAGCAACGTGCAGTTACATGGGTTCTGTCATGTGGATTGACCTGTGTGTTCATTAAATGATATTTTTTGAAGACTAAGCAGTATTTTCTGTATATTGGTTTGTATCTCTATAAAAAAAGAATATCTACAATAAAAACAGACTCAAAGTCATAGACAAATTTCTTTTGGGAAAAAAATGTAGATTCTTATTCAGTTACTGATTAGTATTTGCCCTTGGGTACCATGTAAATTTCTATTTCCTGGTTCTCAGTTTTTTTTTACATAGATAATAAATTGTATTTAATCATTTTGAATGTAACCATTGCGAATGTGTTGCCAGCTATAGAGTCTTCTGGCATTTCTATAAAATTGAGACAAAGGAAAGTTCCTAGATTCCACTTTAAATGACATTTGCAAAAACCAATGGCCACTACACCAACATAAAGTACTATTTGGAAGACTGTTAGTAATTTCATAAAATTGGTTTCTTAGGTTATGTTCCCCTAAAAGAGTTCCTGAGACAGGATCTGAATGCCCGTAGTTTATTTGGTAGATATTCCAGAAAGCAAAAATGAGGGATTAGGGAGAATGAAAAAGAGTAGGAAGAAAAGTCAAAGAAGGGTATGCTCATTAGAACAGGCTACCACTGAGGGCAACTAGCCTTTAACTGGGAAGCTGTGAGTAACCTAGTGTAGCGATGCCTTAAAATTTCCCGTGAAATCATGGTCCTAATTGGTTGATGGCTGCTCTTGGGGAATGTTAAATCCCAGGAACTCCTGAGTTCTCCTGAGAGAAGACTGGAAGAGCTCTCAGGGAGGCTAAAGAAAACCTCCATGCAAAGACACAGAGAGACTCAGGTCCTTGAGGGAGGAAGCCATCAGGGTAAATAGGAATGATCTGTCTCAGCTTCAGGAAACAGAACAGGGGCAGAGAGAAAGCAAAAACTACAACTTAATTCAATTTCAAAGTACAAGTATATAAGCATATATAGGCATATATATATATATATATAAACACACACACACACGTAATGTGTGTTGTGTCAGTATATACTATACAGATATGCATAGTAAAATGATATTTATATGAATACAAAGATTGACACAATGTGATGTCCACCTCACAAATATTCATTAGCCTTTCTTCTAATTGTGGATATTTAGTAATCACAAGGTCTATGGATAAGAACTGAACAGAAACTTTCAGAGATTCCAGGGATTATCATTAATTTACCAGAGAGATTCAACTTCCAGGCATGGTGGTTCATGCCTGTAATCCCAGCACTTTGGGAGGCCAGGGCAGGTGGATCACAAGATCAGGAGATCGAGACCATCCTGGCTAACACGGTGAAACCCCGTCTCTACTAAAAATACAAAAAATTAGTCAGGAGTGGTGGCGGGCGCCTGTAGTTCCAGCTGTTTGGGAGGCTGAGGCAGGAGAATGGGGTGAACCCGGGAGGCGGAGCTTGCAGTGAGCCGAGATGGTGCCACTGCACTCCAGCCTGGGCGCCAGAGTGAGGCTCCATCTCAAAAAAAAAAAAAAAAAAAAAGCTTTCTAACTCTGAATTTTAGTTTTTAGTCCTAAAACTTTAAGCTACTCACATTAATTTCAATGGACATCAATGTGTCTCTATAGTTTTTTTTAATTTTTAATATTTTTAGGCAAACAGTTTTTATATCTGGAAATCTGAAGATCTGAACATATGCTAAACTATTCAAAAGACACACACGTTAGTACAAATAACCTGTACTCTAAAAATGACATACATTAGATGTCAAACACCAAAGGAAAATTTTTTAGTAACTGCAAAAAGTAAGAAATGTGGATATTACATAACTCATTTTTTCTAGGAACTCTGATACTCTAAATGCACAAATACTTTTAAATTTATAATTTTATATTTAGTCAGTTGTAAAAAAATGTTTAAACTGTCCTCGTGTTTTAGAGTGCTTTCCCAATGGAATATTTTAAGAACAAAAATTCATCACTCCAAAACAAAGCTCATCTGGAAAAAAATTTGAAGACTAACAGAAGTGTCGAATTAAAGTGGCATATGTTATAACATTTTTTCAACGATAATTATAGGACATATGGTGAAAGATATCCCTTTATTTAAAATTAAATTTTTTAAAAATGAACACTGTCAAATATATTCAACTCTCATATGAATATCTATTATGTAATAAGTCACAGGAGGTCTGCTTCTGAAGATGTTACTATGAAGCTTTTACTAAAAAAAAAAAAAAAAAAAAAATTGGGAAAGCATCATGCCCCTAAGCAGATACAGTAAATCATATTCAGGTTGAGGCTTCTTAATATTATGAAATGACTGTACTGAGAATGGAAATACATATCATAGATGATGAGAACCAGAAGAAACCTTAGAGGCCACTTAATCCAGTTATTTTCACCAGTTTGTACTCTTTTCAAGCTCAGAAATACTTGGATAAACTCCAGTATAAAGATCAGATCAAAGCACTGTCTCCCCTCCCCACGTGAGGGCCTCCATATCACCACTCTTAATCCATTAGAGCTCTGCAGAACGCTAAAGATCGAAAATCAAAGTCCTTGTTTCACTATAATTTTCCAGATGGCAAGACTAGTGTATCACAAAGACTAATTTATTTTTCATAGTTGGTAGCTTGATGTGTATTGCAGATGGGTCTGGAAGCTAGGTCTCTTGATTAGTTCCTGTGTGCCTGGAACAACATGTCCTTGATTCCAAAAGAAGGCCTGCTGCAGGTTATAGCTAAATGCAACCCACATCAAGTAGATGTGAACATACTATGCAAATAAATTCCAATCGTTCTTTAACCTGGGGTCCTTTATTGACGTGGAGTCTTCGTGCAGAATAGGAAGATGTTGTCTGCATGGTACTAGACATCTCAGGGTGATTTCCCATTCATATAGAAATCAAAACGATCTACATTATTTCAAGAAGGTAAATGGGCTTCCAAAGTGTGTTCAAACAATATTGACAGTCTATACAAACTTTCTAGAAACCTCTAGAAATGCTTTCTGCGAAACCTTTTATTTTGCCTTTTCATCACACTTTCTAAACACAGAGCAGAGTGATTGGGGTGTAGCACCATAACCATTATTTTGTAGATAACTCTTAAATATTACATTTTTTAGAAAACAGGGTTAAGGTCATGTTAAAAGAGAAAGATTTCCTTTTAATGTTGTTAAAATCATGTGGCATCCTTTAGAAGAGAAGGAGTGTATTAATTCTTTTATCACTATTATTTTGCTATTAATATTTTAACATTATAAAATGTGAAGGTCATATTAACTACTCCCCTTGAAAACAGTTTCAAATATATAAAATGATTATGAGATGTGCATATCAAAAAAATAGAGCAACTCCATCAGACTTCGAATTCTCAGTGCTATAGAATACTATTTTTTTTCTGATTTCCATTTTACTTTAGACTCAGGGGGTACCTATGCAGGTTTGTTACAGGCTATATTGCGTGGTGCTTAAGTTTGGGCTTCTATTGATCCTGTCACCCAGATACTGAACATAGTACCCAATAGGAAGTTTTTCAGCCCTTGCCCCTTTTCTCCCTCCCTCCTTTTGCATTCCCCAGTGTCTACTGTTCCTAGCTTTATGTCCATGTGAGCCCAAGATTTAGCTCTCACATATAAGTGACACTACTCAGAATTTGGTTTTCTGTTTCTGCATCAGTTCACTTAGGATAACAGCCTCCAGCTGCATCCATGTTGCTGCAAAGAATGGAGTTCTGTTTTTTTAAATGGAGTTCTGTTTTTTAGTCCCAATTTTGCTTTTTTTTTTAAGGAAAAGAGAATTTTATTGAAAATCTTAGTTCAGAATTCAACTTTCAAAGGTGAAAATTTCCATTTTATCAAAATTTCTATTTTATCAAAATTTTAAATATAAAAATTTCTATTTTAGTTATAATTTGGCTAAACATTTTTACCAAGTAATATCTTCTTTATACCATAAATTAACATGAACAATGAAAATTTCTTTGTTAGAAATCATTATCATAATAAGGTTGGTTATTTCCCACAACTCAAAATTGTTTACATTGTGTAATATTTTATATATAAGCTTTAGAAAAAAACAAATGGGAAGATGATAAGCTATTCGTATATGACACTATTAACCTGTTATTAGAGTTGTTACATTGTAGAAAATTTTCATATTATTAGACAGACTTTTTAATTGAAGACACTTTTGTGCAAGAGGAAACTTTATTTGTTGTTTGACACTCAATAGATTAATTTTATAAAATTGTTTAACCAGTATTTCTCTAAAAATTTGAATACATTATATAAATAATAAAACAAAGAAGAATTACAGTTAATATTTAAATCCCCATAGGTGTTTACTTAAGAAGATACCACACATTTAGGATATACTTTCTTATACCTGAATTTCTTCAAATTACAATTATTATTACTCTGTACTCCTGTTATTATTACTACAATTGTTATTTTATGTTAGGTTGGTGCAAAAGTAATTGCAGCTTTTGCTATTAAAAGTGCTCCCCAGACTGAGCTAGGGATATATTTATTTAAGTACCTTGACAGAGTTATCATGTACTCCCATCCAAGTATTAACCAGGCCAAACTTGCTTAGCTTTTGAGATCACGCAAGATTGGGCATATTCAGGGTGCAATGGCCATGGACTCTAGAGTTACAATCTTTTAGCAAAGCCAAAAGTAAAGCAGGAATACAGGCTCAGCCTGGGTTGGCCAATATAGCGTTTTTTTTTTTTTTTTTTTTTTTTCTGTCTGTACATACTTCACTGTCATCTGTTTATGCCTCTTAAGAGATGAAAGGTAAAATCCATGTTGTTATCTTGTGAATATCAGCATGTGCTGACCAATCATTAAAAAGCTATTTTTCTCGTTATTTTTGGGGACCACTGGTACTGTTTTATCCTCTTTTCCTTTTATGTCTTCTATTTAAGAAGAATTTCGTTTAACCATAGTTTTTGGTATTTCTCTTTTTCAATTTCCCAAAGAGAAAATGGGCAACAGCAAAAGCAATCACATCTGCTTACAGGCACTCTTTTTTCTTATTTCAACTGCATTTTGTCGTTACGAATTTGTGACTTTAAAATCACAATGGCTTCTCTTAACTATAATTGTAATTTTGATTATGATTTCTTTTTAATTTGGCCAGTGGGAAATCCTGGCTCTTTTATGTTTTAAGGTTGCTCCCCAAATTGCTGAAATTATTTACTCCCTCAATATATTACAAACCAATGAGGATTTTATGTTTGTTACAAAATATAAAATAAACTGCTGTCTAAGGACCTATCATTTCTTGTTACAATATAGAACCTTATCTGTGTTTTAAAGACACAGGTTAGAAAATTGGTAGCAAATACGTTGGGCCACATTTAGTGAAGAAATGGAAACAATATTAATTTTAAGGTCAAATATTATTATAAGGGTTGATTATTCTTGATTTAATCATACAATGGCCAATTATTTACACCTACATATTTCTAGTTTAGTTTCTATGTAACCTACATAGGTATAATTTTATATTCATCCAAATTATAAGGGAATTCCTTCTCTTATAAACTGTAGTATATTCAGCATCCACATATGTATAATCAATTTATTGACAGACATTTATTTATTCTTTTTCCTAGTATTAAAATAGACTGTTACGGTGTGAATATTTGTAGTCCCTGAAAGTATGTTTTAAAGCCTAATCCCATATGTGATATTATTAAGGGTGGGGTCTTTGGAGGAGATCATATCATGAGGAAGGAGCTCTCAGGACTGGGATTAGAACCTTTATAAAAGAGGTCCAAGGGGCTCATTGGCATTTTCCACTAGGAGAGGACACAAGAAGTTGCCATTTATGAGGAACTGGCCCTCACCAGATAGTGAATCTGCTGGCACCTTTATCTCAGACTTTCCATCCTCCAGAACTGTGATTAATAAATGTGTGTTGTTTATAAGCCACTCAGTTTACGGTATTTTGTTATATTAACCCAAAAGGACTAAGGCATAGCCAATAAAAGCAAATTCTTATGTAGTGCTAAATAGTTACTCATCAATGTTTTAAGTACTTCAATCATTTCTATTAACTATCTCAAAAAATATATGTACCCATTTTTTATTTCAAGAAGCTAAAGCACCAAGAGATTAATCCATTTCCCAAACTCATACACACACTACAAATCCCAACTGGATCCAGGATTTGGACCCAGTGATCATGCCAGTAACTAATGTACTCCAGTAATTTCAACTATTGAACCAGAAACTTAGTTTAAAAATCTGGGCTAACATTTTTATAATGACTAAGCATTTGTCAGTTTATTTAATTACATATTATCAAACTAATTGGTGAAAAAGTAAAATAAAATTATCAATCATAGTTTTGTTAATTTTTTGTCATTTGACCACTTTTACATTTAGTTTACAAGAAGTTTGCTACCACGTAGACATGTAATACTAGGTAGACAAAATCTCTCAAATATACAGGCAATCCTCAAATATTTATAAAAAATTTTTAAATTTTTTTCTTACTTAATTTTCTTCTTATCCTCCTTTTAAAAGATGTTAAAAGTAATTATTAGCCCTTTTTATTTATATATTTTTTTTACTACAACATATATCTGCTTAATTTCTGCCTCAAAAATGCAACCTGTTTTTAACTGGTATTGTCAATATCCAATAAATAATAAGTTAAGGGTGAAGGGTAAACTTGATGGCAACTTGGCTGTAGAAGGGTCTTGCCACTTTTAAATATTAGATAATTTGGCTTCTCATAAAACTGCCACCTCTACTCCTAGCCCATTATATTTTTGTCTATTTGTTTGTAATAAACTGTACAGTTCTCTCAGGGACTTACATTTTTCAGTAATCCCTCTTAGAGTGATAGTTACATGGTGCTATAAAATATTATTTTATGGCCGGGAGCGGTGGCACACGCCTATAATCCCAGCACTTTGGGAGGCCGAGGCGGGCGGATCACCTGAGGTCAGGAGTTCGAGACCAGCCTGGCCAACATGGTGAAACCCCATCTCTACTAAAAATACAAAAATTAGCCGGGTGTGGTGGCAGCCTCCTGTAATCCCAGCTACTCGGGAGGCTGAGGCAGGAGAATCACTTGAACCCGGGAGGCGGAGATCGCAGTGAGAAGAGATCCTGCCATCGCACTCCAGCCTGGGCGACAAGAGTGAGACTTCATAAAAAAACAAAACGGGCCGGGCGCGGTGGCTCAGGCCTGTAATCCCAGCACTTTGGGAGGCCGAGGCGGGCAGATCACGAGGTCAGGAGATCGAGACCATCCTGTCTAACACGGTGAAACCCAGTTTCTATGAAAAATACAAAAAATTAGCCAGGCGTGGTGGCTGATGCCTGTAGTTCCAGCTACTCAGGAGGCTGAGGCAGGAAAATGGCGTGAACCCGGGAGGCAGAGCTTGCAGTGGGCCGAGATCGCGCCACTGCACTGCAGCCTGGGCGACAGAGCAAGACTCCGTCTCAAATAAAACAAACAAACAAAAACCTCAAAAAATTATTTTACTTCTGTAAAATATATCTAAAATAAATACCTTCAGAAGCTTAACATGCCATAATGAGATACATTGAAATTGCATTTTTAGTGCTAAATTTTGGATATGCTCTTGCATTCTAGATCTGAATTGAAAATATAAATAGCATCTCAAGAATTGTATATTTCAAATTAGACTACTGCAGTGCATGTGTCTAAATGCTCTGCCCAAAACTTCACTTGCTGCAGCTTGATTAAATATATTTGTCCTTCATTTTGTCTTGGCCACCTTATATTCATTACTGTAAACTTCTCAATATTTATTTAAATGTTCAAAAATAAGTCTACAAGCTTCTATGTGTCTTGACTTCTATAAAATTTATGTTTTTACCTTAGAAATTGTAAATTTAATTTAAGCTAAAATTGAAATCCCTTATATTAAATGAGAAAGAAAAACAAAAATCCTCTAAAGAATTAAGATTGTTTTTCTTATATCAATAATGTTACCTAAAAAAAGAAGACATTTAACAGTGTTTTTACTTCAAAATTATGGTATACGATAAATATGCAAAATCTTTCTTTTTGATATAAAATAAGCTTGTGAAATTCAGTAAGGTAGAGTTTGATGGTGATAGATCAGGTTTAAAAAGTATGTTTTGATAGGAAGATAAAATATTTGTTTAATTTCTATAAATCAGAATTAATCCAATACGTCATTTTTCCCTCTAAAATATTTTGGGCTCATTCAATACATAATGACCCAAAGTCATTTACCTGAAACATTTACAAAAATGATTAAATGTGTCAAGTAATCTCTTTAAATGAATCTTAAGGTTTTGCCATAGGCGGAGATTCCACAAAATTCTTGGTCCAGAACATTTAAGATCCGAGATTCATTGTTTTATTTTCGTAGTTCTTACTTCATCACTGACAGCTGATGAAGAAACACACTGTAAGATAAAGTACTGCTGCAAATTGTTATTTATAGATGTTCCGCACAATACGCAATATTCCAGAATACTTCCCATTTACTATATTTCCAAACTTCAGGTCACAGCTCAATAACGATTTGTGAAATCAATTTATAAAACAGAAAAAGAATAAAATATGATGGTAAAAAGTTGGAATTCATGCCATGAAGTAAGGATATATGTTGTTGATGAATATTTTCAGCTGTGTGCATGTGTATGTGTGTATTTCTGTGTGCATATTTGAATACTGAGTCTTTATGCCTAGTATAATTATTAACATGAGTTGTGGCCAAAGTGCTCGAAAAATACAACTATCTTAACTGAAAATATACCTAATAAGCTAATTTTCTTAAAACTGGAGTTTAAAAAGTGGTAGTTTACAAAACAGTGTGAGCTTTTCACCTTCATATTCTCCCTTCTGGTTTTCTCTTCTTGCATTCTCTTTTACTTCTTGTTTTTGCCCTTCACAGAAGTACACTATGTTTTGCTTCCTAATATTTATCTGAACACTTCATTATTTCTTTTTTATAAGTATGCATGTGCCAAGTCTGCACAAGTCTCTCTGACTTGGCACATGCATACTTAAAAGGAATAATGTAGTTAAATATCACAAATACAAGAAACAATACAAGATGACATTCAGCCTTAAGAACTTGAGAATTTACTGGAAAAATAGAAAAGTAAATAGAAAATTACTTCCCAACTGGTGGTATCATTAGAACTCATTGGAGCTGAGAACAAATGGAAAAGAATGGATAGGAATGCACTTTTTAAAATAATTTAAGAGTAAAGAAATTTTATCTGGAACTAGAAAAATGATTCAATGACAGGCAAAAATAAAAACATGAGGTTACTTGAAACTTGATAAATAAGCAAAAAGTAAAAAAAAAGCAATAATAGTACCTGGGCTTTCAGTATCTAAGGTTTAAATGGCATTTGAATGGCCTGTCTAGTTCTGTGTTACCTGTCTCAGAGGAAATTCTTTCAGCTATATTGATAGTCTAGAAAACAGAAAATCTTATTCTTGCTACATGATTTACACTATGTGAGAAACAGTCTTTTGTGCTATTTTGCCATTTCTCTCTGTTGGTGACTGAAGTATAAAATCGTGTGACTACTTTTGTGATGTGAATTCAGAGATGTGCTAAATTTAGTTCTTCCTTTGGGAAAAAGTCTGTACAGTCCCTTAGGAATCCTAAAACTACCTAACATCTACAAGATGGAATTTTTTTCCACAAACTTTTTTTTTTTTTTTTTTTTTTTTTAGTTCTTAACAATTCTTAGTGCACTCTGATTCATCTCTATAAATGATCAAACTTAAGGAAATATATTCTCACATGTTTCTCACCATATGCACTTCAGAACTCCATTTGCTTTTGTGAATTCATCAAAAATATCTCCAAAATAATGACAGAATTAAGAATAATTCTTTCATTTTGCAAAATTTAAGGAATACCAACACTATACCCTGGCACTGGGGATGCAATGATAACAACAATAACATAATCCTTGCCTTTGTGGAGTCTACTTTGTGGGGTTAACAGTGTAGTTGGAGACAAATAAATATAGCATGGAGGCTGAGGGAGACAAGATTGTCAAAGATCGGTTCTCCTTTGGGCTAATGCAAATCTATGGGAACCATTATAAAGAACACTGGAAGAATAACAAGTTTGGGGACAATCAACATGAATTGGTGTGGGAATATTGAATTTGAGATGTGTTTAAAGCTTCTTAATGGAAATGTTATGTAGGCAATTGAACATATTGTGTGAAGCTAAGTTGGAAAGCCAGGACTGGAGATAAAAAAAAATGTAACTCCTTGGTCTGTTGAAGCAGCATCATGTAAGATTTTCAAATGATAAAACTATGTAATGGAAGAAGAAAAGGTCTTCAATGTGTGTTTTGGGAAGCTCCAACAGGCTCAAGTAAACTATAAAAACAAATTCTCACATGTATCTTAATTGAAAAGACAAAGGTACAGCAGCCCTGAGCATGTTAATGTAGCTGAATTTAGGGCTTATTGCTTACTAGCATGTCATTTCCCTGTATTATCAGCTTCTTGAGGCCAGATGCTTATTTGGCCATGGGCTCATTAAAAATGAATGATAGGGTTACAATACATAGTTTTTTTTTTAATTGAATTGAGCAAGCACATATTTTCATTTCACATCTAAAATAGTCTAGAACACAATCTAAATGCTATTTTTTTGAGCCATTGATTCATTGAGAGAACTAGGTAAATCAATTGTTTTATGCCCTAGTTTCATCATTTGTAGTGAAAAGAATGAACAAAACACTAAACTTATTACTGACCAATTTATATTACAAATCATAATAATTAATAATAGATGATATTGTCAGGGACCTAATACAGAAGGCTTCTTTCATCACTTCTTGAGTTGAGAACTGTGGTAGATTAAAGAAAGCTGCAAATGTCCATCCCTATCAAGAGTAGAGGATCTATGTCTCCTCTGCTGGTATTTGAATGGATTTCTGGGACTATCTGGCTAAGAGCATACATTTGAACATATGCTCTGCCAATTTCTGAGTCCAGGCCTTAAGAAACAGATGGCTTCCACCTACACTCTTGGAGCACTTGCTCTTGGAATCCAGCCACTATGCTTTGAGGAATACCAAGCACCAGAGTGTGAGGAATCCCAAAGACACCCACGTGAAGAGGAACCAGCCAGCAATCCCAGCTGAGTTCCCAGGGCCAGTACCACATTACCGAAGATAGGAGTACGCCATTTTGCTAGTAGGTCCTCCAGGTTTGTGGAGCTGAGTAGAGCCACCTCCACTGACTTCTGCTCAAATTACAGATTCAGCAGCAAAATTTGTTGTTTAGTTTTAAGTTTTACTTTAAAAGTTTAAAACCTAGTTTAAGCATTAGTTTTAAGATTTAAATCTGGAAGTTATTTGTTACATAGCAATAGACACCTAGAAAGACAATAAATTGAAATCAAAATAAAATCCTTATATTTACTAAAGCTGCATCAGAGAATATAGTTTGAGTCTATGACCACAGGCTTCTTAATCACAATATTTCCTTAATGTCTAGACTTTGGAACAGTCTAAAGAAAAGTTTGGGTTATCATGGCAGATATATACATCAGGAATTACTGACTCCTGGCAGTCCAGAAAATTGGAGGGAAGAAGCAAATAAATAACCCCTGTAAGAATCACTTCGAAGAGACACAGGGACAGATGAAAGGCTCTCCCTGAAATCTCACAATTTACAGGAGTTGTGCTTAGTCTAAAATAATCAAACTAGGAAAAATACCTTAAAAAACAGAATCACAGAAGAATATGTTTATTGTATTATAAGTAAATTCCTTACGTTAAACTTTCATAGCCTTAAATATACTCTACTAACAATAGACATGATTTCGGTTTTACTTTACCTACTTTTTGTTCATAATTATGTTTTATCAAAAACCATTAACATGTTCTAGGCAATGGAAGTTGGGAGTAGAGAATCAGTAAAAGGAAAAGCAGTGTGTGTGTGTGTGTGTGTGTGTGTGTATGTGTGTGTGTGTTTTATATGTATGTAGTAAAATATTTGAACATAAAATTTTACAAAGACCACATGTTTGAAATTAAACTTTTGAGTTAGTGATGTGTGTTGAGGATTCTTCACTGGATACTTTTCATGTTTCTTCAGGGACTTAAACTAAAATTTGTTTCTACATAATTCTTCTGCAGTTAGTTATATCTTCTAACATATATAAGCAGGTATGCGTATATATATATATTTATCATCCGTCTTCATTTTCAGTGAGACTAATCTATAACTATGACTACTCTTTCATTGCATATAAGGCAACGTATAAACTTATTTTGCATGTGTTTACTACTTCTGTATTATTGTGTGGCAATGTGCACTTTTGATATATTACCTCCAAAAAGAGATTTATAAAATATATGTTTTCCTTCACCACAATTATGTAAGAAATATTTTTCAAGAGGCATATTAAAGTAGTAATATTTAACAGAGGCTGACACATCCTTCATAATTACCTTTGTTCTATTACAGCACCTCACAAATTTAGTTATTTCACACTATTGTAATACCAAAATATGGAATAGAAAAATCACTGAGCACCTAAGAACTTCAGCTGCTGTCAGTTTTGTTATCCAGATCAATCAAATCACACACATTTGTTCAAACATATGAACATTATCTCTTTCGGAAAATGTAAACTAAAATAGAACACGAGGAGAAGACATGAGCTCACCCCAGTGACCTCTGTTGAGTCATTTCACCTTGTTGAAATATAAATCTTAGCAAATCATGTATATCAAGAGAAACAATTCATCTTTCATTAGAACTCAAAAAATGTAAAACAAAATAAATGAATTATGGTCAGTTATTGACAGTGTTATATTTTTAGTGAAAGCTACCAGTTTCATTACATTTCAGAGACAAATGCTTTGAAAATATTTTTATGGTATTTTCCACATAAACTATCCATGTTCAAATATTAAATCTTGTATACCATCCTAGCTAGAAAAAATGATCATTATGACAACCTCTGCATAAATTAAACTGTATTTCTTTCAATATTTTTCTATTATATTTTTCTTTTTCCATTTTAAAGCTTACATTTAAGAAAGTAGGCTGATATCAGAATATCTATTCAATAATTGAGAACTGTTATAGCATGTCATAAGATCATTGCATTGATCTTGCTAACTTTATACTTCTATTTAACTAACTCCTCACAATTGAAATATTGACTGATCTTTATAATCCCTGATCCTTTAAGAAGAAAATAAAAGTGTTTAAATCCAAGTTAACTTTGCTTTACATTAAAGGCATGTTAAAGAAATAGACTGGTCCCTCTGAAGTTTACCAGTAGCTTGTCATTTTATATCTATAATCTTGTTTTTAGGTTACGGAAGATATCTTCCCAAAAATAAAAAGTACATTTTTAAGCTAGACAACAAAAGCTATTTAACACTAATGAAAATAAATTAACAATATGAATCTGGGATACTGTCTCTTGGGAATAGGAAAATGAAATGAGAGAGATTAAAAAAGCAGGTATTTTGCTAGTGTTCCAGGGTTCTGTCCAAGTCTACCTAAATTTCTGATACACATCCTCTCAGAGGTGCCTATGGTTCCAAACATTATAGTTATGCTGATAACCCTTAAATCTACATCTACCAAAACAAATTTATAAAGAATTAACATTAATCCAAAAATTATTGAAAATTTCTAAGACCCTCTGGGTTACTTGCATTTTAGGGATATTCGTTAAATCAAAATAATCTTTTATGAGTTGAATTTACAGAAGAATAAATGGCATTTAGTAGTTTAAAAGTCTGGATGCTTTGGTTTTCTTTTTTCCTCCTGATTTCCTAATAAAACTTTACCTAGTTTCTTACCTTTGTTTAATTTTTAGGAAATAGACGTGTCATGTGCCAAGTTTTTGTTTTTGTTTATTTTAAAGGTCTTTGATTGGAAACAGAATGAGCAAGACAAAGGAGATCAGGTGGGCTCAGACTTCCCCTTCCCTCTCTCTTTCTCGTTCTCGTTTGCGTTCTCTTTCTTCTCTCTCTCTCTTTCTCTTCTCATTCTCTTTCTTCTCTTTCTCTCTCTGATACACACATGCTGACACACACACATGCAAACATATACATACACGCAATATGTATATGTGTGTTTCATAAGTCAGAGCTACCTGTACTCTGCAGTTCTTAAAATGGTTAGTCTCAAGATGATTCTCTTCCCTACACTCACTACACAATAAGATCTAGTCCACTTCTGTGGTTTAAATATCACCGTGTGCTGAAGATTCCCAGTTTTGTCTTTAGAACCTTTTTGTTCTTTGAATTTCAGTCTTGTAAAGCTAATGGGCTATTAATCATCTCTATACATAGATATATAATCACATCACAATTTTAATATGTCCAGAACAAATCATTGATTTTTCTACCCATACATACTCATACCTCAGTGTTACCTAGCTATTCAGTTGCTTATCCTGGAAACATTAAAATCATCCAATATTTTTTCTCACACATACTAAACTAATACATTAGTCAATCCTATTAATTGTACTTTCAAAATATTTCTGGAAACCAAACACTTACCACCACCACCACACTTCATCTCCAAACTACCATGACCTCTCACACAGAATCCAGAATGATACCTTTAAAATGGACATCATTTTTTTCACCTTCCACTCATAAAAAGTTATATTCCACACTCATAATAAAATCCCAAGACTTCTAATGGACATTAAGATCCTACGTGTTCCAGCCCATGGCTTTCTTGGAACTTGTTTTCTATCATTCTCTGTCCACTCATCCTCTTCTGGGCCTCTGGGTTGTTCTTTATATCAAGCATCCTCCAATTTCTAGGGATGTAGAGTTATTTTTTCTTGAGCCTTGAATCTTCTTCTCACAATTTTTGGTGATTTCTCTCTCATTGCATTCAAGTGTTGCCTTTTCAGAGAGAACTTCTCTGGCACCCCTATCTGCAAGGACATTTGTTTCTCTCATGTTGAAAAATATATAATTTTATTTTTGCTCCAACCAAAAATATGCTCAAGGAGGACAGAATTTTGATTTTATTAACTGCTAAAAGCTCAGTGTTGGCACATAGTAGGTGGTCAAAAATATTAGTTGAATAAACCTCATGAATTCTGTGGAATTCCACTACTTTTGCTCCCAACACTACATTCCCTTTTTATGCCAGAAAAATATATTTTAATAACTTAGTTATCTCTTTTTTGTTATTTGTCCTCAAGGATGTGATCTATAAGATTGGAAGAGAGTGACCTGGAAAGGGGAGTCAACCAGTGCCAGCAAGGTAAGTTTTATGCATGACATCCCTCTATGGCCCTCTATCAAATTCATAGTTCTGAACACAAGGTGGATGGTAAATAAATCTTTGTTGCATTATGGATGCTATCACAGTCCATTCATATAACCTTGCTTTACCTTTGCCACTAATACTACTAATGATAATAAATATTATTGACCTTCCTTGACATCTGCTATGACAAGACCTACTAAATTTCCCTCAATATTCATTCCCTTCTTCTTTATTTTAGTAAATAAACCTTCAAGTTTTAGCTGTGCATATGGCCATGCAGCTTGAATTTATATTTCTAAGTCTTCCTTGCAGATGGTGTGGCCATGTGCCTAAATTTTGACCCAAGAGATTCAAAGGAAATCAACGTACTCACATTCTGAAACTTTTAAAAAAGTACATTGCTTATCTTCTGGTATGCCTCCCTTTTTTTTTTTTTTTTTTCATGGACTGGATCATGGAATTAATTGAGAGGCTGGATATTTCTTTGCCCATCTAGACCCACTCTCCCCTATTCAGTTGTTCTGTGCTCTCAGAAACAGGCTGTTATGGACTCTCAGGTGCTCTGGCTTCAAATTGGTTCAGTCAGTGGAAGATTGGTACATGCAAAGAATGATGTATTTTTATGGGTTCTCCTGTTTTCGAGGCTATGTTCTCTTGTTCAAGACCGTATTTCCTGGAGAACTGTGTCTAGTCCTGCAGCTGCGGCTATTCTTCTTGGATTTTTGGATTCCAAATATTTTTTCCTTTTAAGTTCTAGGCATGATAATGATTTTATTGTTTTGAGGTTCATTTAACTCTCTCTATATCTTTATAAACGGCTCCTTTATTAAACTCTTTTCATTTGTTCAGTTGAGTGCCTCCACCCCTTCTGAGACCTTGATTGATAACAATGCATAGTACTAAGAGTTGCGCCACAAAACAGGTCATTAAGTAGGTTTGTGGGATAGGTTTGCTCACATATCTGCAGTCCTCCTTGCTGAGAGGAAAAAGGACACAGATAGTGTGAGACATCCAGTGCCATAATAATTGTTCAAATTATCATGCACAATCATAGGATTAAAAATGCGGATGGATGGAAAGTCAAGCATCTCGAGATCATGTGGCCATGGCACTTAGTTGCTGAGGAGATCATAGTCAATATAAGGATTGTGGGATAAGCTGGTTGCTTCTGTTGACCCTAAAATGAATGTTGACTTTGTCAGTCTAACTCAAACTAGGATGCAAAGTCTGAAAACCTCTATGAGGAAGATAAAACTGAGGATCAGGCCCACAGTCGGATTTCAGGGGTTGCAGAATTGCAGCCCAAGTTAAATGCTTATCCTCACCAGGTCTCTGATGCTTAGATAAAGGAAGTGATGGAGACACACTGAAACCCTGAAATTGGGTAGAGGACACTTGAAGCTGAGAAACTGAACCCTCAAATAACGTAAAACTCCCTTACTGGTAGAAGCATTCTGGCCCCTCTCTGTCTGAGGAAACCTGAATTTACTACCTGAAATCATCTTTAAATTACTGTACTACAGTTGCCTTATAGAGGGATTCTCCCCATAACCTACCCTGACAAATCGTCATTTTTCTCCAAGCTCATGAGTTAATGCCCAGCCTATTGCCAATGCAAAAGTACAAGATCTGGCAGAAAATAGCCAATATACTGAAAGAGTTGCATAACATTGTCAATTTTGATGAACATAAACCTGACAATTGTAAGATTGTATTCTGAAGGTGTTAGAGAAGACATGCAAAACAGAAGATATTATCATCTTGAGTTTATTAACATTGGTGCACTTCCTCAGGTTTCTAGGTTTAAAGTGTTGGCTTCGGCCCTGGGGAGTGGCATTTACCTTCCATAAGGATACTAATTGTTTGGCCTAAATTCAATGAAGATCAAATATCAGTACTGTCCTGGCATATACTAGATGAAAGAGTACCCTAGATCACGCATGAGAACATCATGGTGTATCTATTATGTATAAAATAAGATGGTTTTAAGCCACAACCAATGGGAGGGCCAGGAGGGCATTCTGGTCATCAAAGCTAGCAGTAAAAAATGGCTTGGTGATGGGGACAACAGAATCTTTTAAAAATTCAGGGGTGACTGTCTAGTGTAGTCTGGAGATGAAAATGGGGAATATCACAATTAGTTTAGGTTATCAATCTGAATGAGAACAGCGGAAGGAAGAGGTAAATAAAGAAGGTTAAGGCCTTTTTATAGCACTGAAAATCAGACACAAGGTGGATTACAGGGTTAGAGTGGTGACAATTAGCAACAGGGTTACATGATATTCAAAGCATTTGACCATCATTCTTAATAACACCTAATTAGTCCCAAAGTTCTTAGAAATAAAATCGATAAGAAAACTACTAAAGTCTGTGACATAAGTTAGGAGATATTTGTTTCTGAATGTTGAAATTATGTCTATCATGGCAGTAAAGAAAAAGTTTAAGATACTGGAACTGTCTTCCACACCCACACCAATCTAGTAAACCAAAAGCAATATGACCTTTCTGTGGGAACTCCAGAGATTAGAATGTTTTTCAAAGTAATGAAAAATACAGAAATGTTGATTCCTCTAAAATCCTCACTTAATTGATTGGCTGGCCCCCAAACTAAATGCACCTAAAAAAATTAAGAAAAAAACTATAATTTGTAACTGTACTTCCCAAACTGTAATCTACATAAATCTCACCAGAGATAATCTTGTTAAAAGGCACATTTTGATTAAATAAGTCTAGGATGACCTGTCAGATTCTGCATTTCTAACACATTTCCAGGAGACAGATGCAGGTGCTACTGATTGCCAATTCAAATTTGAGTAGCAAGAGATTAGAACAAACTTAATCTGCTGGTGTTGCTGTGGTCGCTGTGGTTCTAGATAGTCATTTTTAGAGAAAGTCAGAATCACCAAATCTATTTTGTCCTCCATTTGCATCATTAAAGAAAATGAGAATCAGTTGACTTTCAAGTGATAGCTGTAATATTCCATGCTGATCTGTTATATTGATAATTATTATTGACTGAATGTTTGTTTTCCCCTAAAATTCATATGTTGAAGCCTTAATCCTCAATGTGATGGTTTGGAGGCAGGACATTTGGGAGGTAATTAGGTTTAGGTGAGGTCATGATGTGGCACACATAGGATGGGATTAGTGTTCTTTTAAAGAAGAGAAAGAGGCCAGGTACAGTGGCTCACACCTGTAATCCCAGCACTTTGGGAGGCCAAGATGGGCGGATCCCCTGAGGTCAGGAGTTCAAGACCAGCCTGGCCAACATGGTGAAACCCCGTCTCTATTAAAAATACAAAAAAACAAATAAATAAATAAGTGGTGGGGGCATGGTGAAAGGTGCCTGTAATCCTGGCTACTCTGAGGCAGGAGAATTACTTGAACCCAGGAAGCGTAGGTTGCAATGAGCTGGGATCACACTATTACACTCTAGCCTGGGTGACAAGAGTGAAATTCTATCTCAAAAAAAAAAAAAAAAAAAGAGAGAGAGAGAGAGATAGAGACAAAAGACAAAAGACATCTTTCTTTCCCACCAAGTAAGGATGCAGCAAGAAGAGAACTGCCTGTAAACCAAAAAGATAGCTTTCACCAGAAAACAAATCAGTCTGCACCTTGAGCTCAAACTTTCAGCCTTCAGAATTATGTGAAATAAATGTTGGTTGTTTAAGCCACGAAGCCTTTTATCATAGAAGCCTGCACTGATCCCAGCACTTTGGGAGGGCAAGGCAGGTGGATGACCTGAGGTCAGGAGTTCAAGACCAGCCTGACCAACATGGAGAAACCCCGTCTCTACTAAAAATACAAAATTAGCCTGCCGTTGTGGCAGGCGCCTGTAATCCCAGCTACTCGGGAGGCTGAGGCAGGAGAATTGCTTGAACCTGGGAAACGGAGGTTGTGGTGAGCTGAGATCATGCCATTGCACTCCAGCCTGGGCAACAAGAGTGAAACTCCGTCTCAAAATAAATAAAATTATAAAACAATACGATAATTGTGCTTGATGTTCATGGGGTAGGAAGCACCACAGATACCTTAGTAAGAAACTTGCATGTCAAAGATGGTGGATAATTATCATTTAAGGTCTTTGAAAACGGTCACCATCACTATAGCACAACACGCAACATAGCTTCTTGCAAATAATTCATTTTACAATAGAGAAAAGGAGGTATTGAGCTCACTCCTATTGTATTAACTGTCCTTTCCTCATACCCTGCCACCCAGAAGAAAACTCTTCTTAAAATGATGCATTTGCTTTCTGAAATCTCAGGTGTAGGATAATTTTGTAGACAATACTTTGGAGGGTTTCCTTCTTTTCTATCCCAAATGGGGCCAAATGGGAAGTGGCCTCTCTCACTATTGTTCCAAATAAAATACTGGGAGAATTTTTACTTTCTTTTATTAAGACCTCCATTCATATAAAGGTCCTAGTAGTACCCGAGGAAGAAAAGTTTTTAACCAATAAATGTAGTTTTGTTCAATGGTAACCTGGGATTGGACCTTGGTCATGTTGCTCCTGTTAAGCTCATTCCTCAGAAGACCAGTGGTCTCTTCACTGCCCGTAGCAGTGTCTGATCTCAATCACAGAAGGAAAATTGAGTTGTTGCAAAGTGGTGGGGGCAAGGAAAACGATGTGGAACAGAAAATATTCACCAGGAAATCTCTTCGTTATTTCTTGTCCTGTAGTTTTAATCCATGGGAAAACATGGCCAACCAATAGCCACAAGGTACTGATTCGATAAAGTTTTGGGTTAAACAATCCAGTCAAGCCAAGGTACTTGGGTAAGGGAAACATGGAATGCGGAGGGGGGCTATTGAAGTTTTGTTTGCATTACATTAGCTCATTTTGTATTTTCCTTTTTTTCCCCTTTACCTTATATAAGAAGTGCTGATATTAGCTGAAGTTCATTGTCAGATCAGAGCGTAGCCAAATTGACATTGATCTGTGATTATGCAATAGCTGATGGGAATTATTATGTTGTCCATTTTGTGAATATGTCTTTTCTTCAGGAAAAATGACCGCCTATCTTCCTAAATGCTCCCTCTGGACAGCTCCTTTTGAACATCCCTCTCCCACAGGTTCCATAAATGCTCCCTTTGCTTGTCCCTTCAGGCAAGTTGCTCTAGGCTCTCTGCTCTGGTCCCCTTCTCCTAGGTTTTACCAAATCCTTTTTGTTTCCTTTAACCCTGTGCCTGCTGCTGTAAACTGTCCCATTTCCAAATTCATTTGAAATATGTCGATGGATTCCGTCCTATGTTTCTTGCAGGGACCTTGATTGATATATTTTGAGGGCTACCTTTTGAACATGCAGGCAATGTGATATTGGAGGTGGTAGCAAAGCAGCAAGATAAAAGGAATTTGTGTCTGTCCTGGAATCACCTACTGAGCGGAGCTTCCTATCCTCCCTGGACCTCTTGCTTACCAGACTGTCATATGAAATAGAAATATGTAATCAACTGTTTGTGATACTGTATTTTTCAATATCTTTGTCATAACAGCTTAGACTGTACTCTAATTAATATACCTACTATGTGACCAGCACTGAGCTAAGGGATTTACACAGAATTTCTTATTTAATCTTTATGAAATTCTGAAGAGGTTGCCATTATTAATCGCATTTACAAATGAGAAAACTGAGCTTCACAAGCCCTGAGTAATTTGCCCAAGTTCACAGAGCTAACAAGTGACAGAGTTGGGAATTCAGCTAAAATCTATCTTATTCCAAGGTGTGCAATCTTTATCCTGTAGTGTACTGCTCCTTAAATGGATCTGCTCTGCTCTTTCCAGGTTCCAGTCTCTTCAAACTCTGCAGAATTTACCTAAATTAGCACTTTTCTCTCACCCTCACCTAATCTGTGGGGAGCTGTGATCAGAATGTTCTGTAAGCACAGGAGCTAAGAAATAATCATCAAACCTTACCCCCACAATGAGTCCATCAATCTTTTGTGTAACACTGATCAAAAATAGAAAGCAATGAAGTACTTTTTGTGCAGTATATTTAAGGTCGTCTTGAAATTGATGTACTCCTCCACAAAGTAGAGAGTCAATAGTGATAAGGCAAGCTGGGATTAGATAAAGACACTTATCAAGGATCTGCATCTTTTGCTTGAACAATTTTGAAGAAAAAACAGAGATTCTGTTAACTTTGGCAGAGGCTTTTAAGCTGCCAACACGACCCTAATCTTTGAAATGTTTGACAGGAGGGAAAAGAAAGGATGCTGGCAAAATTATGTGCTTTACATTCCAAGGGCAACATTACAACAAGCTTTTAAACTAATACAGGCTTAGATCATTGAAATATCTCTTAAACACAACATTATAGAGCTTCACTTCAATTTCCCATACTAGTTGTCCTCCTGTGTGTTGACCTCGTCTTTTCCATATTGTGTTCACAAGTGTACTTGAAGAGTATTTCCAAATACTAAACATGTGACTGGAACTATTGAGAACACTGATACTGTGACATTTTTGGTGTTGATGGAGCTCTTTATGTCAAATCTGGTGAGTAGAAATGCAAGCATGTGTTCAGTTATTTTCTTAGCAATTATATGAAAAGTAGAAAAGCTCAGAGTAGAAATAATTAACTGGATTCTATATTTTATGCTATGTATGGTATCACGCTGTAAGCTTTTGAGACGTGTTTGGAGATAGGAATATGGCCTATAGAATAGATGGCTCAGAGCTCTCACAAATTCAGAAAACCACCAGGAGACTGCAGGTCTGCTGAATATAATAATGGTTCTTATAACTAAATTGTTAATTTAGATATTGACACAATACTTTTTAGCAGCTCCAACTATCCATAGACAATCTTATGGGAATGAGAACTGGATTATATTAGAAACTGTGGATTCTCATCCCAACTCTATCACAAGGGTTTTGTGACCTCTGTAGATATAATACCATTCCCATGTACTAGAATAAATAAAAATGTGAAAAGCCTTCACAATATAATTTATTCTCCCACATAGAAGGGTATATGCCCCAGTGCTTTAGGACACGGGTTTTAGAGCCAGAATTTGCAGGTTCGAATATTGGTCCCGACACGAATTATCTGGAATTCTCAGATACTTACCTTGTATCAATGTGTCTTCACTTGAGCACATCCCTTTGCTATTACTAAAAAGTATTTTGATATATAGAGGTTTTTTTAAAAAATAAATCTCATTTAATTGTCACCAATAACTTTATGTACTAGGCCCTTTTTTAAAAAAATCTTTTTTTTTAATGTTTTTATTTCCATAGGTTTTTGGGGAGCAGGTGGTGTTTGGTTACATGAGTAAGTTCTTTAGTGGAGATTTGTGAGATTTTGGTGCACCCATCACCTGAACAGTATACACTGAACCCAATTTGTAGTATTTTATGCCTCACCCCCTCCCACCCTTTCCTCCAAGTCTCCAAAGTCCATTGTATTATTCTTATACCTTTGCATCCTCATAACTTAGCCCCCTTTTATGACAGACAACATACAATGTTTGGTTTTGCATTCCTGAGTTACTCCACTTAGAATAATAGTCTCCAGTTCCATGCAGGTTGCTGTAAATGCCATTAATTTGTTCCTTTCTGTTGGCTCAGTAGTATTCCATTGTGTGTGTGTGCATATATATATATGATATATATATCACAATTTCTTTATCCACTGGTTGATTGATGGGCTTTTCAGATGGTTCCATATTTTTGCAATCGTGAATTGTGCTTCTATAAGCATGCATATGCAAGTATCTTTTATGTATAATGACTTCTTGTCCTCTACTAGATACCCAATAGTGGGATTGTGGGATCAAATGGTATTTTTACTTTTAATTCTTTAAGAAATCTTTAATGTCTTTAAGAAATCTCCACACTGTTTGCCACAGTGATTGTACTAGTTTACATTGCCACCAGCAGGTTAGAAGTGTTCCCTTTCCACAGCATCAACACCAGCATCTATGCTCAACATCACTAGTGATCAGGGAAATGCAAATTAAAACTATGATGTTATACCACCTTACTCCTGCAGGAATGCCAATAATAAGAAAATTTAAAAAAAGAGGATTTTTTTAAAAGAAGACAATTCTCAGCCAGGGACTTCAGAATGTTTTCTTATTTTGATTTATTTATATATTTTCAACAAATACTTTTTTGCCTACTTTAGGGCAGATACTGAGATAAATATGGTTCTCAATTCTATTAGCAATTATAGGGAAAGTCTAAAATAAAAAACACAGATATTTAGTGCATTTCCATGCATGTGTTGGACATTTGGAAGTTCTTTCCAAAAAGTTACAATAATTTGGTACACACTCAAGAAGAATATATGTATTTATATAACCACACAGTTTTATAAAACAGTATTATAATAAAAAAACTTTATATTACAGTTTTAATTGCATAAATTTATCGTTATGCTCTAAACATATTTTGAGGTAAAATTCAGCAATTAAATAGACTGAGGTCTTGCTCTTTAGCAGCTGTGGACAGAGCACATGTATGTATTTGCTTCAGAAGTATCACAGTGTTTCTTTCTAATGTCAAGACACTTTACAATATCATGTTTGAACTTTTATCTGTTACTCACAGTTATCCTGTGAGAACATTTTTATTAACTTTATTTTTCACTTATGGAAGCGGATTTAAACAGATTAGAGCTACATTCTCTCAGCTAGTAAGTGGCAGAGGAGGGCCTCATACCGTGGCTCTCACCCCAAATCCATTCCTCTGTCCTTCGAATCATGCCATGTGGGTTGTCACCTTCTTCCATTTACTGCTCCACTGGTGTGTTTCCACATGCTACCTCTGTGTAAATATCCTATTTCTTAGTTTTCTCTTTTGAATTTTATTATTTATACTCTGTATCAGCCACATGCACAATTTGTGTATGTTTGTTAGAGTCATATGCTGTGCATATGAAGAGTTTTAGAGAGAAGCGTCGGTAGAAGTGTCATTCTTCTGGAATTAAATGAGTATCTTTTGTTGATTGTAGTGATAGCACAAATACTCTCAGTGGAGAAAAATAACTATATATATGCTTCTCTCTCTTTCTCTCTCTCTCTCTCTCCCGTCTCCCCCTCTCCACACACACACACACACACACACACACACATATACAGACAGAGGTATAGAAAATATATTTTATATTACTATATAGTATATAGAGTATACTATATAGTATCTATGTATTTCCCATGCATATTCCCTATACATGTTACTATATATTACTCATTCCATATTCTCTCTATTTGTTACTCTCTATATTACCATATATCAAGTAATATATGGTAATATGTTAAATATATTTACGATTTATATATTTTATATTTTTATTATATATTTACTATTTATATATTTAAATATATGAATATATTAAATATATTTGCTATTACTATATAGTATGTTATTAAATATATTTGCCATTACTATATAGTAATATATAAATTATTAATTGTATTTACTATTACTATATAGTAACAGTTATTAAATATATTTACTATTACCAATATATTTACTAATGTGCTATATTATTTACTATACATAATATATACTATACACTATATCTACCATATACTATATATATTAATTACTATATAGTAAATTATACAGTTAATACTATAACACTACAGTAATTATATAGTAAATTACTATGTAATAAATATAGTATCGCAATATTTACTATTACTATATAGTTATATATAGTAACATATAGAGATAATCTATAGAGAGTAATATGCAGTTATATAGAGAGAATATATATAGACAGATTTTTTAATAAAGAAGAGTTATTTATTGAGCATCTACTTTGTGCCAAGTCATCTATATATGCTATCTCATTTAATTATGACAACATCTCTTGTGTTTGTATAAGTTCCTCCATTATATAAATGTCTTAAGAAACTCACATGCGTGAATTACTTCCTTTGTGTCACATAGTAAATAGAGCCAGGATTCACTTTTCTGTGTTTCCAGAACTTTTGCTCCTTGTGTTTCTTTTAAAATTATGCAATAATATTTATACATACAAAATAATATGTATATTAAAAAATTGCATAATGACAAAATACATAACTGATCCTATCACATAAAGAAATAAAATATTACTAATATCTGTGCATTTAACTGTAAGCACATGGAATTAACTACTATTCTAAATTTAGTGTTTTTCACTACATCACTTTATCAAAAATCCTTTAAAAAGTTTTTATCATGTGTGTAAATACTATTAAGCAATTCAATGTACTGCTTAGGCTTTTTTTGTAGATTTATTAAAATATTATTATAAATATTATTGTTTGCTGTAGATTGGATTATTGATCAACAAAGATCTGAGCTCCAAAGATCTATAGTGGTGTAAATACATTTTCAAACCACTGATTGTGGCCTTGGCCATGTGATGCACTTTAAACAATGGAAAGTTAACAAACTCAAAGCAAGCAGGAAAGGAATTTGAATGTGCTAGTAGTGTGGCTTGCATTAACTCATGGACTATAATAATAGACCATGTCAAAAACATGCCCAGGTAGTTGCTATTGTTTCCATCTGGATCCCAGAACCAGAGGTGTTGCAGCAGACCCAGACTTAACCTCCCTAACGGTAGCCATCATCAGAAAGTGCAGCACTCAAAGAGCAGAGACTCAGACAAGCCCAGACTTCATCACCCATATGGCAATCAATCTGAATACCTGAAAGCATCAGAATAAATGATGTTATAAATCATCAGTTTGGGGGGTAGTTTGTTGCAAAGCAAAAATGTGGCATTAGCTGATTGCTATGGCTTCTCTTACTGATTTTTAAAATCTAATTTTATGTTTTTAAGATATATCCAGGCTGGGGTTTTTGTGTGTTTTTATTTAAATTCATTTCTTTTCATTACTATATATTTAATGGTATCTATGTGACAAAGTTTTTCTAACACATTTCCTCTTTGGTGGACTTTTTTGTTTCCTTTTTAATTTCTTTTTAAATTGAGGACACAGGTGCTTGCATTTAGGGCCTACTCAGATACTGCAGCAAAGATTTCTCCTCTTGATCTCTGTATCTTAATTACATCTGTTAACATCTTGGTTAATATTCACTCCTTTGTGAAGATTTTTGCACCAACCAAAATTTGTTCATCCATTCCCTTGATGAACATTTGTATCGTTTACAGTTTTTAGCTATTATTACTAAAGCTGCTACAAAAAATATGTGTAGAATTCTAGTATGAATATATGCTTTTATTTTTCATGGGTAAATGCCTAAGAGTGCAATATCCGAATCACATGGTCTGTGTATGTTTAACTTTTTAAGAAGCTGGCAAACTGTTATCCAAAGTCGTTCAAAATTTTTACAATCCTCTGAGCAGTAGATAAGATTTCCATCTTCTCCATATTGTCACCCACACTTGGCATAGTCAGTCTTTTAAATTTTAGATATTCAAATAAGTGTGGAGTAGTATCTCATTGTGCTGTAGATCATAATGATGTTGAGCATTTTTTCAAGTGCTTTTTTTCGTCTTCTCTATATTTTCTTTGGGGAAGTGTCTGTTAAAATATTTGTCCATTATTTTTAATAAGTTTATCGAATTTTGAGATGATTTATATCTTCTGAATATGTCTTTCTTGAGATATGTGACTTTCAAATATTTTTAGTGTACTTTATCTGTTCATTATCTTAAGAGTGTCTTTCAAAGAGCAGAAGTTCTTAATTTTATGAAGTTCAATTTATTATGCTTTTTAAAAATTTGTTTAAGTCACATTTTGTTCTTGCCAATGAACATGTTCTATTTCTCCTCCTGTTTAGGTCTTCTTTAAGTTTAATCAACACGTTTTGTAGTTATCAAAGTATAGGTCTTTCACCGAAGGTTAAGGTTTGAATATTAACGTGCTTTTTTTCATCTATTGATAAAAATCTCATGTCTTTTCCATTGTAACTTATAAATATGGTATTGTATCATAATATACTTTCTAATCATCAATAAAACCAACAAGACTATTGTGTATTTATTTTATAATTGCTGATTTGATATTTGCACCTTGGTGTGACTTCTGTTTTTCCCTCGTATCTTTTTCGGTTTGGGCATCAAGGTTATGCTGGCCTCATGTAAAATTTTGTGTAGTAGTCCTTTTCTTTATTTTTTCTCTAAAAGATTTTGTTTCTGTCTTGTTTTTATATTAGAGTGATCTGTTCTTTGAAAGTTTATCAGACCACTGTTATAGAACAATTTTATTCTAGTGTTTTCTTTAGGTATACGTTTAGCGCAAGAGTAATTATTTGAACTCCCAAATCAATTTATTTAAGGTTCCAAGATAGCTTTTAAAATTCTTCTTGAGGTTGATTTTTAAGTTCAATTTGTTGGACATTTTCTAATATACTGGACTGCATTTGTTATATTATTCTATTAAATTGAATATTTGCTAGATATGTACGTATGTCAAATTTTCATTCTAAAAATCAATTATTTATAATTTATTTTCTCTTCTCTCTTTGATAAGTCCTATTAATTATTAGAAGCTTTGTGTATATTTTTGGTCATTTCAAAGAATCAACTTTTGATTTAACTTTACTTTGTTGGATTTAATTTCATTTTATTTTTCTCTATTTTCTTAATTTTAGGCTTTTAGTTCACTATCAGCTTTTTTCTTTCTCATGTTCATATTTGAGGTAACGTATTTTTTCTTAGGTATCCATTAACTACTTCCCATCATTTTAATGGGTAATATTTTCAATATTAGTTTATTTTTAGTATTGTACTTTTATATTTTATTATGATTCCTTCTTTTGACATTGGCCATTCAGAATTATACATTTATTCATATTCATTTTCATTATGTTTTTGTTATTGGCATCTGTTTGAACAGATTTGAGTCTGAAAATATTATTGCATTCATTCAAACTACAAGTATTCGTTGAGTACCTACTGCACAGTAGGTACTTGTCTTTGTTCTTCAGATAGCCTGGTGAATAAACAGACAAAACTCATTTGCCTTCATAGAACTTATAGTCTATTGACATTAATACTTCATTAAAGTTTATTTTTATAGCCTAAAATATGTTGAGTTTTTATAGATGTTCTATATGTACTTAAAAAGAGGACATATCACTGTTTGTTGCTCAGGTCACTAATTCCTTATATAAATATTTCATTAACCAAGCTTATGAATGTTTGTCAATTCATCTACATTTGTACCAGTTTTTTATATATCTAAAAGAAATAAGTTGAAATATTTTATTGTGATGATGTATCTAAAATTTTCTCCCTGAGGATTTATCAATTTTAGTTTTATGTATTTTCAGGGTACTTTATATCTTGATGCGTTTGTAATGTTGTAACTCTTAGATCAATTGAAAATTCAATACACACATGCAATTCTTAGCTGGTATCCACTTGTAAATCTTTTTCTTTCCATTGGTTTCCAGTTCTCTCCACTTGATTTGGGATTGTTTCTTATAAACAAAGTACAAAAAATCTTTTAAAAATTAATCAGATGACTTCTTTCTCTAAACTTATATTATTTACATTTATTGTGTTTAGTAATAAGTCTGAGCTTATATTTTACTATGCATATTTTAAATATTTTGCTGCTTTAAATTGACTTTTATTGCTTTCATTTTTTGTTTGTGTTATTCCACTTTTTTCCATTACTGACTTACAGTTTGGAAGTTATATAAACTTTTTATTTCTTAACATTGATTCTTCTGATTTTATCTCATGTACTTAACAAAGTTTAATACACATCAGTAAGACTGTTGAAAAATATGGCTCTCTTAAGCAGTAGGTTCCTGAGAACAGTAACTCAGGCCACACTTTTCCTGCTTTATGTTCTATTCTGCATCACTCATGTTCTACCATTTTTATGGCCCTATTATTTAGACACCGGCATTATTATTTTGTAATGATAAGGCCTTTTATCTTTACTCATAAATTTAGCAATTAATTTGATCACCCTTTCTTCTTATAGTGCTATTCCTATGGAGAATCAATTGTTGATTGTATTTCACAGTCTTCTAGTTTCATTTCTTGCCATCGAGATTCTATGGCATTGTTAGTCTGTTTATCAGTTATCTATTGCTACAAAAGAAACATTCTAAAACTTGGTGTATTAAAGCAACAAAATGGTTTACTAGTCTTAAAATTTAAGAGATTTACTTGTTGTTGCTTCTGCCTCACAAAGTACCACCTGGGGCTACTTATGTGACTGCATTTATCTAGGGGCTAAACAGGGATCAAAAATCCAAGAAGGCTTCTCTTATATCCGAGAACTTTATGCTATTGAATAAGGTGACTGTTCTTCTTATGTGGCTTTTTTCTCCACATGATGTTTTTAATATCATCTCCTTTCTACACGGCCTCTCTTGCCAACTGAAATGGACACAGGGTCACTTCTACCTCATTTTATTGGTCATAACAGGACACAGAGTGGGCTTAGATTTAAGGGGAGGAGAAATAACTCTACATTTGTAATGAAAGGAGTGACATGTCCTGTCCAAAAATCTTCATTTTTTTCCCCCAAATGACCAGTTGTAAAAGGTCAAGACTGTACTAACAAAATATATGCTATAAATAACGGCATTTTTTTCCTTTCCTGTTAAATCATTACTACAAGGAAACCTGGTAAAAAATCACTATAAAGATCAGATTTACAGGGAATTCTGGTTAAGGACATTCATTTGCCTGAAAATCCCTGGTGAGAAAGAATAAGTTTAAAACCAGCTGTTAGCCGTATTCTTCCCACTATCATTATTCTATGATTCAAATGAGCCCAAATATGGCCAGTGATAACCCTATCAAGAGAGTTATTATTCTTATTTGGCACAGATTCATTTATTTTGTTTTTTATTTAGACAATTATACATATTTTCCACTTTAAACAGTTTTAATATGCCTCTAAAAATAATATATTATAATTTGCTGATTATTTTGATCACATGTGCTTTCTATTTCATATTTTGCATTCAGATTAATTTTATATTCTCTATTAATTCTAATAACTAAGGTATTTAACATTATAAAGTTATTTTGCTGTTTCTATGGACTTTCATTCATGATGGCCGTCTCTCTTTTTGTTTTCATTAATTTTTAAATTTATTTGAATTATATTAATCTACAGAAAACCTGATAGCCTGAATTGAGGATAATTAATGTGTAAAAATGATTGGGTTTGCATCTGTATCTCCTTGGGAGAAAATAACCTGGAACCACTCGAGCCATTTCTCAGATTCTAAGAATTAATCAGGGTTCTTAGGTTTGCCTCCCTCTCCTTGATGTTCATCTTAGATGCAGTATGAATATCACACGGCTAATTCATACGTGCACTGAGGGACATCACAAATTTTATGTCAGCTTGGGAACTATGTCTGTTTTTTGTGTGTTTCATTTTCTTAACTTTTATTTTTTTCCCTTTCTTTCCTTTTCTGTTAAAATTTTTATTCCTCTCTAAAAGCCTAGCAATGAATCAAAATATCATTTTATGCAGGGTCTTTTCTGATTGAGTCTTCCATATTATTGTAAATGGAAATTCAATGTTTCTTCTACTAGAAGGGATTTCAAAAGGAGTATCAGTTTGCCTGTTTTATATATTGGCTGTTGAGTAAGTTTTCGTTAAAAGTGTTCATAGCTAAAGAAAGAAAATAATTATTGTTAATAACCACTACAGCACATTTTCATGCATACAGACAAGGGATTCATAATGGAAAGACAGAAGAAAAGTGAATAACTTCCAATATAGTCTGCCAAATTTTCTTTCCTAAACCTAGTTATATTAAATTTCCACATTAATGATTTACTTTTTGAGCTTCTGAATTACCTTTGATTTCCTGTAGTCACAATTATGTTTGAGAAACTGTTCTCATTTCACTCTCAGTTTTTTTTTTTGTTACCTTCATTAGTTGACAAGAACTGTGTGGGACAGTGGGGTTTGTATAAGCTCTAGAGTTTCTATTCAATAGCTAGTGATTTTCTTTCACCATTCTTTAAAAAGCAAGAAGATTCTACTTTTGAATTTTCTGCCTTTCAAGAAGTTTTATTCTTCCCTTGGGGTTTAAGGAGCCATCTTTTAAACTTCAGAAGTCTCGACTTCAGTTCAAAGATTAAAAGGAATGATGGAATGTCAAAGGCTTCTCGAAGTAAACAACGTTCTTCCAACTGTGAAGAGACAGTCTTAATCCAGGATAAAACGACTATGGATGGAATAAACACCTTTATATTTATTAAAATTACAGAAAGGTATTGGTTACTGGCTGGTTTATACTGTAGCCCTTTTTAAGGGTGAAGCTATGTACTTTTGACATTATTTAGTTTTTAGCAGCATTGTATTATATATATACAAAGGCTTTACTTGGAGAGGGGCTTGTTTTTTTGTTTTTTGTTTTTTTTGATGGAGTGTCACTCTGTTGCCCAGGCTGGAGTGCAGTGGCACGATCTCGGCTCACTGCAACCTCCACCACCCAGGTTCAAGCAATTCTCCTCCTGCCTCAGCCTCCTGTGTAGCTGGGACTACAGGTGCACGCCACCATGCCCAGCTAATTTTTGTATTTTTAGTAGGACAGGGTTTCACCATCTTGGCCAGGCTTGTCTTGAACTCTTCACCTTGTGATCCACCCACCTCAGTCTCCCAAAGTTCTGGGATTACAGGCATGAGCCCCCGCACCTGGTCTTGTTCTTTTCTGTTTTAAAATACATCCAAAAATTTCCAGTATTTTCAGCATACATATTTTTATCTCTGGAACAAATACCTCAATGGTATCAAACAGAAACAATAAACAATTGACAATCTGAGTTAATTTTATTAAGAGAAAATAAAAATGTACTATTTTCATTTCCCAAGGTGCTAGATATTTTTCTTGTTTCAAAGGATATACCTGTTAGACTTAGGGTCATCCCTGAAGGAATTCTGAATTGACATTTTTATTGCTACTGTCTTTGAAACAACCTATATTTTAAGAGCACTGACATGAAAATAAAGAGACTTAATTATTAGTATTTTATAAATTTTTACAATAGATTTTTTGTAGTTAATCTGAAAAAATTAACAAGTTTTTAAAATATTTTCTCACAAAAACGTCATGAATCTTTAACTTGAAAATATAGTCATAATAGCAGGTACACTTACAAAAAACAGTGGCAGATCATTTCATAATATAAATATTAAAATTCAATGGTTTTAGTGTGTTTCATTTAAATAAAGGACCTCTTCAGAATTATAACTTTTTATTCATTTTAAAACATGAAAGGTTTTTGTATATTTATTAGTGGCAAAAAAAGAACGAATCATCCAAAATTATGTCTATAAGCCACAGAACAATTAGTTAATAGCTATATAGTCTTTGTGAATATTAATGTATCCCTAATACACTCATTATAGATAACATTAATCATGACATATACATTAAAAGCAGTTTAATTATTTTTACCAAACATGTTGAGAATCTCAGAGATGTTGTATCACCTGTCTCTTGTTACGTAACACATTATCCCAAAACAACAGTACTAATTACTTCACAATTTCCCCGCATTAAGAGACTGTGCCTAGCTTAACTGGGTCCTCTGGGACTCTTACATGACTACAATCAAAATGTCAGCTGGGATTGCAGTCATGTCAGGCCTTGATGGGGGTGGGATCTGATTCCAAGGTCATGCATATGAATGTTGACAGGATTTAGTTCTTTGTAGCCCATTGGCCTCAGGGCCTCCATTCCTCACTGGCTGTGGGCAAGAGGGTCATCCACTCTCTTGACATGTGGGCTTCTCCACAGAGGTAGCTCGTAACATGAAAGCTGGCTTCATCAAATCTGGTAAAGAGAAGCAACAAAGAGAGTATGCAAGTGAGACGTATGTCACAATCCTTTTAACCTAATCTTGGAAGTGGTGTCCCATCATTTTTGCCATATTCTGTTTGCTAGAAACAGGACACAAGGTCTAACTCACTCTCAAGGGGAACAGATTACCCAAAGATGTGAGTAGCTGGAGGCTGGTGTACATGACAGTCATTTCAGAAGCTGCCTTCTGCACAGATGTTAGGATATTTGAACAGGTATTTTATAGGGTTGTAAATTTAAAATAACAACACAGTTTGTGTCTACATAATAATACCAAACATTCTGACAAAAATAAAAAGTAGTTCGATAATTTACATGTAGCCAAATTATCAGAATCATAACCTGATGAATTTTTTAAATGACGATTTCTCCTTTTATTCTGGGGCTCCTTTGTATTTAACTTCAAAGGTACTGATAGATGAATATTCAGCTAGAGAAGGATTGCTAACTTCTTGTTTGCAATAAAAGCTCTGTGATTACAAATGCTTCCAGCTGTGGGAACTTAGGAGGATATTCACGCAGAATATGCCAATACACCTTCATAATGTTTACTTGGCAAATCTAGGACTAGTCTATTTTTGTTTGTTTTCCCTAGAATATATATTGAGAGCACAATTGTCAAACTGGCTCCCTTTATGTCAAAATACAGGGAATAGAACTTCTTACTCAATTCCTAGGCTAGGAATCTTTGCTATAATAAATTTGAGCTTATCCAATAGAGATTGATTGGCTTTTTTATAACAGGTAGGTATTATATGTGAAGATGTTAATTTTTATATAAGCGAGTGATTTAGATAGATATAATAATCTATATATTTGCAGTCCATATTCAGCAATAACATTTTTGCTGTAGTAGTGTTTTTTCTTTTTAAATTCACTATTGACCTATAAATGAAATAATGAACCAATCAAATAACACATTTTATTATTTATCCATCTTGATCTTATTTCTTTTGCTAATGGTTTCTTAAATTAATTCCAAATCTATTTTATCCACATTTCTTCACTGATTTATACATTGATGTTGAATACATTTACCTTTTTAAATCTAATTTATTACTCTAATTAGTTTAAACAAATTATTTATGAAGGAGTCAGTGGAGGCAAACACTACATTTAGAATTAAATAAATTAATCACTAAATAAAAAAGTTCAGCTGGTGGATGATGATTTCAAATTCTTGCTTACCCAATCCTACCAACCCTTCCCATCAGAATGGCCTGTTAGAAGATAGCAACAAGACTCATCAATTATGCTCTCAACAAAAAGGTTATGCACGTATAAATTAACAAGGTTGTTTTTTATTATGCTATTAAAGTAATTTATTTTGCCAACATAGTCCTGCAAAACAAAAGAAATATTTATATTCTGTTCCTGTTTTTCTTAGACCATACCTACCTAAAAAGAAATTATTTTTAACAAACGTGGATTAAATTACAAGTTAATTAAAATATATTATGTTAAATTGAGAAATAAAACGAAGATATTACCACCATAGAAATGGTTTCAGTAGAATAATCATTTGACATTATAAAAATAATCCTCCCAATCCCTGACATGCTTCCCAATGCATCTTAGTTTCTGATTTTGTATTTGTTGTTCTATCATTTTCCTTTTCTGTACATATGTATGGTACAAAAGTATTGCTTTGGTTTTCAATATGCAAAGTACATTTCAGTTGTAGTAAAAAATTATTAAGTTCCCACTAGGATCAGAAAACTGTATTATGAAGTCTGAAATCTTATTTATAAAGTTGGAAAAAAAATATTTCCTCCAAGAAGGTCATTTAACTTTTAATTAAAAAGAGAAATAATTTATTTTTTATCCAGGTCTGATATCTAGACTTTTATTTTATTAAAAAATATGGAACTGTGAGGCTGTATGATTGTATAATGAACAGAAAATTAAAATAGAACCTTTATAAAAAAAAAGGAGAAATACTATTCTTGGTTGAATTTGAATTTTAGTGTATAGGTTTTCCGTTAGTATATAGCTTTTAACTTCTGCCATTTTCACAAAATGGCAATTTTTTAAAGAAAAACCATGACTGATATAAAAGTTGAAGAATCACGTCTATTTTAAATTTTAATCTGAAATTATTTGAGGTAAGTAGTCTCTAGATGAAATTTCATGGCAATCTCTATTTGTTAATGGTCCTGGCATCATTAGTTAATGGCATAAACATAGAAATAGATGAAACAAAAGTGAAATGTTGACAAATTCCTCCCAAACATAAAGACTCTCCTTAAATGAAGAAATACAAACAAAACTTTAAAAGTCTTCCACATATAGACACAGAAAGAAACATACAACAAAATATGAAAAAATATACTTAGAATACCATATATGTAAGAAACAAAGAATGCACTTATTCTCTTGTCAATACACTTACAGATGTCTATAAATGTGTATAACTTATTATGTTTATGTAAATATGTATTTAACTGTTTTTATGACAAAAATATGTAAACTATGAGAAATAAAACAATAGCTTACTATGAAATTCATATTTAACAATCTATAGAACTGGATTAAAAGATCAAAAACCAAGTTTGAAGAAACTTCAGTAATGTTGACAGAAAAAAGGGATCACTTGAGCCCTCTGCAGATAATAATTATGAAAACTGGCTAAATATGTCTTAATGTATCAGAAAGAACAAATAAGGTAGAAAGATTATTCTTTAAAAAAACTGCAATTGGAAGGGGTAAGAGTTCGAATTTGAATCTGAATTTGAATTTTTTTAGACTAATTGTCCCTCCATCTTCCCTTGGCTTTAGAGGTAAAAACTAAAACAAAAAACACAGTATTATTTGTTCATTGTGCCCAAAAATATAACATTGAGGCAGATAGTTCAGTTAAAAATACAAAGGAAAAAATTCTGGTAGCAAGGGGGGAGTACAGAATTAGTAAGATTCAGAGTATAGACATAAAACTTGGCATATCATTGACTGAATTTAAACCATGCACATGTAAAAGAAATAATAGGGAGCCTGGTGAAGAGATAGGCAGAGGCTGAAATATAATCTATTATTGAAAGTTAGATGTGTACTAGACAAGATATATAATTTTTCTGCTTAACAGTGTGTTGCTTCATAGAAAGCCCAAGTCTTATATGCTTCAGTTGTCAGGAGAGAGTGCCCAAGGCCAGCTAAGCAGCTGGAAAGGGGTTAGACATTCTTAGGAACAAAGAGAACAAAAAGCAGTAATCCACAAATTCCACAAATCTCACAAATTGAGGAAAACATGTAATGTCTACTCAATATATTTATGTAGACATATATATATATATATGTCATATATATATAATTTTGTGGGTAATTAACTGGGTTTATGTTATCTGAATATTTTTATTTCTTCTTTAATTAACCAGTGAAGAATTATATCGTTTTAAAGTATAATTTTGGAGGGATATTTTATTCATTCTTTTCTGTGCATTTATGAAAGAAGTAAATTCCTTCCATAGGACCTCAGTTTGTCAAATTGCCAGGATTTTATTAATTTATTTAATTATTACTTACATCCAATAAATTCAGCTTCTTATGCAAGAAAAACAATCTGTTAGAAGATAGGTTTTTTGCCCTCCTTATTAAATTATTTCTCATTATCTTTGTCTTTCTATTCCCTGTGTATTCTGATCATATTTTTATTCTTCTTCACTTCTTTGCTCTTTTGAATCAGTAAAGCCCATAAGAGATGTGTACATTTTCACCTAGTGTCTATGATATTGACTCCAATTTTATTCAAGCGTCTATAAACAAAAATACACATTTGCAAAAGGTAACTGGAAATTTTCGCTCAGCTTCAGTGAGCTCAAATAGCAAGTCTCATTACCATTTTCAAGGTTACTATACATGGATTTATAAACATCTCTATTCAATTATGGATTGAACTTCTGATATACAAAGTTGTTTTGATAAATTTTTCCTTTTAAAACTAAAACCATTATTTCATTTGCTAGAATATTTTCAGGATTACAAACTTTATTTTTTGTGTGTTTGGTTAAAGGACAACTTCTGAATAATATTTAACTCTCAACACAAAAGCAAATACCAACCAAAAAATTATTTGGTAATTATTGTGAATTTCAGGCAGACACAGGCAAACACGTTCTCTTCTCCTTTTCTCACTTCTTCCTTCCCTTATTCTACTTCCCTTTTTTACTTCTTCCCTCCCTTTTTGTTACCTTCTTTTCTTTCTTAACTTTAACAAATAATCATTGATACTAGGTGTTGTGTTATGCACTGAGGATGCATTTTTGTTACAAAATTGTGACTGGGAGTAGTTTAGCTTAATTTGGGTGATATATCTGTGCTGGGTTGGCAAGAAATAAATGCTATGTGGTAAATATAAAACTCATTTTGCAGTATAGCAGAAGGCAAACCCAGAGCATTTGTAGAAATCAAAAGACTATTGAGCTATCTAAAACACATCTCAGTACAACTATACCATCTCGGTATAACTATACCCGGGATTGTGCAGTAGCTAGGATTTAATTACTTATTGATGGTTAATGTGTATCCTGAGTAACAACTGAGAAGCCAGTAATGTTTGAGCATTACTATTGCCCTCAAGTAACTTACAGGCTACACTGTGTAGTCATAAAAAAGTATGGAACCAAGTCCTTTGCAACAACATGGGTGGAGCTGGAAGCCATTATCTTAGTGAAATAACTCAGAAATAGAAACTCAAATATGTCATGTTCTCACTTATAAGTGGGAGCTAAACAGTGAGCACACATGTAAATAAAGATGGAAATAACAGACTAGCAATTCCAAAAGAGGGGAGATTGGAAGGGGAGTGAGGGTTGAAAAACTACCTATTTGGTACTATGTTTTAACCATTTGGCTGATGGGTTCACTAGAAGCTCAAGGAATCATATTCAGTAATGTAACCTACCGCCTTGGAGGCTTCCATCTGGGACCATTACCATTGCCCCACAGAGACTTGAAGACAGGAGGAATTGACTATGCTGATGCCGATGCTGTCTGCTGTGACATTCATGATGAAGTCATTTGTCTCTGATCTAAGAATCTCATGTCTTCTGTCTTCTAATAATATCATTAACATTGTTACAGACTAACTTTGAGACTGGAAAGTAGAGTAAAATCATAGACCCTCATGTTTCTGGAACATCATAATGGACATCAGGAGGTAAGAAAAATGTTAATAAAAGTATCCCAAATCCAAATGCCAAAAAACGCTTATTAAAACCCTACAATAGTTAAAATACAATAAATGTAGTTGACAAGTGTGTTCAGAGACAGAAGGAAAACCAGACTTTGTATCTCATTCTACCTGCTGAATGGCATGAGTGCACGGCCAAGGCTGGTGGGGGAGTGACTAGCCACAGCCAGCTCGTCTGTTCAGGCCTCCAGGGCTGAAACCTCAAGCTCATTTTCAAATCATTTTTCTCATAACATCACAGGACTCTAGAAGAAAAGAGAAGCAGTTTTTGTTGAAGTTCCAAAATACTAGTGTTTGAAAATATTTATTTTTGTTTTGACTGGGAAACACTACCCAATACTTGTAAAAAACGACCACGCTGTAGAACAGAAGTTTTTCTAGAATTTCTAATTTGATAATCACCAAATATTTCAGTTTAGCTACCCATTAGAAAGTTTTTCCAGTTGCAATTAATGTGGAGGAAAAAGCAGTCTGTTCTAAAATCAAGGGTTCTGGTTAGGTAGACATGTAATGTAGAAAAAGAAGACATTTTCCAGGTTGACTGAAATGATGGAGCAAGATTAAAAAAATACAAAGATTCTGTTAACCTTGGAAAAATGTATATTGAGAAGTAGCCGGGATTGGCTTTTTAAATTTCGGAATTTGGTTTCATCCTAACTTACAAGGTGACTGTTACATGCTTCTATATTCACTGTGTACTGCAATATTGGAATGATGGGTTTAGAACTAGATCTTGGGTGGGATGAACCTAACACTTAGGAACTGAAGAAACAACAAACGTTTTGACAGATAATGGCCCAGTAGAAGCTGCTGAAGAGGACTTGCTCTGAACAAGCCGGACCTGATGGTTGTATTGAGAAGAAAAAAAAAAAGGAAGTGAGATTATGCTTAGTGCCAATTTAAAGATATATTAAAGGCTTTAATATATCTGTAGAATTAAAATACAATGAGGAATAATTATTGAAACGCTAAATGATATCAGCAAATTAGAGCATTTTACACAAATAGCATCCTACGTTGGCTATGTTAACTTTTTTTTTTTTTTTTTTTTGAGAACGGAGTTTCACTCTTGTTGCCCAGGCTTGGAGTGCAATGGCGCGATCTCGGCTCACTGCAACCTCCGTCTCCCGGGTTCAAGTGACTCTCCTACCTCAGCCTCCCTAAAAGCTGGGATTACAGGCATGTGCCACCAAGCCCGGATAATTTTTTTTTTTTTTTTTTTTTTTTTTTTTTAGTGGGGACGGGGTTTCTCCATGTTGGCCAGGCTGATCTCAAACTCCCGACCTCAGGTGATCCGCCGGCCTTGGCCTCCCAAAGTGCTGGGATTACAGGCATGAGCCACCGCGCCTGGCTTGATAATATTTTTGAAAACATTGCATCATCAGTATAGTAAGGGGGAAATGAAATTTTTAACTTTGTCCATATTACAGTGTTCCTTCTGTAAAATAATTAGATGGATGAAATGTCACAGTGTTTTTCTTGGGAACATACAAGTAGTGAGGCTTTTGTATTATGGTAAAGAATACAAACTGCTGCTTCTTTAGTAATGTGGTTGCATTTATAATTGGATGTCATCACTGACAAACATCTCTGCCTGAGACCAGGATAAAGGATGGTGGAGATAAGGTCAGAAGCAGTTACCAGGCCCTGCCAGTGGAGCTTTTTGGATGTCGCTCCCAAAACTATGGGCTGTCAGATATACGGGCAATGAAAGCAACACAGAAACCTCACCAGCAGAGAGCTAGAAAATCAATGCAGGCAATTAGTTCTTAAATTTTCCCTTTAGAAAGTTTATGTTCCATGGAGAAAACACCTGGACGTAGTTAAGTACTGATGTCCTAGCCACCATACCTGGCTCACCTTATCTCAGGGTGGGCCCTCCACCCTGGCCATTTGACTTGGGTTGGCTTGTGTGTTGCACTTTGACCAATGGGCTGTGGGAGATGGTGTGTACACCACATACAGTGGAAGCTTGATGTGTTTGCCATTTTTGAAAGCTCTTTAGGACTTGCTTACTTCTCCTCCTGCCTCCATCCTAGCTTTTCCCTCTACCTTGTGAGATTAACCACAGCTACCCACATCCCCTTGTAAAGGGAGCAAGATGTAAATGTTTAGGCAAACCCTGAGAACCAAGGCGTGTTTATTGCTGCAGTAAAGGTTCAATAATCGTGGCTTTTGCTGGATCTCTGTGTTGCTGTATATTTTTACTTCACTGTTCTTGCAAAGTATACATATTAGGAGCTTGAGAAAGAGAAAAAATGTTAAAAGCACACTTGTAAATTCCACAGGAAATAAGGAGAAACAGACTGGAAGGCATTAAATCACTCAGAGCAAAATAACAATTGGCTAAACCCTTAAACACCAACCAAGGTAGAGATGGGCAGACACCGTTGTACTCACTCTGCTAGAAGAAGAATGTTCCATGTAAGGCAGCCTATTCTCTCTGCCTGTCTGATCCCTCTGCCTTAACCAGGATAGGCCCTGGAAATTACTTCACATCTGGCATTAATCAAAACTTCCAAAAAGGGCTACTTTCTTAAATGTTTGTGTCCAGTATGTGTCGCTGTTTCTCTCTCTCTCAATAATCTGTATCTCTATCTTTAACTCTCTCTCTCAGGCTCCATCTCTAACTCTATTTGTCTCTCTCTGTCTCTTTCTAACACTCTCGCCATATCTCTATCTCTATAAGTCTATTTTTCTCTCTGTCTTTATCTCTAACTCTCTCTGTCTCAGTCTCTATCTCTAGGTCCATATACCCCTTAGGGTTCTTTGGGGATTAAGTAAATAACCACATATAAAGCAGTTTAACATAAACAAGCATGTGGCAAACAGTATATAAATACTTTTTTAAAATAATTACTTAGGAAACGGTTCTGTCTCTTGAAAAAGCTACCTTTGCGAGTCTCAGAATCACCCATGCAGCTGGTACCAGGACAATTAATGCACTCAACACCTCTCATCATCATTTTGGGAATACATAAAGTCACCCATGGAAAATCACGGTACGGGTACCATATTTTATCTCAGGGAAGCATAGATTAGACTGTTCAGACTACATCTTGTCTACAAGAAAGTTATATTTATAGTCTCTCCTTCTGCTAAATTCACAAAGACAAAAATCTACCTGGAGGTTTCCAGCCAATATCCTACTCTGTGTAAAGGAGATACAAGTGGCAGGAATATCCTACATTTTCTAAATGTTTTCCTAAATATTTTCATGAGTCTACAGTAGTAGACCCTGTATTCAGGGATTTAAGATCATAACTATGCTCTTACAGGAGGCACAAGGAACAGTTTTGTGTTATCCTGTGTACATTATGATCTAGACCACATTCCTTATGGGTCTAATTAAAGACTGTGTCAAGTGCATTACTGGTTTAGAAATATATCCTTCTAAATGCTAATGTGGGTGCAGTGAGAAAGGTACTTTTGTACATTACTAATATGAGTAAATATGACTACAAACTTTGGAAAGTAATTTGCCAACATCAATCAAGTGGCTTAAATTATTCCTACTGCATAAATTTCACTTCTATCAATAAGTTCTTGGCTTTTTTTTGTTTTGTTTTGTTTTGTTTTTCAGACGGAGTCTCCCTCTGTCACCCAGGCTGGAATGCAGTGGCACGATCTCGGATCTCGGCTCACTGCAAGCTCCGCCTCCCAGGTTCACGCCATTCTCCTGCCTCAGTGTCCTGAGTAGCTGGGACCACAGGCGCCCGCCACCAGGCCCAGCTAATTTTTTGTATTTTTAGTAGAGACGGGGTTTCACCGTGTTAGCCAGGGTGGTCTCGATCTCCTGACCTCATGATCCACCCACCTCGGCCTCCCAAAGTGCTGGGATTACAGGGGTGAGCCACCGCACCCGGCACTTCTATCAATAAGTTCTAAGGAAATAACCAGAGAAATTGACCACAATGTTAATAATAAAATTATTTATAAAAGCAAAACTGGGGAAATTCAATGGTCAGTAGAATCATGGGTGACTACATTATAATGCAGACATACATGAAATATTTTGCAGACATAACTATACTTTAAAAAAAATTAGTAACATGGGGAAATGCTTACAAAATAATGTTACTTGAAAAAAAAGAACCAAAACTAAACATATACCAAAAGCTAATTTATATTTAAAACAGTATATATAATTTACATAAGTTATCCAACACACAGAGAGGGAAATATCTTGGAAATGCATGTTGCATACTAAAAAATATTTATGTATTTGTTTATGATTTCTGGATGTTTTTCTTTCTTTTTTTTTTTAATTATACTTTAAGTTTCAGGGTACATGTGCCCAACATGCAGGTTAGTTACATATGTATACATGTGTCATGTTGGTGTGCTGCACCCATTAACTTGTCATTTAACATTAGGTATATCTCCTAATGTTATCCCTCCCCCGTCCCCCGACCCCTCAACAGGCCCTGGTGTGTGATGTTCCCCACCCTGTGTCCAAGTGTTCTCATTGTTCAATTCCCACATATGAGTGAGAACATGCGGTGTTTGGTTTTTCATCTTTGAGATAGTTTGCTGAGAATGATGGTTTCCAGCTTCATCCGTGTCCCTACAAAGGACATGAACTCATCATTTTTCATGGCTGCATAGTATTCCATGGGGATCCGTGTTCATTTTCTAAATATCTGGGCATGTAGTTCATTTCTCTTTATAAAAAAGTAAGATTTTTGAACTTCGCTGTAGTTTAGGTATTCAAACTCTATAATAGTCTGTTGGACTACCATTCCACTAGTCATAAAGTAATTTAAAATGAGATTAATCTGCAGTAATCATTCTAATTAAATCTGTTTTGATTTCTAGCAATCATTTGTTGTAAGTGCTCAGAGACCATTCACTTGAAACAGTTTACACTTTGACGTACTTTAAACTCACTGGTCTATAGTTTGCAGAATCTCATTTCTAATAAAAACATTTTTTTTGGTCTACTAACACTTAAGTGTTAGTATATTTATATATTTTCCTTACTTTTTTAACTGTTTATAATATAAACATCAATTTATTGTGGAGAGAGCATACCTTCTCCCTTTTCTTCTATCCAAATTGATAGTGCTTCTCATTTAAAATGTTATCCAGGAGGTCTGTGTTTTACAATTCCCAGATTATACAATGGTCTTTTATCTTCCTTTTAAAATAGAAAATACCAGCCCAAGAGTCCATCCTTAAAGAACCACAATCAGACATGATCTTTGTGAGGTATGGATGGGAGGTAGACTAGTTCAAGGCTCAAACCGGATGGGCAGGTGAGGTGAGCCCTGAGGTCTCCGCTCAGTGCTGCCCCCAGTGTGAGAGGTGGCTCTGAGGTTAGCCCTTGGCTAGGTCATGTTTTGAACATGTGGTTCCTCCAGAGATGAGCACCTGGTAATGTTTCGGGGTCAGGGGGCGCCACAGTTGGGTTTCCATCACACAAGGGACATCCTTGAATATATTGCTCCATCTTTTGTTCTGTTGTATTTGGCTACCAATGACACCATCAATTATTGCTTGTCCAGTGACTTCTCTTTTCTCTTGATACTCTCATGTTTGTTTCAAATCTATTTCACGGGAAAAGGCTTTTTAAAAAAATTCTCATACTTTCCTGATTTGACTTAAAGAAACTACTGGTTCTTCATTGTTGTTATTTCAAGGCCTACGGCTGCCCTCTTCACTTTGTTTTTTTTTAAAACTTTGATGAAAGTTTACTAAATTCCTTTTTTAAAAAAAGTTTCCCCTGTTTCTGGGACAAAGAGAAAAGCAAAACAAACAAACAACAAAAATCAAAGTTTCTTGCTTTTCTGGGTCATCACAATTTGAATGTAAAAACAAGATTTTCAAATACTTTTTATTTTGAATGAAATTCAAATGAATAATCATCTTGGCCTTCTGCTTTTTTGTAAAGCAGCAGAGGAAAATTCTAGGAGAACTTAGCAACTCATTTGAATTTCTTCCCCTCCTTTGCCTGAATCTTTGCCTCTCGTGATCTACATGTCAGAGCTCCTACTGTCTTGTTTCTCCAAGTAGATGTCTTCTCTTTGGAAAGGCCCTCAGGCTCCATAGTTGTTTTCTTTGCATGATTTCCTACAGAGCTTGAGCACTTAGCAAACACTCTTGATGATGCCCCTCTGTGCCTTTAAATTTAATTTATGAATCATCTGTATACTAGAGACCTGCTGTTCTGTGTCAGCTGCGCACATGGTATTTTCTGCTGTTCAGAGCCACAGTGCTGCGCTCTCTTCCATAGCAACTTACATATTACAGGAAAATTACCTCAATGAGACTTCAATACCAGAGCAGAACTATAAAGGAGGTATCTGAAATAGCTGGCATTTCATCCACTCAGTTCCTGAGATAGGGAAGCTTTGTGTTTTCCTTTACAATTTTTTTGCCTTTTTACTTCATATTTTATTTTATTGATGTATAATAATTGTAGATATTTATGGGGTACAGAGAGATATTTTGTTTCATGTATACAATGTATAACGATCAGGGTAATTAGCATATCCATCATCTCAAATAGTTATCATTTTTTGTGTTCAGAATATTTGAAATCCTCTCTTCTAGCTATTTGAAAATATAAATAAATCATTGCTCACTATGGTTACCCTATAGTGCCACAGAACATCAGAACTCATTCCTCCTATCCAGCTGTAATTTTGTATCCACTAACCAACCTCTGCCTCCCTTCACCCATACCCTTCTCATCCTCTAGAATATTTTCTTAAACAAGATCAGTTCCTTGGTTTTTAGCGTGTCTCTTTTCATCTTTTCTTAAATTTAACATATTGTTAATTATTATCTTTATTATTTATAAAATATATAAATGAATACAAGTAAAGATATTTATTTAAAGTTGCTTATACAACATTCTTTCGGTAAGTTATATACAATAATCTTTAAAGCCACAGGATTTGCTTCAAAATTTATTTGTATTTATGTTGGGTTATTTCTAGTCCAATTGCTGCCAACTGTATGAGATGTTAAAAAATAACTAAAAGATTATAGAAAAATATTTCAATAGATTGTTTTCCTTAGGTACTTTTAGCAACAATAAATTTCTTCCTTACAAAGTCTGAAGTCTAGTATACCAAGCAGGGAAATCAAAGAATGTTCCAATTACAGCGGGGAGAACTATTTGGAGCTCACTACCCTCACTTCCTCATTTTCCCCATACTTGCCACTGGGATGCCTAGAGATACTTCCAAGAAACTCTGTAAGTCTGGAATAAGACAGTAGAAAATTAATATTTTAGAAAATTATGTCTATATGGAACCCTGCAACCACCAGCCACAGTAACCACATATAACTGCAGTAGCCACTGCTACTTCACATTTCAACATAAATTCCACCATTCTGCTTCTTGTGTGCCACCTGATAAAGAAATATTTTATTCCTTTCCCCTGCTTTCATTCATCAATTCACTTCTACTGAAGTCCAAACCAAAGAGGCAGCAGAAACCATGTAGTCAAAAGGTAGCCACTGCAAATTCATAATGTCGCCTTACAGAAAGCACTTGAGACACGGTGTTTCCAGTGCTTATGGTTTGAATAATCGGACATTCTACGACATCATTAAAACTATAAAAGTCAACACAAAAATTCTAATAACATGCCTTTGAAAAATAAACATTGATCAGTTGAGGAACAGGCAAACTTCAAGAAAGCTACAGAAGGAAGAGATGCATTTCAATTTTTACAATCAATTAACTTTTATATTCTGTCCAAAACCATGGAGGTAATAGGAAAAATCAGAATATCCACATTACTTAAATTGATTTTAGAATGAAACATGTATGTCAGAGACAGTTACCCAACTGAAATTGCACAAAGAGAAATTTAGTATTTAACTCTTATTACAAAATATTTAGGCTTTTGCTAGAATAACAATTTCATATACAATGAGTTTACTTTGCTAATAAAATAAGAGACATTGAAGACTTTATATAAATATTATTTAAATTTATGTAATAATCCTTAGTATGTTTCTCGATATTAAAAATAATTTAAAAAAGCTTTTTATAAATTGTTTTTGGATGCTCTAATACTATATAAATGCTATATAAAAGCTTTCAAAATTGGGAGATATATATTTGACTATTTTGCATTTTATTAAAGAATTTCTCAGGTTTCTTTAACAACCATTTGTTCTTATTCAAAATATAACACTTGTGATATAATAAGCTTGACTTTAAGAAGTCAAACCACGAAATATTCTGAGGAATAACATATATTATGATTTGATGATGCTAAGGTTTCCTTCACTGGAGTAAATTGGTCAAATATGAGTAAATTGACCAAATAGGTATAGGTATAGATATAGACACATATAAATATAGATGCTCCAGTACCTAGTACAAACAACTAATTTGAGAAGCTAGGTGGTGGTTAAGCACAGGCATTACTAGATTGCTGACATTTATTGCTTTAACTGTCCAGCATGTCCCCACTGCTTTTTAGAAAACTGCCCATACCCTCCTACCCTCACAACTATCATGGGAGCCTCACAATAAGATAGTAGGGCAGAAGTTTTTGCACATGTTTTGTTGGTTTGCCTGTGGTCAGCAGACACAATCTAAACCAATAACCATCCATCTCTAGGAAAAGCTGAGAAACAGGCCTAATATACCAACTCAGTAGAATGCTCTGAGGATATATAATAAACAGCTATTTATGTAACCATTTTTCTTCTTTCTAGGAACTTCGGACAGCAGTTAAGTAATACATTTTAAAATGGAGTAAAATAGCAACACAAATTATAAATTATACAGATGGATAAAGAGCAGCATGGAGAGACAAAAAAAGAAAAAACGTGACAGAATCTGATATTTGATTTCTGATCCCAATGGAATGTCTATCCTTATTTTTCGTAAGATATACCAATGCCTTTATTATAGGCTCACAGTTGACTCACTTTTATTTTATCTAATTCAAGCTGGTTTTTTTGTTTAGTCCCTAAAATATGTTCATATTTAAACATTAGTTTTAAAAATTAGCAATGTTGCTGCTGAATATAAAATATATTATCTCTAAATAAGATCACCGTATTATTTCACAAAAGCACAATAAATGTTACCCATTTTCATTTGTTTAATTTTCAAGTAAAACATTTATTTGAAGAAAAAGCATGTTAATATATAAGCAAAATATAACATTTGAATGATACATGCTTGTCAACTTCTAATGTGTAAATCAATGCTCACAGTAGAATTTTACACAACAGCAAAAACTGGAAGCAATTCAAATGTTCATAAATAGGAACGACAAAGGTGTATCAATACAATGGATGTTATATAACACTCCATAGCAATGAAACACAGCTATACACAATAGGACAAATTTTAGCAAAATAAAAATAGCAAAAAAAATTTAAAAGATTATACATAGTACGATGCACATTTGAAACTATCAAAACAACTAAAACACAAAACTGCATGTTAGCAATAGATATAGGTAAAATGAATGTCAATGAAATTATAGACAACAAAATGATAATCATGAGATTATCATGACTGGAGGAGGAAGTCAGGGAATAGATGGTTAGATATCAGTTAGTGAATATGCTACTTTTTAGAGTATTAGTAGAAAATATACTGAAAAAGAAGTTAAAAAAAAGCAGGTCATATATGATGAGAATGTATCAAAAGCTAACAATTGTTGTTAATCTAATTCAGTTTTTAAAAATCTATTGTTAGCTCGACCTTCCCCTTGACACACACAAGTGATACATTATACAGCATGTTTGCAAGTTTAGGCAGAAAAATTGGATTAGCACATATTTAGTAAATTTTCATCAAATATTGTGAAACATATTTGTTGTCCAATTTTTTTAATGGAAATTCTCCTAAAACCTGTATTTTATATTTTAAATATAATATTTTAGAATTTATTTACTATAACATTTCAAATGGTTCTAATACTGTCAAGTATAAGGTGCATTTTATTTTCAAAGTTAAACATGAGAAAGGGAAATGAAGGTCACAGATGAGATGAGATAAGGGTCAGATAGTTACAATGCAAAGCAACACAATAAGAGGGAGGTGTTTCTGCTTCTGCTTGTCTACCTAGCTCAGTTATTCAAGTCTGTGTTCCTGAAAATATTATTTTTAGTTTACATGACTTAGAAGCCAAGATTTTACTCAGCAGAGATTGAATTATACTGAACCTGAACCATGAATTGGTAATTTATGCACCTGAAACATGCTTGAAAATTATGAGCAAGGTGACCTGATGGTATTTCTAAATAATCGGCCCTCCCACTTCCTAGGAAATTTCACCTTTATTACCTCAGCATGATGCTTTCCATCTTACAGCTCATCAGAATGGGCCCACCAAGGATTTTGCTGGTAGTCTGCCTCACATGTTCTAAAAAATGATTGTTATTAAAGAAAAAGAGAAATGTATTTTTCATGTACCTGATTTCTATTATCATAAGAATGATCCTGACTGAACTACGTTTCTTTTGATTGTGATTACGACTATAAATAGTATAATTTGGTTCCCTTGCTCTCTAAGTGGAAACTAAGATTTTTTTTCAGGCTACCGATTACGCTACACTGACATTGAAGCTTGATCAACATGATTGTGTGTTACTAAAGTGTATTCTAAGAGATCTTTACAAATAGGACAATATCCCATCTGAGAAGTAAATTTAAGGTCAGGACCTTTTTGTAATAATTTTTGTATTTTAAGAGCTTAGTTCCTTTCAGTCTATTAACTATATGTTATCTTAGTTATCAGTAGTATTTTTGCTCAAATTAAAATTACTAACAGTTTGAACAAGATATATTCACGGTATATCTGGGATAATGCCATTAGCTGTGATCAGCAAGAAAATATACAGATTATTGTTTTTCAACCTACAGATAATCCCAGTAATTGCTCTTCAAGGTGACCCTCCTCCCTGCTGCCAATCATCAAGTCTTTTTCCATCCAATCATCCTCCGTGTGCGTTTAAATATCTCTTTTGTACATATATTCAAATTATTCAATCTTTCACTTTTCCTCACTTCCTATTATTTACTATTTCCTTTTTCTCCCTTACTTAGCCATGTTTATTCTTTCTGATCAAGCTAAAACCTCACTTTCCATAAAGAATTACTTAATAATACTATTCCAAAATAATCTCTCCTTTTGTGAACTCCTAAAAGTCAGGACTTCAGCCACTCATGTGTATCTTTAAAACCTTATATTTTAGTTACTTAAACATTTGTCATGACAATCCTATTAGCCTGGAAATTCTTGGAGCAGGAGGCTGATACGCTTTTCAACTTTTCATTTATCCTTCCCTTCCCTGATAAAAATTAATAATAATGGTCTCTGCTGTGTTCTTATTTATTTATCTCATGCCAAATAGTCTTCTATGAGCTGCCTTTACAGTGATGAACAAGATTAATGTGGCTTTTTATTTCATTGAACTTCTAGTAGTGACTTAGATATTTTATTAAAGAAACATTTATTAAATTTATACATGAATTTCAGATTCTCCAAATTCAGTGGTAATGCTCAGATATTGATTTTTTATAATTGAGTTCCAAGTGAAAATATCACCTTCTGTTCCTATAACTTCAAAGTCTAAAAAAATTATAAAGTGATATATGTGTAAAGTGATGATTAATTCTTCTATTTAAGAGTCCTTTTCATTGGATGCAAACTATATTCCTCAAAAATAATATTCTAATTTCTAATTTGAATTTTTCATTACCTTGAATAATTATTAAAGAAGTAGAATTTGTCAAAATTATAAGAAATTTCAGCTACTCATTTTGACCACACAAAATCCCCCAGTTTTTAATCTGATTGCAATTATGTGAAAAAACAAACTTTTTAAAAAGTAAATTGAAGGTGGTTTATGTCCATTCAAACGCTTTCTTAAAACAAACAATGCTTGAGTGTCTTAAAGGGCAAATAAAACCCTAAGTCAGAAATTAATTTTTCTTTTTCCAGGAGAGATGGATTTCATAATCGCAGATATTTCTTCTTTGCTTTCTATGATTTTCTTGCTAAGTCTTAGAAGCTGCAGTTTTAAGAAAAGCATTTGAAATGTGTTTGTAACCTGAATGTGAGAAACTGGTTGTATTAGTCTGTTCTCATATTGCTAAAAATAAATACCTGAGACTGGGTAATTTAAAAACAAAAGAAGCTTAACTGGCTCACGGTTCTGCAGGCTGTACAGGAAGCATGGCAGCACCTGCTTCTGGGGAGGCATCGGAATCCCTACAATCATAGACGAAGGCAAAGAAGGAGTGGACACATCATATGGCCAGAGCAGGGGGAAGAGAGAGTGAGGGGAGGTACCAGATATTTGTAAATGACCAGGTCTCATGAGAATTCACTCACTATCATGAGGACAGTACCGAGGACATGGTGCTAAACCATTCAGGAGAAACCCACTCCCATGAGCCAATCACATCCCACCATGCCTCACCTCCAACATTGGGATTTACATTTTTTTTTTTTTTGAGATGGAGCCTTGCTCTTTTGCCAGGCTGGAGTGCAGTGGCATGATCTCAGCTCACTGCAACCTCTACCTCCCGAGTTCAAGTGATTCTCCTGCCTCAGACTCCTGAGTAGCTGGGACTACAGGCATGTGCCACCACACCCAGCTAATTTTTGTATTTTTAGTAGAGACGGGATTTCACCATGTCGGCCAGGATGTTCTTGGGATTATATTTTGACACGACATTGAGGCAGAGACAACATCCAAACTATAACATTCCATCCTAGCACCCTCCATGTCTTTCTCACATTGAAAAATACAATCATCCCTTCTCAATAGTCCCCAAAGTCTGGAATCATTTCAGCATTAACAGAAAAGTCCTAAATCTCATTTGGAAATTTATTGCTTTCACAAATGAATCTATAAAATCAAAATAAATTATTTGTTTTCAAGATATGATGGGGGCACCAGTGCTGATTGGGTAAACATTCTCATTCCAAAAGGGAGAAATTGGCATAAAGAAACAGGGTACAGGCCCCATGCAAGCTTGAAACCGAGCAGACCAGTTGTTAAATCTTAAAGCTCCAAAGTCATATCCTTAGACTCTATGTCCAGCATCCAGGGCACACCGGTGCCAGAGGGGGGCTCCCAAGGCCTTGGGCAGGTTAGCTCTTGGGGCTTTGCCGGGTTCAGCCCCAAAGGCTGCTCTCATGGGCTCGTATTAAGTGCCTGCAGCTTTTCCAGGTACAGGGTGCAAGCTGTCAATGGTTCAACCATTCTGAGGTCTGGAGCATGGTGGCCCTCTTCCCATAGTTCCACTAGGCAGTGCCCCACTGAGGACTCTGTGTACAGGCATCAATCCCACATTTCTTCTCTGCATTGCCCTAGTAGAGGTTCTCCATGAGGGTTCCACCCTAGCAGCAGGCTTCTGCGTGGACATTCTAGCTTTTCCATACATCCTTTGAGATCTAGGAGGAGGCTTCCAAGCCTCAACTTTTGGATTATGTACACCAACAGGCTTAACAACCATGTGGAAACCACCAAGGATTGCCATTTGTGCCCTCCAGAGTGGCAGCCAGAGTTGTACTTGGGCCCCACTTAGCCATTGCAAGAGCTGGAGCAGATAAGATGTGGGAAGCTGTCATGAGGCTGCAGCAGAGCAGCGGGGCCCTGGACCTGGCTCACAAAATCAGTCTTCCGTCCTAGGACTCCGGATCTATGATGGGAGGGGCTGCTGTGAATGTCTCTGAAATGCCTTGGAGACCTCTTCCTATTGTTTTGGTTTTCAGAAGCACTTGCTACATTTTTAATTATATAAATTTCTGCAGCCTGCTTGAATTCCTCCTCTGAAAATGGGCTTTTATTTTCTACCATACAGCCCGTCTGCAAATTTTCCAAACGTTTACACTCTGCTTCCCTTTTAAATATACGTTTCATCTTATTTCTTTGGTCTTGAATCTGAGCATAGGTTGTTAGAAGCAGTCACACCACCTCTTAATCACTTTACTTCTTAGACATTTCTTCTGTCACATACCCTAAATCATCACTCTTAAGTTCAAACTTCCACACACCCTTGGGGTATGAACACAACCCAGCCAAGTTCTTTGCAAAAGCAAAACACATGTGACTTTTGCTTCAGTTCCCAATAAGTTTATCATTTCCATCTGAGGCCTCCTCAGCCTGAACTTCCTTGTCCATATCACTATCAACATTTGGGTCACAACCATTTAAATAGTCTCTAAGATATTCCAAACTTTCCCTCATATTCCTGTCTTCTTCTGAGCACTCCAAACTCTTCCACCCTCTGCCTGTTACCCAGTACCAAAGTCATTTCCACATTTTCAGGTGTCTTTATAGCAATACCTCACTCCTGCTAGGAATTTTCTGTATTAGCTTGTTCTCACATTGCTGCAGTTAAATACCTGAGACTGGGTAATTTATTAAAAAAAGAGGTGTAATTGGCTCATGGTTCTTCGGACTGTACAGGAAGTATGATGCTCGCATCTGCTTGTCTTTGCAGAAGCCTCAGAAAACTTACAATCATGGCAGAAGGCAAAGGGGGAGCAGACAAATCATAGCCAGAACAGCCGAGAGAGAGAGCGGGGGAAGATGGTACACACTTCTAAACAACCGGATCTTGTGAGACCTCGCTGTAGCGAGGGCAGTACCAGAGGTGTGGTACTAAGCCATTCAGGGGAAACCTGCCCTCATGATCCAGTCACCTACCACCAGTCCCCACTTTCTAAATCTGGGATTACATTTTGACATGACGTTTGAGTGGGGGCACACATCCTAACTACATTTCTGGTCAAGCAAACGTGTGACAAAAGAAAGCTGAGTGCAGAAAAAAATAGAAAAAGAAACTATTTTTAAACAATGTGAATATAAAATGAATATTTAAGGTACATGTACAGTTATTATTTCACATGCCTCTCAGCAATGGAATATAGTTTGAGAATTATAGCTTGTGTAATTACATTTACTTTCTTCCTGATTATACTGCTATTGGTGAGCCAGAAACTTGTAAATTATTCAAACAAGCATAATTTTAACTTTCAAGAAGTAAAGGGATTTGTTGGTGTTGAGATGTGCAAGATGAGATCAGAATAATGCTGAATTTGAGGCACAATGCTCATTTTTTATTGACAGTTTATTACCAACAGATGGATAGATTTCTTCTCCTTGGTTTCAGAAACCAAGTCATATGTATTTCCCTTTTAAAAATTGTTCATTTTTAAATACAGAGCACATCCCCAAATGTAATATAAAATATAAACTGTGTAACTATATGGTCAACCCAATATCACCCTCTTGAGGTAAAATTTCTGATACAAGTATTGATAGATATTACTGATCTGATATGCCTTTAATTGACTATAAGTAAAATGTGTAAGAAATGCACATTAAATTTACATTGTCATATCATGTATATAGGATATATATAGACACAGGCACAATATACACAGAAGAAAATATTTATCAATTAAATTATTATGCCAGCAGCAGTTGGATAAAGTAGTGCTTCCATTAAGTTGAATAATAGCAAACTGCATTTAATACATGATTGCACAAAACTCTATCAAAAATTATCTGGCAAGATTTATTGACTGGCTGACACGTAAGCAAAATAAATAATATAATGACAATAACATTTATATAATATACACATAATAAGTAGTTTGGATAAGGTTGTCCCTTTTTTCGGTCTTATTCTAAAATAGTTTACAGTTGTACCATGAGGAAACAAGCCATCAATTCAATAACATGTGAGAATATTATTTGCAAAAACTAAATGTGTTTAGAGAATTATATCCAACATGACCCATATGAAATCTGTGACTACATGACCTTCTGTTAGCATTATTTTATTTAACTGAAAAATAGATTTTATGATACTTAGCAACATTTTCTTTTTGTCTACATCAGTAAAAAACAAAAATAAAAATAATTGCAATATTGGCAAAAAATCATTTATGAGCTATTATGCTATGTAAATTATTTCATCTCTGGGTCTCAGTTTTCTGATATGTAAAATGGGGATAATAATATCATTACTTTCTAGGAATTTGATTAATGAATATTAATTATAAAGTGCTTAGAAGAGTTTCTGGTCTATATAAAGAGATCAATAAATGTTAGCAGTATAATTTTGGATACACACTGTATGTTCATTCTCACGCTGCTATAAGAACATACCTGAGACTGGGTAATTTATAAAGAAAAGAGGTTTAATAGGCTCACTGTACACACATGGCTGGGGAGGCCTCACAATCATGGCAGAAGGTGAAGGAGGGGCAAAATCATGTCTTACATGGTGGCAAGTAAGAGAGCAAGTGCAGGGGAACTGCCCTTTATAAAACCATCAGATCTCATAAGACTTATTCACTACTACAAAAACAATGCAGGAAACATCTGTCCCCATGATTCAATTACTTCTCACCAGGTCTCTTCCCCGACACGTCGAATCATGGGAGCTATAATTCAAGATGAGATATGGGTGGGGTCACAGCCAAACCATATTACACACAAAAAGGAAATTAAATGTATTCATATTAGAGTTTTTAATTAAGCACCTAATGCCTCAATCCAAGCTCAGTGATACATAATTAACTTATTTTGTTGCTTACTGTATTAAAGGAAAGCAATTTAATTACCCCATAGGCATTTTTTTTCTTCATGTGTCACTAACATATATTACTGGACCTTAAGGACGTATCTTATAGATGATGTGTTTTCACAACATGCTACTAAAAGACCAGTATAGGAGGCATTATATTCTCCAGGAATATCTTATGTATTGTAGACGCAGCTTGTTGCATCCTTTGCATTGAGATAAATGTAAAATATTTAACTAATTATGTCAATTTATGTTGTTAGAATAAAATGCTGTTTGAAGGATTGTCAAATTTTAGTTATTAAAAGTCTATATGTACTTAGAGTCTGTCCAAAACAAAACTGAAACATTAGATCAAACATGTCACAAGAAACTTTTTTTTAACTAGAGAAGGATTATTTTTCCTCAAAAAATGTTTTTACTAAATCATTGCTTTCAAATATTTCTGTTATTGTTTTTCTTTTCGAAAGTCTCATAGCTGGCCATCTGTTGCATCTCCAACAAGACTTTACTATTGAGATTCCTCCATATAGTGCAGTAGAATAAAAACCTTCACATGTGTCAGAAAACAAATTTTCACCTATATTTATTGTTGAAATTCTTTAATTAATATTACATATTATATGATGCCACTACTTTAGATTCTGTTGTCAATAAAGAACCAAAGCAATAATCAAGAAAAACCCTCTATCTTCTGCACCCCCCCAGTGACCAGACACATTTTCATTTCTATTTTTATAAATATTTAAGTTTGACAACTACAACAAGAGTTAAAACACAGCATCTGCACCATCTCCTTCTGCTACTAATTGTGGATGTTTTCCACCAACTTCTAGGAAGAAAATCCCACATATAAATCTCCAGTCATTGGGACTTCACTCAATCACCTGAAAGCATAATTACTGCTATCAAATAGAAACTACATAGAACTCAGTATGTTTAAAATCAAAGTCAAAGAGTTCTACATCCAGAATTTCAGTGTAAGGAGCTCTAAACACCCACTCCTTTGCAAAACAAGCCTAACTGGTAAAATTATTTTTTTAAATTGATCATTTAAATTCTCTGGAAATTGTCCTAGGTTCATATAATAAATTAACAGACACTTCTCAAAAGAAGATGTGTAAGCAGCCAGAAAACATGAAAAAATGCTCAACATCTCTAATTATCAGAGAGATACAAATCACAACCACTATAAGATACTATTTGTATTAGTCCATTCTCATGTTGTTAATAAAAACATACCTGATACTGGGTAATTTATAAAGGAAAGAGGTTTAATTGACTCACAGTTCAGCATGGCTTGGGAAACCTCAAGAAACTTACAATCATGGCTGAAGGAAAAGCAAACACGTCTTTCTTCACAGGGCAGCTGGAAGAAGTATGAGAGCTGAGTGAAGGGGTAAGCCCCTCGTAAAACCATCAGATCTCATGAGAACTGGCTTACTATCATGAGAACAGCATGAGCAGCATGAGGGTAACCACCCCCATGATTAAATTACCTTCCCTCCCATGACATGTGGGGATTATGAGAACTGCAATTCAAGAAGAGATTCGGGTGGAGACCTAGCCAAATCATATTACTGTCTCACATCAGTCAAAATTTTTACTATTAAAACGTCTAAAAATAACGGATGTTGGTGAGATTGTGGAGAAAAGCTCACAATTACACACTGTTGGCAGGAACACAAATTAGTTCGACTCCCACGGAAAGCAGTTTGGAGATTTGGAGCAGTTTCTCAAAGAATTAAAAATAGAATTACCAGTTGACCCAGCAATTTCATTACTGAGTGTATATCCAAAGGAAAAAATCCTTCCACCAAAAACACACATGCACTTGTATGTTTATCATAGCACTATTCACAATAGCAAAGACTGGAATCAAACTAGATGCCCATGAATGGTGGATTGGATAAGAAAATGTGTTACCTGTACAGCATGGAAGTCTCTGCAGCCTTTAAAAAGAATGAAAAGAATAAAATCATGTCTTCTGTGATAATATAGATGCAGCTGGAGGCCACTATCTTAAGTGAACGAATGAAGAAACAGACAACCAGATATCGCATATTCTCACTTCTATGTGAGAACTAAACACTGGGTTCATATAGACACAAACATGGAAACAATAGACACTGGGAATTCCAAAAGTAGGGAAGGAAGGAGGGAGACAAAGGTTGAAAAGTTACCCATTAGTTACTAGGTTCACCAGATGGATGACTGGGTCATTAGGAGTCCAAACCTCAGCATCAGGCAATATATCCATGTAACAAACCTGAAAATGTATTCCAAGAATCTAAGGTAATTTTTTAAATAAAAAAAGTATTAATGCAACAAAACCTATTAAGTCTCTGTAAAAATGGGAAATGTCTCTTTGTAGCACTTGAGTCATGACTCACTCCTTTCCTACAACCCCACTTCAGCTTGATCTTAGCTCCACTCTAGAGAAGTGTGTATAAAAATGCAGGACTCACTTGCCATTTAGCTCCCAAAGAAGACGGTATCTTATCATGAGAGTCTAAACATCAGTACTTCTCATTCCCTCCAACTCTGAGTTGCAGATGCCAAATTCCTGATGAATGTAGCCAAATAAGTCAAAAATCTCGTGCATCACCCTGGAAACAGTAAAAGGGCATAGGCTCTGCACCAGGCAGGCAGGCCACAATTTTCTTGGCCACAGCTGGCCCATAGTGTAGTGGTTCCATGTGGGAAAAATGAAGCCAAGAATTACAAAGCTTACCACCCTTTCTCAGCACTCAGATTACTGGCTCAGGGATTTTCAACAGGGAAAGAGGCAGTCAGTCATAAGAACAGAAAACTCTGAAGATATCCTCAAAAGATCTGTCTTTATTTGATACAAAATGAGAAGTTCAAGGCCAAAAATTATCTAATGGAGAAATTTGGTGACAAGCAAATTAGAAAAGACTGGTAGTTCTTCGTAGTTAAAAGCAACAAGTTATTACATTTTGAGTCTATTGAAACACTAATGATATTTGAATGTTGATTATTTTATCTTGCATTTTTATGAAATGTGTTTGATATATTGAGGTTCTAATTTCATTTTTCTCAACATATTTTTATTTCCCTTTCGATTTCTTCATTGACCAATTGGTTATTCAGCAGTGTGTTATGTAATTTTCAAATATTTTTTAATTTTCCAATTTTTCTCCTGTTATTGATATTTAGATTCATATTACTGTGATCAGAAAAGTTACTTAAAGTGGTTTCATTTTTTTTTAATTTGATAAAACTTGTTTTGTGGCCTAACATATGATCTATCCTAAAGAATATCCTGTGTGCTTGAAAAAAAATGTGCATTCTCCTGTTGGGTAGGATGTACTGTATATGTCTGTGAGGTCCATTTGACCTATAGCACTGTTAAAGATTGATGTTTCCTTAATGATTTTTCTGTCTGGATCACCTATCCATTGTGGAATGGTGGGAGGGGGGGAGGAATTGATGCCCCTACTAGATCATATTTTTGCCCATCTCTCCTTTTAGTTCTGTTAATATTTGCGTTATAGACGTAGGTGCTCTGACGTTGCATGTATATAACCTTACAATTGCTATATTATCTCCTTGAATTCAATACTTTTTCATTATGTTATGACCTACTTTGTTTATTTTTATAGTTTTTCACTTAAAGTCTATTTTGTGTGAGGCAAGAATAGCCACACCCGCTCACTTTTGTTTACCATTTGCATGTCTTTTTCCACCCCTTCGTTTTTTTAGCCTACGTGTGTCTTTAAAGTTGAAGTGAATCTCTTCTAGGTAGCATATAGTAGGCTCTTTGTTTTTTTTAATCCATTCAGCCAGTCTATGTCTTCTGATTGCATAATTATATCCATTTATATTAATAGGTAAGGACTTATTTATGCCATTTGTTATTTTCTGACTCTTTTGTAGTTCCTTTGTTTAATCTCTTGCTGTCTTCCTTTGTGATTAGATGATGTTTTGTATTGTTATCTTTTGATTTCTTCTTCTTTATCTTTAATGTATCTATTGTCTTTCTTGGCTATCGTAAGGCTTATATAAAATATATTATAGTTATAACAATCTATTTCAAGATAACGACTTAATTTTGACCAATACAAAAAATTTGCACTTTAACTTCTCCTTTCCCCACATCTTACGTTAGTGAAATCACAATTTATATCATTTATATATTGCATATCCATTAACAAATTACTGTTGCTATAGTTATTTTAACACTTTGTCTTTTAACTTTTGCACTACAATTAAAAGTAGTTATGCAACACCATTATAGTGTTAGATTACTCTTAATTACTTTCTTACATTTATGATGAATTTTCTACTCTCATGTGTATTCATGTTTATGTTTAGTGTCTTTTCATTTTCACTTGAAGAACTTCCTCTAGCATTTCTTGCAAGGCAGGTCTAGTGCTGATGAACTCTCACAGCTGTTTCTTTAGCAAAGTCTATTTGTCTTTCATTTCTAAAGGACAGTTTTGCTGGGTATAGTGTTGGTGATTGCAGCGTTTTTCTTTTCTTTTTTTTTCTTTTTTTTTTTAAGAGTTTGAGTACATTATCCCATTCTCTGCTGGCTTGTAAGGTTTCTGCTGAGAAATATGTGATAGCTTCTGCATATTCCCTTATACGTAATGAGTTGCTTTTCTCTTTATTTCCCTCTTCAGGACACCTGAAGAGGGTACCTGAATAAGTAAATTTCTATTATTTATTTAAATAAACTTTCTGCCCCTTTAAATTTCTCTGCTCCCTGTGGGACAATCATCATGCATATATTAACTTGCTTGAGAGTGTTCCTAAAATCCCTCAAGAATCTCATTTACAATAGTATCAAAAAGAACAATACAAATAAATTTAACCAAAGAAGTGAAAGTTTTGCACATTGAAAATTATAAAAAAATGAAACAAATTGAAGAAGATACAAATACATGAAAACTATTCAAAGCTTTATATTGATTCATTGCATTCCCTATAAAAATTTAATGGCATTTTTCATGAAAATAGAAAAAAAAACTAAAATTCATATGGAACCACAAAAAAACACTAATAGTGAAAAAATGGAGAAAAAAGAACAATGCAGAAGTTATTACAATCTCTCATTCCAAATTATACTGCAAAGCTATAGTAATCACAACAACGTGGTACTGTCATTTAAAAAAAGACACATAGGCCAATGTAATAGAATAGGATGCCTAGAAATCTCACATTTGCCGCAATAAACATACGTGTGCATGTGTCTTTATAGCCGCATGATTTATAGTCCTTTGGGTATATACCCAGTAATGGGATGGCTGGGTCAAATGGTATTTCTAGTTCTAGATCCCTGAGGAATCGCCACACTGACTTCCACAATGGTCGAACTAGTTTACAGTCCCACCAACAGTGTAAAAGTGTTCCTATTTTTCCACATCCTCTCCAGCACCTGTTGTTTCCTGACTTTTTAATGATTGCCATTCTAACTGGTGTGAGATGGTATCTCATTGTGGTTTTGATTTGCATTTCTCTGATGGCCAGTGATGGTGAGCATTTTTTCATGTGTTTTTTGGCTGCATAAATGTCTTCTTTTGAGAAGTGTCTGTTCACAATAGCAAAGACTTGGAACTAACCCAAATGTCCAACAGTGATAGACTGGATTAAGAAAATGTGGCACTTATATACCATGGAATACTATGCAGCCATAAAAAATGATGAGTTCATGTCCTTTGTAGGGACAGGGATGAAATTGGAAATCATCATTCTCAGTAAACTATCGTAAGGACAAAAAACCAAACACCACATGTTCTCACTCATAGGTGGGAATTGAACAATGAGAACACATGGACACAGGAAGGGGAACATCACACTCTGGGGACTGTTGTGGGGTGGGAGGAGGGGGGAGGGATAGCATTAGGAGATATACCTAATGTTAAATGACGAGTTAATTGGTGCAGCACAGCAACATGGCACATGTATACCTATGTAACTTACCTGCACATTGTGCACATGTACCCTAAAACTTAAAGTATATTAATAATAAAATAAAATAAAAAATTAAAAAAAGAAATCTCACATTTGCAGTAAACTGACCTTAAAACAAATAACCAAGGACTCCCATAAGGAAAGAACTGTCTTATCATTAAATGATGCTTGAAAACCTGGATATCCACATGCAGAAGAGTGAAATTGAACCCTTATGTCATATTATATGTAAAAAAAAATTAAAAATAGATTAAATACTTAAACATAAGACCTGAAACTGTAGAACACCTGGAAGAAAACATAAGGAAAAACCTTCTCAACATTGGGCTGGAAAATTGCTTTGTGAATATGACCCCAAAACACACATAACAAAAGCCAAAATAGGAAAATGGAATTGCATAAAGTTAAAAAGCTTCTAAAACAATCAAGAGAATTAAGAGACAACTTGCAGAATTAGAGAAAATGTTTACAAGTAATACATCTGATAAGTGGTTAATATCTGATATGTATAAAGAACCCAACTGCTCAATAAAAAGAAAGCAAATAACAAGATTTTTTAAAAAGGTAAAAGGATATAAAAAAAACAGTTCCAAAAAAAGACATACAAATCACTAACAGAAACATGAAAAGGTGGTCAACATCAGTAAACATCCAAGAAATGCAAATCAAAGCAGTAATGAGATATCACCTCACACATCTCACACATGTTAGAATAGCTATTGTCAGAAAGACAAAAGGTAACAAGAGTTGGCAAGGGAACCCTTGTACACTGGTAATGGGAATGTAAATTGGTACAGCCTTATGGAGATAGTAGAAAGTTTCCTCAAAAATTAAAAATAGAGCTTTCATTATTATTCAGCAATCCCATTTCTGGGAATATATTCAAAGGTAATGAAATCAGTATGTTAAAGAGATTAAGACACTGCCATGTTTATTGCAGCATTATTCAAAATAGCCATGATATGGAAAAAAACCAAGGAATGAGTGAATGAAGAAAATGTATGTCTGTATATGGAAATAAATATTATTTATCCTTTAAGAAGAAATAATTTCTTACATTTGTCACAACATTGATGAACCTGGAAGACATTATGCTAAATAATATAAGCCAGATATAAAAAAAGAAATAATGCATGATCTCACTTATATATGGAATCTAACAATGTCAAACTCATGGAAGCAGGCAGTTGAATGGTGGTTCCCAGTGTCTGTTGTGGTGGGAGAGGGGAAGTAATGCAAAAATGTTGCCCAAAAGGTATAAAATTTCAGTTAGGATAAATAAAATCTAGAAATTTATTGTATAACATGGTCACTATAGTTAAAAATTATATAATGTATACCTGAAATTGCTGAGAGTAAATCTTAAATGTTCTCACTGAACACACACACTCACACACAGAATAACTATGTGAAGTGATGGATATATTAATTTCTTTGATTATGGTAACCATTTCACTATGGATACATATATCAAAGCAACACATTGTATACCATGAGTATATACAATTTTTACTTGTCAATATTCTCAATAAAGCTAGAAAAAATGCAACAAGCTAAACACTAGGTCAGCTAGTTTATGAGGGATAACTTTCTTCTATTGGCTGATTTAAAAGCAATAATATGAAATAATGTATATATAGTATTGTTTTGGGGTCTATAACATATAAAGTGTTATACATTTATGTACAGTACAAAGGAGTACAAAGGAGGTGTGTGGGAGCAAAGCCATATGGAAATGAAGATGTGAAATCAAATGGTAATCATGATCATTTAAATCTACAGGGACAAATGAAGAGAACCAGAAATGATAAGAGGTTAAAATAAAAAACTGTATAAATACATACTTTCTTTTCTCAGTTTCATTAGTAAGCATGAATTATATAAAGCCATAACTTATATTATGACTTTATAACTAAAACTATTATATTTATAACTAAATAGATATATGAATAAAAATAATAGCATATAAAAAGGGAAGAAAGATATGGCTATATAGAAGCTGTATCTCACTAGATATAAGGTAGTATAAATCAAATAGATAACAATAAGATATATATGGTAAATCTGGTATTAACTACTAAGAAAGCAATTTAAAAAACACATGGGAGAATATTAAAGAACAAATCTTACACTAGAAAATATCCATTTAGTGCAGAAAAAGACAGTATAGGAGAGAGAGAAACAAAAAATATATGATCATATAGAAAATTTTGAGTACAAATAGTATAAAATCGTCAATGATGGTACTGAGGGTCAAGGTAGGAGCCCTCAACTGATGTAAATCAATGCTACATGGTTTATATATCTGTTTCTATGTCAGTACCATACTGTTTTGATTATTGTAGCTTTGTAAAATATTTTGAAGTAAAGAAATGTGATGCATCCAGCTCTTTGTTATTTTTTTCCGAAGATTGTTTTGGCTATATTGAGTATCCATGAGTCCATATCAATTTTAGGATTCTTTTTCTATTGTTGTAAAAAATGCCATTGAGATTTTTAGAAATTACACTGAACTGACTCTGTATATCACTTTGGATAACATAAACATTTAACAATACTAATTTTTCCAATCTGTGAAGATGGGAAGTCATTTCATTTAACTGTTTTCTTTAATTATCTTCTTCAAAGTTTTATAATTTTCAGTGTCCAGGTCTTCCACATCTTTGTTTGAGTTTATTCCTAAGCATTCTATTATTATTGTTGTCCTTATTGATAGATTCAAGGTCTTCATTTTCTTGTCAATTATTCCAGTGTTTTTGTATAGAAAGTGCCAGTTAATACTTTACATTTGGTTATTGGTTTTTGATGTTAGATTCAAACTCACTGTTAGATTTAAAACATTATCCTTATTATTTTCTAGCTTTTGTATATATGAATAAGTCACTTTCATAACTTAGCTTAATTCCTATTACTGTATATGAATATTACTTCAGGATGGCTACCTATTCATCAGAAAATTCATGCTATCATGGCAATTTTTCTATGATTTATTCAGTTTGCTATAGTTCTACAATTGGGCTTGTTATTAAAATACACCGACAAATTATAAACAAAAATATAATACATTTTATTCATACAAAAATCATATTAATAACTTTATGAGAAACCTTTGTGCTTTTTATTAAAACATTTCTCTCTTTTTGATAAAAAATTATTTTGTAAATGGACTCAATCTGCTCAAAGGTTTTAGAACATTTTTTTCTGCCCCTCCCTAGGCAACAATAGACATAATGTACATTCATAATTTATATGAATCTGCACTTTAATGTCAACTGATTGTATAAAATATAGACTTTTTTTACTTCTTTCAACTAAAATTCTATATTTATCTTTCTTACTCCATAAGCAGTCATGCTCTTTGAGATGATTTTTAGCATCCCTTAAATTAAATTTGTTGTTATTTTAGCACATAATTATTTTTAATTAGGAGTTTATTTTTGAGTTAACTCTCAATCTCATTTACAGCTGTATATGAGACAAATGTCCTCTAACTTTCTCCAGTGTCATGTCAGATAACTGTGCTGCTAATCATTCCATGCTCCAACAGTGATTTTAAAATTTAATTGAGTTTTGGGTCTCGTTATTTGAAACAAACTTCCCAAATACCCATGTACAAAGACAGCAAATCCTAACTGGGTTTTGAATCAATTCTTCCAAGATTTAGTGCACCCATAAGGTATAATACCTTCCACACTGTATTTAAGCACATCATTCAGAAGCAATAATGTCTATCCTTCTCTTTTATTTTGTGTATGAAACTCTGTGTGGTGGTGTGATCCACATAGTCCAAGCAGTGCTGAACACTGGAAGCAGCAACAATATCCTATCCCCTAACTGCATTTACTGTTAAGTGTAGATGTTTATGCATTCATGTATCTTTGATGGAGTGAAGGCTCTGAGATGATTGTTTGCAGCCACATTAGGGAAATCGGTGGAGACAGGGAATGGCATGATAGGAAGGAGGCTGTGACTCAACTGTTTCAGAGACCATGACTCCTGCAGAGAGAGCTGCAGGTGATGTGGTAGGGATCATGTTTACATAAAGCTGGTGACACTCTAAGCCTAAGCTATAATGCCTCAGGGCCAACCTGGAAAACAAAAGTACAAGCTCACACTGAGAACCATGTTCTGCATTCCTTACTTCTGAACTGGTCCCAGCACAAACAACATAGGCTGGTGCAGCATCATAGAGGCTGAGTGTCCATAGATGACAGTGGTCAGTGACTCCTTCCAAAGCCTGTTTGTTGTTAATGGATTTCTAAGAAAAGGCTAGGGCTGATTTATGGGCACTGTCTTGTTCCTGGGTACATGAAAGCCTATTTCTATGTAATTTAAAAATAACTCAGGAAGTCATTGAATCTGTGAGTAGGGAGATTGTAGTTAGAAGGTGAAATTTTACAATTACAATGGAGGAAGACTGAAGTCCTGAAGATATATGCATTTTAAAGCTAATGGCCAAATGGAATTTGAATATTAATTATAATATAAGCATGTAAGAACAAAAAAGACCCAGAGAATGATAAGGACTGTAAAACTCTAGTTTACAAGACAAAAACAAAAATCAACAAAAAGAGTTTTTAGAGCTGCTATATGTCATTTTCCTGAGTATTAAATTATTTTGAAGAGAAACAATTGCATCAATCAAAAGCTACCCCTCTGCAGTTTGGAAGGAATTGGCTAACTATTTACTCTCTTGAGTCCAAAGAACAGTTGGAGGAAACAATTTTGCACCCTTGTGAATTTCATTCCAGTCTTGCTCACATACTTGCTCAATATGTTTTTGTTGACAGATGAAGTGACTGGCAGATGTAACAAGCGACTTCTATGTTCTTTCTAGTTATTAAGGTTTTTTCTTTTCATTTTATTTTTTCTTCCTTTTTGTTTTTCTAAGTAGAATAATTTTATTTGGATGAAAAGCACTCATGGCAGCAAAAAAATCTATGGGGATATTCAAAGTGTTTGAATAACATATGGTGTGCTTGGATATATAAAACAAATCTAAATGTTTGCAAAGAGCTTCGTATTTCCAAATTTCGAATGATACTAGAATTTACTCAAATTTATTTCATATAAATTATCACATAGTAGATGTGATATATTTTGAAAGTTTACAGTATATGCCTTACAAAATAAATTAGAGGGAGATTTTCATTTCAGAGATGTATTGCAACTTACAAGATAGTAGATACCAAATCAACCATAAAATACCAGCCTGCCTGGCCAGGTTGGAAAATATTCAGTGTTACACAGAATGCACTTAAACATTACTTCTTTGTAAAAAAAATAAAATAAAGTAAAAAATACTTTTTTGTTCAGGTAAATGCTAAAATTTTATTATGCACCAGGATTTCCTGAGCCACTACAGCATGGCAAAGACCCGCTAATGCAAAATAAAGTGCACCCAGCTAGAGATAGTGACAAGTGGTAGCGGTACACAGAGATATGCCAGTGTGTCTGGGAAGTAACTGGGCGTATCGTGTGCAGAATTTATTGAATGAGGCAGGTACGGCTTAGTCCCTCTTTAAAGGACTTTCTTAGCCTTACTAAGCAAATAAAATTATTTGTAATTATTATTACAAAGCAGAGGATATAAAAAAAAGAAAACAATTCAGAGAAGTGATAGAAGATAATGATCAAAGACTTTAACTTATTTCAGACCTTAGTAAGGGGTCCGTGAAATCTCAAGCATACATACAGATTAGTGCATGTGTGTGAGTATTTAAACTATTCGGTAGGCTCCATGATGAGGTTTTAGTCATTTCCTGCTGATACTTTTGTTGGTATTTCAGTCTAGATAAAAATTATGTCAGGATACTTTTAAACTAGATACGTGGACCAGAACCAGGAGGTGGAGATGAGACTCAAAAGTATACAAATGGCAATTGCAATCATGATTCTGGGTACAAGAGCAAGAAAATCTCATAAGTGCAGACCTTCAAAATGAATACTTTTACCCTTATTCCATGCTCCTTTGTGAGTTTAAGACAATGTTGTTTCCTCATGCTTTAGAAAGTCATTTTCCATGAGTAATAATTTTAGATTATCATAAAACAATACATTTCATTTTTTGGAAATCATTTTATACTATTGTAAAACAAGACAAACTCAATTATTTGGAATACATTATTTATACATGCATGTATATAATAAATTGGCATGTTCTAAAACCTGACTATCTTTTCTTAGCCATCTTATGCTAGGTAATTACTCTTCCTCCTTCCTTTTATTCTTTAACTATTTACACACTGTTGACAATTACTTGTTCAACCTTGCTTACTGTTTTCAGCATGTTTACATCAGTATTTGTACATAAATCTGTTTCATTTACTATTATTTCTGTTATATTTTCTGAATTCCTCACATTTTCTATGCTTTTCTTATGAGCTTTTTTACTCTCCCAATGCATCCCTTGAGTGTTGCCTGAACAGGTACTGCAGTTCCTGATCCTCATGGGAATAATTTCTTAGTAGTTTCCTTCATTCCCATATCCTACTTTGTGATATGCTCATGAAACTTGACTTTTTAAAAAAAATATTGAAACAGAACCAATTATTTTCAAATATAATTTTACTTCCAGATAATGAGGGTAATTGGATTTTAAACAATATTGTTAATACTATCTCCTAATTTTCTGTAATTAGGTTAACTATAGTTGTATTTTCTATAGACTCAATATATAAATTTTACCAGTTTCAGTTCATTTTTCAACAGACTTTTATTTCACTAAAATGTTAATAAGATACTAATTTAATTCACCAAACTTTTCAAAAATGTTATTTAAAGATAGTTTACAAAGAAGGCCATTTATTTTCTTTTTTGTCTTTTATTTATTACTTTTATTTTCCCACAGGTTATTGGGGTACAGGTGGTATTTGGTTACATAAGCTCATTAGTGGAGGTTTGTGAGATTTTGGTGCACCCATCAACCGAGAAGTATACGCTGCACCCAATTTGTAGTATTTTATTCCTTGTCTCCCTCCCCCCACTTCCACCCAAGTCCCCGAAGTCCATTGTATCATTCTTACAGAAGGCCATTTATTTTCCTCACAGGGACTCAGATATCTTTTTTCCAGGTCACCAGTTTAGTAATGTGTCATATTTCATGATTATTTTCCTTAAAATGTTAAAGATTATGCTACTTTGAAAATTTCTAAATTTTCTAAGTGATTTTGTGTATTTTATAAATTTATTATTTAAGAAGCTCACTTATTTTACTTTTACTTTTTTTTGATTGCTCAACAGCCTCTCAATTAAACTTGTTTCTCTATTTTTCAGTAGGATATTAATACTTAAACTGTACCATTTGTTGAGTATGATGTCTTAAATTATATTTCTCATATTCTGATTTAGTTTAAATGGATCTATGTTACGTTGTTTCAAGTGTTTTAAATATTTTATAAGTTATCCAGAACAAAATTGAAATGCTACCTATAATCTAGGATATTAATTTTTAGGTCTCATATTCAAGTCATTTTTAATCTGTTTTAACTTTTGTTCATATAGTTTGAATTTTCAAATCTCCTAGAAGTGAGTGTTTTGATGTTTATTTTTCACTGTCCTGCCCTAAAGGTGTTCTGCATTGCCAAGTTCAGTATCATCTAATTCAAATTTTTGTTTTCCATTCTGTATTTTCAAATTTTGGTCCATGATAAGCTAAAGTCAGGAAGTCTTCAGACATGGAAAACTGCTGTTTCAATCATTACCGTTTATGCATAAGCGGACTTACTTTTCATGTTATGCTAATATAAGTCTTTCTGTCACATAAACTAATAATAATTGCCAAGAATTCGCACTGAAAAAAAAAACTATATTATTTTCTTACCTGTAGCTGATTTAATGTTAAAACAAAGTTGAATCCAAAATGTGGAAAGTGTAAATTCATACAGGTTTGTTTTCGGTTTGTATTTACTTTTTATTTTTTGTTTTCTTTTAAACATGAAAGGCTGTTTTGAATTTAAATTATGTATTTTTCTTTATGATCTGGCTTTATTTTTATATGTTTGCTAGTTTTTTCCTTATGTTTGTAAATTTTGTTCTTGTAGATTGCCACAGTTTAGTTATATATAATACCTATTTTTTATTTATGTAAAAATGACATGCAACTGTGAATCATAAGATTGCAGGAATGGAATAATAATGAACTAATTTGCAGTGAAGTGGACTCATTATCATGCCAGCTGCTGGTATTTTCCCACCCAGTATTCTTCCTGGCAAACAAGGTCCCAGGGGGAAAGTCTTCCGTCTGGCTAAGGAAAATAGTCCTTTACTTTAGAAATCTCTTTAAATCTGATAATCATTACTTTAAAGTAATAATAATTTTTTAAATTATATACTTGTTTTTCCAATGGCAGCTGTTTCTTTATGGAGTCTATATTATATATATATGAATATATATATTCATTACCTTAATATGCCTTGTTATAATGCTGTTTTATTTTTGGTTAAACATTACATATAAATTACATGTAAAACATAAATTTCCAGAAGATACATGTAATTTCGTATATTAGCCTTATAGAATAAGAACCATCAATTTCAATTGGTAATACAATAAATTATATAGTATATGGGCAAATTCAGATTTTATGTAGATACATTATGTGTGTATATATATATATATATATATATATATACACACACACATGTAGATGCATATATGTTCTTGGGTTTATTTTGACATTTCAAAAATTACTGCAACCTCTAAACAAGAAAATAGCAGTCTATTATTCTTTTTACATATGTGTGGTTAAATACTCATCTTAAATCCTCTTAATGAGAAATACTTGCTAAATAATCATACAAATATGGTAACAACACTATGTAAATAATGCAGCTTATTTTCTTTTGCATTTTATTTTAATATGCATGTTCTTGAGCGCATTTGGCATTAGCTCTGCCTTTAATTTTCAGTAGCCTAGAGGAAAAACTAAATTGATGAACTTTCATATTTCTTTAAGCTATGTAAAACCCAATTATTGTCATCAACACAAGCTGCTATTATGTGGTCATTAAACTCTTTTGTTACTCAAAATTCTCTCTAAAATAAATGTGCCACCTACATTCTAAAATATTTTTGAATACATTTAAAGCATGATTATAACAAAGTATCTGAGCTCTTCTATTTTGTATGAACCTTAAATAATGTTTTGGTTCTTTCTAGTCCTTTTTCTCACTTGCCACAGTGTTCCACAATATCTGAGGAAATAAGATCTTCTTAAAATAAAAATAAGAATTACAAAATTTTCCTATCTTTAGATAAATATAAAAGCCCATATTTTGAAAGACTGTTGACACATTTAGAAATATAATAGCATAGTCATCATAGAGAGTTGAAAGTGATTGTTTAAATTTGCCCTGATACACTGAGAACAATATTTTTCTTAAATTCAATGGCTTTGATAGAAAGTATTTTCATGCATTTATCAGAATTTAAAATGCTACTTGGGGAAATGCAGAGTGCTAGAACAAGTTTAAAATGTAGCATGACATCTTCAATTACACACAATCAATTGACTACTCACTTCTTCAAGTTAAATTTGTCTCAGGATATGTCCATACTGTAATAAAATACTTCTACGCTTCAAATTAAAAAGGGCATGTTTTGTTTTGTTTTCTTAACTGAACAATATTGATATTTTAATCACCTAATAATTAAATTTTCATTTTTATCCGACTTATTGGAATCCTGTAAACCAATTTTCCAAAAAAAGGACTTAGTAAAGGGAAAATATGAGCAGTTATATAAAAGCTGGCATTTTAAGCTAATAACCTGTTTAGTTTAAATGAGTCTATTTCACACATTATTTTCTTTCTCATGTCTTATTTTTTATAAAGTACTGATTCCCTAGGAGAGCAAAATTAATTTATACAGAGCATCCACTTTTGAATATGAAGTAAACTATTTTTAAATAATTAGCTCAAACCATAAGGTGGTGCAGTGTGAGTGATACCTGTGGGTGTGCCAGTTGTAGAATGCCGGTGCCAATCTGCAAGAGATAATTTAGCAGTAGGAGCATCTGGCTCCTTGGCAAGCTCGTTAGGCATTTTTCTTGGCACCAGTTAGTTACCTCTATGTTGATCACTTGATAATACATTTTAAAAGGTCTATGGATTATTTAGCTAACATTTAAGCAGTGCTTATTCTTCTTTTTTCTTTTTAATCAATGTGGTTCTCATCGGGTCAAATGCAGTATATTAGTGTGTATGAGAGAGAGAGAGAGAGAGAGAAGGAGGGAGAGAGAGGGAGGGAGGGAGGGAGAGAGAGATAAATCTAAATACTTAAGAGCTTTACTAATAGTCTGAAACAGAAAACACTTTAAGGTTGTATTATTGTAGAAGAGTGTTCCCTAAAAATGTACCACAATGAAACACTATTCTAAACTGAGATATAAAATATACCTTTAAAAAGTTTGTCAAATTATATATATTGAATAACAAATACAATGTTGAAGTATCACACTACCAAACTTAGGTAGGAAAAAACAAAACAGAAAACCACAGTATGGATTCCTGGTTGATACATGGTTTCTATCTATCATAATTAATTTAACAGAGACAGATCAAATTAGTTTCGTTGTAAGAAAATCTCAGTGGAATAAAGTAACAGTTGGTGCAAAGAAGTTATTTCAGTTGCACAGACATGGTTAATTCTCTTGCAAAGCTTTTCCAAATAGCCTTACTTTAAATTAGATATGATATTTCCACTTTTTCGTGCAGAAGTGCTAATTTCAGTCTTTATAGAGGAGTTTGCCTTTTGGAGAATAAAAATTTTGATTAAGCGTTTGACATTCAAAAAGTTCCACCATAGTTTATATTCATATACAGTTATACTTATAAATAAGTGAATGTTTATCTAGTTAGGTATATACATATGATTTAGAATGAATTATAGGCCAATTTCTTCCTCTCACCCTGTATCCAGGCACAGTGCCATGAAATCTCTTGCCTAAAGGTGAAACTTTCTTCCTCAACTCTTGACTTGGGGATTAGCCACTGACTTGCTTGGGCCAAAGAGATGTTAAGAAACCTAATGCAAGTAGGAATTTGAACTGTGCTTGTGCAGCCTGGTTGTCCTCTTACATCATGGTCATTGTCATGAGAAGAGCTTCACCTGACCCCTAGTAGAATGCAGTGGGCAAGTCCACAACTAACCAACCAGCTGGAGGCTACAAAAGCAGAGACACCCCAGCTGACACAAAGATTCATGAGAAATAAACCGCTTATCGTACACCACTGAAAGCCTGTGGTAGGCCCACAGTAACTGCTGATTGATATAATATATTTTACATTTACTTTGTGCTTAGAATAATTGTTGCATATTCTTAAACTTAAACCAATATAGTTAATACTCCCCAATTGGCCCTATTAATATAATATCTATCTATAAACTTTATATGATTTTTATATATACTTGGGTTGGGAACATCTTTTTTAGCAAAAAAGGGAAAATGTAAGTCACAGAAAGCAGGGTAAACATTAAATCATGAAAGTAAAAAAAATGGGCAAATGTTTGTATAACTTTTTATTTTGATAGAAGAATTGAAATCACCCCAATAGTTCCATAGACAGTTTTTTTTTTTCTAATAAACATAGAAATTGACCTTTCTTATCTTAAAGCTTGAATCTTCCATTTGTTTTATCTGGGTTTCTTCCTCAGGAAAGGACCTCTCGGCCTCTCAAAAAAAAAAAAAAAAAATCAAAGAACTGACAGTCTCCAGATGACCATATCTAGACAATGAGATGTCAGATCCCTCATTCATCATGATTCTTTCCTTGCTCCTCCCTAGTTCCTGTTTTTTTTACACACTGCTACATTTCTTCCTGGGTATATAAACCCCTAGTTTTAGTGGTCAGATAAATGGGTTTGAGGCAGATCTCCCACCTCCTCGACTGCAGCACCTGGTGAAAGCCTCCATCCTTGGCAATAATCATCTCAGTGATTGGCTTTCTCTGTGGCAAGCAGCAGGACCTAGACTGAACCGCTGATGTTTTGGTAACAGAATCACAGAAAATCACACATGTGTAATACACATAAGAAAGGACTCATAAAAATAAATGTGAAATGGTGAAAAGCTAATATGCTATTAGCTTTTACAAATAGTTAAGTCATAATTAAAAGTCAAATTAATGAAAATTAGTAAAGATTCTGAATAAGCAGTTCATTAAAAAAGGAAATTCAATGGTCAATGAAGTTCAAACAACTATTGGACTTCAATAACAGAAGGAAGTATGTGACTTGTTCACCATCCTATTGACATTAATAAAAATCAATTATTATTGATAATGTTTAAGAAGGCAATAGTGTGGGAGAGTGTGCTATTTGGAATGTGAATTGTGGACAACTTCCCAGAAGTGGCATATAATTTAATAAAGAAAAGGAAAACAGAGTACACCTTTCTTCCACAGTACCATTGTTAGTGGAAAAAAATATGTGTGTGTACCCACACATACACATATATATATTTATTTGCAGTATAATGATGAAAACTGGAAGTAGATTGATGTTCACCAGTAGGATAATAATTGCATAATTTATGTTCAAAAGTACATCATGCAAATATTTTTTTAAAATCCATATTTTTATATAATCTGAAATTTTACCCATTATATATTAAGTAAAAATCATTACTGTGTAATATATATATATAATTTTATTTTTATATAAAAACAGAAGTGAATAATTTCTTTTTATATTGATATATGTATATTCTCATATAGTAATATCAGCACAGACAGATACTGAAGGATTGATATGAAATATTTAATGTTCTAACGTTCTGTGGGTTTCTTTTGAGGGGAGAGGAACAACTTGCTAGGTTTCTCTCTGCATATTCCAACTGCATTGCTACAACAGGGTAGTACGGTCTTATATTTACAGTTCAAATAACAGTTCCAATTGACAAAATCATCTTTTTGTGATAAATTCTGACTTCCAATTCTGTAAATTGATTTCAGCAGTATGGCCACTTTAATACTAATTTTTACACTCCATGAAAATGGACTGTTTTTCCATTTACTTGTGCTGTCTCTGTACACAGCTAGGCATTGTACAGTAATGGAAAAAGATGAAAAAAGGTGAAATACGAAATAAATCTCCACCTCAGGTAGAGTGAATGGTCTCAGGGGTTCTTGTCATGTCAATTGCTCTTGACTTTGTGCGTTTTATTACTTACATCCTATTCATCTTGCAAATCCTAGACCAATGGAATTTTTTCAGTCCCATTTCTACATCTTTTGTTTCCTTCAGCAACTGTTTTCTTCAATTTTTTGTTCTGTTGTCAGAAAAACTGAGTTGAATGCTAAATAATTTTCAAATCAACATTATCACCATTTTATCTACTAAATTGCTAAAAGCTTGAGGACTGGGGTACACTTGTACTTTATTTCTCTGTTAATCACAAGATGAAGCACGTTGACCAGTCTGAAAAAGGCACTTGTAAACATTTTCTGATGATTGTTTGGTTTATTTGTATTGCTAGTACTAATTAATCAAGAATCTCCTTTAAAAAACTTCTCTTAATGACTTTCTCAGCTTTTCCTGTAATGTGATGCTAAAATAGCTTTAATTCATTTTCTGAAATAATAAATAGGAATATAAAATCACAAAATTTAATATCCCAAATGAATTATCAAGTCAAGTTCTAGGCCTACAAAAATATAATATTTAAACACTAAAAATAAGTGTTGTTTTTATTAGAGTAATTTTTTAAAATTTCAACTTTAATTTAGATATACAGGATACATGTGTAGGTTTATGACATGAGTATATTGCACAATAGATAGTTGAAAAACTGTCAAATCACACCCTCCTACCTCCTTCTCCCCTCTAGTAGTCTGCAGTGCCCATTGTTCCCATGTTTATGTCCATATGTGCTCAATATTCAGCTTCCACTTATAAGTGAGAATATGTGGCATTTGGTTTTCTCTTCCTGAGTTAGTTTACTTAGGATTATGGCTTCTAGCTGCATTAATGTTGCTGCAAAAACATAATTTCAGTCTTTTTTATCACTGCATAATATTCTATGGTGTTTAAGTGTCATATTTTCTTCACCGAGTTGACCATTGATGGGCACCTACTTGAATCCATGCTTTTGCTATTGTGAGTACTGTGGCTGTGAACATGTGAGGACATGTGTCTTTTTGATACAATGATCTATTTTCCTTTGGGTACATATCTAGCAATGGGATCAATGGGTCAAATGGTAGATCTTTTTCATGTTCTTTGAGAAATCTCGAAACTACTTTCTGCAGAGGCTGAACTAATTTACATTCCTATCAACAGTGTACAAGTGTTTCTTTTTCTCTGAAGCCTTGCCAGCATCTGGTGTTTTTTGACTTTTTTGGTAATATCCGTTCTGACAGGTTTGGAATGACATCTCACTGTGGTTTTGATTTGCATGTCTTTGATAATTAGCGGTGATTAACATGTTTTTCACATCTGTCTTGACCAATCATATGTCTTCTTTTGAGAAGCGTCTGTTCGTGTCTTTTGCCCGTTTTTAATGGGGTGTTTTTTGCTGGTTGATGTGTCTAAATTCCTTATAGATTCTGAATATTAGACTTTTGTTGGAAGCACAGTTTACATATATTTTCTCCCACTCTGTAGGATGTGTATTTACATTATTGATAGTTTCTTTTCTTATCCAGAAGCTGTTTAGGTTAATTAGGTCCCGCTTGTCCATTTTTGTGTTGCAATTGCTTTTGTGGACATAGGCAAAAATTACATGTCAAGGCCACTGTTGAGAAGGGTAGTTCCTAGGTTTTCTTCCAGTATTTCTATAGTCCAAGGTCTTACTTTTAAATTTTTATCCACTTCGAGTATCTTTTGTATATAGTGAGAGGTGAGAGATCAGTTGAATTAATCACCATATGGCTAGCCACTTGTCTCAGAACCATTTATTGTATAGAGCATCCTTTCCCTATTCTTATTTTTGTCAGCCTTGTCAAAGATCAGATGATTATAAGTGTGTGGTTTTATTTCTAAGATTTCTATTATGTTCCATTGGTCTATGTGTCTGTTTTCATACCAATATTATGCTGTTTTGGTTATTATAGCCTTATAGTATGGTTCAAAGTGGGGATATAGCAAGGTTAAATTGTGTATACAAATTATATTTGATAAGTTGAAGAACCAGATGCTTGCCAAACCCATATAACGTCAAAGTTCTAGTGTCTCTTAAGACTTCACTCTCAGAATACCATCTCTTCACTCCTATCCTAGTAGTCTGAAGGAAAATTAAAACATTCATATATACACACAAACCTATGTATACACATGAACAAGCACACAAAACAACAGCAGCGAAACTTGACCCAGGGCATAATTGAAAACTTTAAGATACATAATATTTAAATTTATAACAGTGTTTTTAACCTTCTTAACCCTGGATACACATTATATTCACCTAGGCAGTCTCAAAAAAATAGCTAGGTCTGGTTCCCCTGACAGACCAAATCACATCAAAATCTCAAAGATGCAGTCATCATTAAGAATTGTTCAGGGTAATAAAGGGATGCCATTTATGTCACAGTATATTTTTTTCTGGTAATAACTTGCTGAACAGAAGTTTATTCCTTAAATAGAATATATTTTATCCACAATCTAAAAGTGTTTTGCCTTCTTTTCTTATTAATTTCCCTGTCCTTTAATTACCTATTTTTCCCATTCTAAGGGGAGCCTTCTTGAATGAGAGCTGCTCTCTTTGTTGTGACTGAAATAATCTTTGGATCAGAGTTCCCCTATGCTTCACAACATTATACATGTCAATCCTCTTAGTCTAAATGTTATTTCTCACCTGGCTTGGAATCAAGCTTGCTAGAGCCCTAACTCCCTTGGCATGGAGCATTTTACAGATACACATGTTAATAATCATTCTTTTACACAGCTGGGGCTAGTATTCATATATTTCCCAGAACTACACTGAGTCTCAAATGTCCCTTTATTCAGTACCACATTATTTACAAGTAATGTGAAGGCCCCCAATGAAAGTATCCAGCTTGTCTTCCTCTTTGTTGATATCTTTTTAAATCTCTAGCTCTAGTGCCTAATAGGAACTTAACAAGACTTTGATGAATGAATTAATGATTAAAAGTTATACATTTTAATTGTATTTATCTTTGCTGTTCATCCTGAATTGTCCTGTTCAGCCATTATCTGTTATCAATGACATTAAGATTAGTAGCTGAAGTTGTGATTGAAACTGAAATGTACTCAAGAATATTGTAAGTGACATGGAGGGCTTTGTTTTACAAACCTTTACCAAAGTGTACTTGCAAAAATGTAGAAAAAATGCACTGTGTAGATTAGTGCAGGCCAATATTTCTTTTTAGAACTTTGGGAAAAAAAGTTACATTTGATCATCAGTGTTGATTTCTCCAGCTTAAATACTGCTTCCTTTCGTCTCTGTTTATTGTTTTTATTTTCTTTTTCCGTATTTATTTGTATCGGATAATCATCATTTATTCTCTGTTCTTTTAAAAACACAAACATTAAAAATGACATGCAATGTCTTTTGGGACCTGCTCAATATTTACTATAGTATCTTTTCCATATTGTCTGTAATATGGTCATCCAGTTTTGATTAAAATTCAAATAATTTAAAATACTTTATTTAATTATTTTTTTTGTCTTCTCTTTTCTTCTTCCCCTTGTCCTTCCCCTTTTGTCATGACTTTCCTCCCTTCTCTTCTACTTTTTTCTGTATTGGCCTCTGTGTCTGATTAATGACTGATTCCTAATTTCTTGAATATTCATTTATTAAATAATTAAGGCATTTATTTTTGAGGTAATATATATGTAAAGAATGACTATCCATTAGGCACTACTGCCAGTTCTAGGGTAATGCAACTCTAATATAAAGTGAGAAGGGAGGAAGGAAAAAAAAACATTAGGTAAGACAAGAATAAAATATATTATTTTTATTTTTTCCTAAACTTTGCACAGTGTTCACCCTTTTAAAACTTCATCCTGCTGCAAATGCACAGTTTAATATATACCGCTATGGCCTTGACTGCTGGTCCTACCTGCGAACATAAAACTAGCAAATCCATCTATGAATAACATCCAAAACCTCTCTCCTATTGATGGACCAAATGTTTGCTTCCTCAACAAATTCACATATTGAAACCTTAACCACGAATGTGATCGTATTTGGAGATGGACTTTGGAGAGCTAATTAGGTTTAGATCAGGTCATGAGGGTAGGGTTGCCATGGTGGATTAATGTTTTCATAACAATAGGAAAAAAGAGCAGCACTTTCTCTCCCATCACAATGTGAGGACTCAGTAAGAAGGCAGCTGTCTGTCTGCAAGCCAGAACAAAGGCTCCAATGAAAACTAAATCAGCCTGAACCTTGATCTTAGACTTCCCAGCCTTCAAAACTATGAGAAATAAATGTTGTATAAACCACCAAGCCAACGGTATCTTGTTATAGCAGCCCAAACTAAGACAACTATCATCAAAATAATTTTAAAAAATAAGTAAAACACAACCCAGGACTATATGTACCCTTGGAATATGTCTTCATATACTTTTTAATAGAAGAGAACTTCATCCACCAGTAATAAACTTAAAGTTTTATTTCATAGCCTTTTATAATTAACAAGAAGCTCGTATCATTCTTTAATTCCCTTTCCAGCAGTTCTCTGGCTAAAGTAGAATAAATCTTTCCATATTGCTTCTTGTCACTCCACCTGCTCCGCTGGCTCACCAATGCATGATGAAGTGGTCATTTATAGTATATGAGTATTAAGTTATAATCAAATGGCTACCAATTGATACTCTCAATTGATCTCTTTATGACCTGTGAATAAAAAAGCAAATAGCTTTCTTCTAATTAATATTCTAGAGCTAATCACTAGATCATCTATGTGTCCCTGAGGTGGTTATCTCTTGATTTATTTTTTTTTTCTTTTTGTAAAAATATCGATGAATCTAAAGTCTCCCAACTGTTTTCAGCTATATAGAATTCTGGAGATTGTTTTTAAACACTCATTCTTTTGTGATCCGTCAAAAGAATAACATTTAGTAATGCCAGCAAGATATGAATCTCCCCAGAGTTAAATGGCTTCAACTTCTTTCTCTCCTACACTCCCTTTTATACTTATTTTCCTAGTATTATCTTTCCATCTTTTAAATTATTTCATTCCCCACATTGAGTGTTGTTTTTAATTCCTCCTTTCTTAAATTTCTTTGCTGTTCTCACTTTGACATCATTTTTTTAATATCGTTTCTTTTCTCTTCATACTTCGTTTTGTCTTTCTCTATTATTTTTCTCCTTGGTTCTAAGTCTCTTTTGTTTTCCTCCTCACTCTCTTTATTTTTTTCTTAACTCATTCAGATGTCTCCCCTGCCCAGTTGTGGATTTTTTTTTATTTTTTTTCTTTCTTTATTACTGGAAGTGTGATTTCTGACTTTTTAGTTGACTCCTGCCTTCTTTCTTTCTCTTCTTATTCTCTTATTCTCAGATTGTCTCACTTTCTTAAACTTTTTCTCTCTTTCATCTTGCTTTCCCCCAAATGGGCACAAAGGTAAATCTGTTTTCTCTTTTGCTTTGTCACCAAGTGGGATATATTAAGATGATTGTGAGATGGAAAATTGTCAATACTTCAAAACATAATAAGGTTCATAGCTCCGTATCACCAGGATTTTTAAAAATCTTAACATGTGAGAGGAAGACAGTATTATGTGATTTAGATTTAAACCAAGAGCAAATAAACCACAAGTAGAAAAAAATATATATTATGTGGGGTCACAAATAATCCCCCTAAAAATGCTCAAATTTGCATAAATTGATCTTTGAGGGGTCCCCTTTGTATGACAACCCTGAGATAATAATTTTGAATGTAACTATAAGATAAGGTGAGGTTATTAAACAGCTTTAGAGCCAACACATATGCCCTGTTTACTACAGTGAAAACTGATACTCATTTCATTCATTAATTAATAACTAGCAGCATGTATAGAGGCAGACATCACTATAGTCCAGCAATTGCTGAACATCTGTGCTGGTTGATAAATTGCCACGACTTCCTAAGTGTTCTGTCATCTCCTCAACCTGTGTGGAGCCCCCCTCACCTGTCTTCACATAAGCCAACAGCTGAAGAATTCATGTGTGGAGCAGCAGGGGCCTCCATGTAACTGTTGCAGTGCCTATTCTAAGTGGACTCTACCAGGCCTGATATTAGTTTGAATTTTACCCTAGAGAACTGGAAATAAAAATGAAATGTGGCCCTTTTTTGTTAAACTCACAATCCAGTGCATGCAATTAGTATACATTAGTGTATATCAAAGTTATGCACAAGTTATATGAAAGCTCAGAGAAAATGTTAACAATATAATCTATATCTTTCACTTTTCACATATAGCACTTCATTTAGTTCTAAAAGAAACCCTCCAGCAGGGCCAGGTCACACTGAGGGGCTGAGGGTTGAGCTGAGCAAATGTGACAATAGATTTTGGGGTAGGTGCCCACTTCCCTTTGCTTTTGCTGTGCTCATTTATGTTTATCTCAGTGAAGAATGGATTATGGAGTGGCATTCCCAGAGCTTAAATAATGTAAGGTTGTGATACATACCGCTGTATTTCCCCCCTGAGGTTCTGGTTTTTTATATTTATATTATTTTTATCATACTTTAATTTCTGGGATACACGTGCAGAATGTGCAGGTTTGTTACATAGGTATACACGTGCCATGGTAGTTTGCTGCACCCATCAAACTGGATCCCTTCCTTACGCCTTATACAAAAATTAACTCAAGATGGATTAAAGACTTAAACGCAAGACCTAAAACCATAAAAATCCTAGAAGAAAACCTAGGCAATACCACTCAGGACATAGGCATGGGCAAAGGCTTCATGACTAAAACAGGAAAAGCAATGGCAACAAAAGCCAAAATTGACAAATGGGATCTAATTAAACTAAAGAGCTTCTGCACAGCAAAAGAAACTATCATAAGAGTGAACAGGCAACCTAGAGAATGGGAGAAAATGTTTGCAATCTATCCATCTGACAAAGGGCTAATATCCAGAATCTACAAAGAACTTAAATAAATTTACAAGAAAAACACAAACAACCCCATCAAAAACTGAGGGTCTATTTTATGTGTGAGTGAATGTTACCAGCTGATGACAATAGTTGAGATTTCTTAAGGTAATATGAGCATCAAGTCATGAAAAAAGAAAATGAATAATTGGAATCGACATTTACAAACTTCTCTACCTCTAGATACATAAATCATTTTTAAAACATAAAAATAAAATTACTAGATTACTAATGTGAAAGTGCATTAAATGGCTACATAAACAGTTTTAAATAAAAGTTACAAAAAATATCAAGATTCACATTACTTATTACAAGTAATGTGAATACTTATAAGATGTCACATTACTTATTATAAATTAATATTAACTGATTAGAACATTTTCTTATAGAAAATATGTTTTTGACCTTTATGTATTTTTTCCTTTATAATGAGATGCTTAGAGAACATTCATATGCTAACATTGGTATAAGAATAATCATTTTATCTCTTTGTTTACCATTTTGTACATAGATTCTAAATAAATACTGACCTTTGAGTTTGGCAGTCATAGTCTCACAACAGCTGGCCCAAGCACGCTGAGATCCATATAAATACACTAGCTAAAGCTCATGGACTATTCTGAAATATTTGCCATACTTAGATTTTTTATTAATGCATTCTACCAGAGTTGCAATGTGATTTTCCTATATCTACCTCACCAAATCTTACTCATTCATCAACACTCAATTTGAATGTCATTTCTTTGCAGAATCTTTATTCTTTCTTGTAGGGCAAAGAGACCTTTCTCTTCAACTCTCTCTGCATTTCGTGCCTGCCTGCCTTCAGGTTCTTATCACATTCAGCTGGGCAGTGTTAGTTGAGTCTATTTCACATCTTCCCTTTTAAACCACTAGCACTTCGAGAACCGGAATTGAGTTATTATTCATTTGCATAAGACAACAGTGCATAACAGAATGTTATGTTCAGAAGAAGTACTTAATACATGATTAATAAACACAGGATCAACAATATTACTTGGCCACAGTCAAGAGGCAGTCTCTTTTTGTTTTTATTTATTTTTATTTTTTTGGTTTCGTAAAAACTACCTGACAGTGTTCGCTGCATCGGATTATAGCTCAGGACGTTGCATACCTAATTGCTCTGCTTGCTGCAAGTACCCTTGAATAGGACTGCATTAAACACTGACTGGAAAAGATAGTGAAATATTAATAATAACCCAAAGGCAAACTGAAGGGGCAATTGGACAAACACAATTTAAAGCATGATTAAGACATTCAGCTAAGCACGTTATACGTTATTAGTTTATTATTTCCTCACATGTGTGAACTTGTTGTCTTAAATTTTAAAAAGGATATTGGCTTATTTTGCAAGAGAGAATCAAATAGTTTATAGATTTAATTATGCATCATTAGCTGTAGGGTCCTTTAGGTTCTTTATCAGAAGAGGTAATATATCTATAACAAATAAATTATTTTGATTAAAATTTCATGAAATTATTTGAGGTATCCCTCTCCTTGAATCTAATTCTTATAATGGGTTATCTGAAGGATATATGCTGCTCTGAACTTTGAGAGCATTTTATACAAGACTAAACAGAGAAGGGAAAGATAGAAAAATAAGGACTTGTTATAAAATATTGATTTTATAAATAAATAAGTGTCCTCAATACTAATCTCGACTAAGTTATAGGCATTGACTGTTGGGTATGATAGTGTCTCATCACTCCAGTATCCCCCAAAGAACAGCATTTCACAAAAAGTGTGATATAGTAGATAATAGCCTCTTAAAGAAGACCAGTTTAACTCTTATTTCTACCTGACTTATAATTTTTTGCCCAGGTTGATCATGTATTCTTTATTTTCACATCCAGTAGTTTCAGTCTGTTTCTCTCTCTGTGTATGTTTTTTTCTTCATCTTCATTCTCCATATTAAGGTATTTTATAGGGAATACAGTATATATCAAAAGTAGTATATATAATTATATTACATATGAAATACATAATTGTAATGAATAAATATACATGCATAGATATATGTATATCCATATATATAGAATAAATAATGATTGAATGCCTTCAATTAACCTCCTATACCTTTGAAGAAACTCCATTTAGGAAATTATTTAAAAGATATATCCCATTGAGAAGAGTATGGGCTACCTCAAATATTTGTAGTGTTTTATCAATCGTGCAGAAAAATTTTGTAAGTATGTGTATATATACACACACAGGTATAAATGTATATTATATACTTACATTTTAAAATGTTACATTTTAATATTTATTGAGCTAAAAATTTGTCTGTGTCCATATTTTGTTCTCAGTTTATTCATGCTTACTACCCAAGTTAAAAAAAAAAAAAAGGCCATCTTTCTACAATTAGACAAAGTGTCAGTGGATCCATATTTAACAAAGAACTTTTTATTTATTTACTTATTCAAGACAGAGTGTCGCTCTGTCCCCCAGACTGGAGTACAGTAGTGCGATCTCAGCTCACTGCAGCCTCTGCCACCCAGGCTCAAGCAATCCTCCACCTCAGCCTACTGAGTAGCTGAGATCACTGGAGTGCACCACCACACCTGTCTAACTTTTTAAAATTTGTGTAGAAAGTTTCACCATGTTGACCAGGCTGGTCTCCAACTCCTGGGCTCAAGAGATCCACTTGCCTTGGCTTCCCAAAGTGTTGGGGTTACAGGTGTAAGCCACTGTGCCTGGGCAGCAAAGAGTATTAAACACCATTTCTTTTGGTTTGAGAATGTTTACAGTAAGTAGTCCTTCAGTTTAAGGTATAAAAAAAGAGTTTAATTGGCAACTGGCTAAGAACTAAGGGAGTCAAGAAATATCTACAAACCAAGTGGTTGTGAAAAACCACATATCTGGAAACAATTCCTAAAGAAGAACAAAAATCAATATAAACACTAACCTGAACCCACGTAAAATTCCACAAAACGAAAAACAAGATGAACGCAGAAAGAAATAGTAATTCTAATAGTGGTACATGAACAAATTAAATGTTAAAAAGCATCTGGTTTGTATTCAATTCAAATTGTTGAAATGTACCCCAGGAAACAAAAGATGAAAATGAGAGGATGCATATTTATTTCGTATTCTAAGATGAAAAGGGAATTTACTGTGTTTATAAAATTGCAAATCAAATAAAGATGTAATTGTAAATTAAAATCTGTTTGAGACAAGAAAATGTATAAATTGATATTAAAAAACAAATTAGTGAGGTGTAGAACAATCTTGAGAAGCTCTTCCCAGAATTTATTGGCCGAAAAGATGAACGGAACATTGAAAAAACAAAGATACGAATATACAATGAAGAACCAACATTGGGATAACAATTGTATACATAGAATGAGACCAGAAATGATGAAAATAATTTTAAATTTATAGATTATGGCAATTAAAATTTGGGAAATTAGAGAAGGAACTAGTAAGGAGTTTTTCCATTTTTCCTATGGTTACTTTTTTATGTTATTTAAACAGATTTAAACGTAATTTTAAAAACTAACTTGAATTAAAAAACTAAAGACTGAATAAACATACCTGGTCCCTTTAGGGAAAATAGTTCATATAAAGAAGATAGAAAACAGAGGATAAGTAAGAGGTCATTAAAAGATGTATCAAAGTAAAAATATATGTATCTGTTATTATTATTGTTATTATTATTATTATTTTGTTGAGACGGAGTCTCACTCTGTCACCCAGGCCAGAGTGCAGATGTGTGATCTCGGCTCACTGCAACCTCTGCCTCTCGGATTCAAGCGATTCTCATGCCTCATCCTCCCAAGTAGCTGGGACTACAGGCATGTGTTACCATACCTGGCTAATTTTTTTAGTATTTTTACAAAAAAATACAAAAAGAGACAAGGTTTCACCATGTTGGCCAGGCTGGTCTCAAACTCCTGACTTCAGGTGATCTTCCCGCCTCAGCCTCCCAAATTGCTGGAATTGCAGGCGTGAGCCACTGCACCTGGCCTATATATATCTATTATAAGGGAAATATATGCACACACTTTTGTTTATCTATATATGTGTGTGTGTGTGTATTTGTGTTTGGTGCGTGTGCATGTGTGTGTCTAATAAGAGAAGAAAACACATCATAATAGCCAAGAAAAGGGACAAATTCTGTGAAGGAGAATTGTTTGCTCTCAATAGGTGTACCGGTAGGTAATAGGCTTAGGATATTGCATGTTTTAGTTTATCCATTCATTCAATAGATATTTATAAAATGTCAGATTTTTTTCTGACATTGTACTAGGGTACCAAACATAGATGATTAAATGAATAGATCATATTCTCATAATGTGAAAGGTAAGCAAGCAAATCAATAATTCTTACATGATTGTCCATTGCTATGAAGAGCTTTTAAAGCTGGTAGTCAATGCAAAAGAATTTATATCACACCAAAGTAAAATGACTAGACAAATAATTTAGGTTTCCTTTTAGAAGAGCGAAGATCAGTACTTTATGGCTATCTTCATTTCTGTAAAGCCACAGTTCTCTGCATCTAATATCTGACATATCTAAACAATTTAATTTGCTAAAGGAAAACTAGAAGGTTCTGAACATTAGCAAAGGAGAAATTGAGAAAAATTCTACTGTTGTATATGCTGCTCACTCCTATTCAGTCATAGAAATACTAAAACAGATGAGATCAATTTTTGAAGATATACTATTATTTCTGTTGCTTATATTAGAAGACTACATGTAGAGTTTGTAGTTAACACATGGAGAAAACAAAACAACGAATTCTTTGTAGGAATTTTCGCTCATTTCTTTCTTCTTCAAGTTGTGAGTCTACAAACTGTGAGGTAACTTGCAATGCAAGAAAGATACTTCTTTGATATACTATAAATATTAGTAAAGTATCTGGGAAATTGTTAGCTAACTGAGAAATTAGAGGAAACAGCTCACACAAGAACACTTTCCCTTCTGAAACAATTCCAAACTCAAGAATTTCCCCAAAACAGTCTTAATTTCAGTAACTTTCTAGAAGAACTCATTGACCTTGCTGAAAACTGTCATACTCATGGTTATGATTTACTACAGGGAAAGGATACAGATTAAAATCAGCCAAGAGAAGAGACACATGGGCAGAGTCCAGGAGCATAGCAAATGGAGAACTTTCAGTTGTCCTTTCGCTGTGTGATTATACAGACACACTGTGTATTGCCAACCAGGTAAGCTCACCAGAGACTCATCATCCAAAGATTTTATTGGTGCCTCATCACGTAGGCATGAGTGATTGCCCACATGGCTGCTCTCCTGCTTCAGCTTCTCTGGAGGTCAACTTATATCATGGGGTCTTATACCAGAGCCTCTAACCTGTATCACATTCTTGGTGTGGTTCAGATCTCTCACTCTAACATTGTTGCTATCGATCTGGTTGGCTCAAGGTACCCAGAGAAATACAGATGTTCCTATGAGACATGATATTCCAAGGGACTGCAGATTGCCTTCCAAAAGTCAAGGGCAAAGTCCAGACCACTTTTTGGACAAGGTAAAAGTCTGTGTTACACAGTATCTATTTTCATTTAAGTAATGATAATAAAATGTATGCAGAAAATGAATATTAGGAAACTTGTTATCCATAATACAGATAGTTGGAATATAACATTAAGGAATTAGATTTTGAATGTTTTTCCTCTATTTGTTTTATATTCAGAAGATTTTTTAAAAAATTAAAATGATCCTTCCCAGTATAATTACACAGAATATCTTTGAAATGGGACTTTAAACTTTAATTATTGTAGAAATTAAAGAATATTGACATTGGCAATAAACCCATGTTTAAGTGATTATTCTACAGCTAAGCCTCAATGCATATTAAGCCAATCCCTTTTGGAAATTCTAGAGTAGAAAGTGTCCTTAAAACATTATTTTAGGCCGGGCGAGGTGGCTCACGCCTGTAATCCCAGCACTTTGGGAGGCCGAGGCAGGCGGATCACGAGGTCAGGAGATCGAGACCATCCCGGCTAAAACGGTGAAACCCCGTCTCTACTAAAAATACAAAAAATTAGCCGGGCGTAGTGGCGGGCGCCTGTAGTCCCAGCTACTCGGGAGGCTGAGGCAGGAGAATGGCGTGAACCCGGGAGGCGGAGCTTGCAGTGAGCCGAGATCCCGCCACTGCACTCCAGCCTGGGCGACAGAGCGAGACTCCGTCTCAAAAAAAAAAAAAAAAAAAAAAAAAAAAAAAAAAAAACCACCAAAAACATTATTTTAAAAGTGGCTAAATTTAAAATAACCACCTTTTAAAAATCAGTTTTTAAAAACAGTTCCCCTGTTTCTGGGACCTTATAAGACAGGCTGTTCTTTTTTTCTCCCTCAGGAAAGGACATTTTATGACTGAGTCATAAACCATTAACAGTATAGGATTATGATTGAAATGTTGACATAATCTTAACTATTACAGTGAAATCCTCATCACTTTAATCTCTTAGCTGGTGAAGGAAAACACAATCAAGCACTAAATAGACATTATCTGATATTTTGTCAGGTGGTGCAGGCAGTAGTCTTGTTCAATCCAGTACAATTTGATGCTAAGATACCTCAAGTGATGCACGTACATTCTGTGTTTTCACATGTGCACATTCCATCCATTTAAAAGGAAATAAAAACTTCCCATTCTTTCTTCAGACATCAAAATGGGCCTCTGAGAAAACTCAAATGGACTCTCCGATTCCCATCTGCTCAAAGGTAAGCAACTCACTATTAAACAAAAAACAAACAAAAAAATATGAATTCTAAGATATAAAACAAGCAACCAAACCTTCAAAATAATCACAACATGTCAGTTTCAAGCTGGTCTGATTAGTTCTGTATCCATACTGTATCCTGTGGGTTTTATCTCCACCTCAGATTTTTTTTCTTTAAATCTCTGTGGATTTAAGTTATTTCTGTCTTCTCTGTGTGATCACCAGGTTTTGAGCTTCTTTTTGAAGGGTGAGGCCATGAATTAATCACCTATGCATTTTCCAAAGAGGAGCTTTATAAACTTCCACAAATAATGCTCCTAAAACACGATTATTAATTAAAAAATAGATCTTGTAATATATTATTTTTGAGATACTCTAGATAAATAATATAACTCTGGAATCTATATGCTCTCCTTCTCCAGTAAGAGAATTTTGGGTTTTCAGAGATGTTTGTGATGTTATTCTGGTGTACTGGTATTTTATATCAGGTGTTGTTAGCAATCTCCTGACATCATGAGGTATAATTTTTGCCGGGTACCATAAGCTAAGTACATAGAACTTACTAATAATGACCACAGACCCAGTTTTTAATCAGTTTTTAGTTTAAAATTTATAATTTCCTTCTCATATTTATGTTTTATCTTTTTTTATAGGATATTACATTTTTAGTCTTGAAATATTTATGCAACAAAACTATATTACTGAAATAGTTTTTGAACAGAATTTCTTCAAGATACATTTGGGGAGGCATCAATATATTTACAGATTCGTGGCTTCTGGAAATTTTGTTCAGTTACTAATAGTTTGTCTAATACTGTGATAAAAGTTTTCTAACAACTTAAGTTAGGCAGAGTGGGTTTCAATAAATGACTGTTGAATTTTACTAAAACAACTGCATAAATTTTTAATGTACAGTGAAGATGACCAAGACTTTTCATTTCAGAACACTAATATATATATTGTCTTTCTTCATTCATTCATTCCCTCATTCATTCATCCATTGTTTCTTATTTTTATTTAAACACATTTTGAGGAGAAAAGTATGGAACCAGGTAGGCAATCTATGAGCATTACCATTCCTTCCTCCTAAGGGGAGATTTTGAGATTATGAAGGTTTTATGTTCTAGGGAGATGCATGCCTACAGTATCCAGAAGCTTAGGTTAGGCATAAAGCAGAGCCCTCACTTTCTCAATGACTACATAGGAGGAGGTTTAAAAAAACTAAGAGGATGAATCAAACACTGGCATATTATCAAAAATACTTACCACTCAGAGAGCACTAGATAGTGAAGGAGAATGTGATGTGGCAAAGTGATATAGAAGCAGTTATTTCTGACAGGCATTTTATCTATATATTTGCTAAACAAATTCACCTTTTTTTTTTTTTTCATTTTCAAAAAAGGAGGAGAGATAGTAGAGTAGGATGAGGATACTACTTAATAGCACTTGTTAACCCAGAGTAATAAGCATGGTTGAGTCTAGAAAAGACTGAAACTAGAAGTTTCAGGTTTACACTAAATGAGGCCTTCATCTTCCACCTGCCTGGAAATACGATGCTTCCAGGTTACCTATGGTACAGAGGTCAGATTTATTTTTACAGATTGTTTCCTAGGCCTTTAAATGACTCATAGAAAATTAACATTTTGTGACTATACAAAAAATTAAATCCTACTTTTTTCTATCCAGAAACACCTAAGAAACAGTTGCCCAGACTTTTTTGCTTGTTTGTTTGTTTTTTCACCAAACCTGTCTTGGGAGGGAACCAGTCCTGAGGAAGGCCTGCCTGAGTGTTGCCTAACAGCGATAGCAAAGTGACTTCAGGGTGCCATCCATGCAGCCAAGCTGAGGCTAACTCATAGGGGCTTTGAGTGCTCCTTTAAAAATGTTATTAGGTTCTGGGGTACATGTACAGGATAATGTGCAGGTTTGTTTCATAGGTAAACATGTGCCATGGTGGTTTGCAGCACCTATTAATGCATCACCTCGGTATTAAGCCCCACATGCATTAGCTGTTTTTCCTAATGCTCTCCTTTCCCTCACCCCTCCACCTCCCACAGGCCCCAGTGTGTGTTGTTCTGCTCCCTGTGTCCATGTGTTCTCATTGTTCAGCTTTCACTTAAGAGCCCAGACTGTTTTAAATAAATTCTGTGACAGGGCCTTTAGCTGCATGATGAAATGACCATTTTATTTACAGAAAATTTTAATTGGCAAAAAAATTACTGCAAATTAAATTATTATTTGCATTTTTGTTATTGCCACCCACTAGACATTTTCTTGTCTCCAGGACAAGGAGACAGCGAATCTTCTTTTCAGGAGTCCTTCCGATTAATCTGACTGATATGTCGCCCCCACTGATTACTAGGCTGATTCAGCTAATCAGGTAGGCCTGATGGCGTTTATTTCCTCTTTTACTCACTGGCAAATACATTTTGATCTCCCATTTCAAACTCTGTTTAAACTTCTATTACAGAATTAGCTTTCTTTAATCAGCAATATAGTAGCTGTTTTATAGGCAGAATATATATGAAAATGTGGACCGTGTAATTACGTGATAATACTTGCTTCTTTAGAATTCTTTTTTCTAGACTACTAAAATTATTATAACATGTCAAAGAAAATTTAGATTCTTGCACAGCATCAATTTATTCATTTGCTTAGTTATTAATCCATCTGTTTAAATGATAGGAAAGGACGAAATACCTCCATAACCCTCAAAGATTGCTTATTTTAGTGAGGGATAGTAACAAAAAGCAGAGATGTATCATAATATAATGTATTCCATGTTAGAGATATACTCACAGATTCATATAAGCAGTGAATCTAATATATTTCTTACTCCATTCAGTTTACAAAATATATACTTTAAACATTTCATTTTCAAATAATTATAGACAAAGAAAAATTACAAGACTAACACAAAGAATCCCTGGATTGCCTTCATCTAAACAGTTCCATAACCTTGATACTATTACCAAAATTAAAAAAATTACAGTTGGTACAATACCAGTAACTAATGTAGAGATTTTATTCAGAATTTATGTGATTTAAAAATGAATGTCTTTTTACTTTAAGTTATTCAATCTAGAATCACACATTGTACAGTCAATACTCTGTGTCCGTGGGTTCTTCATTCATGGATTCAATCAACTGCAAGTTGAAAATATTCAGAAGAAAAAAGCAAAAAAAAAGCAATACAAAAATACAAAGTCCAAACAAAAAAACAATACCATATAATAACTGTTTACAGACCATTTACATTGTGTTAGATATTACAAATAGTTTAGAGCTGATTTAAAATACGTGGGAGGAAGTGGATTGGTTTTATGCAAATATTACACTACTTTATATCAGGGACCTGAACATTTGCAATTTTGGTGTCTTTGGGGTTCCTGGAGCCAATCCCCCATTGATGCCAAAGGAAGACTGTATTTAGTTTTCATGTCTTCTTAGTCTCCTTCAATCTGTGACAGTTCCTTGGTCTTTTTCTTCTTTTATGATCTTGACACTTCACCAGAGAATTGGTTAATTATTTTATTTTTTATTTTTATTGTTTTTGAGGCAGAGTCTCACTCTGTCACCAAGGCTGGAGTGCTCACTGCAACCTCCGCCTGCTGGGTTCAAGTGACTCTCCTGCATTAGCCTCCCAAGTAGCTAGGATTATAGGTGTGCGCCACCACACCTGGCTGATTTTTGTATTTTTACTAGTGACGGGGTTTCACAATGTTGGCCAGGCTGGTCTCAAAGTCCTGACCTCAGGTGATCCACCCACCTTGGCCTCCCAAAGTGCTGCGATTACAGAAGTGAGCCACTGCTCCTAGCCAGTTAATTATTTTATAGAATATTCTTCAATTTTGGTTTGTCAGATTTATTCTCATTATTAGATTAAAGCTTTGTCTTCTTGTGCCCTTCTCATGTCAGGAGAACATGATGTTCCTATACTTTATTATTGTTAACCTTCATTATTTGTATAAGTATGGTGTCTGCTGGGTTTTGCCACTGTAGAGTTACAATGCATACCTTTGAAATCAATAAATAACCTGAGGAAGATACTTTCAGAATATGTAAAAGTATGTCTCTGTTCAAACTTTCACTTACCAATTTTGGAATCCATTAGTACATTTTATCTGCAAAAACTAAAATTGTAATATTTCTCTTTTTTTTTTTTGAGACCAAGTCTCACTCTGTCACCCAGGCTGGAGTGCAGTGGCATGATCTTGGCTCACTGCGAGCTCTGCCTCCGAGGTTCAAGCCATTCTTCTGCCTCAGCCTCCCGAGTAGCTGGGACTACAGGCACCCGCCACCAAACCCAGCTAATTTTTTTGTATTTTTAGTAGAGATGGGATTTCACTGTGTTAGCCAGGATGGTCTCGATCTCCTGACCTTGAGATCCGCCTGCCTCAGCCTCCCAAAGTGCTGGGATTACAGGGATGAGCCACTGCGCCCGGCCAAAATTGTAATATTTCAATGGTACTTTTGAAATGTCTTCAGTTTAAAATTATAATGTATTTATACATTTATTAATTGGAATGCTTCTGTGGAGGAAAGGTGTATTTTGTTCCTCGATTTACTTACTTATTCAATTATACATATAGATATAGATATAGATATACACATACATGTATACATTGTATTAGTCCGTTTTCACACTGCTGATAAAGACATCCCAGAGACTGGGCAATTTATAAAGAAAAAGAGGTTTAATGGACTCACAGTTACATGTGGCTGGGGAGGCCTTACAATCATGGTAGAAGGTGGAAGGCATGCCTTACATGGCATCAGGAAAGAAAGAATGAGAGCCAAGTGAAAGGGGAAGCCCTTTATAAAACCATCAGACCTCATGAGACTTATTCACTACCACGAAAACAGTATTGGGGAAACCACCCCCATCATTCAATTGTCTCCACAACACATGGGAATTATGGGAGCTAAAATTCAAGATGAGATTTGGGTGGGGACACAGCCAAACTGTATCTTCCACCCCCGGCCCCTCCCAAATCTCATGTCCTCATATTTCAAAACCAATCATGCCTTCCCCAAAGTCCCCTAAAGTTTTAACTCATTTCAGCATTAACTCAAAAGTTCACAGTCCAAAGTTTCATCTGAGACAAGGCAGGTCCCTTCCTCTATGAGCCTGAAAAATCAAAAGTGTGTTAGTTACTTCCTAGATACAATGGGGGTAGAGGTATTGAGTAAATATACCCATTCCAAATGAGAGAAATTGGCCCAAACAAAGGGACTAAAAGTCCCAATCAAGTCCAAAATCTAGCAGAGCAGTCAATACTTAAAGCTCCAAAATGATCTACTTTGACTCCATGTCTCACATCCAAATCACACTGACGCAAGACGTGGGTGCCCATGGTGTTGGGCAGCTCCACCCCTTTGGCTTTGAAGGGTACAGCCTCCCTCCTGGCTGCTTTCATGAGCTGGCATTGAGTGTCTGTGGCTTTTCTAAGTGCATGGTGCACGCTCTTGGTGTATCTACCACCTGAGGTCTGGAGGAAAATGGACCTCTTCTCACAGCTCAACTTGACAGTGCCCCAGTGGGGACCCTGTGTGGGGGCTTCAACTGCATATTTCCCTTCTGCCCTGCCCTAGCAGAGGTTCTACATGAGGGACCCACCCCTGCAGCAAACTTCTGCCTGGACATCCAGGGGTTTCCATACATCCTCTGAAATGTAGGCAGGTTCCCAAACCTCAATTCTTGACTTCTGTGAACCCACAGGCTCAACACCACATGGAAGCTGCCAAGGCTTGGGGCTTTTACCCTCTGAAGCCACATCCTGAGCTGTACCTAGCTGTACCTAGGCCCATTTTAGCCATGCCTAGAGTGGCTGGAATGCAGGGCACCAAACCCCTAGGCTGCACATCGCAGGGGGGGCCCTGGGCCTGGCCCTAAAACCATTTTTCCTCCTAGGCCACTGGGCCTGCCTGTGATGGGAAGGGCTGCCACAAAGTTCTCTGACATGTCCTGGAGACATTTTCCCCATTGTCTTGGTAATTAACATTTGACTCTTCATTACTTATGCAAATTTCTGCAGCTGGCTTGATTTTAACTTGAGAAAACGGGTTTTTCTTTTCCATTACATCATCAGACTGCAAATTTTCTGAACATTTATGCTCTGTTTCCCTTTTAAAACTGAATGCCTTTAATGGCACTCAAATCACTTCTTGAATGCTTTGCTGCTTAGAAATTTCTTCCACCAGATACCCTAAATCATCTACCTCAAGTTCAAAGTTCCACAAATCTCTATGGCAGGGACAAAATGCCACCAGTCTCTTTGCATAGCAACAGTGACCTTTACCCCAGTTCACAAGTTCCTCATCTCCATCTGAGACCACTTCAGCCTGAATTAACTGTCCATATCATTATCAGCATTTTGATCAAAACCATTCAATAAGTCTTTAGGAAGCTCCAAACTTCCTCACATCTTCCTGCCTTCTGAGCCCTCCAAGTCTCTAGGAAGTTCCAAACTTTCCCATATTTTTCTACTTTTTTTCTGAGCCCTCCCAACTGTTTCACAATCTGCCTCTTACCCAGTTCCAAACTTGCTTCCACATTTTTGGGTATCTTTACAGCAGCGTCCCACTACCTGGTACCAGTTTACAGTCTTAGTCCATTTTCACACTGCTGATAAAGACACACCTGAGACTGGGTACTTTATAAAGAAAAAGAAGTTTAATGGACTCACAGTTCCACATGGCTGGAGAGGCCTCATAATCATGGTGGAAGGTGAAAGGCATGTCTTCCATAGTGGCAGGAAAGAAAGAATGAGAGCCAAATGAAAGGGGAAACCCTTTATAAAAACATCAGATCTTGTGAGACTTATTCACTACCACCAGAACAGTATGGGAAAAACTGCCCTGTAATTCAATCATCTCCCACCTGGTCACTCCTACAACACATGAGAATTACAGGAGCTACAACTCAAGATGAGATTTAGGTGAAGACATAGCCAAATCATATCATATATATTTAATGTATACACATATATATGTATTTATTATTTGGCATTTTATTATATGGCTTATAATACAAAATTATCAATATTTATTTAATTGCATAAATGGTTCTAGGTTTGCCCATTGGGAGCTATTTCAGATTGGCTTCTGTAGTTTATGTATATTTTTTTAAAGATTTCCATCCTTTTGTGGGGACTTTCTTACCTTTGGCATCACAAAATTCATAAGGCTTTTGTATTATCCTCTGCTCCAGCCTTGGGATCAACTACTTCTCTAAGGAGCCATATTTCTTTTATTGAAAAATGGTACTTAGAAACCAAAAACTCAACAGTTAATGTGCATGGTGCCAATGGATGTCACTGCTTTTGGGTCTCTGAGTGTACAGTTTTAAAACTCACGTATGTATAATAACCTATGTGTATACACACACACACACACACACACAATCTCTGACTCTAATTCAGCATCCCAGGCTTTATTCTTGCATTCTTCCTTTTTTAAATTTGTAACTTCTTTCTCAGAAAATAAGAAACCCGAGTCTCTCATCTGCAATTTATTTACATATTTGTTAAGTTCTAGTATGCATACAATCACAGAACTGTTAATGCATACCCACTTGAGAAATAAATTTTCAAACTAAGGTGCAGTATTTGCTTGTGATCATTTTTCTTAAAAAGTAGCCAAATGTTACTTAAGTGAGTTCATTTTTCCCTTATTCCATTCATGTTTATGTAAATGTTGAAAAAAATATTTAATTTTTATTTAGTTAGTTGTATAGGTAGAGTTTAATATTACTGTTTACAATTTGAATTTCATTTTGTCCTCCTTATATTTTTCTTGCTTTTTAAGAAGTTTACATACAGTTCAATTCACAGGTTGTGATGTACAATTTTAACAAATGAAAAGAATGATCTACCACCGTAGTTATATATACCTCTCCCTAAGTGTTCTCTTCTGTGATCCCTTTTTGGTCAAAACCCTTCCCTCCACGCTCTACCCCTGGCAACCACTGATTAGTTTTCTGCCCCTACAATGTTTCCTTTCTGAAAAGTCATATAGGTGGAATCATGAAATATTAGTCTGGAGTATGTTTTTTTTTTTTAACCAAGTAAAATGCATCTAGCATTCATTTATGTGGTTGTATAAATCAAGAGTGTTTCTTTTTATTTTTGAGCAGGTTTTATCTTTTATCTTATGGATGCATTTTAGGTGTTTATCCATTTACCTGTTGAAGGACAGTTGTTTCCAGTATCTGGTGATTTTAAAGCTTCTATAAACATTGGTTTAAAGGCTTTTGTATGAACATACGTTTTAAGTTACCTTGAGTGAAATTGCTGGGTCATATTATATTGTAAGAAACTATCAAACTGTCTATTGAGGTGACTGTGAAAGAGGAAAGGTTCCCTTAATCCCCCTTTCAGGGAGTGTGATGGGGCCATGGCTTGATTCTTAGGTGCCCCATGGCTCAAACCCCTGGGGGAGCATGCAGATGGGCAGGTTGTGGGGCTCTGATCCCATGGCAGTGTCTAGGGGTGAATGTTTACAGCTGAAGCTCCAGTGGCTGTGGGTTATAGGTTGCTCTTTTAGTTTAGTCATCCATAGGTGGCTTGTGTTAGTCAGCTCAATTAGACCCCCTGAGTTATTGAAGGACAGAGAGCTTTCTGTATCTTGGGATTCTTGCCTTGGTGTACCAGGCACAAGAACTGGATCACACGTGGGCTTGGAGAATGAGTACAAGGTTTTGTTGAGTGGAAGCAGCTCTCAGCAGATGGGGGAGCTAGAAGGGGATGGAGTGGGAAAGTGGTTTTCCCCTGGAGCCCGGCACTCAGTGGCCCTTCTCCTCCCACTGTCCCACTCAAACTCCACATCATTCTGCCTGTTGATGGCCTGCCGGCCTCCCAGCATTTCTTGGTGTGCTCTTCCGTCCTTGTCCTCTCAACGTCCAGCTGCTTGTGTGTTCTTCTGCCAATGTGTTCCTCTCAACGTCCAATCGCTTGTATGTCTGCCTACTAGGGTCTCCGGGTTTTTATAGGCACAGGATCGGGGCATGGCAGGCCAGGGTGGTCTTGAGAAACTCAACATTTGGGCAAAAAAACAGAAATCCCTGTCCTCACCTAATCAGTGGGCACAAGCCCAAGGGTAGAGCCCTCGCCAGGGACCATGCTTTCCTCTACCCAGCATTTCCCTGTCCCCCTTCCGTATCAACTCTAACATTTGAAATTTACACCAGAAATCTATGAGAGTTCTAGTTGCACAGCATCCTAGCCAGCACTCCATACTGTGAGGTTTGCATTCTTGTGATATTCCCCACCAGGCTGTAATGTAGTTGATGTATTATGCTTTCAAAATATTACTAGATTCAACATCACATCTCTGTTCATGAGAGTATTGGTTTGTAGGTTATCATGTCAGAACAATATTGATCTAATAGGATTATTTGGGAAGTGTTTGCTTTTATAAGTAAATGTGCTCACCTATATTATACACAAAAGCATTGGCAAAACAAAATCTTGTGGTATATCAAAGGTCATTTCCTCCCATGTGACCTCTTTGAATGGACGCCTAAATGGTGTCTTTCAAATAGGCAAAAAGTCATAAAACTAAATTTATTTACTAAAAAATAATGTGCAAACTTATTACCTTCCAGAATCTCTGAAGCAATATTGTCATGAAGATAATTTTTTCATTGTTTATTTCATAAAACTTCATTAATGATTTGCCCAAGTTTCCCTGTGGCTTTTACTTTTCTGAAATTATTTTTTGTAACTCCATATTAATATCTTCCTTCATCTTTTGTTCAAATCTTGTTCACATTTGAGACCAGCTAAATGTCACCCCAATTAACAATTTCGTCACATTCCTTTATATTTTTATTCCTTCATAAAATGTTCACTTTTATAGGGGAAACAGTATTATGATAAATTCCTTAACTGCACCTCTTAAATCATCTTAGATTTAGAATCCCAGGACATGAGAAGAAATCACCTTCTCGGTACTATATTGAATCTTCTTTCTATAATTTAGACAGTATATCTGTCTAGAGTGTTTTCAATGACAAAGATGCTGCAATGTTCTGGCTACACAGGTGTGTGGTGTGCTGATAGAGGTAAGAGAGCAGAAGTTACAATGAATAATGAAAGGAGAATGACAAGAAAATACATTAATAAATGTTGCTGAAGATATAGGACAGAGACAGCTTAGGTCTTTTCAGAAGTAAACTTATTAGCAAAATTGCAGCATTGCCTTGAAATAGCTCAATTATTTTTACAAACTGCAAAATACACCTCAATCATGATGACAACTTCTTATAGAATAGTTTAATATTACATTATAGCAGATCAAAAACAAGTGAAGTTTTATATCTTCTGTTGACTTTTTTTTTATTTTGGACACATCCCATTTATTTTTATGGTAATAAAAATATGCTTTAAGGGGACTGGGCACAGTAGCTCACGCCTGTAATCCCAGCACTTTGGGAGGCCAAGACAGACAGATCACGAGGTCAGGAGACAGAGACCATCCTGGTTAACACGGTGAAACCCCATCTCTACTAAAGATACAAAAAAAAATTAGCTGGGCGTGGTGATGGGCGCCTGTAGTCCCAGCTACTCGAGAGGCTGAGGCAGGAGAATCACTTGAACCCGGGAGGCAGAGGTTGCAGTGAGCTGAGATCACACCACTGCATTCCGCCTGGGTGACAGAGTGAGACTCCTTCTCAAAAAATAAAAATAAAAATAAAAATAATAAAAATAATTAAAAACATATGCTTTAAGGGCTAAAATTACTTCTACTTTTTTGACAACATGGAATACTTAAGAAAATACAGTTGTTGCTGTTGTTTTTTTAGGAAACCTGGAGATTACAGGTATATTGACAAAACTAATTCCTCAGACATCACTACCCTCATCATATAAAAATATATATTTATATACAACCAAAAGTAACAATATTTTGTTTCTTTAATAACACTGAAGCCTATTTGATTAATTTGGTTTATTTCTCTTATAGAGTTATATATTGCCTCTTTTGCTTCGTATATGGTATAACCAGCTTCGTATAAAGAAACTCTTTAATATATTGACCAAAAAGGCCAAAACACCCACATCCTAATTAAAAGCAATGTTTTCTAATATGTGAATAGAGATCTTACAACATGACAATTTAATTGTATTTCCTTCCAATTTCTCAGTCAAATGTATGGTGTAGCCAAACATCTTGTTCTGTTTGTATAAAAGGAGATACAATTTCTTGTTACACTTTAAACTCTCATGCCTTTTTTGATCATCAAATAAATGCTTAATGATAGCAGCAGAAGATTTTCAGATATTATGCTTCTTCTCCAAGAATTGCCTTTCAAATGCCTAAGCATCAAAAAAGAAGAAAGCATAATGTGGACAAAATTATTTTTAAAACCCTGTCCTCTATCCTACAGAGAATATAAATTTCAAAAATATGACTTCCCAAACATCTGCTGTATAACCAGTCAAGGCTGGCCAGCGTTCTTATGAGTCCTCTGGCTGCCAAAAGTGCCCTATGTGTGGGAGTAACGGCTGGCTCCCGAACTGGAATGGATCAAAAAGGAGGGCAGAATGCAGCAGGTTCAGGAAAGACAGCAATGTGGGAGAGGAAAAGGTGCCAGGTTCTTTCAGAATCACCTACATATGTCCAGTAGCTTTGTAACTGCAGTATGGTTTATTTCATTTCAGAATGGGAATTACAACACAAGAGATGGTTAGAAATGACACTTCATCTCAATGGAAAATAAAATTAGCTACAGATGGTGAAGATCTGCTCATCTTCTATTACCTGGAGTTATAGAGGTGGTACTTTATTACTGAATCACTTAACTTGGCTGAAATCATACAAATCACAGTGGGCAATGTTAATGTTTTAGGCAATTACTTCTCTTATTCCCTAATCCTTCAAATGATTTTAAGAGTAAAAATTCCATGATTAAACTAGAAAATATAATAGTGCTGACTCAGGGTTGAGAGATTAATAATAAAACAGAAACTATTCATTCAACATACCATCTAAATTTTTGTATGTATTTGCAGAATGAGAAAAGGCAACACTCTCATTGAATCTACAGAAGGTTAGTAAATATTTCCAATGCACAAATAAATGATTGGTAGTGCACTGTGTGCTGAAGATTCAAGAAAATATGTTATATCTATTCTTGGCACTTTCATACAGGAGAATAATGATGGAAGGCTGGGCTATTTTATTTCCTGTAATTTTTTTCTCATTTGATTTTTTCTTAAAATATGTAGTTTTGAAATAATCCAAACACACAAAAATGAACATATCAGGACACTGATATTATTGATGAGGGCTCTACTTTCATGACCTAATTATTTCACAAAAGCCCTTCCCCACAAATTATCACATTGGGGATTACAGTTTCATTGTATAAACCTGAGGGAAGCACAGCTATTCAGTACATTGCAGAGTAACCAAGATATCAACCACTTCAGGTGCCAAAACCATAAAAAGAAGCGAAATTGATTGAGGTGAGATTTACAGTCACTGTAGCTTTTTACTTTTGAGTCACTTTCAACTTGAGCTGCACAGCAGAAAAGTTAAAAGATCGCGGCCATCTAGAATTTATAGTAAAAAGAGAAGTTTTCATTGATGCAGAAATATAAAAGATATAGGCATAAAAACAGAAAAGAGTGTAAAAATCTCATAAGAAATAAGAAAACTGTTAACACATTCCATTGGAGTCTCTGAAAGAGTGGAGAGAGAGAATAAAGAAAAAATAATATTTACTCTAATACTAGCTGAAATTTTCAAAGCAGGCAAAATCAAATATGTGCAAATTGAAGAATCTCTTTGGCTCCAAATGTGAGAAATATTTCATCAGAACAATGTTAAAAATAATTTTTAAAAATCTTTTACTAGTGAGTAAAAAGGGATGCATTATATTTTAACTATATTAATTAGACTAATAGGCAACTTTTCAAAAATTAGTGAAGAAAGACAAAAAGACCATAATAAGACAGGTTTAAAATATCGATAACAAAATAACTAGAAATATCTAGCATCTGTACCAAACCTTCAAGAATAAAAAATTCTTGAAACAAATGAAAATGGAAACACAATGTACCCAAATTCATGAGCTGTGGCAATAGCACTGCTAAGGAGGAATTCTATAGCAATAAAAACCAACATAAAAAAAGTAGAAAGATTTCAAATAAACAACCTAACAATACACCTCAAGTACCTAGTAAAGCATGAACAAACCAAAACCCAGATTAGTAGAAGGAATAAATAATAAACATCAGAATAGAAATATACAAAATAGAGACTTAAAAACAATGCAAAGGATCTATAAAAAAAGATGGCTTTTTGAAAGAATAAACTAAATTGATAAACCACTAGCTAATAAAGAATGAAAAGGAGAAGACCCTCAAAAATAAAATCAGAAGCAAAAAGGAGGCGTTACAACTGATACTACAAAAATTCAAAGAATCATTAGAGACTGCTATGAACTACTATATGTCAGCACACTGGAAAATGTAGAGGAAATGGATAATTTCTGGATTCACATAATCTACCAAGTCTGAACTAGGAAGAAATATAAAACCTGAACAGACCAATAATGAGCAATGAGATTAAATCAGTAATAAATACTGAATAGGAAAGAGCCGAAGGTCTTTCCTCTAACAAATGAAGTAAGACAATGATGTCCACTTTTACCACTCTTTTAAAGCATAGTACTGGAAATCTTAGCCAGAGCAATAAGGCAAGAGAAAGAAATAAAGTGAACCTATAATGCAAAAAAGAATATCAAACTGTCCCTCTTTGCAGACAACATGATCTTGAGTATAGTAAAACCTAAAGACACCAGGGGAAAAAAAAAAAAAAAAACAACTCCTAGAACTTATAAACAGATTCAATAAACTTGCAGGATAAAAAACTAACTTACAAAAATCAGTGGCAATTCTATACCCCAATAACAAAGTAGTCAAAAAAGAAAGTAATCTAATTTACAGTAGCTATAAAAACATACCTAGGAATAAGTTTAACCAAGTAAGTAAAAAGGCTTTGCAATGAAAACGATGAAATAATGATGACAGAACTTGAAGAGGACACAAACAAATGAAAAGACATCTCATGCTCCTGGATTAGAAAAATTAATATTTTGAAAGTGAATATACAACCTATAGAAATCTACAGATTAAATTCAAGGCCTATAAAAATAGCAATGATATTTTTCACAGAAATAGAAAAAAGTCTTAAAACTATCTTAAAATTCATATAGAATCCAAATAGCCAAAGCAACGTTGAACTAAAAAGAACAAAGTTGGTGGTGTCACACTATCTCACTTTAAACTATATTACAAAACTATAGTAACCAAATTAGCATAGTCCTGGTATAAAAAATAGACACATAAACCAATGGAAAAGAATAGAGAACTAAGAAATAAATCAATGTATTTACAGTCAACTGACTTTCAACAAAAATACCAAGAACATACATTAGGGAAAGGCCAACTCCTTCAATAAATGGTGTTGGTAAAACTAAATATTCATATGGAGATAAATGAAACTAGACCCTGTCTGTCACCACATACACTAATCAACTCCAAATAGGTTAAAGACTTAACCATAAGACCTGAAACTATAAAACTACTAGAGGAAAACTTGAAGACAATGAATGCTTCAGGACATCACTCTAGGCAAAGATTTTATGAATTCAAAAGCACAGCCAACAATAATAAAATAGACAAATGGGTCTAAGTTAAAGTAAAAAGCTTATGCACAGCAAAATAAACAATCAAGAAAGTGAAGGGACAATCTGTAGGAGGAGAGAAAATATTTGCAAACTGAACATGCAAAAGACAATCTCATTTAAAAGGAGGCAAAGGATCGGAATAGATATTTTTCAAAAGAAGACATACAAAAGGCTAACAGCTATATGAAACATGCTCAGCATCACTAAGGGTAAAGAAAATGCAAATCAAAACCTCAATGAGGTATCATCTCACTTCAATTAGACTGGCTATTATCGAAAAACCAAAATATTACAAATGATGTTTTAGGGACTAAGGGAAAACTCCGCCTTCACTCTCAGAAGTTTCACTTAATAATCAACTCACTAAAAGGAGATTAATAGGAGAAATAACTCACAAATTTATTAGCTTGCATGGAGGAAAACCAAAAAGTGATTACCACAAATCCCAATGGATTAAAGATGTTTATCTATCTTAATTCTCAGGAGAAAGGGAGATAAGAAAATGTGGATGATTTTAGAGAGGTAGTAAATGATTTCTAGGGAAGTTCAATGAACTTGAAGAACACAGGATGGCTTCGGACAAATTTTGTTGGATCCTCAGTGCAGACAACACTTTGTGAAAAAATCCATTGATGTGCCTCAACGGACTTCAATCTTTTTCCTGCAATATGAGTTCAGTTAGTGAAAACTCAGGGAAGAGATTAGAGATAGTTGTTTTCTTCTTTGCGGGGTGCAGACTTAATACAGATAAGAGAACTTCAAAGATTAACGTCTTCTTATGTTGGGAGAGAGAGGACTGAAACATACACGTTGAGGGAGAAGGTCAAAGAGACTTTGTGGCTTCTTCAGTTCAAGATAGCAAAGTACCATATTTTGAGGCATCAGTTTCTGAGCCCCAGTGTTGGCAAGTATTCAAACCAAAGGAACTCTTACGCTGTTGGTCAGAATGTAAATTAGTATGGCCATTATGAAAAATAGCATGGATGTTTCTCAAAAAACTAAAAATATAACTACTGTACAACACCCACTACTGATTATTTATCCAAAGGAAAGAAATCAGTATACCAAAGGGATACTTCTACCCATGTTTACTGCAGCACTACTCACAATAACTAAAAAGAGGAATCAACCTAAACTTCCATCAACAGACAAAGGAGATTATTTATATAATATATATTTCTTATATATACATCCATAGTATTCTAATGTATATATAATATATATACACGTTATACATATATACCTTATATATATATATATATACACACACATATATATACAGTATACACACACACACACACACACACACACACACACACACACACACACAGGAATACTCTTCAACCTAAGAAAGAATGAACTGTTGCTATTCATGGCAACATGGATGAGCCTGTAGGACATTATGTTAAACAAACTAAGTCTGGCCCAGAAAGACAAACTTTGCACATTCTCACTCATATGCCAAAGCCAAAAATTTGAGTTCATGGAAAGTAAATAGTGTTTTTAGAGCCTGGGAAGGGTAGAGGAGAGGAGAGGATGGGGAAGAGTTTTGTTAAGGTACACAATACCATAGACAGAGAGGGGCAATGAGTTCCGGTGCTGTGTAGCACTGCAGAGTGAATATGGTTAGCTCTAATTTATTACATATTTTCAAAAAGCTGGAAAAGAGGACTTCAAATGTTGGCAACACAAAGAATGATAAATGTTTGAGGTTATGCATATGCTAATTACCCTTATTTGATCATTACACATTGTATACACATATCAAAATATCACTCTGTATTCCACAAATATGTACAATTCTTATGAGTATCTAAATTGAAAGGCAGAAAAGTACTAAGACAATAGCCAAATCCAAAAATCATAGTGGAGCTTTTGACACGTCTCAGGATTTGATGGATAAAGAGGAAACAATCAATAAGAGTATAAAGATTTAAACAACGTGATTCATATAGTTGTCATATTACATAAAATGTTTTTATGACATTTTATTATTTTGTAACTAATAAATAAAATAACTATAAATAAAATATAAATAAATAAAATAATAAATACTATAAATTAATAAATAAAATAACTATAAACCCCCAAATGTTTACAAACTAAGCTATAATTTAATTAAAAAAAGAATGGCTAATATGAACAAATCTTTCTAAATTTCAACATGTTTCCAAATGACTCATGGTTAGAAGTAAAAGTTACAAATAAAATTAGAAAAAAAAATAAGTGAATTATAATAAAAATACAGCATAATATTTCTGTGATTAAACTAAAGCAATTTTATGGTATAAAATGCACATAAATAACAGAAGAAATGCTAAAGAGTAAATAATCTAATTATCAATTTCAAGATGCTGGAAAAAAACTGCAAAGAAAAAGAAAACATTAAACAGTAGAAATTCTTAAATAGGTGTATATTGAGAGAAATTTTGATTAAACAAAACGTTCAATCTTGGAAAAGATGAAGAAAGCAGACATATCTCTCATTTAAGCAAATGTATCAATTATAAAAGCAAATTAGAAGTTAAATGTTACCAATATTAGGAATTAAATAAATGCGTCAGTATACACCTTAAAGAAATTTAGAAATAAAAAAAAGATGCTACGAAGTATTTTTGCTAATACAATATACCTCATGATTACTTTGTGAAAGGGAGAGGAAGAAAGCATGATTGAACACACAGAAAAGCTTAACCACAATACGATTCCAGTGAAGGACTCACCCAACCCCACAGGATGGCTTTACAGAATCACCCAGAATTTTGGATAAGGAATCATACTTTTATATCTCAGTGTTGATGGGTTATTGGAAGGAAGGAAGGAAGGCAGGCAGGAAGGAAGAAGGAAGGAAGGAAATCAAAGGGAAGGAGGGAGGAAGGAGGGAGGGGAGGAGCGAGGGAGGGAGACAGAATAGCACGACGTTGGAGAAAGCCATTTTTACAGCTGACAGGATCTTCTAAGTGGCTGGCAACAAAGGTCTTCTTTAGGCAACACTTTTAGTAGCTGATGAACTAAATTTTTCACGGCCTTAAGGGGACTCTAGTAGTGCATCACAGGGTCCACCACAATATCCAAACAGAAAATCATAAAATCTGAAACCTATCTCCCACCACAGACAAAAGTAAATCCAAGAATATGTTCTAGACACCAATATGTGTTCTCATCATAAAAATGAACAGTCTTAGAGGGCACTTTGCAATGCAGGATATACAAGTGGCTAATAAGCATATGTAACCATCCTTAACTCATTTAATCATCAGGGAAATGGAAATTTAAATTTAAATTACTATTCAACACCAAAACAAATTTTAATATCAAAGGTTGATGGTAATGTGAAGAAATTTCAAATTACATCCTTTTGCAGGATTATAATTTTCTATAACCACTTTAGAAATTGTTTATTGTATAAACTTTATAGTAGGGACTAAGTTGAAGACAAGAATAGACTCTGACTGCCTAATTTCACACCTATGTGTATCCTCAGTATGCATATGTCTATACAGCATGGCACCAAAAGGAATAAATAAGAATGTTCACAGCAGCATTATTTCTAATAACTAAAACAGGAAACCCACCAAATGTTAATCCCAGTAGAATGTATACATACGTTGGGTATTCAGCAATAGAATACTAAAAAGTAATGAAAACAATTGCACTCCAGGTACACACAACAGCATGGATAAATATCATAGATATCATGTGGAATGAAATAAGTCAGACACGTAAAAGTATATACTTTGGCCCTATTTATATAAATTTCAAAAACTAGCAAAATTAATCAGCACTGATAGAAGTAAAAATACTGAGTAACTTAGTAGGCATGTTTTATTTTAACTAGGAGATGTCAGAGTGAGAGGTATCTGGAAGATTTTAGTGCTCTGTATCTTGATCTGGGTGTAGTTACGTGGATGTGTTCCTCTTGTAAATTAATCTGCACTTAAGATCTTTGTACATGATGAATGTTATATTTAAATCTATGCCATTCCTCTCAGTGCTCTACCTCACCTAAAAGAGAAAAATTAGCTGTCATTTTTTTATTGAATAAAAGTTAAATTAAATCATCAATGTTAGACTGTATTGTTTTTGCAATGGGTTGTGAGAGTGAATAATATTTATTGTGCATGTGGGTTTCTGGTTTTCCAGATTACTGAATGAGAGAACTTGGAAGCTTTATGAGAAAAAGTAATTTAAAAGAATATGACAGTAAGTGACTAAATTAGTAAAGCAAAATAAGAATAGTAAATAAAAACAGTAAGTAAGAAATTATAAAACTGAAATCTAGAGAAGACAGTGGAAAGTTATTTTTTTCTGAAGTTTAAGACATTATGACTATTCTCCTATAAAAACATCTTGAAGAGAGTTGTGTATTAGGAATATTATTAAGAAACTAATATTTGGAGAAGATAGTATTGTATTGATATATATATGTTTGGATGTTCCTTGGGTATTGTTCAAAATTACTGAAAATAACATTAAATCGTTAGTTTGATGGTAGAAATTTTAAAAATAGTCTTCAAATCTGGATTATTCAAGTAAAGTCACCATGATCACATCTGTTATACTTTTACCATAGTTGGATTTTGTTTGTCAGAATTCTTGTGACTACAGATATGTGCTATAAATCTATGAATAATGTTTTTCTCATATCAGCCTAGTAAAATTGAGTGTATTGTTGCTAAAGTTTACAAAATGCATTAAGTTGTAGGGTAAAATGTGAATACATACTAAGAAGTGAGAGATTGGATAGTGTTCTTCCAGGGGACTTCAGGTAAATTAGGCCCAGAAATAGAAAGTGAGACTCACATACCTGGTTCCCTTGCCTTGTAACTCCATACACGACTGGTGACAAAGACCTCAACATCTGTGACTGAACACCATTGTTCAAGGGGTAGCAGTCTTTCCCATTCAGCATTTCCTTGAGCTGGGCGTGGAATGCAAGCAGCCACTGATATTGCCAAGTATCTTTAGAATATTCTGGAATAAACCAGATTCCTTTTAAGGGGCCCAGTTACCTCACAGCTCTCAGCATAAAACAGAAAATGCTATTTTAATTTAAAATAGACAGATTCTGAACACAGCAGCAAAAGAAATTCTAAAGAATCGTAGAACGGACTGTCAGGTTTGGAGAGTCAGGTCATTTTCACAGCATTCTGGAGTTCAGACTGTGCCAGAGGAGTACGATTATAGAAGAAGAAATTACTCATGACAGGTATTGCGATGGCAGATGCTGGAATATCTCATAAGAATATAATTTTTTCCTACTAAGAAAATATTTAATTGACTAATTGTGGATGTCAGGTTTGAGAGAGAGAGTGCACACATATGGAAGCATATTAACTCGAAAACAGAAAGAAAAAATATGAATAGCTTGTCATTGTTAGGATACTGACCACTCACTTGTGATTTACTGACAAGTGTGTACTTAAAGAGTCTGCAATAGTGGTATGTTTTGGACATCTGTCCCTCCAATCTCATGTTGAAATGTGATCTTCATTGTTGGATGTGGGGCCTACTGGGAGGTGTTGTGGTCATGAAGGTGGATCCCTCATGAGTGGCTTGGTGCCATCCTCCTGGTGATGAGTGACTTCTCACTATATTAGTTCACTCAAGAGCCGGCTGTTAAAAGGAGCCTGGCACCCTCTCCTCTCCCTCTTACTCTCTCTCACCATGTGACACATCTGCTCCCCCTTAACCTCCCGCCATGAGTAAAAGCTTCCTAAGGCCTCACCAGAAGCCAAACAAATGTTGGAGGCACATTTGCACAGCCTGCAGAATGATTAACCAAATAAATCTCTTTTCTTTATAAATTACCCAGTCTCAGGTATTCCTTTATAGCAATGCAAACTGGACTAACACAAATAGGTATTAAGAAGTTCATCAGGCTGGGTGCAGTGGCTCACGTATGTAATCCCAGCATTTTGGGAGGCTGAGGCGGGCGGATCACCTGAGGTCAGGAGTCGAGACCAGCCTGACCAACATGGAGAGACACCACCTTTACTAAAAATACAAAATTAGCTGGGCGTGGTGGCGCATGCCTGTAATCCCAGCTACTCAGGAAGCTGAGGCAGGAGAATCGCTTGAACACAGGAGGCAGGGTTGCTGTGAGCCGAGATCGCACCATTGCACCAGCCTGGACAACAAGAGCAAAGCTCTGTCTCAAAAAAAAAAAAAAAAATAAAATAAAATAAATAAATAAAAAGAATGTTCATCAGAGGTAAAGAAATTTATTTGGAAGGCAGGAAAAAAAAATCCAAATTCTCAAATGCCAAATAGCTTATGTAACAAAAACTTTTTCTAAAGTTCAGCATAGAATGCTTAAAACGTGATTTCGTAAAGGAAAAAACATGGTAGTTTCCTATTACAGTGACTTATATGACATTGTGAAATGAAATCCATTTCTAATGTGCCCTGATTTTGCATATGTAGTGGTTCTACTCTACTGCCATGGCCCATTTTATTGAGCTTTTGCATGCAGAGCTAAAATTCTGAATTCTCATTTACTTGAGGGTAAAAATTAATGACTTTTGTTCCATTGCAGACTAGGCTAGTGAGGTCAGGAATTGAAATCTTTACTTAAGATACTGATTTTTTTTTCCTTTCCAAGTTTCAAAAAGCAATAAAGTGCCTTTATCTATTTTCCCTCTACATGTTAGCAGCGACAATTCAGTAGCAATAGAAATACTACAGAGCTGCATTGTGAAGTTGAGGCCCCTTTTCTAAAAATTTTCTCCCCTTTTGCTTCCTTTCCCGTTGTTTGCTAACATAATAATTAGGTACTTAAAGTGCCTTACTTCTTCCTAGAATTGTGATATATTCGGTAGTCTCTGTGGCAGTTGTAAGTGATGAAGAAAAAACTTTGGTTGGATATTTGAAATGTAAATTATAAATATATAGTTCTTTCAGAAACACAATACCAAATATATGCATGAATAACAAAAGCAAACTCTACACAGGAAATTTTATAATATAAATTTTGCAACATTATCAAAACCTATATTCTCCATAAATGTATTTCTCAATCCATTTTTATATATCCACTAAGAATACTGTTAGGAATGTGCTTGTTGCCTTGAAGGTCATGAAGGTCAGTGTGTGAAATCTGTCAAGAAAACAGTATCTAATTCTGCACTCTGAATAGAGTAGGCGCCAAATGAGCCAGTTCTCTGCAGAATAATGACCTCCAAATCCTTAAATCTTATCCTGCTACTTATTGAGGCCTCTCCTACCTCAGGTAGTGTCCTGAAGGAAATATAAATAGAGGACACACTATTTTAAAATTCTTTTTTTTTTTTTTCACTGTTTGTGCTTTCACTCTAGTCCTTACGCAGTCCACTCGTGTGATCGTGGATGGGTTTTTCTTGGCTCTCCTGAACCACTTTTGTTTAGACTTGAAGAAGACCTCTGATGTCCATCTGAAGCTTGTTCTCATGCCTCAGTTCACTCTTGTTTCAACTTTTGACTTTCAAACGGAAAATCTCTTAAATGAGAATACTAAATAGGAGAAGGTACAAAATAACTACTTGAATTATAAAAGCTTTTAATGTCTGTTCCTTTTACCAGAACTTAAGAATGCACAAGCATCTTGGCAAAAATGTTTCTTGCTGTAACTTTGTCAGAGCCCCATGTTGGAAGTGGAGGAAATGGGTGGATGGCGACAGGAACACTGTGGTTTTCCTGATGTGAGAGTCCAGAGTCAAGCATTAGCAAAGTATGGATGTGTTATTGAGGGTAAACACAGTCTTAAAAGACAACTGGCTACTCCGTCTCAAAAAAAACAACAACAAAAAAAGACAACTGGCTGCGTGCAGCATATCAAAATTCACATATTGATAATAGTTGAAAATAGTTGCTAATACAACATTAACATATTTTAATTTATTTGTATATTATTTACCTTTAATTTCAAGATTATAGAATCCAACAATCAAATTCTGGGGAGAACTAAATTTTTCTCAACTGAAATTATGTGTTTTAGAATTGAAAAGCAGATTCTGTCACATATATAATAAATTATCTACTTTTGAATATAAGCTTCATAGAAAATGATTGCATATCAACCATGTTTCCCCAATTTTTGCTAGGAATATTTGCCAACGTAATAGTCCATGTAGATGTCCTAAGTCAGTGTATTATATTTCAGACAACCTGAAGTAGTATTCGGTCTCTTAACATAAAGAGTGAGGAAAAACAAAGTGTAGAATCTAGATTTATTATAATACTCAAAGTTGTTAAACTGTTTTTTTTTTTTTGCTTGTTTTACTGTCTTTTTGCACATGGCTTACAGTATATTGATTAATCTATATCTTCAGCCCTATAATGTTTTGCTCTCCTCTTCATTTTCAATAGTATTTATTCTCTGTATTTTTATTCCATTCTTATAACTTACATTTTATTTAAGTGTAATAGTTGATTTAATCTATACTTTAATATTTCATTGGCATTTTTTGAGTACTTTACTTTTTACTTGTGAGACAGCTCAAAGTTTGAATTTTTTAAGTGTATAAACCCATGGAAATATATATACATGTGTATGTATAATTCTCACAATAAACATGATTAAATTCAAATCAAGCAAATTTAACGTTACACGTTTTAGAAATTCTAAGCTTACTTTTAGAAAGCCTATGAAAATAAAACTCAGAATAGCCTGTGCTGGCATTTATCAGTCTCAATTTTTAAATTAGCAGGTGGTGTTTTCATTTGAGTACAGAATATTTGAATGTTCCTTGATTGAAATCATATGAAAACCTGGTTTGATACTTTGGAAATGCAACTAAGCATTAGGAGTGTGTGTGTGTGTATGTGTGTGTGTGTGTGTGTGAGAGAGAGAGAGAGAGAGAAAGAGAGAGAGAGAGAAAGAGACAGAGACAGAAATGTTTTCATACATATGTTCAGTAGGTTGATTCACCTTTCAAATTGTGAGAGTATACCCGCATTTAAAAAATTGAAAATGAAATACTTAATACATATTTTGATAGTCAAAATTTCTCCTCTATAAAATGATTGTCTGTTTTAAGTAAACTCATGTAAAGTAAGAGAGAACTTGAGGTGGGCCTATCAGCTCTGAAAGCATATTTATTTGTAATAATACTTTAATAGTTCCTAGTATAAATAACCTCATTTAGGCCTAAAGAAATATTTTAATGGAATCTATTTTTTTAAGGTAGAATAGGTAGGAATGACCTTTATAAGTGTATCCTAAAGAAGGAATCAGGTATTTCAACAATTATTTTTGAGTAATTGTGTTCACTATGTAGTGATGAATAAGAGTAGATTATTAAAATCCCAAAATAAATGGAATTAGCTAAATCTTACAGCATTCAGTGTTATGGGCATTACTTTAAATGTTTTTCATTTATGAACTTGCTAATATATTAATCCTATGAACTATATATTATTATTAATGCTTTTTTTTTTCCTGCTAAGGAAACTAGATGACATAGGTAGTAAGTGACTTGCCCAGTCTAGTAAGTAGCAGAGCCATGTTCAAATGCAGGGTATCTCCCTTCAGATTCAGCACGTTAACCCATATGTTCAATTGGTACAGTTTGGCTCTGTAATGGGAGTATATTTTTAATATAGCATTTAAAAAGTGTAAAGTGTTTTTTAATAATAATAGTATATATTTAAAACATATGAGGATTAAAAGCTGCATATGTGGCCGGATCACATTTATATGCATATTTATGCAGATGTGAGTATTTACAGATATAGATTTGGAAATGGATAAAGATAACCAAAAGATACATTAACGGAGGAGCAAGGTCAGCCACCAATGAAATAAAATAATCTCTGTCCTGTGTCAAAACCTGAGCCCATTTGAAGACCCATAACACATCTTTGTGGAAGTTATATAGGTTGAATCTGGGTCCCCCTGAAGAAATTATCTGAGATGCCTTAGCAAATGTACAAAAATGTGATTCTCCTAGGTCTATGGCCAACGATCCAAGGACCTGCAAACTGAATTAATTGTAATACCCAAGAGATCTAAAGCACCATTATAGCTTCCCTGTTAGGGTAAAAGTAAATCCAAATCAGGTGATGGATGGAATCTTAGATTAAATTCAATTCACAGTGGACTGGGTTGCAAATTCATCAGATCCTATGCTATTTCATAATTCTCAGAAAGATATTCAGGTTGAAATGATTAGCAATTGACACAGTCTGCACATTTTGTTATTATTGTCATTGTGCACAGTAAAAACTACAGAAGGTAAGAACAATGAAAACCCTAGAAATGGTTTTGCTTCAACTATACAAAAATGGAAAGTCTGAAGCAGTACATTTTCCCTTGAAGAGTGGCAGAGGTTGGTGCAGCCCTCAAAAATTTAAAAAATGAGGTAGTGTTTCCCATTATGTCACCATTTAATCAACCAATATGACTCTGCAAAAAACCAGAGTGATCATCATAGAGAATAGTGGACTACTGCAAACATAGCCAAGTGGAGGAGTCAATGGTAGATGTTCTGTGAACTATATTGTCTTTACTAGGACAAAACACCACAGCCTCTAGTGTATGTGATGCAATTATTGATCCGGCAAATGCATTCCTTTCAATACCACAGTCTAAGGAAGAACAGAAGTAGTTTGCACATAAAACACATTACTATATGTATTAACTCACCTGTTGCAAAATACTTTCAAGGAACATTGATTTTTAGATGTTTTAGGACATAATTTGTATGCTTTTTTCTTTTTTATTGATATGTAATAATTGTACATATTTATGGGGTATATGTGATATTTTGATACATGTCTACAATGTATAATGATCAAATCAGAGTATTCAGTGTATCTACCATTGAGTATTATGTTGGGAACATTTCAAATCTTCTCTTATTCATTTTGAAATATACAGTAAAGTTGGCTAGGAGTACAGGATTTCATGGTGGGAGTGTGGGCCTCTGGGTTCTCTTGCTTATCTGTTTTCTTGCGATGGGGAGTTCCTCTCGGCTCCAAGCTGATCCCTGGCCAGCTTCTCCTTCAGTGCCTCAGAGGTTCCTGGCCACTTCCCTGCTGAATTAAGGTGTTCTCTCTTAGATGCTCCAATCAATGTGTATTTATCTACTTGTGCTTTTGGTCCTTTTATTGTGGAGGAGGGACAGCCAGGTGCCTCTAGGCAGCCATCTTGAACCTCTCTGCAAGACATGTTCTTACACAAGTAAACTTAGAAATATGACTGCTAAATGCTAGTCTCTTGATTGGCCTTTTCACTGATTTTAGTGCAAGTTCAGGTTCATTCCTCTACCCGTGGAGCTTCCCCATGATTTTGTATTCTAAGTTGATTGTTATCACATTAATCAAACAAGATAAGAAAGATGGAACAAGAATTATGGATGCCGGGATAATAATCATGCAATAAAGAGTGCTGGAGGGATCCTATAGAGATGAAGGGCCTAGTACATTTGTGAAGATTTGGGGAATCCAGGCAACTACAACATGCACAGGCATCTAGAACATGCACAGGCATCCGCTGCAGGAAAATAATAAAGTATTTCATACTATATGACTAAGAAAAATGCTTCATTTTAGTTCTTTTCGGTAGCATATATTTAAGTAGCATAACCTTTGAGAATACTGCTACAACTTATTATCAGGTGCCTTCAAATGCTGTCAATATTGAGTAAGGCTTGGAACAAAAAAGGGCTCTGTTCCGAACTGTGGCTGTGGTACAAATAACACTGCCACTTGGAACATATTGTCTGCACAATCTCATGGTGCTGAAAGTATATGAAGTAGATAATTTTGTGTGCTGAACATGGCAAACCCTAACGGAAAAGTCACAGATAAGCTTCTTAGGGCTCAAGAGTAAGGACCTCTTCAGCAAAGGGTTGCTGAAAACCATTCAGAAACACCACTCTGGCATGTTTCTGGATTCTGGAGGTGATTGAACAGGTGTCTATGAGCCTCTTATGAGCTGGATGCCGCCAGGCCCACCAACTCATAAGTTTGGGCAGGCATAGCAGCTATCCATTCCACCACGGAAACAATACATGTAGGATTGGGTATGAGCCAATTCTGAGGCCACAAGTAATCTGAACACACATGTCATCTGCCCCTTTAGTAAGGAGTAAGACAGATTTAATATATCCATCAGTTTAACTAAACTTCAGACAATTTTCTTCCTGCCTCTAGGCCCATGACCTCCTTTTCACACAGATCCTTATAGAATCCAGATGGTCTAACCACAGGAACTCTCCCCTTCCCCTTTCTTAGAGCATTTACTTTATAGAACTTGTCATTGTAAATTTTTTCTCTGCCCTTTTGAGATGTAAATCATTTTAAAAGCCTCTTGCCAGTTTTACAATCAAGGAATGTCTTCCTCAAGGACCCAGGATCCATCTCATTGAAAAGAAATCATCAAGGGACATAGCATCACTCTCTCTAAGTTTCTTTGGGGAGGTAGGAGATTAACTGCTACGAGTCCTTTGCTCCAAGTTGTGAAACTATTCCTTTCACAAAGATAAGAGAAAGGTTACCTTTCCTTTGGCAAAGATGATTAGCAAATGTAGATAGCCTGTGTTCTCCCTCACACTTCAGTGCTTAAAAATCCACCTGCTTTTGTTTCAGTGGAGTTCAGCTCAGGCTGAATCCTGGTTCCTCACCCCTATTGCAACAGCCTTACATAAATTACTCTTCACCTGTATAACTTTTCCCAGTGCAGGTTTTGCTTTGGCAATGCTGACACATCCTCCTCATCTTATGCCTATGGCTTCATGAGGGTCTTCCTATGACCAGAGGACAGAGAGGAAGAAAACATAACTTTGTGGAAATTTCATTACACTGATCCCATTCTGCTTAAAAGTGCAGCAATTCATTCTGATGGAGACTGACAACTATTCCAGGATTAATTTTTCGATTTCTGCCTGGAGCACTTCAGAAAGTACCACTCTCCAAGTGTTTAATAAATGTTTCTTTTATTGACATAATATCTTAAATAACATCACTACAGTACAAGAAAACCACTTTATGGTAAAAAGAGGTGCATTAATGAGAATACTACCATGGAATCTACTGGTAGTCCTGCTACTGCATCATCCAGTAGCTGCTGGTGTGACAGAGCATTGGACTACCCTCTTAGAGGTTGAATTATGCCTGTAGCTTGAAGATGGGGCCCTTGAGTGTTTGACTTTTCTTTGGGGATTTGTGCCTGAGGCCAGCAGCCATCACAAAGTGCCAGAAACAAAGGGTGAAGACAGAAGTAAATTTCTTCTCAGTCCTTTCTGATAAAATAATTGAGGAAATACTGCTTCCCATTCCTTGCAGCTTTAGGTTTGGTGAGTTTAGAAGTTGTGGTTCCTAGAAAGTAAATAATTCTCCCAAGGGAGATAAAGCACCCCACTAAACATAAAGCTACAGCTGCAGCCTGCTCACTTATGCTCATCATAGTGAGAGACCAGTAAGCAAATAAAGGGTGCTGCATACTTGAAGGGGTAGTGGATTTGTTCAAAATGAGGTAGTGTTGCCACTGCTACATAATTTGGAGCAGGGAGGAATATGTTCCAAATTCAGTGGATTCTCCAAGACAATTAGAGCAACTAGGAGCTCAGATTCCTTAGTGGTGACTGGATCACTTAACCAGTCAACTTACCTAGAGAAGTAGAAGCATTAACTGCAAGAGAAGAAAATGGGTGATAGAGGAGGAAAATGAAGAATGTCAGCTAGGAATGCACGTTCAGTAGCTCTGTTCAGTCACTTTTTACATGTAAGTTTTGTCCCAGGAATTTTGACCAGCCACAGTCTAGAAAAAGGCATTCTCAGATAGAGGAAATCACTGGGAGGCATAACTGGATCCAGTCTTTGAAAATCATAGACTGCAGCAAACACAGATCTTGTGTATCAATTCTGTGCATCTCTCCCAGCCTGTGCTTCCCAGGGCCCATACCTGGAATTCTCTGTGGAGAACTGCCTTAGGCTACTGAAGCCAATCTGTCTGTGTGTGTAGACAACCAGAAATGTCTGGAAATGTATGTCTGCTTTCTTCCCATTCCCACTCCTCCAACTACGACGTCCTTGGCCAATAACTGCTGTGAGAATATGAAATCTTGTCATCTCGCCTTGAATTGCAGCCACCATAGAGATATAATTAATACTCCAAAGGCCGCTTATGAGATTATGCAGAGGCTACACATTTACCTGAAGATTTACCTTTGTTTGGCATCTTCAACTTTCCCCATTTCCTTACTGTGTTTTCTTCTAGAAAATATTCTTAACCAATTTCCGTAAGGCAGTCTTCATCTGGAAATCTTTACACATGGCACTTCAACTTATTTATTGACACTGTTAATCAGTTTTTGGGTTCTTTGCAGCCAGACACATGCATCCTAAAAAGTGCCAAATAAAAGTATTCAGGAGTCTGAGGCAGGAGAATCATTTGAACCCGGGAGGTGGAGGTTTCAGTGTGCTGAGATTGCACCACTGCACTCTAGCCCGGGCAACAGAGCGAGACTCCATCTAAAAAAAAAAAAAAAAGTAAAAGGGGATCAACAAGCTTTACATATCAAAGCGAAATGGAATACTCCAGAATGCAGCCAACTTGACCATGGTGATATCCTGGCATTAAAAAACAAAGTACCAGCTGTCTTTTTGGTGTAAACTTTATCTCCTGCTCTACCTACTAAAGCAAAGCTGCTGGGTGAATGGGGCTTCAAGTTACAGAAGGACCCAAAAAGCCTGGGTCTGGGTTTGGTTTGCTGATGATTGAGCTGGGCCAGGAGCTGATGGTTTTCAGGCACTGCTGCAAGTGTTAAGAGAGAATGCCAGCAGAAATGAAATGGACATGGTTACTCTGCTCGGTGGGCAGAACTCACGGCCATTTCCATGGCTCGAGACAATACTCCCATTGCTTCCCTTGTGGAATTTTACAAACTCTTAGGCTATTGCCAACAGTCCAGCTGTTTGGCTTGCCACTTAGAAAACTACAGACTGGGAGATTAATGACACACCTGTTTGTGGTCACAAACTGTAGAAAAGATGGTGGCTCCTGATTGAATTCTGAGTCAATCCCGTGGATGCCTACAGTAAGAGTCTGTTCTCTAATGAGTCCAGATGAAATTGGGCTGATTATTAAGCTTGCATGGCCCAGAGTGCCACCAATGCCTCCCGATGCATCATCATAACTGCTATGGCAACATATCCACCATCACAGGCTGGGCACAAGGTAAAAGAATCTATGTATCTGATGCTAAGGCTGTCACTGCATTCTAGATTTGTGACTCGTACGAAAAGTGGAACCATTTGTCTTACTATGAGAAAAGTCACATAACTCAGGTCAAGGCCCTTGCCACTCCTGGCAGATTGACTACATCTGTCTTTTGCTGCTTTGGGGATATCACCGATGCCTAACCACTGTTAAAAGTTTTCAGGCTAGGCCCAGCACTGTGGCTCACGCCTCATAATCCCAGCATTTTGGAAGGCCGAGGCGGGCAGATCACCTGGGGTCAGGAGTTTGAGACCAGCCTGACCAACATGGAGAAACCCTGTCTGTATTAAAAATTACAAAATTAGCCAGGCAATGCAGTGCATGCCTGTAATCCCAGCTACTCGGGAGGCTGAGGCAGGATAATCACTTGAACCCGGGAGCTGGAGATTGTGGTGAGCCAAGATCACGCCATTACACTTCAGCCTGGGCGACAAGAGCAAAACTCCTCCCTCCCCCCTCCCCCACAAAAAGAAAAGTTTTTAGGCTATACATTTGCTGTTCCAGTCTAAGTCGACATTAGCCGCATGATTCTGGTTCTTAAGTATAATCTGTATTTTTGGCTTTTTGAAGCTCTTTGGAGTCTGACAATTGAGCACCTTTTACAGCCACTTAATAATGGGTGGTAAGGTAAAATGTTAGCACCTTTACAATTCTTGACAATGCTTTATACAATTTAAAATAAAATTATTTCCAAACTCTTTTTAATATGAGCATTTGCATGAAATAAATGAATTATACACCAAGAGACACACACTACTATTTACATTCAGTCAGCTTATTGTTTACTTGAGTAAGGTCATGTGGCCAGGATTGTAACTTTTATTCCACAGATTTAAAGAGTACCTATTAGATCATGTGAAGTGCAAAATCACCACAGTTCTGATATGAATTGGGGAAGAAAAAGGCAATGGTATATCAGGCTTAAAATATAGACTCAATTCATGGCACATTCCAGTTTTGATGGGCATGGCACCTGAATATCAACTCATTCCTCAGACTGGGCTCCCTATTGCTGTTTCTTTGGACTAAACATTTCATGATAAAACTTGTGTGTTCTTACCTCCTAATCAGTTGTTGTGATAATACTTTATTTTCTTTTTGTGCCATCCCTATAAATTAATAAACCTATAGTTATAAAAGTAGTCCCTTTTATAACGCTGCCAAGCACAGTTTTACTTTGTACCACTTGAGAAATTTACACAAATAAAGCTGAGATAGAGAATAAGTCTTGTGTCTGAGACCAATAGAAATGTTAACTTGCATCTATTCTTCAAACTCAAGGGAAATGTGTGTGTGTGTGTGTGTGTGTGTGTGAGAGAGAGAGAGAGAGAAAGAGAGAGAGAAAAGACAGAGAGAGAAAAGACAGAGAGAGAGAGAAAGAAAGAACCACAGAGACAGACATAATGACTGACTTTCATATTTGCCTTTATGAGGCAAGGATTCTACCCAAGTTGATTTACTGCATGGAAAGAGGAATGGATGTGGTGGATACAAGCTAACCTGAGGGACTAAGCTACAGTGTTTAGTCATCTATTTTGTTCCTGTCTCACTAAACAACACATCATTACTCCTCTTTCACGAGGACTGGATGAGGGGCGTAGATACCAACTTCCCAATGATTCAAAAGTTTTTACTGGACTAAGAAAAATAGGAAGGCAAGAAGAGGACAAAAATAACTCTTCCTACTTAGGGCACATGTTGATACAGCTTCCATAAACTTTATTATAATACTTGAGGCTGATTTACTGCCAAACCTCTATGCTTCTGAGTACTGTAACTGTTTGCTAGCAGCATCAAGGGGCTGTTATGAGACTCAACTGCATACTTTAAAATGTTGTCCTCCCCAGAGCAAACAGTACAATGATGTTACATAAACTATATAGGCTGAAATCTATAATCCCTCATATATATCTTAAACACAGAGCATGTTGATGTTAAAGGTGAAAAAAAGAAATATTGCAGAAGGTCTTTCATCCTTTTGCCTCTTTGAATTTGAGGCTACTATCAACAGATGCAGTGATTTCCAGTTGATAGAAAGCAGTGTATACTATGTGTTCAGTTTCAGAGACACACTTCACTTGTCATGATGACATCTTAATAATAAATTGTAAAATCACCTTCACATGGAAAATGTTTTCAGTGAAAGAAAACAAAAACCTAGAAACTAAAATTCATTACAAATAAAAAGTTTATTTAATTTATAAATTATATTTGTTCAATACAAATAAAAAAAATTTACATGCGTTCAGCTAATATCAAGTAGGATAAGTAGGATAGAAACACCATATATTTCATTATGTTTTTTTCCAACTCTGGTCATTTAATCTCTACAGAGGAAGTTGTTCTTCATTTAATAAAAGTGGTTTCTTTGTCAATTCTCTTTGTCCTTGGTCTTGATTCATTTTAGTAATGTCCATTATAAAGAAAGGAAATTAAAAGACTTGTATTAGTGTAGAGGTTTGGCACTCAATAAATCATAGTTTTGAAAATATGCCATGTTTTATTCATTGAAGAAAGCATTAACATGACAAACTTGGAAGTCTCTTTGTAGATTTTTTACTACAAAATAGTACATAGAAAAATAAGTACATTGATATTGGTTCAGGTATTTGCAATGTAATTATTAGATTTCCTAATTGGGTGTCCAGCTTTTTAAAATAACTGTGGAAATAACTCAGATGCAAAGAAATAAAGCTTACTATTTTTTTCAAAAAGGCGTCAAAATAGTATTTACTCACTGGTTGATTGCTGAGAAGGAGGTTGTATGATTTTTGTCAATAATTTATGTAATAAAGGATCAAAATTCAGTTTAACTAGAAAAATTACAGATGTTTAAAAGTGCATTATAATTAATCTAGATAAGAAAAATTGATCCACTCTTTTATGTAATATTTTTCCTTGGCAAGGTCCATGATATAGATAACATATTTTCAATAACAGGCAGTAGACAATGTGTTTCAAAATGTTTGATGATGAAAACTTAGATATTATCAAGGGCAAGACTTTCTCTTTAAGCTAGAAAAAACTTAAGTGATTTCCTTGAAGTCAAGGAGCTAGTTAGTAGCAGAGCCAAGAATAAAACCCAGTTCTCCTGTCTGCAGCACTAGATAGCAATGTTCCCACCACAGGCTGTGACCTCCATGCAGCCTGAGTGTGCACAAATATCTTTAAGCTGATAGCTAAGAATGATCACTCAGAATGAAGTGTCATACTTAAACTGAACACTTTTTTTTTTTTTTTTTTTGAGACAGGGTCTCACTATGTCACCCAGGGTGGAGTGCACTGGCACGATCTTTGCTTACTGCAACCTCTGCCTCCCAGTTTCAAGCGATTCTCCTGCCTCAGCCTCCCCAGTAGCAGGGAATATAGGCATCCGCCACTGCGCCCAGCTAATTTTTGTATTTTCAGTAGAGACAGGTTTCCCCATGTTGGCCAGGCTGGTCTTGAACTCCTGACCGCCTTGGCCTCCCAAAGTGTTGGGATTACAGGCGTGAGCCACTGCGCCCCGCCTTATACACATTTTTAATTGTAGGTAGAGTATGTAACTTTCCTGTGATTCCGGCAAAAAATAAATCTGTTTTGTATCTTGAGAATCACTGAACTATTCAGTTTTTATTTACAACCTCATTGGTGCACCAGAATTTCTATATGGAAAGAGGGTTTGGGGAGCTATTATCTGTTTGTAAGAGAGGCCTAACGACACTTTTTTACCCGTGGACACTTAAACAACAATGAGAAATATGGCAGTTTTCCCTATTAAGCAATTTGTGTAGGGGAGGTACTGAAGGAGATTTTAAGGAGTTGAAATGGTTCCAGTGAGCTTCGTGGTGCCAACTCTGCAGAGAGCTTTTCCCACATAGTTAGTTCCAGTTAGCAGGTTGTTGAGTTTCTATCAGAATAGGCGGCTGCCCTACCTCTCTGCTCCTTCTTCACCAAAACACTGTGTCCCTCTTGCCTCTAAATCTCCTTCTAACAATCACACACACACACACACACACACACACACAGACACACCACAAAAAAAAACCCCATGCCCCCAAAAGACCCTGTTTTGCAGAGCTTTATGCTCTTTGCTTTCTGGGGTCAAAAGTCTATCTTATTCTCCTTTTTTTCCCCTTAGTCTTTGAACCAAATCATCTATGTGAGGAGTGTGCGATTTTTACACTAGTTGCATTTCAAGGATGTGTGAAATCTTCCACGTAGCCTGGCACAAGATCAGCAGCAAGGCTACTTCATTGTCAGCGTGTTCACAATGATTGATCTCAAGGAGAATTTCCTTTCATCAGCCAGAGAGGAGAATCATTTGGCTGATTTATTATTATGGCTCATCACCTTGGAAGGTTCCTTAAGAGACCTTTCTGCATGACATGTAATCTCCATCAGTGAGTATATTTACCATGACATCTACAGTTTGATACATACCTGGAATATAAACTGTTCTAAGATTTTAGTTACTGTTTTACATTGCACAAATTGCTGTTTTATCACTTATTGCTTGACCATATTTCTCTGTTATTGTCAGTGCTTTTGGCCTATCTAGGGGACGTGGCATGATCAGTCTCCTTTTCTAACACAATCCAGTTGAGATCTGTTGCATGTTTTAAAGCCTTTCACATGGATAGAATGTTGTGTATTGTTTTTCAGGCCTTTCACACAGATAGAATGTATCTAAAATGATTTAGAAAATATAAAACCCTACTGAAATCAGATAATTTCAGTAAATATCTCATTCTTAGAAATAAATATTTCATCTCTGTCATATACCAGCCATTCAGACAATGTTTCTGAAATATTCCATAGAGTTTAGAAAGTCTTAATATTTTATATATTATGTAAGTTCTTACAAAGCAATAGTTCATAATTATGTGATTTCTGTTTTTACTTTTTACTATCAAACTATAGTTATTTTATTTAATTAATGATCTCTTTCAATAAGCGTTTCCAAAAGCTGTTATGTAAAAAACTTAAAATAAATAGTTACAACTTTTAGGCTGAAAGAAATCTTAGGAATCTAATCTTCCTGTCCCCGGATGAAGAAACTGAAAACCCAAATAAGTTCACACAATTAATTATAGAACCACAAGTGATATTTAGAGCCCATCGGTAATTAAGTTTTTAGTAATTCAATAAATTATACTATGCTTTACCCCCAAATAACATATGCCACACACTTCACATATAGTTTCGCCCTCACTTCATAGTAATAATACTTTATGAAGAATGGGAATGTTTAGAGAGGGAAGCTAGACCAGTAAATAGGCACTTCAGGAATGTGGATAACTGTTAGAAGCAATTTGACTCATTTTTCATTGTTCATTTCAATTAATGATTTTATTAAATCGCTCTAAATATTTGTTAATGATTAATTAACAAAATAAACTATATGTTATAGTAAGAGACAGGCATCAACTAATATCTTGATTGCTTTAATATAATTATGTATTTTAAGCCATCTTAATCTAATTTTGGTATTCTATTGTACTCTAGTTGCAGAGCCAATCTCAATTACACCTCTAGCTATGCTTGCTCTGAAAATAAAGTGTCAGGGAATGGAGTGTCTCTGTATTGGGAATTAGCTGCTTAAAGTTGATTTTGTAAATTTGATCTAAATTATGCATGTGACTTTAGATATAATTCAAAGTCAGTGCAAAAATATATATGATGCTCTAATGACCATTCATGGTTCATATTTTAAAAAAAAGAAAATGAAAGGAAATGCAGCTATTCTTTCAAAAACCAAGAAAAGTATTTCATTTGCTACGTGAATTTTTTTTTTTTTTTTTTTTTTTTTTGTCTCGCTGTATTGCCCAGCCTGGAGTGCACTGGCGTGATCTCGGCTCACTGCAACATCTGCCTCCCAGGTTCAAGCAATTCTCCTCCCTTAGTCTCCCAGGTAGCTGGGACTATAGGCATGCACTACCATGCCTGGCTAATTTTTGTATTTTTAGTAGAGATGGCATTTCACCATGTTGGCAGGCTGGTCTTGAACTCCTGACCTCAGGTGATCTGCCCAGCTCGACCTCCCAAAGTGCTGGGATCACAAGCGTGAGCCGTTGTGCCTGGCCTGTTACCTGAAATGTTAATACCAGTCTATGATTTACCTTCCGACCTGACCTGCCTTGGTCGGTTCTTGGATGCCCAAAATATGTAGTCCATAAAGCACCTGTGTGGAAATCTGATCCAAATCCTTCTGGATTGGGAAGAATACATTCATATCATTAAGAGAGAGTATTTGGTATCATTGAGGGACATTCTAGAAGAAGGATCAAAATATTTCAGCTCTACTCTACAAGTCTGTTATTCCCCGTGGGACTGAATTCTGTTTCTTGGCCTCTATGTTTTGACTTTGAAACTACAAAAATGTAATTAGTTGACTTTACATGTTTTTTTCCAATATCAGTATGCTGTGATTCCAAGAAAAAATGATTTAACCAAATGGAAAAACAAATAGTTATTCTGTATATATTTTTTCACACATTTTAATTGTCCTCTCAAAATTACATGAAAATTTTGAAAATAAGTAAAAGTTGACAACTAGCAGCTTTATTATGTACTGCTGCACAATAAGGATTTCATAACATTTTGTTACAACATGGCTGTTCTTTGGAAGCTGTGATTAAAAGAATGTCCAACATCATTTTTAAGATACAGCAAAATTCTACACTCAACCATGTATAAAAACAAATTCTAGCATCTTAATAAAAAATTAATAAACATTTTCCCAAACAGGAAATTATGTTCCATAATTATAATTTTTTTAAAAAGCCAGAAATGACAGAAAACTAGACTTAGGAAACAAGGATACGGAAGCACCTATTATAAATATGTTCAATTTTCTTAATATATTACAAGAAATCATGAACAAAATTAGAAATGGAAATAAAGTAAGCAAAAAGTTTTTCAGTAGATTAAAGAAAGGAAATATTTGTGGATTGGATTTAATACAATTTTAAAATGGCATTCTTTGGAAAGCAATGTTAATCAAATGACTTGTTGTTTGTATTATTTTTTAATTTACGGTTTCAATTTTTAATATTGCAGGACATGTTAATGATTGGTTTTCAAAAATTTTGGTATTTGGTTTATTAAATTGTAACATCTTATCTCTGCATTTTCCTCTAGTTAATTTCCTATACGTTTTGAGAAAACTTTATAAACTTGACCTTCACATTCTCATTTGATTTATTTTATTCCCAATCCTGTTTTCTCTTTTAAGTACTTTAATGCTTTTTTTTTGTTTATTATTGTGTATTCATCTCATTTGTGTCATTATATATTTTATCTGGCTACATTTTAGCTCAGTTGTTAATGCTTTAACTTTTTTTTAACTTTATTGAATTCATACTTTCTTACTTTGAACTGCTGAAGAATTTTCAAATAATGTATTCTGACCCATAATTTAAAAATTAAATAATTTTATGAGGTGTCTTCTTACTGTCCGTCTTCAGAAAGATGTTTCTCTTTTTAGCTTTTTGTTTTTGTTTATATTTTAAATTTTCTGTTTAGTTTAATTAGTCTTTGTATTGGTTGCTGTCTCACTTTTTTATAAGAAATCATGCTTACCTATGAATTTCATGTTTTCATCTTATTTATATAAATTTCTGAGATACAAATGTAGTTTTGTTACATAGATATATTTTGTCGTGGTAAAGTCAGGGTTTTTAGGGTACCTATCATCAGAACGAAGTACAATTGTAACGATGAAGTAATTTCTCAACCTCCACTTAACTCCCACCTCTCACCTTTCTGAGTCTCCACTGTCTATCATTTCACACTCCATGTTCTTATGTACATATTATTTAGCTTCTACTTATAAGTGAGAACATGTGGTGTTTGTTTTCTGTTTCTGAGTTGTTTCACTTAAGATAATGGCCTTCAGTTTCATCCATCCTGACTCAAAAAAGACATGATTTCATTCTCTTAGAAATGAATTATCAAATAAGAATTGAATTTCCTTTGGCTCTATTCTCTTTTTAATTGAGTTCTATGATGCACTTCAATAAAATAAAAACACAAGCTGACAGAAGAAGGGCAAGTCTAAAACCTAATTGCAAATGTTTTTCTCAAATTTGACTGTGTAGGACTAAATGGGATCTCTTCTCATCCATTAAACCGTATCCAGCCCCCGAATGTCTACTTGACAGTCTTCTCTGCTTATACAATGGTTAGACTCCAAAAGTATTTATCAGTCTAAAATTATACAATGTCAGTAACTGCAAGTCTTCCTGTAGGTGTTCTGCATTATTCATGCATTTAAGTTGCTTGTATAAATTTGCTCTATATTTAATCTATACCATTTTATAAACTGAAAGTTCTTAAGTATAAGATATTTCATACCTTGAAAAGTAGGGTAAAAGTAGAATTTTAATATCCGAAATGCAAAGCTTCCAAATAATGCCTTGTTTTTGCCATGACTACAGGAATTAATTTGGAAGATTTTCCTACCAGATTAACATATTCACCATCAATTTACTCCCATTTCTTGCTATACACAGAGTTAATTTTTCTAAAAAGATAAAAGATTATGGTGATCATTCTGGCATCGGCATTTCTGACTGATTGTAACGTCCATGGCCAAGAAATGGACAAAGATTTGTCCGAAGTTCCAGTTGGTTCAGCTGGTGTTATCGTGAGTACCTGGGAAAAGTGAGGGGAAATTTGAAAGCGCAAAGTACTTTAGGCATAATTTTAGAAAATTCTGCCATTTATGTAGTCTTTAGTTTTGTAAAAAAGTACTTTTTGTTTCTGGTAATGTGAAAACTCTAAATCCTAGCTTTTGATACTTTCATAAGTTTTTGTTTGTTTGTTTGCGTGCTTTGTTTTTTTCTCTTTTTGTGTTTGGTGAGTGGGAAGAATGTGGAAAAGATGAGAGGAGCTTCGATTTTCTAGCCAGGCATCATTTTAGGTTAGATATTGTATTATTTTTCTGTTAAAAACAAGATACTTATTGAAAATATTGTGGGTCTTTGAATTTAGCATACCATTATTATTGATTCCTTTAATTTATTCTTCAAATAAAACTTTGTTCTATTTGTTTAAAATGCATTATGTACTAATCTGGCCCATGGCCTTTCAACTCAAGAGGATACAATATCAGAAGGACTCCTTATATAAAGAAGGAATGATCATATGGATCAACAATAATGAAGTTCCATTATGAAAAGTTTTATACATTTGTATTTCTTCTGTTAGATTACCTGTTTTTAAAACTGCTAACAAAATCGAATATGTTATCTTAAAGCAACCTCTTTTATTACAGTTTTGAGCTAAGTATATATAAATTTTCCTTGAGATGTATTTGCAGAATAACTCTACTTGGCATAGATTTTAGGATATTGGTCTTCATCACAAATTGGTGAATAATTATTATTGTGCTGAAACATTGCTAATAGTATTTAGCACTAATACGTCATAAAAATAACGACAGAAGATAAGAATGTGTAGTTTAGTTGGCGCTAGTTTGTACTGATTTTCTACAAAAGGCTCATCATTGCTGTCTTTCCTTTTAATTGTTTTCATGATTTCACCCAAACTTATTAAAATAAAAGCAACTGTATTAATAAAAAACAAATTGACTTGTGCTTATACAAACTTTGTATCTTTGGGGACATAAAGGACATTAACAATTCTTACTGTATTTGTTTCACAAGACTGTGTTTTTTATCATTGCTAACAAAGGTGAATTTTATTCAAAATAGACAGAGTCAATATTGTTGTCATGATCTTTTCAGAATCATGAGATTGAAATAAATTGCCTATAAAACTTTGCAATCTTTCATTTCCACAAAATTTTCCAAATTGACAACCGCTTCTTCATTTTACAGTGAATCTCACAGGTTCACAAAATGACTGAGAGCAATGAAGAAATCATTGTCAATGAGTTCTCATATTCATAGTTTCTCTTTTAAAAAATAAGGGCCTTAGCTGAGATAGCCTGCTGCTGCTTGCAAAACCGCATCTCGGTTGTTTTTAGAGAATAAATAGTTTTCATATAGAGAAAATTTTAGATCTTTGACTTTTATTAGGCTTGGATTCTGGCTGCTGCTTTCCACTTCCAGTTTGATTATTTCTAGCTGTTTCAATCCATAACATAATATATTATCATAAATATATCTTATGTATTTATTATATAACATACTATGTATTATTATATAAATATATACTTATATTTATATATTATTGATATATAAACCATACATATTTATATGAATATAATCTGAGAATAACTAGAATGCATATGATTGGCTAATAAAATCTGCCTAGGAAATGTTTCTGAAAAATTCCAGGTCTCACACATGCGGAGCAGACTGCAAATGACACTTCAGTTTACAAACCCTTGGTATTGAGTTTGATTCTTCATTTATACGATTGCTACTCTGCCAGATGGTAGAGTGGCTTTAATCCAGGGAACTAACTGTGGTGAAAGTACACAGAACAGTGTAGGTCTGACTCATGCAAAAACTGCATATAAAACACTCAGAAACCAAATAGCAGCAGCAATAGTACAGTGTCAGGCCCTATTACTGTTATTCAAGTGTTTTCTTGCTCATTGCTTAATTTATTCTGCACGACAATTTATTCAGGAGTCATCACAGCTATCTGATTATCTTACTTTATATGACTAGATACATTATCAACATCTTATTCTTCAGAAATGTTTCAGTATCTTTCAGTTAAAATTATTTGGTTAATATTTTATATTTTAGTCTTTTCAGTCAAGTAAGAAGAGAGACATAGCTCATCACTCTGTTGCCAAAGACACACCCTAGTTCTGATGAGCAGCTGTATCTAAAATAGTTCTCCAAAGCCTTGGATGAGGTTACATCATTTATACAAACATTTGCACTTTCTTTTCATGCTTCAGGTGCATATTTTCATAAAACTACCTCCTATTCATAACTTAAAACTTTAATCAAAATTTCCTACTGGCCTAAAGCTACCCAGGGCTATGACTTAAACAAAATTTATTTGCAATTAATTTTTCTTACATTTTGGCTGACCTTCAGTCATCAGTTATAGCAATAGAATTTGCATTACATAATTATAAATCAAAGTATTTTAAGAAGTCTACTTATTCAGAAAATTTTACATGTGAAATGTTTGCAAAAGGGAAGATAGTTAAATGTCTTCAACTCACTTATCCTGTGATATCATGGAAGGAAGTCACCACGTCCTTCACAAATGAGTAGGCAGGCATTAGGCAGTTTGGCCTAGATCTATACCTGATGCAAAAACTGGACAATGTGTATATCCGTGTTTATGTAGAATAGAAAAATTATCACCTGGATGTCCAATTCAAGAAAATTTAAATAATTTAACTGAGAATATTTAATAATAATTAAATTGCCACACAATCTAAAATATTACATTTTCCATTTTCACTTTTAGAACTTATATTATTAATTTATGGAATAAAATATTCTTAATATTTTGCTCAGAAAATTTACATAGTATTCATAATTAATTAGCATATTAGAGAGGAGAATGCATCTAATTTCAAAGCATACAATTAAAGTCTGTAGAACTTTAACATCCTTTAATTAACATTCTTATTTTAGAAATGAGAGGAAAATACAGTAGTGTTCTTCTTATTAGCCTGATCTTTCTGTTTATGAAAGTTTAACACACTTATATTTCAATAAAACACCTTTCTCTGAAAACACTTGCACACATTTACATCTCCTCCTTAAATAAACAATAGGTGAAAATGTCAGTTAAATGTCTTTATTACTGTAATTATAATTAATTTTCAGCAATGAAACAGATTGTAAGCACACTAGTGTAACTGTATATTTATTTTAACTATTAGCCATGTTCCTCCTATTGTGAAAATGATTTTAAGAACTTGGGTGAATATGCTTATTACAGAATTCATACTATCTCCCAAAATAAATATCAGCAGATAATAAAGCAAAGGTCACTATTTTAAATTGTATTTATGTAATGGTTCTTCACATTATTTTTATATTACATTTTATTCATGGGCATACATTCAAAATTTCTACCATAAACCCTTAAATTTCAAATTAGCTTTAATATTAAAAGGCAGAGATTAAAGGAAATAATTTGCGTAATACAAATTATGGGACAGGAATAAAGCGCTGTTTTTTATTTATTTTTAATTTTTGCCTTAAACCAGTCTTTCAACTAGTGCTGAAAAAAAATCCTAAAGATAGTTTTCAGCTTGCAAGACACACATTTCTATTTCTAGTCACTCAGTCTACTATTCCTGGAACTCAGTCATCCAATCATGCTGGCATCTGCCAATATTCTCCTGCCATATACTAAACTTTTGATTCGATGTTTATACTAACATTTGGTATTGTTAAAAATCCCTTGTACCTTTATTATGTGTGTGTCTGTTTTATTCCTCAATTATATTTTATGTTATGTGTTGGCAAGGAGCAATCCTTATATACTGATTTTGTGGTCAAATTTCACACAAATTTAATTTTCTAAACACAAATATATAAGTAAATTAGAAAATAATCTTACCTAGTATCTGAAATAATAATTAAAAGGGTGATGGTACAGGTAATCTTTGTATGTTCATTACATCAGCAAACATTACTCTAATTTTAAAATGTCCCTTCGACTGATACATCTTTTTTTAAAACCTTAATCCATTCTGAGAATTTTTTCTGGGAGAGGGGGTCAATAATGTTTTGGGTAGATTTGTCTTTTTTTTTTTTTTTCTTTCAGTGTAAACATTGCTTTTTACAGCAAGAGGCTGAGTTTGTAAGTGCTAGTTTTGTGGTATAAGATATTTTTCTTCTCCAAAATCAACTTGAGTTTTGTACCAAGTCTACACAAGTGGCAATTTTATATAAAGAAACAACTATTATTTCATTGTGTAATTCTGCTAGCGTTTCTCATTTCTCAAACTCTTAATTATATTCAATGGACTATCACATACTCATAAAGAATAAAATAACATAATGAATATAATGGACTTTTGCTTTAGTCAGCAGAATGCTAACATAATAAAGTGATCATCTAATTCTATAAACAGATGCTTATAAGCAGAGTTAAGCCACCAATATCTAAACTTGTGTTGTTAAGCACAAATAAATACTTGGTGTTTTAGATTGGATGAAGTTAAACTTATCTGACTGAAGATGCCATTTTGCATTTATGCTATATAGCATCAACAATATATTTTCGCTTAATATAATTAATATCAACATATTTTACTGAGAAGTATATTTTCTGTACTTTTGGAAAAATGTTATTTATAAGCAGAAGTTACAGATGAGTTATGTCTCAATTATTTTGGTGAGATACAATAGTTACGAGGCTGTCGGTGTTCAAGATTCCCACAGCGTCAGTGGAGGGGGCTGGGATGAAGGCAAGTCAAAACACCAACAAAGACTATTGTTTGTGCAGAAATTCAGTCATTTTTCTAGAATATACATTTCTCATATTGTTAGTTTTCAGAATTCTGAATAAGTTGATTTTGACAATTTTTGCAGTTTGCATTGCTTTTTGGGGGGCACATATTTTTGAAGGTTTTCACTCTACCATTCTTGCAGTGCTCCCTAATTCTCAATAAGTTTGAAATGTGTAAGGTGATCCTGAAACCAAAAAGTTTTAGAACAGAGGTCATTGGTAAATACTGAGAAAGTAAGCTTTACTGTATTCGTTTATTTTCATGCTGTTAATGAAGACATACCCGAGACTAGGTAATTTATAAATAAAAGAGGTTTAATTGGTTCACAGTTTCACACAGCTGGAGAGGCCTCAGGAAACACAATCACGGCAGAAGGAGAAGAAAACATATCCTTCTTAACATGGCAGCGGGAGAGAGAAGTGAGTGTCCAGCGAAGGGGAAAGCCCCTTTTAAAACCATCAGATCTCATGAGACCTAACTCCCTATCACGAGAACAGGAATGGGGAACCGCCCCCATGATTCAATTATCTCTACCTGGTCCTTCCCATGACACATGAGGATTATGGGAACTACAATTCAACATGAGATTTGGGTGGGAACGCAGCCAAACTGTATCACAAATTTTGCCCTGGAATACTCTTGAAGGTTGAATATATTTAGTAAAACTTGGTGGCAGCTGCTTTCTCCTCCCAGGAAATTCTTACAGTGTATTTAATAACCAATCCATCTAATGATTCATTAATATTACTCATTTTAGGTTGTAAATAATTGATTTATTAATTAATCAAAATTGTATTATTTTCATAAAGCAAATTAAAAATATGAGTGTGTTTAAATTCAAAAATAATCTTCTGGACACATTTTTATTATGTATATATATGAATAAATATAAATCCAGGTGTAGATATAGAACTCTGTATTTTTCCCACAAGCTACTATTAGCGAAGCATGACAAAAGTAGTCAATCTTCTTAAAGTTCTGAAGGATATTTCCTAATTTTCATACAGTTTTAAAGCTAATCATGCCACTCACCTGGTCCATTGGACTTGTTTCATTAAAAAATACACAATTAAAATGATACAGGTATAATTTTTTGAAATTGTTATTGGTAGTAGAACATTTATTGTGGGATCAATTGAAATCACTTGCTTCCTTATATTTCCAATAAATAATAATTATACTTTCTCAATATTATCTGCATTATGCTGAAGAAAATGCTTTTTATTTATATATTTATTTCTAATTCACGAAGAAACAATTTTAAACTTTTGAATATAGGAAAACTTTTGTTCATTCAGTTCTAGTTAAAATATTTTATCTAAGTAAATGGCGAGTTCTTTGAAAATAACGACGATGTTTTTCTTTGTGTTCTGATTATATTGCTGAGTTGCCAGGTGTTGAAGTGGTCAATTAGTACAATGAGCCAAAATGAAAATGACAATCTCGCCTTTATTCTGAGACAAAAGTAGGTGCCAGCTCTCTGGTCTTTTATTTTTCCCCATAGAACAGCACTTGGAGAGGGTCAGGTGAAGCCGTGCAGATGAGGGGAACTGTCTCATTCCTTGAGGAGTCCTGAGAATACGGCTCCTGCCGTTTTATGGACTCATGGGACTGTGAGGAGGGAGAGCTGGGAAGAGCTAGGAGCAGAAAAGTACTGAATCTCCTGATGCAGAGGCCTCCAAAAGGAATACATTTGCCTCGAAATATAAATATGCATGTAAGTGTGGCATGCCTGAGAGGACGTGAATCCTTGACTGTCACTCCCACTAGAGACTGCAATGTCTGTGAGCCAAGTCTGGTACACAGTGGGAAGCTTTATCCACGAGACTTGCCAAGTAGAGCTTTGTAATTGTGATCAGGCCTGAATGATCACACTAAAGATTCTGGAGTAGAGCTGGAACTCCTCGTATATAACAGAGTATTCATAACAGATAATTCATACATGTGTGATTAACTTAATAATCACAAATTGAAAAAATAGTAACTACTACCCTCATGATATATGCATATAAAATAGTGTAGGGGAACATGGCTAATCATTAAAGCATTGTGACTCTGAAATGCTAGAGATTCACAAGCATATTTATTACACAATCAAGAATTATCCCATTAGAAACAGTATTTTTAACTTAAGGGTATAGAAAGAATTCATGATTCTTTGATGGAATCAAGAATTCATTGATTCCAACAAAAGGGAATCAATAATAAAGCTCATAAAAATCAATGAAATATGAAAACACATCAAGGTGCAACTGTCTCAAAATATGTAAATAAAATGGCCATTGCAACTTGGTCTATTTCTTTGGATAATTTTAAAGAGTACAGTATATTAATATTCATTCTGAATATCAAAAAGCTCTTAAGAATCAATATATTAATATGTTAAAATAGACCCTATTTCTAATCTTGCTATAAATTATTATGATTATTATGTAAACAATGATTATTTTCAAAAACAGTTTGATGTATTTACTTCAAAATAGACTCAAGTGAAACACTGAGGGCTTGGCACAGACACCAAATTTAAATTTGCTAGAATCTTGTTTGTGTAATCATTTAGCTCAGCGTAAGTAGATGCTGATAACAATTATTTGTTAGGTAATTCAAAGTAACATTCTGTACTAAGCATTTCCTTTCAGATACATGAATATTTGTACATACATTTTTAAGCCAAAATGAAAATGGTGATTAATAACAAATGATATGCACATTTAAATTATGTCAAATTGTGATACAAATTGTGCCTACTAGTTTTTTAATTAAACTTCTTTGCTATAATATGTTACATTAATATATAATATCTTATCAAGAAAAAAAGGCTCTGAAATGACTTGGCTATTATTTATATCTTTACTCTTACAGCATATGAATCTGAATATTTTATGTGATTTACTCGGATGGTATTGAAACAAATTTTAAAACTATGATAGTGAGAACATGTTAATATTAGAAAAGAGACAAGTGTGGACAGATCACTGGAATAGAAACCAACAACTACTAAACATTTATTTAAGGAGGGTAGTGGTCAGTTACAGGTTTCTGAAAACATGAAGGCTTACCAAAATATGAATTACAAGATTACATGACAGCACAGTCCCCATTGAGGGAATGCCTGGCACTGGAATAATCCCATCTGTGTACTCTTTGTGTGCACTGAAGCCATGACACGTTTAGCTGTCATTTGCTCCAAACGACAAATCCTGCTTAGACATAGCAGTATTTACAAAGAACTTCATTATATTCAAGGAATCATGTCCATTTTCAGCCCCAATTTGCCTATCTTTCCTTAACAGTTTCATTGGAAGGAACTCCAGAAACCAGAAACGTTGTGGAATAATATGGAGAACTTGTATTTACCCGTGCCCCGCTCCACCCAGTGGCCCAGTTGCACTATTTTCCCACACTTTTTAAAAGAAATATTGTTTATCAGATACAATCAGGTAAAATAAATGGCATAAAGAGAGGCCACAGTAAAATCATTAGCATACCAGCCACAATATTACATTATATTACATACTGGCTGAAAAATCTTTAACAGTGTAGAGGCCTATTGGTTCAGAGTGTTCAATAGAATTCCCCAAGCTACTTCACACTAGTTAAGATATATGAGAGTACTCAGAATACGGAGAAAATGTCAAGTTTATTAAAGTTGTCATGTATATATACAATTTTAAGATAATGTTATAGAGCATATTAGATTTATAATGCATTATAACTATTTGTTGTTCAATAGGGTATGTATGTATATAAAGTAATATCGAGGTATTATAAATGATTTTATAACTATAATGAAATTTCAAAAATTATATTTCTCTATCATCTACCTATGTATCTATCTATCTATCTAATCTATCATCAGTTAAAGTCCAACTTGACACTTTTCAAAACTTACATCAATATATTTTGCTAAAGGATTTAAGTGCAATTAAATGAAAAGATGGAGAAAGTCTTTCAAAGCCCAATCTCATACTTAAATTTCTGTTTGAATAACCAAGGAACAAAATCAACAAGTGACCAAACCACGAATATTCTCAAAAATAATAGTAACAACAACCAGCATGAAAGATCATAAAGAAATTACCAGGGAAATAGTATCTAGAACAATATATATGTAATTAATTAAGGAAGATTAAGTTATTTAATATAACTCAATGAAAATTGACAAAAATATAATAAATGTTAATGGAGAAGAATGGTCTATTAAACTAAAATTGTTCAATACCTCAAAAATGCATGCTAAAACAATAGCAAAACCATATGGTGTGTTTACTTGATTTTTTAAAAAAATGCTGATAATTAGTGCTGGTTATGCTATCAGGAAAGAGAAACTCTTCTATATTATTTGTAAGAGCGTAAATCAATATGTTTCTTAAGAGAAAGTGGACAGTATGTATCAGAAGCCTCTAAAATACTGTTACAACCTGACCCAGCTGTTCTATTTTTAGAAAGGTTTTTAGTGAAATAAACAGAAAATGTGTGAAGAGAAATGCTCAGAAATGTCTTTCTTCACAGTTTTGTTTAAAATAAAAAGCAATTTAGAATAATATAATCAGAAATATGGGATTTATTTAAGATGGCTTGATATAATTCAGGAAACAATTTCCGGGATACTGACTTAGCTGTGTATTTAACATGGAGATACATTATATTATATTAAATAATAGTATGCATAATATAGCTTATTGGACAAAACAGACTATAGTGAATGTGAATAGCATTTTTCTAATTTTATAAATATGTGTGTGTCAATATGTGTGGTTCTTTGAGGAGAGAAATAGAAAATAGAGTTGTAGGTAAGCATGTCATTATTAACTTTCTAGGTGAAAATTAAAGTAATTATGAATTTTTTATTGTATCAAAAATTGTGCCTGAATGTTTCTTGAAAGGAAAATGAACTGTTTTATTACATAAACATCTTTTAAGAATAATTGATAGCAGTTCAGAAATCAATTTGTTATAATACACTACTAAGATCCTGTTAACCAATAGTTTTTGGCATCATTAAAAGATAAGTATAAAATAATAATAATAATAATCCTATCCAAATGTTATCATAATTTGATTAGATTTTTTAGCCTAAGTTATTTTATATTTTAATTTTGAGAGTTCCACAAATGAGTTTTCAATAGTAATTATCAGACCCAGTCAAAGATAACTATTTACAGAAATATTTAATACTGAACTCTAGTAGAAAAAAATCACATAAACAGTGAATCTATTGGACACAGATTCAAAAGCAAATACACTTACTATATTTAAAGAAATAAGACAATCTTGAAAATGACTGAAGGGTATAGAAAATTAGTTTAAAAATTCGGAGAGGATTAAGTTTGTTAGATAATGCTCCAGATTTTCAAATATCTCTCATACCAGAGAGGCAGAGAAAGATGGCAGAATAGAAGGCTCCACCCATTGACCGTTCCCCTCAAGGACACCAATTTAACAATTATCTGTACAGAAAAACACCTTTATAGGAACCAAAAATCAGGTGAGCCCTCATAGTATCTAGTTTTAATTTATATGGCTGAAAGAGGCACTGTAGATACAGAAAGAAAAAACAATCTGGTGGCCGACACCGCTACACTCTCACCATCTAGCAGCAGCGAGTGGGGCAGAGAGCACCTCTGGGTGCTGGGTGAGGGAGAGCACAACAATTATGAGGCATTGAAGTCAGAGCTGTCCTGTTAGAACAGAAAGGAAAACCGAACCAAACTCAGCTGATGCCCTCCCACGGAGGAAGCATTTAAACCAGCCCACAAGTAAGTGAGAAATTTTCTAGAATCTTATGAAAAGGAAGAACAAACTATATTTTTTTATGCCCAGCTAAGATGTCTTGTATTCATTTAGTAGGGCTGGCATTAAAACAATACCACAGGCTGTGTGGTTTAAACAGCAGTAATTTATTTTCTTGAAATTCTGGACGCTAGAAGTCTAAGATCAAGGTGTTGGCAAGATTGGGTTCTTCTGAGGCTTCTTCTCTTGGCTCGCAGATGGCCACCTTCTCCCTCTGTCTTCACATGGTCTTCTCTTTCTGCATGTGTCTTAATCTCCTCTTCTTATAAGAGCACCAATCAAAATGGATTAGGGTCTATGCCTATGAACTCTTTTAATGTTAATTACATCTTTAAAGGCCCCAGCTTCAAATACAGACAAATTCTTAGGAACTGGGGGTTAAAACTTTAACATACAAATTGTGGGTAGACACAATACAGCCCATAACCATGTCCTTCAAGCATCAAGTCTTTAGAAAAATAACAATGAAAAGGCAATAACTAAGAAAATCTTAATCATAGGTGCATAGTGTAAACTGAGGCAAAAATAGTAGAAGAACCCTTTAAAACATGAATATATATCCTTTTTTCTCACTGGGCCTTTCGTATGTGTGCTTCATTGAACTCAATGGGCTTTAGTACAGGCTATAAAAGGAAGTGAGGTGCTTTCTTGATGTATCAAATTTTGAGATTGTTGGTTTGTTAACATTGTCAGAAATAGAAGAACAAAATTGTTTGAATTTTTAGCACAATACAGATGAAACACTATCATGTGGCAACAATTTTCATAAGCAGCCTGAAATGGTCTTTTCCTTTATTCCCATAGAAGCACCATGCACAGTTTCATGGTTCTATTAAATATGCTTTTTATAGCAACAAATGAATAGTGTATCCACTTTGCAATAAAGTATTGAAATGTAATTAAGCACCAATTTCAAATGTAATTTATAATTTATTCATTCTGGAACAGTTTTCTTTTTGTCAAATATCAACTCTCATGTGAGAATGTTCTGTGTTACTTTTCTTAAATTCAGTAACATAAAATCGTTGGCATCAATATCATATTTTACAGTACATATGTAGGTTTATTTTTATATTTTATATTTATCTAAAATATGTAAACATCGATGCTACGTTCCAAGTGTTCCAAGTGGAGTATCTACCTACCTACCTATTTATAAAAAATTACATGTACTAATCATCAGAGAAATGCAAATTAAAGCCACCATGAAATACGATATTACACCCGGCAGAATGGCTATTATTAAAAAGTCAAAAAACAACAGACGTTGGGGGGGAATGCTGAGAAAAGGCAATGTCTATACACTGTTGGTGGGAATGTACATTTGTTCGACCTCTATGGAATACAGTATGGAGATTTCTTAAAGAACTAAAAATACAGTCAGCAATCTCACTGCTGGGTGTATGCTCAAAGCCAAGAAGATCCCGCATTCATATGTTTATTGCAGCACTTTCACAATAGCAAAGTCATTGAATCAACCTAAGTGTCCATTGCAGAGGATTTGGATAAAGAAAATGTGGTGTACATACATATACCATGAAATACAACTCAGCCAAAAAAAAAAAAAAAATGAAATCTTGTCTTTTTCAGCAGTGTGCATGGAATTGGAGGCCATTATCCTCAGTGCAATAACTCAGAAACAGAGAGTCAAGTAAATACTGCATGTTCCCACTTATAAGTAGAAACTAAGCATTGGGTATACATGGACATACAGAGTGGAATAATAAACACAGGAGACTCCAAAAGATGGGAAGGTGGGATGGTGGGAGTGGAGTGAGGTTTGAAAAAGCACCTATTGCGTACAATGTTCACTATTGAGGTGATGGGTGCATGAAAGCCCAGACTTCACCAGTACACAATATGTGCATGTAAAAATATGCATTTGAAGCCCCTAAATGTACAGAAATTAAAACAAATTACATATAAAATGTTTAGACAATTGCCCATTGATATTTTAAGTGCATTATTTAGGTATTTCTTTTTTAATTTTAACATTTATTATTTTCATTTATTTCTGTTTTCTTTCCTGTATTTTTTTATTTTTTTAAAAACATGTTACTTTCTCTAACCAAACAAAGCAATGGACATTAGAGGAAAAGCAACTTTTCCAGGTATTCTGAGACATAGACTATGAAATCCACTAATAAGAGATCAGAGCAAAGTTTTGAAAAATGTCCTAATTTTCCAAGCTTGGAAGAATAGACTCTAACCTTATTTATAATATTAATATATATAAAACAAGAACCTATTTATGGTGAAGAATCAGCAGTTTACACAATTTAAAGACTTTCTACAATTTGTACAATTTAAAGACTCTTTTGTTGTATGCAAGAGCCTTTTGCAAGCAACTAAAATGTATGTGAGTAATTCTTAGTCTTCTATCCATGGTTACGGCTTTCCTTAGTCACATGTCCCTCAAATAAATGGTCAAACTCTTCAAAGAATTTATAATTTCAACCTTCACTTTCATTTCTTTAGCACAAAAATAAGAGTAGGTGCCCCAATGAAAACAGTAAATTTAACTGATTTAGCTGTCTTCTCTCCCTGATTCAAAATAAAATCCACATAATATTTCAGGTTTTCCATTTTATATTAATTCTCAGTCCCTTTCTTATTTCTTATTTTTAATCCCAAATTATTCTTAATCAGAAATTAAAACTTCTTTCACCAAAGCAACCAATAAAAGATAGTTATGAAATAAAATAAATCCCATCCATTAATAATTTTTAAAAGCACTTGGGTAACATATTTTCTTTATATATTATTCCGTGAAAGCCTCAGTGATTTTTTTTCCATTCTACTTATAAGACCTTTCCAGCAGGTCATAATATTGTATGATGATCTTCCTTATATTTAAAAAATATTGACTATTGTGCACATCCTCATAAATGGTAGTTTGACAGCAGTATAGCATTAAAAATATTTCTTATTTCATAATAACCTGTATGCCCACAAATTGTTCAATGAGGACTGCTGATTCTTCACCATAAATAGGTTCTTGTTTTATATATATTAATATTATAAATAAGGTTAGAGTCTACTCTTCCAAGCTTAGAAAATTAGAACATTTTTCACAACTTTGCTCTGGTCTCCTATTAGTTGATTTCATAGTCAATGTCTCAGAATACCAGGAAAAGATGCTTTTCCTATGACCATTGCTTTGCTGGAAGAAAGGAAATCTTGTGTCTCATGTACCATGTCTGGATGATTGGTTAGTTTGTTTGTTTGTTTTGTTTTTTCCAAGATGATGGTAACAGCACATTTCACTCAACATGCTCTTTTCACAATGTGACATTTACAGCTCCTTTGAATTGAAGCCTTAAACCTGGGAAGAGCTTTGTGATGGCTTTGATGAGGAAACTAATAGAACATGGCAGAAGTGATGCTCTGTGACTTCTGATACTGCATCACAAAGATGCCGCGCACGTGTCTTGTTCTCTTGGGATGCTCCTTCCTAGAGCCCAGCCAGCTACAATGCTTTGATGAAGCCATGAAGTCACAGGAAGAGCTCACATGTAGATGCCACAGCTTCAGGTCCAGGTCAATAGCCAAAATTGACCACCACACATCTGAGTGAACAAGCCATTAAGAAATTTGAGGTTCCATCCTTCAAGCTACCTTTTTAATGCCACATGAAGCAGGGTCAAGTTTTTCTTATCAACTCCTGTTTGAATTGCAGAGTCATGAACAAGATAAATAACTGATATTGTTTTAGGCTACTAACTTTGTTGTAGCAGCAATGGATAACTAGTAGACCACACTTACAGTAAACATAGTAAACTAGTAGACCACACTTATAGTAAACCTGCTTCTACGTTTTTGTTCATGGCCTTCTTTTTCTATTATTTCATCTCCAAATTGTTTTCATGGTGCAAACACTAGATCAAAAACCATCTGATTAAAAATATCATCTCTGATTTTTTTAGCTATTATTTTCTTTCACTCAATCCTTAGAGTACATGATGTATACACCTCTCATGGCAACTATAACACAATATATCACCTCATATTTTGTGGTTTATGTTCATATCTAATCTTTTTCTATTAGAATTTAAGGTCCTTGAAGATAAGAAATAAGTTGAGGTGCAAACTCTAATAACTAAATAACATTTAAAGTCTAGCAAAATACATGACATGATTCAAAAGTAAGAATAATGATTTTTGTAAGCAATACTGAATTTGTTCTCAATATGCTATAGTAAGTATACATTCATATTAGTTTAACTTGTCTATATAGCATCAAGTTATCAAAGTGTCTGTGTATTAAAATACCTCATTTGTTTTATATGTAAAACATTACTAAAGCGATTTCTCTCCAATTTCACAAAGGTTAAACATTTTGCATACAAACAAGGATCTTCTCTTGTCACTTGTCTATAATATTTAGTAGAAAAACATTTTTAAACATTCTGTCTTTGCTGTAACGTTTCTTTTCTCAGGAACATTAAAATGGTACTAGAATTCTGCTTTATAATTTTTACCTAAGATAGTCAATTCTTCTGTAAAGAAATTAAGTTTTTCTTTTTTTTTTATTTAAACCTCCAAGTAAGTAGCTGTCTAATTATAGAAGAAACACAAACATATACTCTGACTTTTTCTCAGGATGAAGTACATCTTAAGTGACAAAAGAGCCATTTTGTCAATAAGTATGCTCTATTGAATACTACCAATTAAGTCAGAAAGTGTTATTAGAAAAATTCAAATGATATGGGAGGATTCTTGTCCAATAATTACATCATGCAAGATTTCTTTAAAAGACCTATTTGGAATCATCAATAATTATAACGTGTTATTTAGGAAAATTATCTTATGCTGCCAATTAATTTTTAAAGATGAATGTAATGTATCATCACAAAATAAAATTCAAAATTTGGAATGAAAGCAAATGAATTTTCACTGATTGAACTTGATATATCACAGTAAATTTTTAAAAAGAGCAAGATCAGTGGAAACTCCATTTACCACAAGTGGTTGAAAATTCAAGATGTTACTGCTAGATAAATAAGATTTAAAAGGCAAGGTGTCTAACTTTCAAAGCTTAGCATCTATCAGTAAAGTTTAAGATCAAAGGAGGAAGGGAAGGAAGAAATAAGGAAGGAGGAAGACAGAGAGGAGAAGAGGCAGAATGAAAACTGAAACATAATAAAAAAGCATTTAAAAGTCAAAGAAAGAAAGCTAAAAAACGTATTCAAATGGATGACAAAATAAAAGTCGAATAAATTGTCATTTTAGGCACATGAATAAATTGAAAAGAGATTATGGGAAAGTAATGATGAATTTAAAACGAAAATGTTAGAATAAGATCACCCCAAGCTAAGTTGCCATGCAATAGTACAACTATTTATTCCAGTGATGCCGAGGTAAAGAAAATAGTCCAAGTGAACAAGAAAAAGTAGACAAAGAATGTGGGATATTCCTGGAATTTTAAAAAATGGAGAAATAAGATTTGTTTTTAAAATAATTCAGATCTAATCTTTCTATTCCTCAAAACAATACTCCTCAAAAACTTTGTCTCTTCTAAAATAAAATGCAACCTTCTAGATATAAAATAGTGGATCTGACCCACATGCTACCTACCATTAATGCTTCCTTTCTTTACACAATATGATATTTTATGGTTCCAAAATATCATTTTGCTTTGGATTATTTTTCTCTTTGTGTCTGAAATATTTTTCCATGCCTTGTTTAACAGATGGATGCCTAATCATCTTTCACCACTTGATCTCATGTATCTATCTACTGTATTTCTGCTTCATTTATTCATTTACACGTCTTTTGTTTTTTACTGGACTATAAGTCACTTGATGGCTGGAGTTAGGTTTTGTATATTCATCTCTACATACTATTTAGAAATTGGCACAAGCACATGGCAATAAAATATTCATTCAACAAACTTTCCTGGTGATTCATAAGTGAAAAACAAACAGGTAAAAATAAGGAAGGGAGAAAGAATGAAGAAAAAAGAAAGATGTAGTTTAAAATTAGGGTCAATTCTATTGCCTAATTAATTACTTCTTAAAGAATAATCTGCCTACACGTTTAGAAGAAAAATAAAAATTAGTAGCAACATAATAGTTTTGAATAATTGTATTAAAAGCAATTACAAAAGATCTCAGAAATTAGAGACTCCTGAAATATTTTGAACACTATTTTATAAAATTCTAATAACAATCTTGCTGAGAGTTTAAAGTATGACAGAAGGGAAGTTACAAAGTTACCACCACATACCATTAGAAGAGAACAAAGAGCAACTTGAGAGAACAGAAGATGAATGGAGGTGCTTCTATGGACACTGAGTAATTGGTAGAGCTGAGAACTCAATTATATATACCCACCACTGAAGCCCTAAATCATTTTCAAATTCCATCTGCCTCTCAAAACTTTTATATGTGAGATTGGCATATACCAATTATTTTTAACAATGTATCATTCAGTAAATGAGTCAAGACAGAAATTAAAATGACCAGGCAAATCTGCTCTATACTTATATGGTTCCTTAAGGTAGGAATTAATACAGAAATCCTTTTATAAGAAAATACATATTAAAATTGATAAACATGTTGTCTACCAGTTTAAACTGAACATAACATCATGGATCTATTGATACTCTCAGTCCATGGCATATTCAGAAATTATCATCTTTGCAATAATAAAGAGTTAATAAAAAGCCATTTAAAAATTACGCTACACAGATAGCTAGATCTTAATAGGCAGGTCAATAAAGAGCAAAATAAAAGGAAGAAATAATGTTACTGAAGAGGTTAATGGGGAGATTGGCAAAGTGAAATTCGTGGCACACTCTGATGGGGAAAGAATGGCAAAATATAACCTTGAAGTACAAGTGATGAGTGTTTGACATTGTTCATTAGAATAACATAGGTTAAGGCTGAACACGCAGTTTCTTTGGCGGGTTTTCTTTCCCATTATTTGTGTATGGGTTTTTACCACCAGCACACTGTTCCACTGATGGAAAGCACTTATGCTCTTAGTGAACAATATGTCAAGTGCTCAGGTGATGAATTACCTATCTGACAAGAAAAAGAGACACAAGTGATCAACATAGTCAGTCATTGGGGGACAGTGCTACAATCTTCACTTATAAACTCTTGAAAAAGGCTGGGCATAGTGGCTCACGCCTGTAGTCCCAGCACTTTTTGGAAGCTAGAGTGGGGTGGATCACCTGAAGTCAGGAGATCAAGACCAGCCTGGCCAATATGGTGAAATCCTATCTCTTTTAAAAATACAAAAATTAGCTGGGCATGGTGGCACACATGTAATCCCAGCTACTCGGGAGGCTGAGCCAGGAGAATCGCTTGAACCCGAGAGACGGAGGTTGCAGTGAGCCAAGATCATCATGCCACTGCACTCCAGCCTGGGCAACAGAGGAAGACTCTGTCAAAAAAAAAAATGTTGGAAATAAAACCATAATTTTAAAAAGTCATCTTTAGAAATAAAAATGAGAACCTTATGAAACGCTTGTATCAAATAAGACAGCATGATTTAATATAACAGCTGTCGTCTCAAACATGTACTATACAGAGACACATGGAAGCAACATCTTTACTAATGAAACAATAAATAGTAAATAACCAATTACCTTTAAAAAGCTTTTTAAGATACTAAGACTTGAAGGAATCTGAGCATTCATAGGAAATGCCTTACTTAAGAAGCACAGTCTATTTTCTCCCAGACTTTCCTTCTTTATGGGACATAATCTGCATATTCATTCCTGTTTTCCCCTCCTAGCTAATGCAGTGTTATTTTCTGGGCCTTGGATTATATACTATTTAATGGAAGACTTATCTGAGCCTGCAGACTTGGTTAAATTGCCACCTTCTACTCGTTAATTGCAACCTGTAGTTTTTCTGCCTACCACTTAATTACAATTTATAGAATTATTTGTATTATTTACATAGTGGAGGTCTCCACATTGACCTATAATAACCATGATACCAGAGACAGTGTCTGTGCCTGACCCTCATGTGTATTATGCCAGATACACAATTAAATACTTAACAAGTAATCATTGAATGGGTGAGAGAATATACTACACTTTAAAAATTTGTAATTATAAAAAAAATTATGAACTCTAAGCACATGAAATGTCTTAAAATGGAATAAAGTGTGGGAAGAATAAAATAAATTGTTATATAGAAAATTTTTAATTTTTATGGCTTTTTGTACAACTTTCATTAATAGTTAGATTTTTAATTAGCAAGGCAGTAGGAATGGTAATGAAAATTAATTTAATGTGAGAAAACAATCTGAAATAATCTAACTATAGCAGAAGGTCAGTAATTGCAAGGAGTTATTTAAACATAGAATCAGAGCTTTCTTAAAAACACATTCAATTTTGTTTAAGCATGAAGTCTCTTTGATATCTATTCCTATAGCTTTTTTGTTACATATATAGGAAATAATAAAACATTGCTTCAAGATGCATGCATTAAACTCTGCATTAATTGCCTTATAGTATATATTTTCTCTTTTTCAGATCCCAGGGATTTAAAAGTACATTAATTAAATCATCTAGTATTTCCTAAATTGAAAATTATACTACAAGGTACTAATCATTTAATACCATTTTTAGGGGGAAAGAAGCTATTGCATCATATCTGCAGTTTTGATTTATTCTTCATATACCTGTTTATTTAATATGATTTTATTAGTTCCTTGATCAATGAATATATTCATCCATTATTTGTTGAGTACCTACTATGTGCCACACTCTGTGCTGGACACTAGAGTGCATGACAAGCACTGTTTGGTTGCGGGTGGATTGATGGTTTTAATGACCTTCTTAGAAAAATATTTAAGTTGAAACCTTAAAGTTGAAAAGGATAAATCCTGCACCATCTTTTAAATCATGCTTAGGCACTTTGACAGTTGTCTAAATTGAATATTGCTAGCATATATACTATATAATTTTCTTCTTAGCCCATGAAGAATTTTCTTCTTGGTATGTCTTTGAGAAAAATAAATTTTAAGGTAATATTTGAAATAATTAAAAAGAAACTGTTGGGAAGCCCTGGAAGTGGATAGTGAAGCTATAAATGGTTATTTGAAGGAAGACAACGTGAAAGCAAGGACATCAATTAAAAGGTTACTAAAGTGATCTGTAGGTGATGTCATAGGTAATGACAGTGCAAGTTTATTCATTTTATTTAGTGTTTTATAAGTCATCTACAAAAATGCAAGTTACTCTTCTTGTCTTTATAATAACATGATTAGCAAGAACAAGAGAATACTTGTCCTTAGGAAAATTATATTGTGTTAGGCACAGACAGATAACAAACATATAAATAAGTAAACAGCTAGATAGTATAATTGCACCTATTTTAAGTTCTATGAAGAAGATTAAATAGGGAATTGAAATACAGTATGACTGAGTGTTAGAGAATAAAGAATGACTGTGTATTTTAGGTATTGTAGTTAGAGAAGGCCTCTTGGGAGGAAAATAATTAGATGAATTTGTGATATATTTGATGGTGAAATGATTAGTGTGGAGAGGGAAATTGGAGACTGGCAGATAACCAGTTTTCAGAAATAGATGCATGGAAGTGACATTTACTAGGATTGGAGAAAAATTAGAGAGAAGCACATATGGTGGAATGGTTTGTTTGTTTGTTTATTTATTGAATAAGAGAAAAACCAGGAGTTAAATTCTAAATGTACTAATTTGTACATTGTACATAAACACTCAAATATTGAAGTAAAATGGGAAAATATATGTCAGCAGCTTGGAGGAGAGATTATGAGTGAAGATAATATTTGTGAGTTACTGTCTTATAGATGTATTTAAAACTATGAAAAATATACTCTGTGGAGAGGTATAGATAGATGAAAGCTTGAAACAGTACCAAAGTGGTATTGAAAAACTATTGCGGAAACATATCTGGAGATATACAAAAATATTCACCAAATAGTCTGCCAAAAATTTAGAATAACCTAATGCCTATTGCTCTAGTTATCTATTGCTGGATAAGAAACTCTCCCAAAACTCAGTGGCTTAAGACAGTACTCATTTTGCTCTATCTCATTGTTTTGTGGTCAGAAATTCCAGCAGAGGTAAGCTTGCTGATTCATTTTTTTCTGTATTAGCTTGACTGAGGATATTTGATGTTATTCAGATGGTGGAAGGGGCGGTTGGTTGGTTCCAAGATATCTTCACTTACATATCATAGTCTTTAATGGGGGAAGGGGAGGCTGGCCTCAGCTGGTTCTGGCAGAGCATCTGGATAAGGTCTTATGGGCATAATGGCCTTGAGGTAGTCAAACTTCTTTCAAGTGTGTCAGAATTCTGAAAGAAAGTGTTGAAATTGAGAAGGTGGAAGCTACATGACTTCCTGTGTTTCAACTTTGAAAGTATTTCTACCATGCTCTGAAGATAGAAGCTATTCCAAGTCCATTCAGATTCTAGGGAAGGGGATATAGAATATATATCTTGATGGGAGAAGTGTCAAAAATATGGGGACACATTACAACACACACACCAAAATACACCACTGGCCATAACTTTCATATATTCCAAAATCCAAAATGAAACCAACCCCTGCAAAACAAACAAACAAACAAACAAAAACACTCTAAAAAGTCCTATTGCATTATGATATAAGGCTAAGGCTTGAGGTTTAGATTCTCTTTATCCAAATCAAATTCAGGTGCAGATGAGAGTCCTTACATTCAGTTTCTCAGACCTGAAGAATTGTGAACTAAAGAAACAAGTTTTCTGAACTTCACAGATCCAACTTACACACAGCAGTCACTGGTTCATAGCATTCCTTGAAAGGAGTTCAGACCCACTTTCTGGGAACAAATGTCCACGGCTCTTGACTTTGCCCTCTGGTATCTTAATATTATATTCTGAGTCATTCTTCCTGAAAAAAAAGGAAAGAAAAAAGGAAAGAGAGAAAAAGAAAGAAAGGTCTGTGGGGCATATCTCAAGATCCTTAAAAAGACGTTTGTCTATCTGAAAACTTCTATTAAGCATCAGATTAAATCAATTTTCCAAGATGAAAATGTTCTAGACATCTGTTATACAACATTGTGCTTATAACAATACTGTGCCGTACACATCAAACTTTCTTAAGAGGGTCAATCTAATGTTGCTGTTTCTGTACTACAATATTAATAAATAAATGAATAATGTCACAAGTTTGGCTTCATCTTTACACTAAGACAACAACCTAATAGCAAATTGGATTTTATCTCTTCCCTGAGAGTTCTGCTGTTTTTAAGAACCGTTTTCTGGCTGGAAAAACTGCCCTGGTTCATTAACATTTCATCTAAATTCTGTTCAAAAATGAAAGTTAGATTTTTCATTCATCCATTCCTTTCCTTATGATAAGCAAGTAGAAGAAGAAAAGTGACAACTTCAACATTTAATCCACCAATCTTGTCAACTAGATCACTGAGTTAATTTGGAACATGTATCTTCAATATTACTGCAGAATTCCACTACTATTTAACAAGAGACATCTTTTCTCTAGTTTCCAATACATTTTTTTCTCACTTCACTACAGACTCATACCAATAGAACCCCTTTAGATTCTGACTGCCACCTAATCTTGTAACGAATATCATATGTTTTAGGTGTTTGTTAAAGCATCACCCCACTTTCAGATGCACCATTCTGTTTCAATTATTTTTTGCCATTAAAAAATATCCCAAAATACAATGGTTTTAAATAACAATTATTTTGTTGATGTTGCCATTTGGGGATGAGGCATTTTAGCAAGACCTGGCTAAGTGATCTCTGTGTTCCATGCAGCACTAACAGAGGTCATTTGGTGTCATTCAGCTGGTGAAAGGGCTGGAAGTCACTCGCATGTTTGGTCCTTTGAGGGGGATCACTGGAAGTCTGGGGTCTCTTGGATCTATTTCCCAGTGTCTATATATTTACTTTCCTCCATGGTAGCCTCAGGGTAATAATTCTTAAATAACATCTAAGAGCACTAAGTGTTCCAGTAAATAAAATGAAAGTTCCATGGTCTTTGATTACCTAACCTTGGAGGTATCAAAGCATCATTTCTGTCATACTCTATTTACCAAGGAAGACACAAACCCACCCTCGATAAAGGGGAGAGACCATATGTCTTAGCTCTTAAAAGAGAGTATGTCAAAGAATTTGCAGCTTTTAACATCACCTTTTTCATTAACAGGCTGATTGGTACATAGCCTGTCTTATGTTTGTACACAGATATATTCAGACAGCAGTAAAAGTAAGTAAACTACAGCTTAACACATTATCATGGATGAATTTTATAATGTAGCATAATGTGTGATAAATACAAACCAAGTTTTATACACATGGCATGATTTGATTCATATAAATTTCCACAGCTAAAAAAACTAAACAATATGCCATTTTTCATGTAACAATTAAAATAAAATTTAGGATACTGACTACCTTTAGAAGCAAGAAAATGAGTGCAATAGGAAGGCACATACAGGTGCTTCTAAAGTACAAGTAAATAACTTTCAGTTAGCTCTTGGGACCACCAGTTTTTATTTTCTATTAATTGGGACACTTCAGAATGTATGGTATATTTCAGTCAGCTTTTGGGAGCACCAATTCCTGTCTTCTTTTAACTGATCATATATTTTTAGACACTTCACAATATGATATGTTTCAAATTTTGTAAAGGAATGAAGAAGAGATGAAGAAATGAAGAACTCTGAAAAAACTCTCGAGAAATTTAATTTTGAAGAGAAGCATAAAAAGGTACAATTACTAGAAGAGACAGAGAGTAAATGAAAATTTTATGTTTCTTATTTGGGAAATAATAGAGCAAGAGCATAATCAAGGAGAGAGGGAGAAGGAAATATTTAAGAAAAGATAGATTAACAAAAGAACTGTATTTGTAGTGATAAATAAGGAAAGGGATCAGAGCATAAGAGAAGGTCTGGTGTTTGATAGGAGGAAAGACAATGAATGAGGAGGAATCTGGGTTCAGATGCATGTAGATGTCTAATGACAGGAAAAGCTATGCGGATAATTGTCCTGTAAAATAGTCATATGAGGTTAAAAATTCACTTAAAATTTATCAGGATGCCACTTTTTTTTTGCAAAGAGAAATAGAACTGATAAGTGACCTGGACATAACATGCCCTCAAGACACCCTGCATTCTTCCTGAAGGAAAACCAAGATGAGAATCTAAATTTTAGTCAAAACAACACTGTTGCTCATAATATTAGAATATGAGAATTTGATCTGATCATTTAATTGTCAATGACATTAAGCCAAGATAGCCATCCAGCTATTTCTATCTTTAATGATAATTCCACCAAAGAGGATAGATGGCTATGTTACCCTGGACATTGCTGAATGAATACTGTCAAATTCTCTGAATCTCATTGACATAAATATTAGAGCAAAAATAGTTTCTAATTTTACCTCAGAAAATAGCCATCAGAATTTGATTTAGAATATCTTCTATTGTACAGTCTAGCAAAGATTTTAAAACATGGTTAAGACTCGAGGTAGATAATATTGTTCTCATACACTTACATTGACAAATTCATAACTCATTCTAAAATACCCTGAGTGAAATATATGAATACAAAAAGATCTCACTAATGCAACCTTTTGCTGTCATCATCCCTGCTGCTTTGCTTCTCACTCGTTATATTTTATACTCTCCGTTTTCATCTAATGGAAATGAACTAGATTAAACATATTTATCAGTCTAAGGGATATCTGGTGGTAGTCAATAGCAATGTTTTCATTTTCTAGCTTACATTTAAAACACAAATGGAGTAAATTACTGGATAAACATTTAAGAAGTGCTCCATACTTTGTGTGATAGTTTTAAAAGTTTTTGAAAATAAATATTAATATTGTGTAAGCATTTTCACACTGTTTTAAGTACAATTTATATTTAGAAACTTTAGGGGATCAATTCACAGAAATGAGAGAACAGCATGTAAAGTAGAAAGCTAAATAAATTACACACCACTTGTGGAAAAGCCACAGAAGATGTGAAATAGCATTGCCATTCAGATTTAATGTTTTCTTTATCAGGGTGTGTAAATCCCACCTCTAATAGATTGACTGTACTTAAGAGTCATTTTGGGCCATTCATGCTCTGAAGTTAGAAAAACCGTTTAAGACTTAAGGTGCATAAAGAACGTCAAGGAGATAGCCAATGATCAAATATATAGTCTTCCCAGACTGTTATTCTATCTACTGGTCACTAGATAGTTATAAGTGTAAATCAAAACACTTACAAGCTAGATGTCCAACGCTGTATGTATGCGCACAGCATTACTATCAAGTCTCATTTCACTCTTCCTTTGAATGAAATGATTGATTGTTCACAGCTTGCAGGACTCAGTGCTGCCCAAGATCAATCTCTGCTCTGCACACTCCACATTTGGTTTGCATCATTGACTTTGTGCCAGCCATTTTGCTGCCAGGACAGAGAGTGACATTTAATGATCTTTCAACATGACAATGTCACATTTGTCACTCTTTATCACTTGTGACAGACCTAAATTCAAATGCAAACATGAAATGGAGACTGACTTCAATCCAAACTCTGATATACTTTTGAACTGAAAACTATCAGCACAAGTTGATGAGATACATGGGAAAGAAAATAACCTGTTGAGTGTACCATAAATAAAAATACCAGGTCTAAGACGATCCTGAAATATCAAAGGCATTTTAATTTTATAAAGAAATCATTCTGATAAAATTTCACTTTGGAAATTATAGTATCTCAACTGTCATATCAACATCCAATATCTATATGAACTTGGGAAAGATAATTTACTTTTAATGTACTATTCTGATTTATAAACCAAATACCATAGTACCCATATGAGCTCTTTTAAAGTTCTTGAATGAGGAGAAGCCTCAAAAGTTATAACATTCATTTAGAAGAAAATAAAAATCACCGTAATTACGCAAAATTTTTCTAAACTCTTTCTTTTAGTCATCTTAGTTTTCTGGAAGCACTATTCTCCACTATTGTGTTTTTTTCCTAAACAAAATAACTTCCTCATACCTGTAAGTCCCCCAATGCCACAAACACTAACCCATATGTGTGTGGTAGAATTTCACTGAAATTTAGGAGTATATTAGAAAATTGGTAATGCATTTCAATACTGCTTAACAAATAATTATTAAAATGATTACAAAGATAAATGTATACAAGGAATTCAGGTTTTTGGAGATGCCTCAGCCATTCTCGATAGCTTAAACTGCAAGTGATGCTTTCTTCTATTTTAGAAACTAAAATATCCTTTGTTTAAAATTCCTTAATAAGGAAAAGTTTGCTATTAAACCACTTAGTTTTCACTTTTCAGTTACTAAAAGAAGCAAAAAAGAAACTCTTCAAAATATAATGTTTATGTTAACCTAAACTTCATGAAGTTAGGAACTAACCTGTGCACATAGGCTAGGCATGGCTATTGAGGCCTATAAGCCCAGCACTTTGGGAGGCTGAGGTAGAAGGCTTGCTTGAGCCCAGGAGTTCAAGACCAGCCTGGGCAACATAGTGAGACCCCATCTCTACAAAAAAAAAAAAATGTTAAGAAACTAACCAGGCATGGTGGTGCATGCCTGTGGTCCCAAATACTTGGTAGGCTGAGGCAGGAGGATTGCTTGTGACCAGGAGGTCAAGGGTGCAGTGAGCCATGATCATGCCCTCCAGCCTGGATGACAGAGCAAGACCCTGTCTCAGAAAATTAAGTAAAAAAGAAAACGAATACAAAATTATAGAATTAAATAATATATATGTATTTATATATCACAAAACTTTATTAATTTCACAATAAGGGACAAGTTTTCTTATGTCTCACAATAAAAAGAAAACCTCTTTGTTATTATACTATGAACTCACCAAAGTATTTTTTTTCAAATAAGTGCTTCTTAAATCTAATCTCCCTTTACTTCAGATCTCAGGCAATTTTTACATTCTGCCCTACATTTTCATTACTGGAGTGCATGTCTAATCTTTTATTCTGTCTGTTGAATGATTCGAGAAGGGAGAACTATGCAGTATATGTAAGATAGGGGCAACCATAGAATTTATCATACATTTGAGTACATACATACATACATATATAACATTTGAGTAAAACATTTGAGTGCGGTCTGTGTCATAAAAGCATTAGCTTCAAGAACCCCACAGAATCTGCAGTGTGTTATACTTCCTAGAGTGGATTCTGGCAGTGCCCCACCAAACTGCCCCTTCATGTGAGGCCCCCTTTCCTTTATTCGATTGGCAGTGACTGTTAGCAATGCCCAGCTGCTTCCTTCTTCTGAGAATTGTCTTCAGCCAAGGCAGCCACATCACTCAAGGGTCCAGCCCCACTCCTACCCCATCTAGGGCAGACGGGGTGCAAGGTAGGACTAACTCAGTTCCCTTTGTGATCACACTGAAGCCAACTGAAAGCGCACTCTTGCTTATATTCTCTCTAAGGCCATAAACTGTGTCCCATGCTTTATTTTTCCTAAGAGTACTCCCTCAATAAATCACTTAAACAGAAATCCCCATTGTACAATCTGTTTCTAGGGAACCTGATCTTAGGAAGTTGGCACTGTGAGTGGCCCTAGAAAGCAGACTTACAGGATGAGGTCCTGGATTTGGGTCACTTGCCAGATGAATGCAGGGAGTATCCCATCCCTGATGGTAGGGGAAGTGATGGAAGTCTATGAGACCACAGCAGTGTAACTCCTGTCTTTTACTTGCATGAATTGGAAAGGGATACAGTGCCTGTCTCAGGAATTTGAGAAGTATTGAACTAGGAGACTATTTCTCAGCTTGATGGATTTATATAATAGTGGAAATAACAAGGTCATATGATCAAATTAGAATTTAAAGCCAAGTGTGAGGGTCAGAGGGCCTTCTCAGCTATATTGAAACAGATCCTCCTCTCTTGCAGCTGGAAAATAGACATGGCTGAGTATAAGGCACAACACTTAATTCTGAGAGGGGCCAACTTTCAGGAAAGCCTCAAACACTAAAGTTGGAACTCTGAGAGGGAAGGAGTGAGGCCCTAAGATTTTGAATGAGACTAACTCTGTAACACACTTGAGAATGTTGAATCATCAGTTCCTCCTGCACTATCTGGATCTCCAAGAGTGGCCCACCCTCCCCTGTTAAAAGACTCTCAGAAGATAAGGTAGAGCACTCAAATGAGGCAGTTGTCTTCCAAACAGTGCTATTCCTCTGCAGGGTTTTTCTCCACCCCTGGTCATGATATAATTAGGGTCAAATTTCAGCATGAATCTACTGGGAATTGCCCAGAGTACAGATGGATAAAAAGAATATATGTAAAAGGTGCTGATACCTGACTAACATTACCAGTCAGTATGCCTGAGAATGGATCCTGCAGGTGCTAGAATAAGACAGTTGGAATATGCAGTTGATAAGAGAGTTTGTAAACATCCAGGATCTAACATGCTGGCAAGTGATCTAAGTGACAGTTCTGTTATGCTTCCCTGATGGCTCTTGGAATCTTGGAAAAAGTAATAAAAAGGGACGGTCCACAATAAATGGGGCAGAGATTCCAGAACTACCATAATAAAGTGTGGTGGAATGGATCAAAAATCTCAAGGATATAAACCTTCAGCTATAAGATGAATAAGTATTGGAGATCAAGTTTACAGCATTGTGACTGTAGCTTATAATAATGCATTAAACACTTGAAATTTGCCAAGAGTATATCACAAGTGTTTTTATCATACGCACACATACAGCCACACTCACAAATGGTAACTATATGAGATGATGGATATGTTAATTATCATGATTGTGTTAATCATTTCATGATGTATATAAACATCAAAACATCACATTGTACTCCCTAAATATAGGCATTTTTTATCTGTCAATCTTATCTCAATAAAGCTGAATAAAATGAAAGAAAATTAGCATCAACAAACAAACACAGTCTCACAGAAGTGGATGTGTTAGAAAAGCTCTATTACACAAAATGCAAGAAAAGCTCTATTACACAAAATGCAAAAACTCATAAGATAAGCATGTTCTTTGGGAGGACCCTTAGAAAGCTCCAGTTATCAAGAATACCAGGAACGAAATGGATAGAGAGGTCCCAAAATCATAAAAAATCACAGGAGTGGTCATTTCTCTAGGCTAGGGCAGATGGTGGAAGATGCCACTATAGCTCTGCCCTCCCCAGTAAGAATAGGGATGCTAGGATCCTAGAAGAACAAAGGCCATTTGACAGAACTTAACCATCAGAAGCAAAGTATGTGTAATGGTGTAAGTTAGTCACAAGGTTAGAATTTCTATAACCAGTGGGAATCTGCAGTGATTACTCATTGTACCTGGCTAAATGGATAGACAGCCAAAATAGTGCCTTTTGATATATAACCAAAAGAGATTAAAATGAAGGTGCTGAAGCCAGCACTTTGCCCATTTTCCAGACCTAAACCAATTCCAAATTATGGAGAAGTCCAATCCCCATGAGGAAGGACCTTCTAACACCAGAAAAAGAGTAAACAGTAATGATCCTCCCAGTTTTTCAAGAAGCCTATGGCTGTTTTGGGGAGTAATCACAACCAAGGGAAGCCTACCAAGCTATTTGAGGGATGGTAGATACAGTGCACACCTAAGACTCAGATCACTGTGCTTTTAGCCCAGATCTGTCCAAAATGTGTCTATTGTGTTAATGGATCCACCCGACAGTCATTTCTTTAGACTGAACTTGTGCAATTTAAATGAACATTCTTTGTTGTTTATAAAACTCTTCGATGGGTTAAGAGCTATTACAGTAGAAAAATTCATGTGGAAGCTTCTGAAACTGCCCCTTTCCCACTGGAAAGATAATAAATATAAACTAATATAAGTATCCCAGGATAATGACACACATTGATATCATATCCAAATATTTAAAGGATGCACTTAATTCATAAGTCTATGCCCTGAAAAACTGGATAAATCATGCCAGATAAGAGGGGGCTACTGCAAATCAACAAAGCAGTAGCTAAGTAATATGGATTTTGTGACTCTTTATGTCGCTATGCCTATCGAAAATATCTTTCAACCATGAAAGTAAAATAAGCATGTTTAAAAGAATTCATCAGCAGCAGACCCACAGTACAAGAAATGTAAAAGAAAGTTCTTCAAGAAGAGAAAAAAAGGTAATAGATGAAATATGTTTTGAAGAGCATCAAGATGGTAACATGGATAAACATACAACAAAATTGTCTTGATTATAAATATCTTTAAATGATAGTTTACTATTTAAAAAATGCTACACTGATTATCCTGAAGAAGTAGAATGGCTGCTATGTTTTGAGGGCAGGAAGGAATATATTTGGCATTTCAGTGATCCCTTAGGTATCTCTTGGCAAACAATGTCTACTTATAACTCAAAATTCTCATGTACAGCAACAATGACCTGTGTCTGTGCTTAGTGTTTCATAGGAGTGATGACTAACTACATCTAAACCAGCTGTAGAGAGGTCTGTTCAAATAGTATTGAAAAATAATCCTCAAGCCAGAATAGTTAAATATCAGTCTAAATATTAGCGCTTACTATCAAAGAAATGATTATAATTGTTCGAATGCCAAAGTTGTATTTTAACAGAAATTCCTAACTGCCTTTGTGTTCTACAATTAAAAAAAAAAAGCCTGAGTTTCATTGTTATGAGATACCTTCAAAAGTTTTAACCAATTTGTGAGCTTGTTACTATAGTTCTCTACCGATATGCGGTGGCCGTAATAATTTCTGAATAAGCTAACATATCATTGGTGAATATTATGATACTAATAAATAGGCTCAATAAATTAGCATACATATTTATATAACTCTTCTTAAGAGGCAGATCTTAATGTTTTCTGAAGCAATGCATTATATAACAGCAAGAACATCAAAGTTAACATAGACACCCAATAATATAGATTTGTCCAAGGACTCTTGCTGTGAAAAGTCATTTAAAATATTGTCAATTCTCTCACTTTCACGAAACATGTCATTTCAGACCAACCTCCAGTATTTTCACAGTTGCTGATTCATTCTTTATCCCTTTCATTTAATGTCAGGATTTGGAAAATACAGTGATTTTTTTTTTCTATACACATTCACTTTTTATTGGAACCAGTCATTTCCTTCAATTAGTATACAAGTAAAAGAAAAAGAATCATTTATATAATCATCACATGCCAACATATCGTAGACAAGATTAGAATCAATATAAAGATATTTTGAATAATTATAGTTAAAAATTTGATCAACTGAATTTGAACACAGGATCCCACACATAGTCTTGGCAAAAGAACAAATTATTTGAATCAATTTTGTGCTTATCAAGACGTGCTTGACTTTTCTGCAATGAGAACTATCATGATTTGATTAAAAGCTTTGTAACCAGACCCCAAACAATGTAACAATTTTTATCTTCTCACTTTAAAAGGTGAGGATGGTAGATGTAAAATACCAGCTGATATGTTTTGGCTGTGCTTCCACCCAAATCTCATCTTGAATTGTAGTTCCCATAATGCCCATGTGTGATGGGAGAAACCCGGCAGGAAGTGATTGGATCACGGAGATTGTTTCCCCCATGCTGTTCTCGTCAGAGTGAGTGAGTTCTCATGAGATCTGATGGTTTTATAAGCATCTGGCATTTCCCCTACTGGCCCTTCTCTCTCCTGCCACCTTGTAAAGAAGGATGTGTTTGCTTCCCCTTCCACCCTGATTGTAAGTTTCTTGAGGCCTTCCAAGCCATACAAAACTGTGAGTAAAATAAACCTCTTTCCTTTATAAAATACCCAGGCTTGGGTATTTTCTTATAGCAGTGTGAGAACGTATTTATACCAGCTTTATACTAGTCAGAATTAGCTATTTTTTAGTACGAAGGATGGGATTTTCTTATACTTTTATTGACCTTAAGTACCATTTGAGTCTGTCTTGACAACAATGATTACAGTCGTCTGTCTTGTTAATAATGATTACAGTCAATCTAGTGACTTTTACCCACATTATTTACTTAAGATAACAATTTTAAAAATATTGAGAACACTTCTACTTTAGCTTTGTTTACAGACAAAAGAAGTAGAAAATAATACTGAGGTTTAAAATAAGCCATAAGTTTAGTTTGGTAAAAAAATAAGTAAAAGCTTGATCAATTATATATAAAATATTTATACAAAAAGTAATGGCAATGGAAGAAAGTGCAAATTTTACTTGGAGTATCCATGTAATAAATTAGAAAGAAGGTATTAATTACCGTGGTTTCACTTGCACTTATTTACAAAGCTAGAATAAGGCCATTATATGTTACATGCTTAATCTGTAGAATGGGTGATTCTGCTTATTCCTAATTAAATCTTACTTGATTTACTGTGATAGTTTTTTTCAAGTTATTTCCATTTATTATAGTCATTCCACAACTGCAATATCTTCTCTAAATAGAAATGAGATTATAACATTCCTCTACCTGAATATTAATGGCTTCTGATTGAACTAGAAAAAATCCATACAACTGCTTACTATCTATAAGGCATTCCAAGGCTCATCCATCTAGTTCTCTGAATCATTTATGCTGTTATCCACAGTGCTCCATTATGCCTTGGTCACTCTGAACATTTCCAAGGTACCTAAACACAGTGACTCAGGTCTTTAATATTTTCTTCCCTTTTTGCCTAGGCTAATTTTCTTCCAAATGTTTGTGTGGCTGACTCTTTCTCAACATTGAAGACATTGCCCAATTATGCCACCTGCCTCCTCAATGTAAAACACATCTTTCTCTGTTCTAGTCACTCTCCAATTTCCTACTTTATTTTTATAACACTGATAACTATTTGAAATAATATCATTTACTTATGTATATTATTTATTGTAGATATTACTTTACATTTTGTTTGGACCATATCCATAGCCTTTTAAACTATAGCCAGCATGTAACAGGAACTCAATAAATATTTTTGAATGACTATAGCCACCTTTAAATTAGGCTTGGTTATTAAGAAGAAGGAAAAACTTTGATTTTCATGGTTTTTCATATTTCATGTAAGTACATGAAATATGAAACATACCATAGACATAAAAATAAATGGCTTATTCTAGCCAATAAGTAACATACTGAATTTGGGACTTAAAAATTATTAATATAGTTAAAAATTAATAATATGTCAAGCATAGTCCATGTTTTAAGAAGCTCGACTGGAACAAGAGGGAAATTTTGGCAAAGACAGCTCACTGTCTCTCAATATCTATCTCTCTCATCTAAACAACAAGACCCTAGGTTTTATCTGGGCTCCTACTGACCAGCCAAAGAATTAAATATCCCAGCTCTTCCTGAAGTTAGGTGTGTCCATGCTAATAAGTTTTGGCCAATGATATCTGAGCAAAAATGATTTGTCAATTTTCCAATAATTTTTCCTAAAATACAGGAGAGAAGACATTCCCTATCTCTTTATAATGCTTACAGCCTAAAAGCAAAAATGTTGGCTATAATTTGAGTTTAAAAATGAATAGGAATTTAGAAAAGTCTTAGATCTCTGACACTGATGACCCACCATGTAAACATGGACTTTCCATCTCTAGGCATTTTAAAAAATATTTTACAAAGGAAAAACAAAAAAATTACCTAATTTAAGTCACTGTCTTTTTTTTGTTTACTTGCTTCTTTTTTTTCTGACACATGCAGTGAAACTAATCCCAAGTGATAAAGAGATGAAAGATGACAGCTGGATGTAGTAGACAAGGAAAAATATTTTATAAGTCTGAAAGTTCTGTTGAAATTATTACCTTGCTTTTATCTTAACAACCAACAGAAGGAATCAACAGAGGGCAGATCATTTCAGCACCTTTAAACATTTAAAGAAAGAAGTTGGTTTGTAAATGACTTTTTCTCTTTAGTAATTTTATTTTAGAATAGTTTTATATTCATAAAAATGCAAAAATACAAAAATAGCCCCTTATTTTCGTCACCTACCTTTCTCGAAAGTTAATATTAATATAACCATTTATATTAAAACTAGAAGATTAACATTAGTACAATGCAAATAACTACTGATTGTATTCAGATTTTTCAAATTGTTCAACTAATGTTTTATATCCATTGCAGAATCCAATCCAGAATACAAAATTGCGTTTAGTCATAATGTCTCCTTAATCTCTTCCTGCCTTTGACTTTTTCCCTTGGATTTCTTCAGTTTTATGATCTTTACACATATGAAGAATATTAGTCAGATATTTTGTATGCTCCCCAATTTGTGTTTGAGATTTTCTTATGCTTGGACTGAAGTTAAGGGTTTGGGGAAATCATACAATAAAGGTGGCCTTGGTTTTTATTAATCTGAGAAATTCTTTACTTTTTTTTCACTTTTGAAAGATGTTTTGCTAGTATAAAATTCTGAATTGACAGTTTTTTCTTTTGTTTTTTACTTTTCCTTTCAGTATTTTAAAGATGTAACTTCACTGCCTTCTTTCTTGAATGTTTTCTGGTGAGGAATGTACTAAAATTCTTATCCTTGTTTCTCAGTATGATAATATTTTCTCCCCCTATGGCTGCTACCAATATTGTCTTTGTTTGTTGTTTTTATTTTTTTGTCTTTGATTTTTAGCTGCTTAAATGAATATACTATGCTTGGTGTGCTTGCATTTCATGTTTTTCTTGCTTAATGTTTCTGAAATATTTTTGTCTGATATTTGGTGTCTGTCACTAATTCAGGAAAATTCTTGTTCATTGTGTCTTCAGATTTATCTTTTGCACTGTTTTCTCTTCTGAGATTCTAATTAGGCACATTTTAAGGCATTTTATATTGTCCTTCAGGCTTATATGTTCTTGTACATTTTTTCTACTATTTTTTTTCCCTTGAATGATTTTATCAACCAATTTTCAAGTTCACCAATTCTTTCTTCAACCATATTGAGTCTACAGGTGAGCCCTTTCATTTATGTTCCTGTGTTTTGATTTATAACACTATTTGTTCTTTTTTATGGCTTATATAAGAAACTATCCATCTATTCGTGAACCTCCTCACCCTTTTTGAAAAGAGGCTTTAATGTGTAAATCACAGTGATTTTAAACTCCTTGTCTAAAAGATTCAGTACCTGTGTCTGATGATTATTTTGTTTCTTCAGATTGCTTTTTGCCTTCCCTTTGCATATGCTTTGTAATATTTTGTTAACAGCTGGGTATATTATACAGAACAATAGATGCTGAGATAAATATGTTTTAGACACAAAGGTACGTACATCTCATCTCATAGTAAGTATTTGTATGAGAATTTGTGTTGATCTAGCCCAGAGTTCATGTGGGACTGAAGTTTGTCATCACAGTTAAGGCCAGTGTGCCAGTGGATTTAAATTTCCTTTATTTCCACGGACTTCCTCTCAAATACCTACTCTCCAGTAGGCCCTGGGTCTTCCCCTTCTGCTGTTACTTAGATGATTCCTACCACAGCCGTCCCAGATGGACTCCACTGTGGTTTTTTATTTGGTGCTTAGTAGTGCATTGGTGTGGAGCAGGGGAAATAGGGCATTCTCACATATTCTGATGAAGCCTCAGTCTTCAGCAGACTCTGTTGTACCTGGTCTCAAATCTGCATCTTTACAAGTCCTCTTGCACCTTCGACAGGGGTAAAGAATGTATTTTCCTTTTTCTTTCTAGCCACAGTTTTTACCAGTCCTAACTTGGCAGTGTTTTTGGTTCTTTCCTCTGAGGAGCAAGCTTTTTCCATAGGGTAGATAGGGAAGATGGGAATAGGAGGAGCCTCAGCAGTGTCTGCCAATCCTTCCCTTTGGCAGCATGAGGGAAGATTTCTCAGGTCCCTGGTCGATCTTCCCTGTAAAATCATGGTGGGTTTCAGACAAGAAAAGATTGTAGAAGTAAGCAACCTTTTTTATGCCAGAGGCCCCCTGAGCTTCAAACTTTAATGTTAGCCACACTTGGCCTTTAGCAATTCATTAAAAATACTTAGCTGAATCTTCTCTCTGCCTTAGAGAGCATCCAGGAGAGTCTGCCCCAGGTACACACACGGTCAGGTACACACATGGTTAAGTCTTTTAATTTTTTTCTTTTTTGGACCCTGTAGGGACTTGTCTTTCCCTAGATATCAGATTAAATGTTTGTCTTTCCCTAGATATGAGAATCTTCAGTTCTCTGATTTTTGTTTGTTTTTAAAATCATATGTTTGCAATTTGACCAGTTTCTCGCTCTTTATTATTATTATTATTATTATTATTATTATTATTATTATTTGTATGGGTAGAAACAATGCTCTTTCCTGCTCTCTGTATTTTTAAGATGAAACTTGTAGTCCAAAGTAACACATAGGCTTTTCCCTGAATGGTTACAACTGTCTTATTGTTAATTCTTCAAAAAGAAGAATGGCAATGTAAGAATATATTATAGTTTAAAATCTGCAGCCGGGAGCGGTGGCTCATGCCTCTAATCACAGAAATTTGGGAGGCTGAGGCGGGCGGATTGCCTGAGCTCAGGAAATCAATACCAGCCTGGGCAACATGGTGAAACCCCGTCTCTACTAAAATACAAAAAATTGGCCGGGCGTGGTGGCGCGCACCTGTAGTCCCAGCTACCTGGAAGGCTGAGGCAGAAGAATTGCTTGAACCTGGGAGGTGGAGATTGCAGCGAGCCGAGATCGCACCACTGCACTCCAGCCTGGGTGACAGAGTGAGACTCCGTCTCAAAAAAAAAAAAAAAAAAAAAAAAGAAAGAAAGAAAAATATCTGAAGCTTTGTTTCAGTGGTTTAATTCCTCATTTTCAGATATTATTCAATAAATGTGTCCTGAGCATTTATTATAAATGCCATGTGTAGTCTACCCAGATGGCAATAAGCCTTCTTCAGAAAGCAGTTTGTAAGGTATACTGATATTTCTTCTACCCACTGAGCAGAATGATTTTGGCAGCAATTGTAATATGTGAGATATATATAAACACATGCATATATCTCTCTATATACATATATAGTTGATATTTGGATGTATTCCAACATATATTTAATAACTAAATATGTTATTTAATTCAAGACAGAAAAGAAAAACAGCAAAAAAGAAATAGTCAACAGTGCCTAAACCCACCCACTCCATAAAAAGAACAGAATATCATTTTCTAAAAATTGCAAAAAAAAAAAAAAAAAGTAAGAGAGGCATACGGACAGAGCATTATAATTAATGTGTATCACAGCTTTGTGCTAACATCTTTTTCCTCCTCACTAGGGAAGTAGTGAGGAACTTCAGCACATGGCTAGGAGAGGTGTCCCCCACCAGCTTCTAAAACTCTCCTTTAGATTGCTGGTTATGTGTTCTTTGATTCTCTTCTGCAATTTTATGCTTTTCTGCTTAGGAACAGCTTCTTTTCTCTACTGGAATTCGATAGCAGAGAACTCTCAGCTATTCCTTCTGCTGTTATGCAGAGTTCACAGTTGAATAACACATCTACAACATCTGTATTTCGAAAACAGAAGAATTTGTTTTAATGCCAAGCCATTTAATTATTGGCTAGACTGTAATCCGAGAATGGTTTACTCATTGATTCTGAACAATGAAGAAAAGAGGCCTGTGCTTGTTGGAGAGAAAATTTTTAAAATTTAATTTAATTTGTTATTTTGTCAGGAGAGAGCTCCTTTCCTTATGAGTAAAATCAGAAAGATATGCCCCCCAGAGCTCAGAAATCAGCAAATTTCTAATAACTTTCCTCTCATTTAACGGAATATCTTCTGTTGTAGTACTCTGATTTTACTAGTTATTAACTGATTCATGTCCACTGCATGTCAGCCTCATGGACAGGGCATTTTAATATTGGATAAAAAATACACTCAAATTTGGCCAGGTGTGGTGGCTCCCTTTTGTGCTTAGGCTGAGGCAGGCAAATCACGAGGTCAGGAGTTTGAGACCAGCCTGGCCAACATGGTGAAACCCCGTCTCTACAAAAAATACAAAAAAATTAGCTGAGTGTAGTAGTGGGCACCTGTAATCCCAGCTACTCAGGAGGCTGAGCCAGGAGAATTGCTTGAACCTGGGAGGTGAAGGTTGCAGTGAGCTGAGATCGCACCACTGCAGTCCAGCCTGGGCTACAGAGCAAGACTCCATCTCTAAATAAATAAATAAATAAATTAATTAATTAATTAAATTAAAAAATATACACACAAATTTTGCATAGTTAACTTTTTTTTAATATACTTTAAGTTCTGGGATACAAGTGCAGAACTTGCAGGCTTGTTACATAGGTATACACGTGCCATGGTGGTTTGCTGCACCCCTCAACTGGTCATCTACTTTAAGTATTTCTCCTAATGCTATCCCTCCCTTAGCTCCCCACCCCCCGACAGGCCCCCATGTGTGATATTCCCCTCCCTGTGTCCATGTATTCTCATTGTTCACCTTCCACTTATGAGTGAGAACCTGCTGTGTTTGGCGAATCCATTTTGTATTTCCACCAATGGTATATAATGTATAATGTATAATGTATAATGTATAATGTTTATCTTTTCTCCACACCCATGCCTTATTATCTCTTACGTTTGTAATAACAGCCATCTTAACAGTGTGGTGTAATACCAGACTTAATATATTGGTGTAGTTTTGATTTGCATTTCCTGATGATTAGTGATATTGACAACATTTTATATTCCTACTGGCCATTTTTATGTCTTGTTTGAAAAAAAGTGTATTCAGATTCTTGCCCATTTTTTTAATTAAATTTTTTTGGTTTTTCATTATTGATTTTCTTAGATATTTTGGATATTAACCCCCTTACCAATTATATGGTTTGCAAATATTTTCTCCCAATTCATAGGCTGCTTTTTCATTTTGTTGATTGCTTCTTTTGCTGTGTGGAAGCCGTTAATTTGATGCAATCCTACTTGTTTGTTCTTGCTTTTGTTGCCTGAGCTTTTGGTTGATATCCAAAAATATACTGCCAAGGCCAACATAAAGGAAACGTTTCCCTATGTCTTTTTCTAGGAATTTACTGTTTCTGATCTTATGTTTAAGTCTGTAATCCGTCTCGAATTTACTTTGTTGTATGGTGTAAATTAGGATCCAAGATTAGGATCCAAGATTTCAAGTAAATGACCTATCTTTTCACATCAAGAAACTAGAAAAAGGAGAAAAAAAACTAAACCCAAAGTTAGAAGAATGACAGACATAATAAAGATTAGAGCAGAAATAAATCAGAGATTTAAAAAAACTGTAGAAAAAAGTCAACCCACATGGATGAGCCTGGATAGCATTATGTTAAGTGAAATAAACCAGACCTAGAAAGACAAATACTAGATGATTGCACTTATAGGAAAAAATTTAAAATAATCAAATTCATAGAAGCAGAGAGTAGTATGGTGGTTACCAGGGGCTGAGGGTGGGAAAATATTGAAAAACCATGGTGAAAGGGTACAAAGTTTCATTATGAGAGATAAATAAGTTCTGGCGATCTGCTATACAGCACAGTGCCACTAACTGACAATAGATCTTATTTGAATTGTTCTTACCAAAGCAAGCAAAGAAAAACAAATACTAATAATACGGAAACTTTGGGAGTTTATGAATATATTTATGACCTTGATGGTGGTGAGATTTTCTCAGTTGTATGCTTACCCTCAAGCTCATCAAGACGTATACATTAAATATGTACAGCTTTGTATATGTCAATCATACCGCAATAAAATAGTTTTTTAAATCATGTCACTGCTTTTTTTAGCTATTACTTTTTCTTTTATTAATATTATTTTAATTGACACAATCATATACACTTATGAGGTAAAATGTGATGTTTTGATATGTGTATACAATGTCTAATAATTAAACTGAGCTAATTAACATGTATAATACATTATTATTTAATAGTAATAACTCTGTGCAATAGAGTTCAAAATTTGTTCCTCCTGTCTTAACAGAAACTTTGTACCATTTGACCAAAAACTCAGTACCTTCTTTCTCCTCCCCCAGCTTCTAGTAACCATCATCCTACTCTTCTATTAATTCAACTTTTTTGGGTTCCACATATAAGTGAAATCATGAAATATTTGTCTTTCTGTGCCTGGCTTATTTCACTTAAGATAATGTTACCCAGGGCCATCAACATTGTTGTAAATTATAAAATTTCCTTCTTTTAAAGGCTGAATAGTACTCCATCGTGTATATGTACCACATTTCCTTTATCCATTCATCTTTTCATGGACACTTTGGTTGTTTCCGTATCTTGGCTTTTGTAAATAATACTACAATGAACATGGGAATACAGATATTCCTTCAACATACTAATTTCAATTTCTTTGGAGAGATAGATGTATATATATACACATATATATGTATGTATGTATGTATGTATGTATCTATCTATCTATCTATCTATCTACACATCTCCAAAAGTGAAATTGCTGGGGCATATGGTAGTTTGATTTTTAGTTTTGGAGGAACCCCCATACTGTTTTTAACGTAAGAACTCTACTAATTTCATTCCTACCAACAGTTTACAAGCTATCCCTTTCTCCACATCCCAGCCAACTCTTTCAAAAAGATGATAATATTTTTGATAATGGCCATTCTAATAGGTTGAGATGATATCTAATTGTTTTAATTGGTATTTCTGTAATGATTAGTGGTGGTGAGCATTTTTGCATCAATCTCATGGTCAATTGTTATGTCATACAATTGTATGGCCAAGTGTATTTTGAGGAATGTCTTTTCAGGTCCTTTGCCCACTTTTTCATTGGATTATCTTTCTTTATAGTTGTTTGAGTTCCTTACATAATTTTGGATATTAACCCTTTGTCAGATATATAGTTCGCAAATATTTGCTCCTGTTTTATAGGTTATCTCTTCGCCCTGTTGATTGTAGTCGTTGCTGTTAAGAAGATTTTCAGTTTGGTGCTATCCCATTTGTCTATACTTGCTTTTGTTACCTGTGCTTTCAGGGTCATATCCAGAAAATCATTGCCCATACCACTGTCACGGAACTTTCCCCACTATGTTTTCTTCTAATTATTTAATAGTTTCATGGCTTATATTTAAGTCTTTGATCCATTTTCGTTGATTTTTGTACTTGGTGCAAAATAAGAATTTAATTTCATTCTTCTAAATATGGATATACAGTTTTCCCAACATAATTTATTGAAGAAAATGTCCTTTTCCCATTGCGTGTTCTTGATACCTTTGTCATAAATTATTTGACCTTAAATATATGAGTTTATTTCTGGGCTTTCTATTCTGTTCATTGATGTCTCTGTTTTTATGTTAGTATCATGGTGTTCTGATTACAATAGATCCATAAAAAACTGTTATAACTGATAAACTAATTCAGCAAAGTTGCAGGATCAACAAAATACAATCAACATACAATAATCAATAGCATTTCTATATACTAACAAACTAGCTGAAAGAGAAATTTAAAAAAAGCTATTCTATTTACAATAGCAACAAAAATAAAAATACATAGGTGTAAATTTAATTGAGGAAGAAAAACACTATGGTACTGAAAACTAGTTAATACTGATGAAAAAAATTAAATAAAAGAAATATGGCTGGTTGCAGTGGCTCACACCTGTAATCCCAGCACCTTGGGAGGCTGAGGCAGATGGATTGCTTTAGGTCAGGAGTTTGAGACTAGCCTGGACAACATATTAAAACCCCATCTCAACAAAAAGTACAAAAGATTAATCATATGTATTATACATATTATAGGTATATTATATATGGTATATATTTATATATGTAACATATAATATATAAATGGAAAAACACATCTGTGTTCCTAGATTGAAATAATTAAGTTTATTAAAATGTTGTATCACCCAAAGTAATACAGATTCAATACAATTCATATTATAATTTTAATGCCATTTTTCACAAAAATAAAAAGCATCCTTAAATTTATATGGGAATACGAAGGGCCCCAAGTTGCCAAATGGTTTTGACCAAAAAGAACAAATCTGGAGATATCACACTCGTTGATTTAAAAATATATTATAAAGCTATTATAATCAAAAGAGCTATTAATTACTTAAACTCAATGTAACTGGAGACAAATTGTTGCCATTATTGACGTTGTTGTTGTCGTTTCACCCTCTCAATCCAGCTTTTACTTACTCCAGGAAGACCAAGGAAGAGAAAAGAAGTTTATTGTATTTGTGTTTAAAACATTAAAATAGTTAAAGAGGTTAATCATCAGAGCAACAGACTTTTCCTTAGGTTGAAAACTGTCATTTTATTTAGAGCATTACATAAATGGAATTTTTTGCTATTATGATTTGGGGAAGGAAAGTCTTTGTATTCAGTCTGGGAAAATAAATGTGATATGCAAAGCTGTGCAAATTTCTCTGAATAAGGCACTAAATATTTAGAATACGTAATATATACTATACTATAATAAATACCTCGGTAGTCTCAAAGAGAGAAAATTTAAGTGGAAATATACTAAAATAAAAGGCATTTTTTACAGCTATGCAACATTCCTTTAACCACATCGTGGTTAAAGGGTGATCAGTGAGAAATTTCTAGGGGCAGGGTTATATAAGGAGCTTTTAAGAAGAATGATATAGAATATCAAATGAGAACGCAATGAGAAATCTCCTTGTTTGGTTTCATTTCTCACTTGAAAAAGGTCGAACATTTTTCAACTCAATATATGTCTTTTTTAAAAGAAAAAAACTTTATTTATTTCCATGTTACCTAATAGTCCAAACCCAGAATGGTTGCTGAGTGTCATAGGATGCTCCAGGTTTTCTATTTTTGACTCACCATATTTAAGATGTTATCCTATTATGCATAGAGGGAAAAGCCTCATCACATCTGCATTCTAGCTTCTGGGAAGTGACAAACAGGAAGAAAAGAATAAGTTCTTATACATTGAAAACTGTGTCCAGAAATGTGGATGTCAAACTTTTTCTCCTCGTCCCTTAGCTGGAATCAATTCACGTGGCAAAACTTCACACCAAGAGCTTAGCCAAATATTCTATTACTATGGAAGAGAGGAGTAGATATTATCAGGACCTCTAGAAGTCTCTACCATATATTTTGCACATAAAAATTATATATAGACCTATATTTAATACATGCATATTTATAAGCAAATAGCCCATATGTTGCATATATAAATAATTATATGTGCAATCAGGTGAGAATATGAGACAGTATTTTTGTAATTTCAGTTTTCTGGTTTCAGAATGGAAATTGTCATATTCTCATTTTGTGGTAATCATTATCTGATGAAACCATATGAAACTAGAGTAGTTTGTTAAACACTTACACACTATTTACTTAGATTCCACAGTTATTTAGGTCATGATCAAACTTATTTAATCTCTGTCTCTATTTATTTCTGCCCTCACTGAAATACTATGAGGTAAGTCTCAGAAATCATGTTATCCATAAAATCTGCAACTATAAATTTGAAAAGAAAATGGCTGTTATTGTTATTAATAGTGCTATAATGCAATTAACACAGCATGTTTTTAAAAATAATTATTGTATCCCAGATAATGAAGATGAGGTATCTAAACAGCAAAGTGTGTCATTTAAAATTATCAAACATCATGCAAATTTTTGAAAAAAAGAGCAAAAATATACTGTCAAGTGGTAGAGATACTAATCTCTGACTACTAAAGTTAAGCACATTTAAGAAGTTTAAAAGATTTATAAGCTTAAGAGAAATGATATTTTCCTGAAAAGTGTATTAAATATTTGCTTTCTAGTTTGTCTATACAGCATGAAGTAGTAACTCAAATGAGCAGGTATGTTTAAGTATTGAAAGGAAACACTGTTAAAGTAGAATACAACTATGGATTATAAGTACTTATTTTGTTTTTTTAATTACAGTAACAACTTTTCAATAAAGAGCTCAGAAAACTTTCTATAGCATAAATGAGTAACATATTAGTTACAAAATAAAACCTCAAAAAAGGGAGGGATTATACAGAAGGAATGAGAGAAATATATCACATTGTGAATTATCTTATCTCATTTTTTAAATATATAAATTCTAATTTTTAGATACCGTATTTGACTCTCCCTAGATTTCTGGGCACTTTGTTTTGATATTGTTTCCTGGACAGTATTTTATTACTATAATAAAACTAAATGAAGATGATCTTGTAATTTAAAATAATAGAGGCAAAAAAAATTCACTGCATTATCTAATAATGTCTATTTTCACTTGCAAAATGTACTTTGCTTTCACTATATGAAACATAGGTAAAACTTTCAGAAGACGAAAGACCAAAAAGATGTATCTTCTGACCCAAATACCCTTGCAATATTGTATGACCAGGAAATGCCTAAATATATTTAAACATATGCACTTCATGTAATATCAATTTTTATTTTTCTAACTACTTGTAATGCACGACGTACTTTACCTCTTATAATTAGAAAGCTAAGGCTGTACAAAACTGAACAAGAAATAATAAATTGTAGTGATCATAAGTCTTTCCAAATTTACTTTCAGTTTTTATATTTATTTTTATTTAATTCTTCTTTGTGTATAAATTCTAGAAGCCAAATTCTTGAAAATTGAAATATTTTCAAAATGCCAAAAGGCTGAAAACACTTTTTAAAGTCTAAGTCAACAAGTCTCTATGGAGATTAAACATAATCCACTTTAAAACACAGTAAACTCTTCCTGAAATAGAGGTTTAATTTTAATACCTGTGATATTTAAACACGTATATTCAATAAAATTATTTGCTAGAGAGTGTAGGTTATGATTTTATTAGAGTAGGAGAAGGCTATGAAACCATTTTAAATGCACAAAATGAAAATCTGAGAACAAACTCAAAGATGTGTGATGAAGCAAGAACGATTCTTGTGATTTTAAATTTAAATTTTCAGGTAAAATATTTACAATTTAAATTTCAAATATCCTTTTCATGTTTTATAGCTATTTTATCTCCATCAGAAATCAAAACAAAAACTAAAGAATATTTAGGGACTTCTAAAATACTTATGCTCTTTTTTACATTATTATCATAATTATATGTTCTACTAGCACGCTTTTTATAATGTGTAGGAAATGCATGCCGGTTTATTTATTTGAAGATGGTTATTGCCAACACAAAGACATATTCTCATGTACAATGCTAATATTGAAAAGCAAATATAGCTCATGTTGAGAAAGAAGCAAACCTGAGAGGCATTCATGCATTCTGAAATTAAGAAGTATTGGAAATATTAATAGATTCTAGTTTGCACTTTCAAAAGGATTAACCTTTGTTCATTTTGGAACTTGATATCCTGGATCTATTTTCCTTTTTCTCATTTCCTCCAGACCTTGTCATCAATTATCTTAGCAATCTATGCATCTACATCATATTTATTCTTTATCTATATATATTTTTATTTACCATTTTAGTGTCTACATATAGTATGCTGATTATTTTTCTTACATTTGTGTCATGTCTGTTTTAAGTTGTAAACAATTCTCTAATAAAAATAAACTTATGTAAACTATCTTTGCATTATAGTTTAAATACCACAATGTATGAATGCTGTTTTTATGATAATGATGCCACATAAGTAAATTATAGACATACATAATAATTTAAATTTGGTGAACATATGTGTAACATGGATGTTGTAATATGTAGGTTAAACAGAAATGTTGGTTGAATCATGTTAAAATAATAATTCACAAGGAAATCCTTATTGTTTATTTAAAAGATGTTGATGGATCTTTGTTTTTATTTGATTTGAGCCTCGAAATAAACTAAGAGCCTTTGATCTTGCCTTATTCTGATAAAATAAACCTAAAATTTAACTAGAATCACTTTTCAATGAAGCTGCTTTCTTACCATAACAGAGTAATCTCTAGCTTATTCCAAGGATAATATTGAATTAAATGATGGCTTGATTATCCAGGAATCAGCCAATATAGGTTATTCTACAATCGACACCAACTATCAGCGGCTTTAAAAAAACAAGAGTCACACAACCTATGCTCCACAATATCTGCCCTCAAAGGTTTTCTATCACGTTTTCTATTATTTACTCACATGCTCCACTGGCAGAGAGAATATATGTTTCCATTACGGTCCCAAAATGTTAATTATAAACACTGTTATAAGTTTTACAAATGTAAATACAAACTCGTTTTGTACAGAGAGGAAAATATTAAAACACCCCTCTAATTCATCAAAGTATTCTGGGTTGATTCCAGGTACGTACTATTTTCTTCCATTTCTTAGGTTGGTTGCTAAGGCCCAGCAAGAGATGAAGATGGTACATCAGTAGGGAGCCCCTCTACTGGTCATTTCCATCATTTTGTCTTTCAGTAAGCATGTACGAAGTAACTGGAGAGAGTGGGGTTAATCTGTTACTACACTTTGCTACTGAAAAATGACAGCAACATAGGTGCCACCTGAGGTCCACATCTTTGAGTATATATTGTATTACTTACCTGATGCGCAAAGACCCAAATCATGAATTATGTTTAGTTTTGTTTTCCCCTGACCTTTTGTCACCTAAATCTATTTACTATCTTTGCTTTTTCTTTGCCACAAAGTTGTCACAATAAACTCAGTACTGAGTAAAATATCACAAACTACCACACATTCATCAAAAAATACCTCAAAGAAAATTCTGCTAATTTTGAAAAAATGTTTCACTGCATTTTACTATACAAGCTAATACTCTGTAATGTAGTAATCTTTATGAAGAAATAAATTTGTAGCATTTAGGAATATTCAATATTGATACTAAGGTCATCTTTCTTTTACTGATGGTACTTATTCCCCCAATTATTGATTATTGATGGTTTTATTCTAGGAATCAACTGCTTTCTAAAAATGTCTAAACTTTATTATTCAGCTGGGTAAGCCAAGTGACAGTCTTCCCCACCTGGTTATCAGGGTTCATAGCACATAGGTTTGACAACCACAAACGACTTCAATCAAGAGAAACAGGCAGGTCAGAGTGTGAACTCACACAGCCAATGAAACTGACAGAGCCAATGCAACCAAAACAATTTTTGGGGAGTGCCATTCCTGCAGGTCTTGAAGACAGGCTTGACTCAAAGAAAAAAAAATAATGTAACTTATCTCTCTGACAATGAAGACCTTTCACGCCTTTTACTTTTGAAATTCATTAATTCAATTTTTGTTTTTTAGTGTGATGTCTGTATGAACTATTGTTGGTTTCAATCATCCTCATAATCTTAGCATTTTTTTTTCTGTATATTTAAATGTTTACATTTCAAAGACGGTACTCAGGTCCTTTTCTGCATATTTATCTTGAAGAGCTTAGTCTTTAAGATTTCTGCTGTATTTAACCATTCTCTTCTTGAGAGATAATTTTGACGCATAGAATCTTCAACTTAGATATAAGCGAGTCATTCAGACACAACTTTCATTATACTGCTCCAAAGGCTATGGAATCATGGAAGATCGGTACAGAAGTCCACAGAAAATTTTTGCTCTTAAATATTACCTTTATATTCCCTTCCTATTTCTACTTTTAGTAAGCACCTTACTCCAGAAGCTAGTGAAATACATAAATATAATTAAAATCCTTAAATCTTTAACATATTTTCAATATGCAAAATTAGGAATATAATCAAGGGAAATAAATTAAAATTTAATATATTGCTTTAAGAAATGGACACTTCCTAAGACACATCAGTTATTCAGATGATACATAAAAATTAAATAATCAATTCATCTTGTGGAATGACTCAATAAGTAAACAGTGCAAATCAGCATTTCCCATGGCCTGTTTTAAGTGTCATGATTTCAATGAGGAAATGTAGGAAAAAATATTTTCTTCCATTGTCAAATATTTGGGGAGCCTACATACTATACCTTTTTGGAGACTGATTTTTCAGATAATCATTTTAAATACTACTCATACAGTTTTCAATATAGTGACTTGTTAACTTTATCTTATACAGTATTTACCAAAGTTATTTGTTCATCAAGCTATTTTTTCTTTTAACTTATTGACATTCTATGAGATATGACCATCTATGTTAGCTAATTGACTTTATCCAGAGGAAACTAAAAACTTTTCATATCATTATGACAAGAAGTGGTTTTGCAACTTGGATCAAGGCATCACTGAAGTTATGTTTATAAACTCCAATAGATACTGAAAAATAGGGGTGCTATACCCCTTGATATTTACATTTCAAAGATGGCACTCAGGTCCTTAAGAAAGACATTTCTGTGTCATAGAGCTCATAAATGGCCTATCTAGTTTTTAAATTAATGTATACACATTTCAAAGGAAGGAGACAGTATTTATAATTACAAATTTTCTAAAGTGAGGGCTTTCAGAAAAAGGAGGAAAGAAAAGTCTTATCCATAGTTTCAACAGAGAGAGTTAAAACTTAAAAATTTTGTATTTGCCCTTGCACTACCAATAAATTGTAGCTATTTTTTTATTTTTATGGTGACTACAAAAGAGATAATAACTGTCTACCTGGGCAATCTAAGACACTCAGTTTTTAAAGGATACTACTGAATGAAAAAGTAGAGTATATTATCAAGTAACACAGTCAACCACCAAAAATCATTTTCCTCTATATCAGCAATACCAAGTCAAAAATACAAATGGTTAAAAAATTGTAATTAACAATATAAAGTTCTCAGGAATAAATGTAATAATTACATTGAATCATTATGAATAAAAACCATTATACACTATTAAACTGTGTGAATAAATAGTTGAATACGTATGGAAATTATATTCTCTGTGACTAAAAGAATCAGTATTAAATGGCCGCCAATGCATTCCATAGCTTGTCTCTTGGTTTGCTCAGTACTTTAAGATTTTAGCACTAAAAGGCATGATCCTGGGAACCTCCTCATTGTCCATGAAAACTAAGATCACGGATCACATTTCATTCTTCTGCCTTTTGTTCCTGCATTCATCTCTCCCTTTTGCTTTCTTATATCCATGTTATAAAATTAAATTAAAACAAACCTGCAATAAATTAATCAAATAGCATTGGAAGGTGAAGGAGGAAAAATGGAGGCTTGCCTTATCAAATATTAACTGTGTAGCAAGTTGGGTCCTTTCAGAAGCCAGCTCTGAGATGATTTCATTGCCTTTGGGAGCCACATCTGTGAAAGGGAGAGAAAGGAGGTGGGAGCGGACTCAAGGAGAAGTGCAGTTGCAATATAGCCCCACAGAAAATCAAAGAACCTTAAAGGAAGTCTGCTGGAACCTGAAGAACCCTTCAGGGTTGTCCCAAGTTGGATGTGGATAATCAAGCTTTTTATATTTACACAGCTGAGAAAAAGCAAACTTGGGCAAAGCAGCTCTCAGCATCAGAAGGGGCAGTGCCCAGCAGTGGGGAGCAGAGTGTACATCACTGAATCAACCCCAAAACTTGACTAGAAGTTTACATTAAATTAATAAAAGTTCAGAAGAAATGAGAGAGAGAGGTAACAATGGCACGAAGAAGAGAATCCATAAACTCATCTGTGCCTACAATAATTTTCTTCAAATTAAACATAGCACGTTTAAGAATTGGTAAACAAAAAACGTGGGAAAAACCAAAGAATTCTTGGAAGGAAAAAAGAAACTCTATCCCTGTCTCACAACATGACCTTACACTAAATTTCAGATAGACACTACTTAAATTTGAAATAGCTCGTTAGTGCATACAAGTGAAAGACATTTATAAAACAGAGGTGGGGAAAAGGTCTTTAAAGGATCTCATCTAAGCCTAAAAAAAGAAGAAGTGGATTTTAGCATGGGGAATTTTAAAATATATACATTTCCAAAATAATAAAATTAGCAGCAGAAAATAACAAATAAAAATAATTATATAACCTAAAATAATAATAGTTAACTATTTATTTGGTAGTTTCCTTGAGTCAAGGTTTATTTATTAATTTTTATTCCTTATTTCTTTATTTTTTACTATAATTATATGAAGTGGATCCATTCTTCATTCCTTTTCATAAAGACATGTAACGAGTAAATATCAGTGCCTGAATTTCAACCTGCCTGGGGCGTCAGGATCCAATAGAGGTCACGCTAAAATTCATCCTATTGCCTGGAACAAACAAGAAATAATAGTAATCTTATTAATGTCTTTAATATGTAAAAAGCTTTCTTGAAGGAGAAAGGAAAAAGATCCACCTTGATAAAAAATTGAACCAAGATCACAAGCAAGCATGCCTCAAAAATAAAAATGCAAAAAAAATTTAGTTATGGAATAAAGTTTATAACATTTTAATATCTCAGTGTGTTAAAAATAAAAGTCATATATCATAAGCATTCAGCAATAGGAATTGCATAAATTATTTTTAAGCAGTAATGCAATTACTAAAATATGGAAATTTAAAAGATTTTTCAGAAGAACAGCAACAATGTCTGAGCATAGTGTCTCACGCCTGTAATCCCAGTACTTTGGGAGGTCAAGGTGAATAAATTGCTTGAGCTCAGGAGTTCAAGATCAGCCTAAGGAACATAGGGAAACTCTGAATCTACCAAAAATACAAAACATTAGCCAGGCATGGTGGTGATCATCTGTGGTCCAGCTACCCAGGAGGCTGAGGCGAGAGGACTACTTGAGCCTGGGAGGCAGAGGTTGCAGGGAGCCGAGATCATGCCACTGCACTCCAGCCTGGGCAACGCAATGAGACCCCATATCGAAAAACAAAAATTTTAGAAGAACAGCAACAAGAAATTACATGAATAAATATAAATCATACGTACATTTACGTATTAAAATTAATATATAAAATATATTAATATAATTTTAAATTAGTGACGATTTGAGAGGTTTAGGATTATAACTATTATTTTTCCTCTTTGTTTATTTGTTGTTTTTTTCCAATAAAATACAAGTATTTTCTTGCCTTACAGGAAAAATATAATTTATATTTTAATACTTATTTTCAGTGTTTATGATATAAGTACGTTATTTTATATTATTTACATATTAATGTATTCATAGTTATATTTTCAAAAATTTGTTTATAAATTTATTTATTGTCTATTAAAATTACACACTACATGTGATCTCTGTTATTTATGTTATTTTACATGTCAGTGGTTGGCAGAGATTAACTTCAAAAATTCCTATCCTAAGTATGTGAGTATCATGATAAAGTTTGAGAGTTCAAGAGCAATATTTATGCCTTCAAATGGGTACAATATTATTTTTAATCACAAGATGGACTGTAGTTTATTATTTTTATAACTTTGGATAATAAGTGAGTAATATTTTGGGGGATCATATTTTAAATACAAAAATATTTTGAGTTATCTCAAAAATTAATGGACTTAGTAAAACCTATGAAGGTCTTTATTTATGAAGTAACTGTCTTTCCTCAAGGCTATTCACAGATAAAATGAATCTCCAAGTGATATTGTTCAACATGAGAAATTCTCTAAAATCTATAATTTAGCAGCTGGAATGTGCTCATGATATATGTATACATTACGTTTTATAAAGTTACAGATATTGTCTGTATTGTTCAATAAGATGTCCTCCACAATTAGTAAAACATATATGGCATTGGTAGGTTCCCACTAAAATATGTTGAATAAATAATTAAAACTAATATATTTGCTGAAGTGCATTTTCTAACACTTGTCAGTAATTATCATTCTTTAAAGCTACAATTTCAAAACAAAAAAGCAAAAACCACTGCTCTGAGAAATCTGGAATGAATAAAAATCTGGGCATATATATATGAAATTATGTATTAATATATTGGAAATTATATATTCATATATATGAATTTATATATTCATATATGTGAAATTATATATTCATATATATATGAAGTGCAGGCAGGTGTATTCCTTACAAAAAACTGGGAGACAATGTACTGCCAGCTCATCCAGGCTATTTTATATATAAATATTTTTTTCTTACACTCTACCAGTATAATCAAGTGTTATTCATAAACAGTGTTGAATTCCTGTGTTAGTCATTATCTTATCAATAACAAGATAGTAATCAGTTTTTCAAAAATGGTGTATTTTTCTTAGAACATGATATTTAATAAAATGTTCATGAATTTCTCAAGTATTAGTATTAAAGATGCACATTTTTTTCTCTGAAAGAAATCACTGTATTTTGAATAAATTTAATTGCCTACATTGGTTTTATAGACAGAGAACCTATGGCCAAAAGCCCTCATAATATTATGAAACAAATATGTATTGGCCAGAATTACTACTGGAGTAGTAACTTTCTTTATTGAGTGAATATATTAGTGGTCACTAAGAGCCAAAAATAGTTAAACTTGCTTCATAGAATGGCCCAAAGTGGCACAGGACAGAAAAACACTAACAGGTGACATTTTAAAATGTGACAACATAAAGATAAGGAAACTAAAGTTTTCTTTCTCTCTTGAAAAACCATGTAATACTGGAATTTTAATAGCAGCAGATTTTACAGATGAAAACCAATGAACAATATAGCTTATCTCCTGCTAGATGGGTGGAGGGTGGAGAAGGAAGTAGACATAATAACATTTAGAAGTAAAAATATGAGCATATAAAATTACAATGAAAATTTTAAAATGTAAAAGAGAACCTTAAAGTTTCACTGAATGTAATGATGAAAGTGAAAAATTTGCAACTGTGAATCAGATAGGATTTCAAAGCTGAACATTTCTTAATTATTTTCCGTTAATTAAAAGCCAAAAGAATTCTTAGGTATTGTATTCGTTTTATATTGCTATCATAACAAATTGCTACAAATTTAGTGGCTTAAAACAATATAATTTCATTATGCCACAGTTTCTGTAGGTCTCATGGGTTCAGTTGGTTCGTCTGTCAAGGGATTCGCAAGGCTGAAATCAAGGCGCAGGCAGGAGTATTTCTTGCTAACAAACTGGGAAATAATGTACTCAGCTCATCCAGGCTGTTTCTTGAGTTCAGTTTATTTTAGTTTATTTTATTTTTTTGCAGTTGTAGAACTGAGATCCCTGTTGCTTTGCTATCAACCAGGGGCGGTCTTTCCATCTAGAGGCTGTCCTCATTTTTTCTCTTGTTTTCCACAGGACCCTCTCTAGCAAGGGCAGGTCAAATCCCTTTCACACTTCGAAACTTTCTTTCTCGGTTGCCTTTTTCAGACTCAAGTTGGATATTGTTCTTTGCTGTTAAGGGTTCATGTGATTATACTGAGTCCTCCAGATAATCCAAAATAATCTCTCTATTTTCAAGTCCATAAGTCTAACGACATCTTCAAAGTTCCTCTCCATAAGTTTCAAGTGTTAGGAAGTAGACATCTTCAAGGAACTATTTTGCCTACCATAGTCTATTTCATTAATAGCACTTTACGTGACACAAAATTTGATACATATATTTAATGTCTGTTAGGTAGGGTCTTTTCTGGATCCAAATCACTACTAATAAGAGGCAACATGTCCATGTAAGGTTTTTTTTTTTGTGCCAGGCAATATTCAAAATATTAGACATATATCAATAAATGTAATCTCTACAACTAAAATATTGGCAGGTTCTATTTTCTTAAGTTTTTTAATATTGTTTTTGTAGAGATACGGTCTTGCTATGTTGCCCAGGCTGGTTTCAAATTCCTGGCTTCAAGTGATCCTCCCGTTTCTGTCTCCCAACGTGCTGGAATCACAGGCAGGAATCATGTCCAGCCTAAGTTCTGTTTTTATCTCTATTTTATCAAAGAGAAATAGAGGTAAAATAACTCACCTAGGATCATTGAGCTAGTAAGTAGTGTAAATGAGGTGGTTTGTTTCCAGAATCAACACTCTTAATCACTCTACAATTCTGACTTCAAATATTAGAAATTGGGTTGTTTTAAAGAATAGAAAAATAGGAATGACTATATGTATTCTAGATGGAAAAAAGTACAGTAGTATAAGACAATGAACTACAATTATTAGAATAGTTATCTATCATACTTCATTGAATCTCCTCACTTTGCCTGCACATAACTTGATTTATTACATGCAGCAATTCACTCAAAATCTACCTCTTGGGGGAGCTTACAAGGTACTCAGATTAAAGAACATTCACAAAGCCACGCTACCGTACTGACAGCTCTCTGCATCTATGTTTTGGATTCCTAGCTATAGAAAATTATAGCGAAATCTGGTAGTCAATGACAGTTTTAATAAAGGTAAACTTCATTAAAGTTTATTAAAGGTTATTGAGTCAACAAAAACATTCAAGTGAGCCAAAATGGACTAAGGTAATTTAATATTATTCAGAACAGGTGATAGAATTTGAATTGAAAAGTATTGTAAATAGTCAATGAAAAGGAGGTAAAAATAAAATTTCACTATTCAGATATCTTTAAATGCCAAGGAATAGTTAAAGACAAGCAGAAAAAATTTATTTTACACTGTGAGGCAAAACAGTATAGAGATCTGAGGTTTTGGAGTCAGACAGGCCCTACTCCATAACTGCTATTTATTACCTATGCAATCTTATGCATTTTCATTCACATTTAAAAATTTTGTTTCTATGTTTAAAAATGGGCTTCATGATATGCTAACAAACATTGAATAATATTGCCATGAGATTTAAAATAGCTAAACAATGCAAATTCCTTAGTTCATAATATATAATGCTCAGAATGTGTCATTTTTAAAAACAGAACAAATTATGATAATTATTTTAAAATATGAGAATGTTTAATTACAAAGAACTAAAGGGACATTACTGTGGAATTAAAATCTTAAAATTATGACTTGTTCGTTGGGTATTTTTAATGATATTTTAAAAAATACATATAGTAAAATCAACCTGTCTTAATAGCTGACAGTCAACAGAGATTAGTACTTTACCTTAAGAGTGTTCATCGATAAAATTTATATTAATATTTAATTATTCATTTATTATTAGGTTGAATGTTTATTGAGCTATTTGACTATGAGTTGCTTACAATTTGGAATGTGGAGAAAGGGAAATGCAGGGATAACTGTGATACAATGCAAAATGTGTTATATATGTGGTAGAATAGAAAAGTTGGAGATTAAAAAAAAGTTTTACCAAGGATCTGACAGATGTTCTGCAAGCGATAGAAAGTCATGGGTAATATTTAATGAAAATTATCTCTTATAGCAAAAGAGCATTCGATCAGGGAGGTGGAATGGAGGTGGAACAGGTGTTAGAAGGAGAGCGTAATCGGTTTTAAGGATATAAGAAATACTTTTTGGAGATAAGTGAGTGGCTATGTTAATGGATAGAAGAGGAGATATTAGAGAAATATTTTGAGGCAGGATTTAAATAATTTACTAAGGGGATTGAGGATATGTTAGAAAGTAGGAGTTGACGTTGACACCAAAGTTTATATCATCAATAAGGTAGATGGTGAGTTTCTTGGGATAAGAAACAGAAGATGACAACAACTTATATAGGAGAATGAAGTCTGCTTAATTTGATATATCCTTTGAAATGGAGATATTAATATACATAAAATATGTTTACTAGATGAAAGGGAATCATATCTTCACATAAGAAACAATGTTTCTGTGTATGGTAATCTTATCATGGGCAAAGTTCCAATCAAGTTTAAAATTGGAACAAATCTTCTGAAATTTGTCCTAAATTTTAAATGGCTTTGAGGAGCATAAACTCTTACCAAGACAAAGATATTTACTTCAATTATCAAGCCTCATATGGGAATAAAATTAATCCCCAAGTTTTGTCACACACACACACACACACAAACACACACACACACACATCTACATCATAAAAGCAATCTAGATCCTTCCACAAATATGAATTTATATTTAAACAAACATACCACATTCAATATTGTCTGCATTTTCTAATATGTAAAAAGTAATCACTTTATGGTTATATATCATAATATCTACAGTTAATGAGGACTCACAAGCCTTTTTTTGTTAAGTAATTAATTTCAATTAAAATTAATTTTTCCTTAGGACTAACATGGTCTACCGCCTAAACGGCAAAGGGGGAATTTTAAAAAGAATAATAGAAATGAAATAGAAATTATATATGTGTGTGTGTGTGTGTGTGCGCGCGTGTGTATGTTTTTCTCGCAAAAGCTATTTTCTTAAAACTCCTCACTAGGGCCAACTAGGCAGCTCTTCTGACCTTGGCTGAGCTTCCTGATTTGGCTGGCTTTTTGCTAACCTAGAGTGGTTTCCCTGTGGTGACAGCAATGACTCAGGTCTATTTTGTAAAACCCTCATTGTCCAGTTGCATAGCTTGGATCAGTTCTCATAACAATGGAACAATCACAAAAGCAAATGTCCCAATGTGCAAGCCTATTTCACACTTTGCTGTGGCATATCTACTAGTATTGCATTAGTCAAAGTGACCACTGAGTCCCAAGTCAAAGCATAAGGCTTACTGCCGTGTCCCAAATGGGAGGGCTTTGCAAACTTACATGCAAAGGTTGCAGGTGAAGAATGGGGTCCATCAATTTCAATCTGACACAGCCTGCTACCTATCAAGAACTGCTTAGGTTCTGAAATGTTCCCTGACTAGTAAGTTCACAAGTAAGCCTATAAGCCTGCCGCAGTTTCATCAATGCTTCCAGAAGATATAAGATGCCAGGGCAGAAACTAATGACAGTTATTACTCACAATAATAGCAGAGGCCAGAATGTCAGTATATTTGTGCCCATTTTCTGCATCTTCATTCCCACAAGGAGATGAAAAGAAGAAGAGATGGCACCTGCACACATCATGGGTTGCATCAGATGAAAGAAACCCTGAGCTTTGGCAACCAGAATCATTTATAATGTGCAATGAGCATGTCTGTCCTTAGCTCCAGAAGGAAATACTAACTCAAGAATACGAAACTTTTCACCAGATGTGAATAAACATGAGAGACTCGTGGAGAATTGTTTTCTAACAGGATTCAAATATGAAAGTTGGATATCTTCTCAGTATTCTGCTGAGTTAGTTGTATTGTTTTTGAATATCAGTTTTCTTTTTCTTACTCTCTCGTTTATTTTGAAAAAAGATTTCCTTCTACCCATTATTAAATAATAAAAATAAGACATACATTTTGAAAACTTGAATGTTTTCAAATGCCTGTAAGAAAACTGAAAAAACGAGGAAGCCAAGGCCTTTGTCAGAACTTTTGTTTTTTGCTTCTTATCTTTTTTAAGAGTAGTGTTTTATCAACTCAAAAATAAAAACAAAAGAAATACGAAACCAGCAACTATAAATGCTGCTGGAAAATCTAAACTATCAAAAGATGCAGAGACACAACCAAAAAAGAGAATTTTAGACCAATATCCTTGATGAATATTGATGCAAAAATCCTCAATAAAATACTGGCAAACAGAATCCAGCAGCACATCAAAAACTTATCTACCATGATCAAGTGGACTTCATCCCTGGGATGCAAGGCTGGTTCAACATACACAAATCAATAAATGTAATCCAGCATATAAACAGAATCAAAGACAAAAACCACATGATTATCTCAATAGATGCAGAAAAGGCCTTTGACAAAATTCAACAACGCTTCATGCTAAAAACTCTCAATAAATTAGGTATTGATGGGACGTATCTCAAAATAATAAGAGCTATCTATGACAAACCCACAGCCAATATCATACTGAATGGGCAAAAACTGGAAGCATTCCTTTTTAAAACTGGCACAAGACAGGGATGCCCTCTCTCACCACTCCTATTCAACTTAGTGTTGGAAGTTCTGGCCAGGGCAATTAGGCAGGAGAAGGAAATAAAGGGTATTCAATTAGGAAAAGAGGAAATCAAATTGTCCCTGTTTGCAGATGACATGATTGTATATTTAGAAAACCCCATTGTCTCAGCCCAAAATCTCCTTAAGCTGATAAGCAACTTCAGCAAAGTCTCAGGATACAAAATCAATGTACAAAAATCACAAGCATTCTTATACACAAATAACGGACAAACAGAGAGCCAAATCATGAGTGAACTCCCATTCACAATTGCTTCAAAGAGAATAAAATACCTAGGAATCCAACTTACAAGGGATGTGAAGGACCTCTTCAAGGAGAACTACAAACCACTGCTCAATGAAATAAAAGAGGATACAAAGAAATGGAAGAACATTCCATGCTCATGGGTAGGAAGAATCAATATCATGAAAATGGCCATACTGCCCAAGGTAATTTATAGATTCAATGCCATCCCCATCAAGCTACTAATGACTTTCTTCACAGAATTGGAAAAAACTAAAGTTCATATGGAACCAAAAAAGAGCCCGCATCACCAAGTCAATCCTAAGCCAAAAGAACAAAGCTGGAGGCATCACGCTACCTGACTTCAAACTATACTACAAGGCTACAGTAACCAAAACAGCATGGTACTGGTACCAAAACAGAGATATAGATCAGTGGAACAGAACAGAGCCCTCAGAAATAATGCCGCATATCTACAACTATCTGATCTTTGACAAACCTGAGAAAAACAAGCAATGGGGAAAGGATTCACTATTTAATAAATGGTGCTGGGAAAACTGGCTAGCCATATGTAGAAAGCTGAAACTGGATCCCTTCCTTACACCTTATACAAAAATTAATTCAAGATGGATTAAAGACTTAAATGTTAGACCTAAAACCATAAAAACCCTAGAAGAAAACCTAGGCATTACCATTCAGGACATAGGCATGGGCAAGGATTTCATGTCTAAAACACAAAAGCAATGGCAACAAAAGCCAAAATTGACAAATGGGATCTAATTAAACTAAAGAGCTTCTGCACAGCAAAAGAAACTACCATCAGAGTGAACAGGCAACCCACAAAATGGGAGAAAATTTTCGCAAACTACTCATCTGACAAAGGGCTAATATTCAGAATCTACAATGAACTTAAACAAATTTACAAGAAAAAAACAAACAACCCCATCAAAAAGTGGGCAAAGGATATGAACAGACACTTCTCAAAAGAAGACATTTATGCAGCCAAAAGACACATGAAAAAATGCTCATCATCACTGGCCATCAGAGAAATGCAAATCAAAACCACAATGAGATACCATCTCACACCAGTTAGAATGGCAATCATTAAAAAGTCAGGAAACAACAGGTGCTGGAGAGGATGTGGAAAAATAGGAACACTTTTACACTGTTGGTGGGACTGTAAACTAGTTCAACCATTGTGGAAGTCAGTGTGGCGATTCCTCAGGGATCTAGAACTAGAAATACCATTTGACCCAGCCATCCCATTACTGGGTATATACACAAAGGACTATAAATCATGCTGCTATAAAGACACATGCACACCTATGTTTATTGCAGCACTATTCACAATAGCAAAGACTTGGAACCAACCCAAATGTCCAACAATGATAGACTGGATTAAGAAAATGTGGCACATATACACCATGGAATACTATGCAGCCATAAATAATGATGAGTTCATGTCCTTCGTAGGGACATGGATGAAATTGGAAATCATCATTCTTAGTAACCTATTGCAAGGACAAAAAACCAAACACCGCATGTTCTCACTCATAGATGGGAATTGAACAATGAGAACACATGGACACAGGAAGGGGATCATCACACTCTGGGGACTGTTGTGGGGTGTGGGGACGGGGGAGGGTAGCATTAGGAGATATACCTAATGCTAAATGACGAGTTAATGGGTGCAGCACACCAGCATGGCACATGTATACATATGTAACTAACCTGCACATTGTGCACATGTACCCTAAAACTTAAAGTATAATAATAATTTAAAAAAATGCTGAGTACTTTAAAAATCCTATTAGTACATTATTCTAAAAGAAGTAATTTAAGATTGGCATCATCCATTTCAATAATCAAATTCTTAAATAACAAACTATTAACTTATTTTATTTATCTCTATCTTCTCATATACTCTATTCCAAATATTTCATTGCAAGAGAAGAACACATCTGGGACTCCTTCAGTCATCCCTGGGCTACCAATGATATCACAAAGTAATGGCAAGCATTCTTTTATTCTTCTCCAATCTGAATTTTTTTCATGTAAATGAAAAGAAATTTTACGTGAAACTTTTCTCATTTTTCTCTATTTGTCCTATTTTTAACAAAATAACTTTGGAGACATAAAAGCTCTTTTTCTTGACAATACAGTGTAAGAGAAGATCCAACAGAACATTCGTTTTTTTGAAATGATCCTGTAATTGTTTGAAGTTTATCTGCCAACTATTAATTTTGGAAATTCAGCTGTATGAGTGTACAATCATGATATTAGTTTTCATGTTTTCCTTTACATGAAGAAAAATCATTGCACTCAATTTGTATTAAAAGCCATAATATTACAACATAATAATTTAAATAAAAATAGCTATTCATAGAAATCTCATGCATTCAAAGTCACAAATATTTTAAGATCTAACATAATTATGCTGTGGCAGATGTTCAGCATTGTCTTCTTTACCTAAAAAGTAAAACAGTCATACAGAGTATTCTGATAAAAGCCCAAGGCTAATATAAAAGATAAAGAGAAGACAAACAAGTGAAGATGACTGATATTAATCCATGTTTTGTTTCCTCCTCTAAAAATTAGAAAAAAAAATAAGTTAACTTAAAGGATTGAGTTTGTTTCAAAGTCATGATGATAGTGCATTTAATTTTTATTTAAATTTATTTTTCATATTTAAATAGCTTTTGTTTTGTTTTGTTTTTCTTGGAGACAGGGGCTTGCTCTGTATACCAGGCTGGAGTGCAGTGGAACTATCATGACTCACTGCAGCCTTGAACTCCTGGACTCAAGCAATCTTCCCACCTCAGCCTCCCAAAAATGAAGCAGACAGATATTTTGCAAATGTAGGATACATGCAAAAACTCATCTTCAGTTTATGCTGTGATCCTATTTCTGTGCTGTGGACCTATTAGCTGCGGTCTGTTTATAGAGTCTCTTGCTGTCAAACTGACTCACAGACAAAATTATCATTTTATATAACAATCACTATTTCAGGTGTGGTATATGCCTGTATTTTCTTATGTATTGATATTTTCCAGTTTTATATTGGCTTCCTTAGTTGCTTCCATGCGGTTTATCTATATTTTTCCAGAAAATAGGAAAAAAAGTACACATTCAGAACTGATTTTTAACATTTTTGAAAGTTATTTAGTTTCCTAAGGATTTAACCAACAACCAGTTAAAGTTGACTGACTGAGAAACTTGATTTGGATGAATATTATAAAGTTTTTTTATGTTTTGTTTACCTTTCTCCACATTCAAAGTAATTTTGGTGGTTCAGTTCAACAAAACATTTTGCAAATGACAGTCAACATTTTGCAAACTGAATATTACCCACACATCATGTGTTCTTTAACAAGCACAAAATAAACATGCTTATTCAGTCACAATTACATTCACTCAATCAGAAACATCACCTGTCATCTTTTTAGGAAGAGCCCCGCTAGGGAGTCTGAGGAACAGCCTTCACACAGGCAGGTTTCTCAGTAATGGTTAGAATAACAATGCCTCTCTCTTCCCCAGCTGTAACTTTTGTCTATATTACTTCAAGAATCTTATATTTTCCAAAAAACTTTTAGGTGAAACTTAGAAAAATTCCTGAAAAGAAGCAAAGTAGGCTCTCGGATTCAATATCTATTGAAATCAGTTTCAAATTTCATAACATTTGAAATAGTCCATGTAAATATATCTTCACAATTATTTGTTTCCCCCAAAGTCTCAATGCTTAAAGAACAGCTTTATGCATAAAAGATATAGTATTTTTATTAATGTTAATTAACTAAATTAATTCAGAATTATTTACAAACAGACAGAAAAAATTTGGTTTGTTTTTTTCGTTGTTGTTGTTGTTGTTCTCCAGATTCAAAGGGCAAAGCTTTAAAGCACATGCAACAATTTGATAATTAGATAATTACATATTTTCCCCCTAGAAACAAACACAGAGTAATTAAGAGTAAAGTGGAATTCTATAGTATTACCTTTTCTGTGATTGTGAGGGAAGGTATTTCAGAGAGGCATATATTGTTGGATTTAACATGTTCACATTTCTTTGTCTCTAAGAATGATAATTCAATGTTCTGCCATGACCAGGAAGAAATCGCTAGTGTTCTCAAATCAAACGACTGTTAGATGAATTTTTTGTGAGGAAATTTTTCAAGAAACATCTTTCTCTAATCTTTTCTTAGAGCTAAGCATGAATGATTGGCACAGAGTTTAGAATCTAACATATATTTATATATGTATATTTATACATATGCACGCTAATATTACTGATGGACAAATAAAATATTTTCTTAAATGTATTATTATAGTTCCTATACGATTAAGGGATTCATTTTGTTAGATGCTCTTCATAAGGCACTATATATAGCATTCTTTTCTATTTCTGTTGAATGTATGAGAGGTAACCCCTTGATTATCTGAGAGAGAGGAAGAAGATCTTCTAAAAGTATCAAATTCCCAGAATACTGCTTTGGTACCAGCTCCTTGGTAGGGAGTTGTGGTGGGTTGAATAGTGTCGTTCCAAAATCTATGTCTGCACAGAACCTCCCAATGGGCCTAATTTTGCAATAGAGTGTTTGAAGATGTATTTAATTAAGATGAGGTTATACTAGGTTGAACTGGGGGCCTATATTCACTGATTAGTGTCCTTATAGGAAGAGAAGACCCACAGACACACAAAGGAAGAAGCCCACGTGATGACGGAAACACAGACTGGAGTGATGCAACTACAAACCGAGGAACACTGATGTTTCAGGCAGCAGCAGAAGCAAGGAGAGAGGCATGGGACTGGTTCCCTCAGAGCCCCCAGAAGCCTCCAAGTCTGCAGACACCTTGATTAAACGATTCTGGCCTCCTGAATTGTGATAGAATGCATTTGTGTTTTTTTAAGCCACTGAAATTGTGGTACTTGCTATAAGCAGCCCCAGAAAACTAACATAGGAGTATGGAGAGAATATTAATTAAGTAGGAAAGCAACAGATATATTTTACTACGATCTTTTTTTTTTTTTACATATTGAGATAATTGTTACACTTCTTATGTAAAAACATGCTCTTGGATAGGCTCAGTGGCTTATGCCTGTAATTCCAGCACTTTGGGAGACCGAGACAGGCTGATCGCTTGAGTTCAGGAGTTCGAGACAGGCCTGGGCAACATGGAGAAACCACATCTCTACGAAAAATTACAAAAATTAGCCAGGTGTGGTAGCTCGTGCCTGTAGTCTCAGCTACTTGGGGGTGCTGAGGTAGGAGCATCACTTGAGCCCAGGAGGTTGAGGCTGCAGCAAGCTACATTCATGCCACTGCACTTCCCAAACAAAATATGCTTTTAAATATCGCAAATAATTATGTCTATATTCTCTTATTACAAAGAGTGGCAGATGTCTATGCACATATGCATATATACAAACACATATACATATACAAGCAGCATCTTTTCCTAAACTCTTATTTATAATTTACTTGAGCACAGTAGCCAATAAAAGTCTAATGTTCATTAGATCTCTTATATTAACTCATTTGGAAAAGATGATTATTGGTGCCAGAATTACTTATTAGTGATATCTTGACAGCTAGGACTTTAGTTATTTTGTTTATGTTTCTAAATTGATGAAACAGAAGTCTTGGACAAAGTGAGCTTTAACATACTGCATATCCACTAGCTCCATGATCTCTCTACTAAAGAAATATTAAAAGTTTTGTTTCTTTCTGAACTCAACATATTGTTTTATTATGTGATGATATTTTTAAAGTTACAAGAATGTATTTCATTCCAATTTCCCAGGGAGGAATACCAGAGTATTGCCTTATTGAATATGTATTTTAGCTAATTAGACAAATGTTTACTAATTATTTTATGTATATTAGGCTCACTGTCTCTGTTTGCGCAGTTTTAAATATAATAATGACCTGGCACAGTGACTTGGTGTAGATAGTGGATACTGATGTCTAATTCTGTATTAAAAACTACAGAATGCCTACATAAACCAGTATCATAAAAAAATGCATTTTAAGTTATATGTAATGCAGTCACATGATACTGTGATGATGTAGCATGTGATTATTGACAATGCCTAGTAGTTTCTTCAGTTCTCTACTTCAGAGACATTTCTGTTCTTCATATTTCAGTGGCAAAATCTCTGTAGGTTTTGCTGGTATGCAGACATTTTACTAATGGAATTTATTAAAATGTAGCCGTTGAAGGCAATGCTAAATACTTTCTAACCCATAGCTTGGCTTGCTGTCGAAGTCATTTACTTCAAAGAAGGACAAGAAAATAAAATACTGTTCTTTTATTGAGTCCATGCAATGTGCAAGAAAACTTTACCCGGTGAATCTGAAGTGTCTTTGCAAAGCCTGTGAAGTGGCGATTATCTGAGTTCTTCTGTTCAGATGAGGGGCTGAAGCTAGTTTAGATTCATAAATCTTTGCTCAGAAGCAAAGCACCCTGGTTTTACATATAGCAGGTTATCTGGTACTGGGAGGCTCCCACAAGTCCACCTTGGCATTTTGCATTTTCTTTAAAAGAAAGAAGCTATGTGAATAAGCCCAAATATTTAAAATAATAAACTAGCATTCGGGGGCTTAATAAGTCAGATTTGAGACCTCTTAGGAAGCAACATAATGTCTAATTATATAAACCTGGGTGAATGACATAATTTATGCTAGAAATGATGTTCCAGTTTCACTGACATCTGGCTTCTTACATTCTGCAGTTTAACTCAAGGGCTACACACAGATAGAGGTGAAGAGGACTCTGCCGTAGAGATGGGCGAGCTGGGAGAAAAGGAGTTAGGCTGGGAAGGTTGTCACACTACCAAGGTTATACAATCTTTGCATATTTCCTCTCCAAATGCCAGGCTATCACTTCTGCCCTCTGAGACAGTTACTCCTAACACGAGTTGACAAAGTGCTGAAGAAGACTCTTCCTGTAGCCCTCCAGATGACCTCAACTTTTTTTGGTGTTAATAACATTTTTTAAGAAACCCACTTAATCTTACTTTTTTCTTAACTTATTCACAACATGATCTTGCCAGTTTTCCCCAAATCCAGTTCCCACTATTTAGTGGAAATATGCTTACTTGATGAACCAAGGATGCGGTCTTAGTGGCTCTATTTATTTTTCTTAAAAATATAATAAATCATTATTATAAGTAGTAATAGAAATCCAGGTGGCTGGATCAATAAGCTCATAAATATGAAACAATTCAAGTTTTAGTGAAAAATTTGTTAGTAGGAATATATAGTTACAATAATTATTGAAGGTTGGCAATGACACTTTTTTCATGATTTTAAATATACATTATTAATTTTAGAGTCACATATATTGATAGAAATATTGTATTCAAAACTACTTTAGAGGAAAAAAATGATTTAATGCCACTGAAGTGGAATAGCAGAAATTCAAGAAAAAAATAAAGACCTACCTTTTTTGTCTATGCAATAATCCAGAAAATTAAAATATTTAAAATTTGTTAGTATGTGCTTACAAGTCTAGAGCTTAGCAAAATTTGTTATGTTCAAACAAATCAAGAAAGTCAGCTCTAAAATGTTTAAAAATGTTGAGCATACATGCATGAACAATTTATGCGATGACATTCTCTTTTCATATGAACTAATTTCATTGTTTAAGAGGGATTCATAAGCGATTTTGTTCTTTTGTTGACATCGGAGTACTAGAGAGAGGAGGAAGGATGATATTGGCAGGAGTGAATGAGGAAGTGAGAAAAATTCTGTTGTGTCTCAGACTGTTATTAAAGCTGTCCATCCTATTGTCGGTGGTGTGCCAGTGACATCACCAAATGAGGCCCAAGCATTACGTTGAATATTGTACTGTGCTAAGACAACTATGAGAAAGATCATGAAATCAGTAAAATCTTAACAATTGTCTTCAACAGTTATCTTTTTAAAATATTTTGTGTAAAAATAATGATGTGTCTCATAATAAGTAATATATCCTTCTTTTCCTACAGTGTTTAATTAAAAATATTTTACTTCTTCATTACATAAATACCATATAAGAAATAATTTCAACAAGTAATACTTGTAAAAAAAAAAAGCCTCAATACATACTGACAGTATCCTACTGAAACTTTCCACTTGTTCATTTGTCCAATAATGAGTATTTACATTTAAATTTGGAATTTTTAAATGAAAATAATGTAAATACGAACAACATTCCGCCACTTATTATTCCTTAGGTAACTGTTAATATGTAGGATATTAAAAATGGTTGAGAAGCTTTATGCTGTTTACATTTTGCTATATTAAAAAATATGTTCTTTTTATGACTTGTCTACTTATGCAGGCTTTCTGGATTTTGGTATTTTAAATATCATAAATATGATGTAGGGAAATACATTCAATGCAAAACCTTCAATTATAAAACATAATCATCTTGCCTTGTGTGATTTTATTCTGGGTGTACATATGCAGTTTAAATTTATACATGCATGCACATCACTTGAAATTGTTCTCCATTTTTAAGGGAAGATAATTTTCCAGTCCTTCAAGAAATAAATATGAATGTTCCTTTACCCAGCCTCCTGTTGCAAGATATCAAATCCTAGGAGAATTAAGGAAAGCAAATTTTGTATTAGTTTGTGGCTGTGGCATTTTAGAGCAGGCAAATTCAACTTGCAAATTGGAGCCCAGCTGCTGGTTTAAATCAGCTGAAAATGAAATGGGAACATCTTATTGAAGTGTTCATTTGATATAGATGAATGTCTTTCCAACAGGAACAGTGTGGACTCAATTTATAGGGAGGACTGAGACGATAAGTCAGGAACAGTGTCTAGATCACAAGATCACATCAAAAAGTAAAATAAAATATATGGATTATAAAACATTGAAGTATCAGAGATTATGTTCTGGTAGACTGAGAAGCAATCTAAAAGGAATTTGATATTTGTGTTTGCTCATCACTCATGAGTTAAGTGAGGGAGGACTGGAGCTGAGATTCATTTATTTACCTAGTGGCAATGAAGCCTGACTTTCATCAAAGGATCCTCCCTGCTCTCACCTGGGAGGCATTCATATCTTTGTTTCTCATGACAACATAATGGCATGTTCTCTTTCAATGATCTCCTATTTGTCAGAATTATCATGTTGCTAAAATTTCAAAGAATCTTATGTTAACATAAATGCATTCAGGCTCTAGAAGCCGCAGTTTAGGTAAGTAGAGCGGCCTTGATCAGTGGCTACAATAAATCCAAAGGAAATTCCAAGGCAACTCTCAGTGGTCATCTGTATTGTTAAATAATGTGAATGTGAAATTATATTATGCACTACATTTGTTTACTTCCTTATCGAGGTATTGATGTATTTATTGAAGCCCTTTGTTGTGCAAGGCAAGGTGACTGACAGGTGGACATTGGGCAAGGTCAAAAGAGTTAATTAGGTGGGAATAAAACATGGTCATCTGAAACTTGCCACCCCTTCACGTCCATGAGATTTTTTATGCCACAAAAAATATATTCATGAATGCAGGGTTTTTAAATTTTTATTTTTTATTTATTTTTATTTTTTAGACAGAGTCTTGCTCTGTTGCCCAGGCTGGAGTGCAGTGGCACAATCTCGGCTCACTGCAAGCTCTGCCTCCTGGGTTCACGCCATTCTCTTGCCTCAGCCTCCCGAGTAGCTGAGACTACAGGTGCCCGCCACCACGCCCGGCTAATTTTTGTATTTTTAGTAGAGACCAGGTTTCACCATGTTAGCCAGGATGCTCTCGATCTGACCTCGTGATCCACCCGCCTCAGCCTCCCAAACTACTGGGATTACAGGCATGAGCCACTGCACCCGGCCTTAATTTTTTATTTTAGGTTCAGGGGTACAGGTGCAGATTTGTTATATAAGTAAACTCATGTCACAAAGGTTTGATGTATAGATTACTTCATCACCTGGGAACTAGGCCAAGCACCCAATAGTTATTTTTTTCTGATCTTCTCTGTCTTCCCACCTTCTACCCCCAACTAGGGCCCAATGTCTGTTGTTCTCCTTTGTGTATCCATGTGTTCTTATCATTTGACTCCCATTTATAAGTGACAGCATGTGGCATTTGGTTTTCTGTTCCTGCATTAGTTTGTTAAAGATAATAGGCTCTAGCTTTATCCACATTTCTGCAAAGGACATTATCTCATTTTTTTATACCTGAGTAGTATTCCATGGTATATGTACCACATTTTCTTTATATCCAGTCTTCCATCAGTAGGCCTTTAGGTTGATTTCATGTATTTGCTATTGTGAATAGTGTTGCAATAAACATATGTGTACATGTGTCTTTTTGATTGAACGATTTATATTCCCTTGGGTATATACCTAGCAATGGGATTGCTCCGTTGAATGGTAATACTGTTGTTAACTTCTTGAGGAGTTGCTATACTGCTTTCAATAATTGTTGAACTGATATCAGTCTTTCTTTAATACAGGAATGAATTGAACTTCACTACTGAAATTCTGAAAGCCATTCTACACAGCTGCCTGGAGTGTCTCCAAGGGGAATAAGCCCTAGTTGCCTGCAGTAGTAAACAGCTCATTAATGTACTCTATTGACCTTTACTCCTTCCTGGGGCCACTGTTCCTGATCCCTCAATCCAGCTTTCTGGGATTAATTTCATAAGAAACTGCTAATTCCATTTTCAGGATATGCTTCCTGGGATACCCAAACTAAGAAATATACAGCATTCTATTATGATTAAACTCAATGTATTAATCCTGTATTAGTCAGGGTTCTCTAGACGGACAGAACTAATAGGATAGATGTAAATATGAAGGGGAGTTTATTAAGGAGTATTAACTCACATGATCACAAAATGAAGTCCCATCATAGGCCATCTGCAAGCTGAAGCACAAGGAAGCCAGTTCAAGTCCCAAAACCTCAGAAGTAGGGAAGCCGACAGCGCAGCCTTCAGCCCCTGGTAAACCAAGTTCAAGATGTAAGTCCAAGTCCAAGGTATAAGTCCAAGAGTACAAAAGCTGAAGAACTTGGAGTCCAATGTTTGAGGAGAGGAAGCATCCACCACTGGAGAAAGATGAGGGCCAGAAGACTCATCAAATGAAGTCCTTCCAAATTCTTCTGCCTGCTTTATTCTAGCCGTGCTGGCAGCTGATTAGATGGTGCCCACCTAGATTGAGGGCGGGTCTGCATTTCCCAGCTCACTGACTCAATGTTAATCTCCTTTGGCAACACCATCACAAACACACCCAGGAACAATACTTTGCATCCTTCAATCCAATCATGTTGACACTCAATATTAACCATCACAAATCCATTCCTTCAAATGGCATTTATGTAGTTTCTACTGTTATATTGCAATCAAAATTCCTCTACACCTCTCAGGTGTACAGCCTCTGCATACAAAGGCTTGATTATACACTTAATTATTAATAGTGACTATTTCTCCTAGATAAGATTAGAGGGCATTGACAGTCTATGAAATTGATTTCTTATTTTCATAGAAATATATTACATGTCATTTTTTAAACATTCCATGTGCTTTCTGCTTTCATGACTTTCATCATGCTATCCTCCAGGGGTTCATTCCAGCACAGCCTGTTGATGAGACAAAGCTGAGTTTACTGCCTTCCAAAACAAAGGAATGTCTAAGGATATTAATATTTTACAATGTACTTGTATTTGTAATTAGGACTTCATATATAAATATAGATAAGTAGATAGATAAATGCATAAATAAGTATAGAAAAGAATTAATAAGAATACATATAAACAAAGAAGAAAATTACAGAATTAAAAGCTATGTAAATTCCTGGATGTATTTTTGGTTGTTGATGTCATATAACAGTCAGTAAAACATAGTGTTCACTCTAAGAAAAGATTCCCTGTTTCAAATTCTGCATTGGCCCCTACTGACTACATGAGCAGAGCCAACTCACTTAGCTTCTCACCACCTCAGTTCCTCCAAATATAAAAAGAGTTAGTAATAATTCATGATTTTGTTACAGGAAATAAATTATATACACATTGATATACAAACTATGTATATTTTTTGGAAATACATTCTCTCTGTATTATAAATATCACTAAAAGTTTTGCCTTGCAATGAGTTAGCATTACATGAGTTTGCCACTGGTTTGTGATTCAATTCAACTCAACTATATTGAAAACTTAATCAATAGGTACAGAGATCCTTTCAAGATACTATTGAATGGGAAAGATAAGACACATATCCAATTCCTTTAACATACACAAGGACATATGTGATTAATGCAATGATAGTGATACAAAAGAAAACGCTATGAGATGTGGTAGGAAGAGTACTTCTGACAGGAAGATTAACAAACACTTTATTGATGATGTAGAATCTAATTTGTCTTTGTTTGTGGAAGAAATATCAATTAGTGCCTAATGAAGGAGAATTTTTTTTTTTTTTTAGATGGAGTCTTGCTCTGTCACCCTGGCTGGAGTGCAATGGCTGAATTTTGGCTCACTGCAACCTCCACCTCTTGGGTTCAAGCGACTCTCGTGTCTCAGCCTCCCAAGTAGCTGGGATTACAGGTGTCCGCCACCATGCCCAGCTAATTATTTTTATTTTTAGCAGAGACAGGGTTTCACCATTTTGGACAGGCTGGTCTTGAACTCCTGACCTCAGGTGGTCCATCCACTTCGGCCTCCCAAAGTGCTGGGATCACAGGCATGAGCCACTGCAACCAGTCTCAAGGGGAATATTTTGAAGATAGAGACATCTCTAAATAAAACTGCTGCTAACTCATTTATATATTATTTTAAGTATTGACCTTGTCTAAATACTAATTATCATACTTAAAGATTATATCCTTCTTAATCCTAGAGTACAATCTCCAAAAGGAGTCTTACTTTTTAATCTTTTATTTAAAGGAAGTAATGTTTTCTAGGTGATGTGATCATATATATTTTTAATTTTTTTGCATATATGCTTTGTCATAGTATGCCTATATTATGTTATATGTATGTATATTTTCAGTTTATGACACACAGTGTTATATATATAAGACCTGAATGGAAAGAACATGTGAGATTTGCCAATTTCTCACATATATATTATAGTGTATACTTACATTACATTATGGAAGTATAGATTGAAAATTTGCAGAAATAATTGCAACCCCCAAAGTCTCTTCTTCCAGCATCATTCTTTCTGATACATAAGATTAAATTATACCATTGGCTAACAAACATTTTTTAATCAAACCAATATCCCAAGTAGGGGATAGTGTCATGATCAGCCATTAACTCATTAGTGTTAAAACATGTTAGTTTATCATTAGTGACCTGACTAAAATTAAACCTGAAGGTTAGAGCCGATAGGGGTTTAGGTACTCAGGTGCAGTAGGACAACACTGGGCCTGTTAGGGAGAGACAGCCTGAAAAGAGAGAAGAACTAACTCTATCCGCTTCTCGTTTTGTTGTGATCATATCAATTATGTCTTCTGGTATAGAGTAAACGTCTTTATTTGTGTGATCATTATATATATATATATATATATATATATATATATAATGAAGTTATATATAATTTTATTTTATATATATATAAAATCTATCTATCTATCTACCTACCTATCTATCTATCTATAGATTTTAATTGGAACTTATTTTGTTCATGGTGCCATGCCTGGGGTGTAGAATACAGAGGTAATCCAGGCAGAATGAATACTGACGCTCTTGTGTTTGACTGTTTGAATAATTTTGGTCAAAAGTCTCCAGAGAGTGGACATAAACTTACTGTTGTGTCATGAAGACATGCCAACGTAGTTGCTGTCATCCAGCCTGGCCCTTCTTAATAACTAAGGGACAGACAAAGAGAGAGAAAGAGAGATAGAGAGAGAGTGCTGGCAGTGGTCCCTTTATTCAAATAACTGACAATCTTTTTCTCATTGCGTGCTCTAAGCAGATTTCTTTGGAAGGCCATGCATTCTTGTCAGAACTTAAAGAATAAACATTTATCTAATATTTTTCTTTGTGTTATGACTAGCATGGCACCATGTGCAATCAAACTTTTTTTTTCTTTGTGAATACAGTAGACTAAAAGACTGTACTGGAAATTTCAGATGGGAAATTCAATAAGATTTTCTTATCTTCCAGTCCACAGGCATATAAATTCTAATATATCAGCACCTTTTCTCCTGCAGTTTCAGAAAAATTGGGGTCTTCATGTACTATATCTGCTCAAAAGATTTTTTCTTTTGTTCTGCACTGTCTACATCAGCAATTCATGAAAGAATTATTACCAAATTACTGGGTGGGTGGCCCAGAAAAAATAGAACAATGCAAAATAAGATGAAAAACTTTAAATCAACTTTTTCCTTTTTGGAAATTACATTTTTTTAAATTTTGATTAATACAATTCCTACTAATCTGTCACAGACATCAATTTGCCAAGATATCCCTAAGTATTGGCAAGGCTTCGTGAGAGAGTATAGGTCTAAAAATATCCAAGCTTTAAAATGCTTTTCAGTATGATCCTACCTTAGCTTTTCCATTTCTGTAACTATTCCCAGGCAATTTACATTTTTGCCAAAATATATTACATGTCTTTTTTTAAACATTCCATGTACTTTCTGCTTTCATGACTTTCATCATGCTATTCCACAGGGGTTCATTCCAACTCAGCCTGTTGATGAGACAAAGCTGAGTTTACTGCCTTCCAAAACAAAGGAGTGTCTCAGGGTGGGGAAGATGAGGTCAGAATTTATTGAGATTTGGATATTTGCTTTATCATGCATCTATCAGTACAGGAATCTGATTAGGATTGGGAAGAATCATAACACAATAGTCAAGATTTGAGAACAGTTGGCTGGGAATGATGGCTCATGTCTGTAATCCTAGCACTTTGGGATGCTGAGGCAGGTAGATCACCTGAGGTCAGTGTAAGAGTTAAAGAAAGAGGAAAGAAACACGAAACGTGGCTCAACATTCAGAGACAGGTGTATTTTTTTTTTTTTTTTTTTTGACAGTGAGTTTCACTCCTTCACCCAGGCTGGAGTGCAGTGGTGCAATTTTGGCTCACTGCAACCTCCGTCTCCCGGGTTCAAGCAATTCTCCTGACTGAGCCTCTGGAGTAGCTGGAACTACAGGCATGCGCCACCACGCCTGGCTAATTTTTGTATTTTTAGTAGAGTTTGGGTTTCACCATGTTGGTCAGGCTGGTCTCAAACTCCTTACCTCGTGATCTGCCCACCTCGGCCTCCAAAAGTGGTGGGATTACAGGCATGAGCCACCGCACCCCGCCGACAGGTGTATTTTGGAGAATAAACCTGAGGGGGGCTTCTGGCTGATTTCTGTCCAGAGCCCTCTCTCTTATGGACTGAGTATTTATTGTTTTTTTTAGGGTGAGAGAGCTTATCACAAGCTTGGAATGTTTCTGTATGGGGGAGAAGTTTATGTCAGGGTTGGAATGTCTCTGGTCAGAGGGGAAGTTATCTTGGGGCTGACATCTCTCTGGCTGGAGGGGAGGTTATCTTGGGGCTGGCATGTCTCTGGTCAGGGACGGGTTTATCTTATGGTTGAAATGTTTCCGGTCAGAGATGTTATTTGTGGTTTATGGTCACGCTGACCTTAGCCATTAGACTGATGCTGTTTGGATTTAGGCAGTTTTTGATGGAGGGGAATTATAGAATGGTGGTGCTTGTGCAAAATGTCGATGCTCATGCTCTGTCAGTTCAGGGGGGAGTTCGAGACTAGCTTGGCCAACACGGCAAAACCCAGTCTCTACTAGTAATACAAAACTTAGCTGAGTGTGGTGGCGTGCACCTGTAATCCCAGCTACTCAGCAGGCTGAGGCAGGAGAATCGATTGAACTTAAAAGGCGGAGGTTGCAGTGAGCTGAGATCACTCCACTGTATTCCATCCTGAGCGACAGAGCGAGACTCCATCTCAAAAAGAAAAAGAAAGAAAGAGAGAAAGAAAGAAAGAGAAAGAAAGAAAGAAAGAAAGAAAGAAAGAAAGAAAGAAAGAAAGAAAGAAAGAAAGAAAGAAAAAAGAAAGAAAGAGAAAGAAAAAGAATCTCACTTTGGCCAAGTAAGTTTAAAATTAAGATAAAATAACACAAAGGCTACGTAATTCCTAGAAATGATAGGAATGTTGTTTCTTCAATTCATTTCCTAGTTGATGGGAGAAATAATAATTGTATTTACTACTTGTAAAATGTTAGCCAGTTTTTCTACATGATTTTGCTATTGTAAAGCAATAATACATGAACTACTGGCACCCATTTAGTAGAATAAAGTAGCACTTAAGCAGGAAAAAAAATGTTTGGCAAGTGCTCCTTAAACATCAATTAATTAAATAATTAACTTGCGTTTACAATAACAACTAAAGTACACTGTTTTTTTTTCTCCTCAACCCTGAGTGAAGATTTCACAGTCCCAAGCAAGTTTTTATCTATGCAGACCACAGAATCGCATTTGAATATTTTCAAAGTGTTTGGATATGGGGATAATATATCCATTATTCTCCTGGATTCCGATTTTTTTTTTTTTTTTTTTTTTTTTTGCTTATTTTTTTAGGGAAAGCAGGGAAAGGAAGAATTAAGCAGACATTGAAGCAACTCCCTCCTCATTTTTCCCGTCTGTTCCTGGGAAAAGAGTGCTTCAACTGCTAGGCAGAAATAGTAATAGGTATTAGATATTGCGAATCGAGATGGAGAATATGGTCCTTTTATTATCAGTCTGCTTCCTCAGCTTCAAACAACAACAGAGCTTACTTCTTTAGAATGTATATGAAAGCAGTGCTGCTATCAAGGTGGCCTTAGGCAAAATATTGAAGCTGAGAACAATGGCCTTGAGTGATCTGCCTTCCCTTGCTTAACAACTTCACCTCCCTCAGGAACAGTCACTTTTGTTCCTTTTCAGAATTGTAATTCCCTTATAACAAAACCTCCTTGCAAGAAGGGATTTGATCTCAGTCATTTACATAATAGAATAAATATAAATCAATGAGTTACCTCTCCGAAATACTTGTGTTTTTAGCTTCTAGTGATATTGTGGAATAAAGTACTATCTGTCCCAGTTAAAGGAATCTCAGGCATCAGCTATGCAGATGAGGGTGTGTTTTACAGGAGAGAGTTGTCTTTCATGTATGAAATCAGGCCACATAGATTGGGGTTGCACTGCTATCATTTTGTTCTCAGCATAGCCTTTGGTGCATATATAAATCTAGAAGTGGGGGCCTTTGAATTTTACCTTAATAACCAGAATCATTTGAAATTAATTCTGTCTTTAAATAGATATGTAAACAAAAAATAAAATTATATGCTGCCCAGCTTGAGGCAGGAGAATAGGGTCTGGCGGCAGAGAACATAAGGCCAATTCATGCTGACTTCCTAAAGCTAAACCAAATGGAAACACTTCAGCTATGACAGGAAATATCCTCTCCATATACATAGGGTGTACACCAAGTAACCAGTGGACACCTCTAAAGGGTATTTAAACCCCAGAAAATTCTGTAATGAGATCTTGAGCCCCTGGGCTTGGGCCCGTTCCCGCCGTGTGGAGTGTACTTTCATTTTCAAGAAATATCTGCTTTTGTTGCTTCCTTCTTTGCTTGCTTTGTTTGTACGTTTTGTCCAATTTTTCGTTCAAAATGTCAAGAACCTGGGCACCCTTCACCAGTAACAAGCTGACTGAATGGACCTCCTTTTGGCCAAGTGGACCCCAGAGAAACCTGAAAAACTGAATTCCTGGACACGACAGGAAGAGTGGTCAGATGTATGTAGTTATACCGCCTTCCTTTTAAAGTTTAGGCACAACTGACCAGCATTAACATTAAAATGGAGTACGTAAGACCAACAAAAGAGACTTTGCAGCAATAAGGTAGAAAATTCCAAAGTGGTATAACATCACATGACAATGAACAAACCCTGAAGGAAATAAAAAATATTTTACCTGAAAATATGTTTATTTGACATATTTTGAAATGATCCTGCAAAGCTGTCTTGTGCAGGGAAATTGTACTGTAGATAATCTCCATTAATACAGCCAGGTTTTCCCTCTCCAGCCTGTTCCTGGATCTAAGAGCCTAACACATGTTAAGGTCCCAAAAGAGACACTTACTCTGTGTTTTCTCTCTGAAGACTGTCACCTATGAGGTTCCATCTACATAGTAAGAACCTTGGCCTCCACAACCCTCCTTTTGTTAACAGAAATACTTTTTTCTACTGACTGCAAATCTTTAGACAAAGATCAACTTTTTTAACCAATTGCCAATCAGAAAATCTTTCCACCTGTGACCTGTAAGCCTCCACTTCAAGATGCCCCACCTTTTCACCCAAACCAATGTAAAGTTTCCATGTATTTATTTATGTCTTTGACTATAGTTCTCACCCCCTTAAAATGTATAAAATGAAACTGCAACATAACCACCTTGGTGTCCTTCCTCAGGAACTCTTGAGACTCTTTCACAGGCAATTGGTCACTTACATTGGCTCAGAATAAAAATCTTTAAGTATTTTACAGAGTTTCGTTTTTTTATTATCAGATGATTACACCCAATTAAGTCTTTGTATTACATTTTACAGAATGTGGGATCCTGGGACAGCCTGGGTAGTACACAAAGAAACCATTTAACTACATAATAGGTAGATAGAATGTTTCATATGAAGGTAATGATAACAATCAACATGCAATGGTAAAATAAGAGCAGTGCTATCTTCCAAACAGGATTTGGTGCATTCAGATCATTAGCAGCAAGATGTGACTATTCAGTAAACATAAGAACTGAACAACAAAAAAGCAAAAGTTGATTCCTGTTGTTCGATATTTTAAGTCACTGCTGAATAGGCAACCAATCTGAGATACTTTGGCCTCTAAGGTAAGTACAACAAAGAAAAAGTTATTTTTGTTAATGAATAGCATTTACCAGCTTATGGTTTAAATCAAACTAGAAGTTAGGTAAAATAATCCTGAGCAATTGGCTACTTTTTCTTTTGCTACTGTAAAAATTTAACTTTCTTTGTATACATTCTAAATTGGATTCTATTACCAAACCAGTAATTAGAGTGCAGTGCATTTTTATTATTTTTAACCTACTGAGCATACCACAGACATTATAAACTGATGAATAACACACAAATATTTTGATAAACCAGACACTTCAGTAAAGGAAAAGGATGACTATGGGAAACAGGTTGGCAGAATTTTAAAGCCAATACTCTATTTGGCAAAGAAAAATGCTCTTCACAGGAAAGGAAACAGTGTGGTTTCAGCATTCAGATATTTCTTTATGCTCTTGGTGTGCTGATGCCCTATGGCCTTATCATTCTATAGCTCATTAGATCTGTTTGTGATTTATTCACCTTTATTGGGATTAAAATTTTTTACCCACATTCTGTATTATTCTTGTCTTATATGCATGAGTACAAATTGTTAAACTTTGATAGGTATATGTATCACACATGCCCCCACCCTGCAACACACACACCCACACACACACAAACACACACAGAGAGAGAGAGAGAGAGAGAGAGAATTAGAAAGTAAAAAAAATGTAGGGAAGCAAGTTGGCTTTTTAAAACTTTGATTTTTCTCTTCTTCTGACTACTGTATGTATGACCTACTTTTGGCTGGAGACAAGTTCAGAAAGCTATTTTCAAAATGGACTATAACTTTCTGTGTAAAGAATATTGCTTACAAAATACCCCATAACAATTGTGCTATATATTATAGGAAGAAAGAAAAAAGAACATATTGCAAGATAATATAGCCATGAATAACTTATTATGTGTCATAATTATGTTAAAAATGATACTAGATTACTGTCTTCCATTGTCAGCCTTTTAATGAAATTTTGTCTAAAAGGTCTCTTCGTCTTCCAAAATTAACCTCTTGGAGTCATCATTATTTGCATTGACAGAATTAAACATCACTTATACTTAGCTTCCAATTGTTCCATAAACATTAACTTTGTCCCTTTAATAAAGACTATACATTTTCAGGGGGAGCAATTGTGTGTACACTTCAAAAGCTTTAAAGTACTTATAGTGGAGTGGAGTACCTACTAAAGTACTTTAGTGGAGTACCTACTAAATTCTTAATAAATATCTGTTAATGATAATATGATAAATGATTAAAAAGTATAGAAAAGAAAAGAAAAAGGGAGGGAGGAGAAGAGAAATATAAAAGAGAAAGGAAATAAACTAAAAGGTAAGAGAAGGAAGTATGGAAGGAAAGAAGGAAGGAAGGAGAAAGAAAGATTCACTTGACTAGCCTAAAAAAAAGAATATTTTATTTAACAAAATAAAAGCATAAACGTATTTATGCTCTAGATATTGTTCAAAAGCTTTCCAAAGATCCTAATGGAACATGATTTATAATAAACTAATATGTGTATGGAATATATATTTCTGTGTGTGTATAAGATATGAATAGATATATCATATAAATATATATGCAATATTATGTGAATGCTGAAATTTATCTTTAAATTTGTAATTGATAAAATTAGTCCATGAAAAATTTATTCTAATTCTTATTTAATTACCATTAGTTAATCGGTAGTGATTTTAAATGTATCTTTGTTCAAAAGCAACTTTTATATTCTATTTTGTATGCATAGTATATATAAATTGTTCAAATCAGATATCTAGAAAAATAATATCTAAGAAAAAGTAAATACAGTTATTTACTAAACATTTTCCAGATTCATAACTATATTACTCCCCTCAATTCTGTTGATTTTACCTTCAAAATGCATATGAAGTTCCTCCATTTTTCACCTTCTCACCATGCTTTGCTATCAACATATTCTTACTCCATACTGTTACCTTCTTCATCTATGCACACTCCTAACAAAATCCCCCAGGGCAGTATATTTCATCACTTCTTATCTACTCGGGGACATTACTCCAACTAATCGCATCATTTTCTCTTACATTTGTATATATATTTACTCTATAGTATTGTTCACAACAGCATATAATGATACTTTTAGTCTTACCATATTAAAAAATTATTTTTTAATCTACATTAGCTACTGCCACTTCTCTTCATGTGTGTGTGTCTGTGTGTGTGAGTGTGTGTGTGTGTGTGTGTGTGTAATGATTTATTTCAAAAAACTGTCTCATGTGGTTGTAGACATTTGGAGAGTCCAAAATCTGATAAGGAAGGTCAACAAGCTGAAGACTGAGAAAAGAGCTGCAGTTTGAGTCCACAAGCATCTTCTAGAGAACACCCTTTTGCTCAGGGAAGATCAGCCTTACGTTCTACTTGAGCCTTCAGGTGGTTGAGTGCACACTCCCATGAAGGGCAATGTGCTTTACTCAAAGTCCACCAATTTAAATTTAAACCTCATCCTGAAACACCCTCACTGAAACATTCAGAATGTCTGGCCATATATCTGGGCACTGTGGCCTAGTCAAGTTGTCACATAAAATCAACCATCACATGTCCGGATCCTTGTCAGCTTGGCAACCCACACACCTCTTTAAGCCGTGCTTAATCGCCAATAAAACAATAATGATGTCATACTTTCACTTAACATGATACAACCATCCTGTATTCGACTGAGAATTCACTAATCCTTTCCTCAGAACCAATGTAAAGTCCTTGAATGATGTTTAATCTTCTTGTTGATATTCTGTAACTTAAATACTGTGATATAAAGTCAGTTCATTTATGGTACATGATAAAGCAATAAGAGGAAAGTAAACAAAGTCATTTGAACAATCTGTCAATAGATAGATGATAGACACACAAATATTCATAAGAAAATAGAGATGATATATTCCTGGCAATTACAGTTCTTATTTCTATAACTGGTCATGTGGTCATAGCTGGTATTTATAACTACCTTCTTTTACAACCCATTCTGGATTCCCTTTGCTCCCAGCAAGCATCTTGGCTAGTTGTGGTTCTTTACCTGGCAGGGTGACCCCAATTTTCATTCCTGGAATCTGGGTCATTAATAGTTCTGCATGAATTGCATTGCAGTTTTCCACTAACTTTAATCACAGAGTAGGGTAACACTAAACGATACCCTAAGGGATCTCTTGTGTTACCAACATAATCTTCCTTACCTCCATTATGGAATAGAAGCCCAATTCCTCCCTTAGTAGCCAGGATCAATAAGCCCAGCTAGCACAGTAACCCCCTTTTTTGCCTATTGATTTAGCGGCATGAAGAGCCCAAAGTCTCTGGGTGGCAGTCTTAACTTCCAGTGTAATGAAATCATTTTTGTGTCTCCTGGTAGAAACATGTATCCCTTTGGAAATAAACCTCGAGGCCAAGAGAACATAAAATTATAAGGACAGGAAACAAAACCAGGCCACCGTATTAAATATTGCTCATACACATTCCAACAACTCACATACCTCTCACACACTGTGATTTGTCTTTTATCCGTAACATGGAATCTCGTAATACAACATACAGGTTACCTACTTATCATGTTTCTTTTTTAATTTTTTCAAAGGCCAGCATCATTTTTTCATTTTGTTTTTGGTGTTCAGTGTAGTTCTTGCACAGAGCATACATTCAACCTGTTGTTTGAATGAATAAATTAGTCAACAATCAGATGAATGCATAAGGTTCTGCTTTTACCACTCTGCTTCAATCCACCATCAACTCTGACCTGCGTTATTACAATTCCCTACTAAGCAGACTTCCTTTTTACAACTTAGACCCCTTAACTGAATTCCCCACCTACATCCTTCTCCCCATTGCCACTGTACACTTGAAGTATTATTTCTCAACTGAATTAGAAGCTCAATAAGGCCAGAGATTTGGTGCATGATTATCATCACTGATATTAATATGTTCCCTACTATCTGGAACCATGCTAGATGCATAAGAAACATTTCAGATATCCTTCTTCCTGTAAGTGAACCTTCAGTTTTTCTGGCTCTGTCTTCAAAAAATAATACTGAATTAGAGCATGCATTTCATCTTCTGCCTAAAGGAATAAGACTATATTTATACGAAGCACAATATATCCATCAGAATATGTGACTGGTAAGTAAAGAGTTTGAAAAAGAAAATAATTAGGGGATGATGCAACCATTGACAAGGTTTGGGGAATGGAGGTCAGAGAAGCTATCACCAAGGATGTCAGCATGCCACTTGAAAGTAGGAAGTTCTGAAATTCTCACTCAGCAATTGCTGAAAATCCAATATCATCTCACCCGAATCCCCTGTCAATCTCACCAACCTTTGGAAATCTCTACCTTCTATTTCAATCTGCATTGCTGACATGGGTGATGCTCAAAACATTTCCCAGAAGCGATTTGGACTTCATATCTAGCCATGCAACTGAAGAATAATGACCTCTCTCTTCTCATTCCCCCAAATCTTGTGAAATTGCCTATGTTGGAAGATTCTATCCTGTGATCTACAGGCAGAAGGGGATCCTGCAGGATTGGCTTTTCCTCTGCAATGCAGGCGAAGTCTCAGGAGTGGGTAGCAGTAATACCTAGTTAAAAACAAATAACGAAGCACACATACTAATCTAGGAAGTTAGAAGTCTTAGGAAAAAAGATATCGTTTTCCACACTCATTTATTTTCCTTCATAGAATATTGTTGTTGTTATTCTTTGTTTAGTTTTATTTGATTATTGTCTTTCTACCTTATCCTATGCACAGATCTTGGATGAATCTAACATATATTTAGCACCCACAAGGCATCTAACTCAATTATCTGGTCCCAGCTGTTGTATGGGGTGTACAGTACTTCTGTAACAAAACACATCTTCAAGGGAAGTGTTTGATTTATCTAAAGTACTAACTAGGCTGTGAATTTTATCCTGCTCTGAGCTTATTTTCTCTTTAAAATCTCCCATCATACTGGAAGGAAAATGATCAGTTTTTCCTGTGACATTACACATATCATCTTACAGAATGAGTAGGTATTGTTGCTAACATGATAATATGCTAGTTATTAGGAAAAAGTTAACTATAAACAAAACAACAAGAGAAGCCTCATACTGATTTCTATTTAAAATAATTAATTTATGACCGGGCACAGTGGCTCCTGCCTGTAATCCCAGCACTTGGCGAGGCGGAGGTGGGTGGATTGCTTTGAGCATAGGAGTTTGAGAGCAGCATGGGCAACATGGGGAAATCTTGTCTCTACAAAAAAATAAAAATAAAAAAATCACCTGGACATGACAGTGCATACCTGTAGTCCCAGCTACTCACGAGTCAGAGGTGGGAGGATCCCTTAAGCCCGGGGAGTTGGGGGTTGCAGTGGGCAGTTATCACACCACTGCACTCCAGCCTGGGCAACAGAGTAAGACCTTGTATCAAAAATAAATAAATAAAATAATTAATTTAGGTCAAACGAATATCTGCTAAACTACTTTTTCACTTCCCCTCTTCTGAGAACAATATTTACCTCATTTTAGCTTTATTTCATTTTTCCCTACTACAATGTATATATTAATTTTTAAATAGCTAGATACTGAGAGGCCTAGAGAGAAATGAAGATGTTTTGAAATAAGTGTTCACAGGCAGTTCTCTGTAAAAGCTTTGGTGTCCCCAGAAATTCATACCCATCTTTTACAGTTGCCAAGAACTATTGTCATGAGATCAAAATCGCTGTGACCCTCAGTGTTCACCAGAATCCAAACAGTTATAAACTGCATTATACATTTCACTAAGAGGGAACATTTATCATGTGTGCCCTTGCAGTGTCTTTAAGTTGCCTGCATTAAAAATTAAAGTATTTCTGATTAGAAACTTCTCCACTGGAATTATCCAAACAAGAACACATTTCTGGAATGAGACAGAAGTATCACTGAGTTTTTGTCCTTGCCCCAATTTAAGGCAATACCTCTGTGTGCCATTGGCAATGACAACTCAATAGATTTTTGCCGCCCAGTTGCCAGAAAATTCTATCCTGTAAAAAATGCAATAGGTTACTTCTGAAATATGTTTTGACCTTTTGTATATGACACACAAGGAATGAGCAGTGTGTGATTACACAGAGAGAGACAAGTGAATTTCTTTCTCCCCAATCTTTATATACATTCGTATACATGACTCAATATTCTCTGTGTGTGTGTGTGTATGTATGTGTGTATGTGTGTGTGTGTATATATATATGTATATTTAGATGGAGTCTCATTCTGTTGCCCAAGCTGGAGTGCAGTGGCACGATCTCAGCTCACTGCAACCTCTGCCTGTAGGATTCAAGCAATTCTCCCTGCCTCAGCCTCCAGAGTAGCTGAGATTACAGGTGCCCACCACCATGCCCTGCTAATTTTTGTATTTTTTAGTAGAGACGGGGTTTCTCCATGAAGGCCAGGCTGGTCTTGAATTCCTGACCTCAGGTGATCCGCCCGTCTCGGCCTCCCAAAGTGCTAGGATTACAGACGTGAGCCACCGCACCCGGCCTGTGTTTATATTTTCATTTGATTTTTAAGTTAAACAGAAAGTCTCACCATAGATACAATTCTGCTAAGAACCTCATCAGCATGAATCAGTAGCTACACCAATTGCCATGTTGCACCTCTTCAAGAAGAAGCAACCACACGGCATATGCACAACTCATTACTCTAGTGATGATGTCAGTTATTTTTTATCTCACTTGGTGCATTCATTGGGACTTCCAATTTTACTTGTATTAATATTGTCTGCTTCCTCCTATTTCCATGGCAAATTAAAGTATATTTACATTTTGATTATATGAATCACTGTATGATTCCTTCTGTGTGTCCCAATGGGATCGTATACACATATATCCTCACAAATCAAAGCACACAGATATATACAACACAAAAACACCAACAGTGTTTTTGGTAAAATATAACAGTGGTAAAATATAACAGTCAAATATCTTTATGAAAACAAGGTCTTAGCATGGCATTTGTTGAATACTTCATTTGATTCATTTTGTAAAATATTATGGTTTCACTCAGTGATTAATAGTGTATGTACGATCTCTGATGGAATAATGATTAATGTTTCATGTCAAAAATCTTGAGCACAGACCTCTCTGCATGTCACTGGTTGTAACTGTGATGTGAAACGATAGTGCTCTAACAGGGAGAAAAACATGTCTCTTCAATTAAAGCCCCCACTGTTTATATGCAGGGCACCAAGCACTGGTAAGGGCAGGGCAAGCTGTCACCACCAAACAGGTTCTGATAATGTGCTTTCAGGCACAAAGGGTGAAAATGTTCTGTAACCTTAATTCGTATCATTGTCTTATGAGCTTATGTTCACACCATTCATAGAAAATAACTAAGGGTGTTAATATTATACAAACTGCATAAATTAAACTACTGCAATAGGTCCTTGCCTTCTTGACAGAATTAAAGATATTAGGTAAATGTGTGATGCTTTGGAACTCACTCAAGTGACCTTTCCAGGTGTGTAAATTCCAGGTTTGCCTATTGTAATTATATTTGATGGGTGAACAGATATTACACATCTAGGAACTGGATGCAAATAAAACCAATGTTGATTTTACACAAAAATAATTCTAGCCTTCACAGTATATAATTTGCAGGAAGAAAAACAGTGAACTTTCCAGAATAAAACCATATAAAGAAAAACAAATTACTAGAAGTAGAAAAAGACAAGACATAATAGGATGATCATGTTTGCCAACTTATTGAAACATAAAATTATTATAGGTAGCACAACACGTATCAAGTGCTAAATATTAACTGAAGTCGTCATGGTAATGGCATTATTTCATATCAGCATGACACATGACAATTTAAGTATTAACTTTTTTTCCTTTCATTGTTTATTTTTACAAACTTTTGGCAGGCAAGTTCTATTTTTCCCATGGGGGGCTATGGCCCTGGGGGCTGGCACACCCCTTCTTCTACTTAGGTGGATGGTTGTAAGCTGTCCCTTGCTTGTAAGACTAACTTTGATTCCTGACTTTTCTAAGGGGCTATAGACTGAAGATGTTTTCTTAGCACATTAACCATAGGAGAAAGAGATTTTTAAAAAAATTAGACTATATAATTTGACTTTAAAATAATCTTGTTGGCAGCTATTACTAGCTTCATTTACCAGGAGCAAAGAAAAATGAACAACAAACAAACAAACAAAACATGATAAAACAAAACTACGAGGCTTGTTTCACCTCCTGAGACAAGATTTGTAGAACAACGGATGTCCAGCTAAGCTGAAATATCACATTGTTTTAGTTCTTAGGTACTAGGAAAGATAATTTAGGCTAATAATAATTGTAGTTAAGATTATTTATAGGCTTGTGGAAAGCTTAGAGAGAGTAAAACATGTTGCAACAATACCTTCCAACACAGTAAGGGGATGAGTAAGAGTGTCCCCGTTTTTCACACTGAATCTGGGGCTTAGTGACATTGTCCTGGCAAAACACCATGTGGCCACAGCACTGGAGAGCCTGCAGCAGAGCCCTTACTGCTCAGGCAGAACATGGCTTTGTAAAGACTGGAAGAACTGGAAGAAATGGTATCACTGAAATACAACCCTTCTTAGGTCTGCAAACACATTTTATTCCATATGAAAGATTACTATGGATTAAAAACACCAATGATGAAACTTCTAAACATTTGGAAAATAAAGAAATAGAAGATTTTTTTAAATCATGTTATAGGCACATTATCAGAAAACACACACACACACACACAAACACACACACACAGAGGCAAATAATGCCACATTCCTGAGATATCACCATAGTCGGCATATGTTACTCCATTAGTACACAGAACATGATTATTTTGAATGTGGGAGAAACAACACAGAGGCAGAAAAATCACAAAATTTGAGACTTAAATAAAGCACAATGTACCTTTTCTTTTAATTTTTCATAAAAAGTAAGCATTTTTTTTCTGAAGAAATCACTAAGTTATTTGGACTATGAAATCCATTGGAAAGTCCTTTCACTCTGAAATGTGAAGGTTATGTATCTACGGGCGACGTTCTTGTTCATCATTTTAGCACATTATATCCATACATAAATTACATTTATATTTTTTACTTGAATATGGTAATAAAGAATATATTTGTGTATGTAAAAAAAGATCAGCTTACATGTACTCATATAATTTAATTTTTTAAATATGTTCTCTAAGATTTCTCTAACTATATTCAGATTATTAAATAATATATTATATTAAAGTATTACTCATTCCACTCAAGGTTATTTAAAAGCACAGCAAAAATACTAAATAAATCATTTAAATTTTGTATTGGGAAATCTTTTGGGGGATCAAGTATCCAATCTCTTTGATATATTCTTCCTTATGCAGTTGATGAATAACTATATATTCAATTATATACATTAGAATAAAATCAGAAGTCAGAATGAATGGCTTTCACTTTTTAAATCTTTTTATTCTCTTAACCTGCTTTTTTCTTTTTCCAGGAAAAATGAAAACTAGAAAAGGGACTATCATTCTACAAAGATTGGCAAGGTGTTCTCATTTCGTATAAGAAGCAATGGGTGAACTATGCCGTCTAATATGAAACGTAAGCAAACAATGAATATTCACTGTATGTCTTTCTGATTGAATAGTTTCTTGAATTGGTCTACACTATAGTTTGCTTATTCATAGGTGCTATATAATTTCAAAATTTATACTTGTACAACATTTTTTTTTTACACAACCAACCTGAAGCTACTGGCAAAATTAATTATTTAAACAAGAATGTGACACTTATAGAATAAAATAACCTAAAAGCTGACAAGGAGACTGAGCAAATGTACTAGACCAGCCAAATCTCTCTCAGTTTCAGTGCCACATCATCAGGATGTGTACAAGCCATTAGCTGTCAGGAAGAGCACTTTGGGGTAATAAATAATCTTACCATTGTAGACTTGATCTCTCAAGCACTATAGATGTTTGGGAAGAGATACATGCGGTAAATTAAAAATATATGTATATGTGTGTATGTGAAAATATTTGCTGACATGACCTATGGTTATTTTACTTCTCATAGGTCCTGAATTTTAATATATACATTAATTTCATCAGCTCATATTACTTTCTGTATTAATAAAGTGCTCATAAATTTATATTAAATCTAGTTGGAATAACTTTCCAGTATTTAGTTGACTAATTTTGTAGAAGAGACCGCTTAGATATTGTATAATACACTCATCACAGAGTCTTGCCATACAGATACTCAGAAATTGTTGTTGCAATTATGACCTCATCAACATAAGCTACATTATTTTACATAAACTTCCAAAGCACATAGTATAATATGTACTTTAAGAGGCAACAATATTCAAATTGCATTATTTTTTGGCTTATTGAGAAGGCATAAGCAGAAAAGATAAGAAATGAATAAGTGGAGAGTAAAGAGAAGAGAAAACAAAGTACAAATGCCTAAGATATTGAAAATATCTCACTGAGCCTATGAACCCATGTCTAGACTAGATTATCCTAGGAGAATAAAGGCAAACTCAGAGAAAGAAAGTAGGTAGAGCAGGCGGGAGAAAGGGAGAGACATAATAAGATGAGATAGAAATTGTCCAAATGTTTACTTTTACCATCCTTTCAATCAGAATTTGAATATGTTAAATAATGTTCTGTCCATATGTCCTGTGGTCCTCCCTATCTCAGCTTACTTCCTGTCGATTTCACTTCCTAGCCAGCTTTCAGGACACAAAAATATGATTTAAAGTTAGTCATAAAGACCTTCGATTTCCACGTCACCTCTCCCAGTTTTTGTTCAGCTCCTTTTTGCATGCGGAGAATGAGATTAGGGGTCACTGCCCACAGGGGCACCACTCAGATGAGGGGTCCTTGACGTTCAGCCTAGCTTGGGCAAATGCTCAGCCAGGGTGGTCCAAGACCAACAGGTAGAGGAAATAGGAATCCTAATCTGAGAGGAATACAAAATGAAAAATCAGAAAAGCATTACCAGGTCTGTAGAAAGCATAACAAGGTTAGAAGCTGGGTTAGTACTGCAGTACAACTCAGCGGCTTCCTCCCGTGGCACCCGGTAGTAGCCAGCAAGCAGAAATGCCTGCAACATTTTTGCCCTCCATGCTACAGAGTAATCTTTTCAAAATGCAAATGTGAACTCACTTTTCCTATTAAAGAAAAAACACATAGAATGCATTCTCATTGTTCTTAGGATAAAGGGTATATATAATTCCTAATGATACCATGTAGATCTTGTGTGTATATTCTTTTATTTTCTGACACTGTTAATGCTGGTCTCTATCTACTATACACACATTCAGCTAGTAAATCTCCAATCTCCCTTTTCCACAGGAACTTTTGTGTGTACCAGACCAGCTGCTTGGAATCTCTTCCCCACATTCTTTATCTGTTTAACTCCTGTTGTGGTTAGATGTGTTTCTCTGCTCAGTAGCTTATTTGCAGTCTATATGGTTCAGTGGTGGATATGCAGTCCAGGCCTGGACAGTATAAGTGATCCTATCCATTGGTTATACCACATTTTTTTTTTCTGAAATGGCTTATGCCTCAAGCCAGGGCAATTATTGTTCCCTGGGTCTTTTATCAGAAAATATCTCTTTCCTTCCCCTTTTTTTCTCTCTCTCCCTTTATCTCCGCTCTTGCTCTGATGTCTAGGTCTGAGAAATATGCCTAGAAAATCACTGGGGACTATCTTAGCCACCACCTTCCACCACTGGGAAAGAAGCAAATACAGAGAAAGAAAGAACTAAGAGAAAGAGAGCTACTATCCCGGCAGTATAATGGAAGGAAGCCACAGTTTCTAATCATCTCTGAAGTCAGAGACATATCTTGGTCTTTACTTTTGTAAGAGCTAATGAACTCCTTTCTTAATCTATAAATTTTACTTGGAAACTTCTAACTAAAAATTCATCAGTAATACTCACATTGGTTCCCAGAAGTGGTTTGTTACAAAAGACAGGCCTGATTATGTGAAACTGACTGGGATAAAGATAAAGGGAAGTAAGTTTTAAATCTCCATTATAGACTAGCAAACCATTTGATTGAACCATCTTCTGTTGAATCTCTTGGGACAGAGAGCATGTACTAATTGAGGACGGAGCTTTAGGAAAATTGCAGAAAATGTTTAGAGGTTGAAATATAGTGGTTGCTACTTGCAGCATTCTGTATGTTGTCAAAAACAAGTAATAAGCTTCAGTTCAATTGAGTTTAAATATAAGCAGCAGAAAATCATTTAGCCTTGTTTTTTTTTTTTTTTTTTTTTCAGACCTTGTCTTACTCTGTTGCCCAGGCAGGAAGGTGGTGACGTGATCTTGGCTCACTGCAACCTCTGCCTCCCAGGTTCAAGTGATTCTTGTGCCCCAGCCTCCCAAGTAGCTGTGATTACAGGTACATGTCACCACACCTTGCTAATTTTAGTATTGTTTTGTTTTTGTTTTTCCATTTTTTTTTAATACTTAACTTCTGGGATACATGTGCAGAATGTCCAGGTTTGTTACACAGGTATACACGTGCCATGGTGGTTTGCTGCACCCATCAACCTGGCCTCTATATTAGGTATTTCTACTAATGCTATCCCTCCCTCCCCTAGACCCCCAACCCCCAACTTTTTAAAAAAAAATTTTTTTAAATTTAATTTATTCTCAATGGAATTGAAACCTACTCTGGTTATGGACTTGCCTTCTTTGCCTATGGTAACTCCAAAAGCTCTATCTTCAGCTTTCAACATAGTATCCCAAATAATATTGCTTTATACCTGGGTACTCATTTTATGGCAAAACAGGTGTGACTGGGAGTTTAAACTATAAGATTCATTGGCTGGCTGGGCACGGTGGCTCACGCCTGTAATCCCAGCACTTTGTGAGGCCAAGGTGGATGGATCACGAGGTCAGGAGTTTGAGACCCGCCTGGCCAATATGATGAAACCCCGTCTCTACTAAAAACACAAAAATTGGCCAGGCGTGGTGGCACATGCCTGTAATCCTAGCTGCTCAGGAGGCTGAAGCAGGAGAATTGCTTGAACCCGGGAGGTGGAGGTTACAGTGAGCTGAGATTGCACCACTGCACTCCAGCCTGGGGGACAGAGTGAGACTCCATCTCAGAAAAAAAAAAAAGATTCATTGGCCATTCCATGCACTTCCACTACCCCGCTGAACTTGGCCTGATTGCAAAGTGGAACCACTTGGTAAGTCAACTGAAGATGCCAATTTGAGGATATCACCTTGGGTTGTGGGAAGGTTGTTCTCCATGATGCGTTCTACTGAACCAGTGGCTGATACATGCTGTTATGTCTCATATATAAAACCAAGGTATAGAAAGTGGACAGGGCAGATCCCATTCATTAATACTTCCTAGTGACTCACTTTGGCACTGTACTTCTTGTCCTCATAAATGGAGGCTATGCTGGGTGAAAGGTCTTGGCTTTTAGATGGGAAAATGTGATGCTTATACTAATTGACAGAATTAATGTTGCACTGAACCAGACACTGTCACCTGGGCACTTTGAGTCCCCTCAAGCCATCGGGCTGGCAGGCAACAAAAGGAGTTACTCTCATTGTTGAAGGTATTCAACCCTAATTATCATGGGAAGCTAAGGTTGCTACAACAAAGTGGGGAAAAGAAAGGAGTGTGTCTGGGGTTATAGGGAATCACAGGGTGTGTCTCAGTGCTCCTGTGCCCAGTGATCTATTTGTGGCAAATGCATCTGAAGCAGGCAAGTGAAATAACAGCTACAAAAGCCTTTGGGGAATGGAGCCGTGTGTCATCACGCCATGGTACAATGTTGAAGTGCCCACCAGGGTGAGTGTGTGTGTGCAAGTATACATTGTCTATTTTTTACAATTTCATTCCTATATACCTATATATGTATAATGTTTTCTATATTACATTACGTATAGTTAGATATCATACTGTTTCCATAAAGCTTAATCACCAGCCATTTTTTTCTTCTCTGTCCCTCATTACTGGAAATTTCATCTAAGAGATACTGCTTTCCAAAATGCTTCCAATTTCCTTCTACAAGTGAAAATTTTGCAATACTGCCATTGCTTATGCCTGCACATTTCAACATCCTCCCCTTTTCATATCCTGGCTCTGATCAGCCAAATCTTTATCAAGTTCTAAATAGTTGTATATTTAGGAACAGTCTCTTCCTGATGTTATCTGAGTATCTGAGTTCTTCAAGTGTTAGGATTCCCTTGACTCTGCATTCCACCCAAATCCCAGCAGTGGAGTATTGTCCAAGGCCAGTTCTTCTGGCCCTCTTGATATACCCACCTGGTTATATCATCTTCCCTGCATTCTAGTTATTCCCCAAACACTGCATTAGATGATGTCCATTTATTCTCATGGTTTTTCCATATGGTTGTAGATAGACATGGGATAATTTTCATATAGGTGGCTGACATTAATATATGGAAAAGTGGGAGGCCTCCATATGCCTTTAATGCCTTATTTGGGCTCTTTAAGTTACTTTATATGCTTATATGAAAGATTTAAAGGGGTTTATTCTAAATTAGAAAGTCTCCCATATTTATAAATATCTTGTGAGCCTTCACGATTCCGTCTGTGCTGCCCTTATTTGTTCAGGTGGATTGCTTTAGATTCTACCACCAGTATGAAAATACTGTGAATCAATTCATGTTCAAATTGTACCTTCATTTTAAAAACTTTCTTAATCTTTTTAATGCTATGAAGCATCATAATACTTGAAATACTGTTAGAATATATGTAATTTTAGGGGATCAGATTTATTTAACACACTAGATTATAGGCTCCTCTTAAAGCATGTTTATAACTTGTTCTATGGCTGGCTTTATACACAATAGGTGCCCAAAAAACAACACATGAATGAATAAATGAATATATTTTATATAAATTCCTGAAAATGAAATCAGATTTGTTCCTTCATGTTAAAGCATTAAAAGTGGAAGAATTAAAAAAGGATACAAATTTCTTAATATGCCTCCAAAACCTGAACATTTATGGGACTTCTGATTTATATCAACATTTCATTTTTCTTTGTTTAATTGAAACTGAACTTCCTCTGGAGGAACTATTGTCCCAAAAGGCCATGTCCCATTCTTTCTGGACATAACCCCAGCAGTATCAGCATTAGCAGTGAAAAGCTCAAGGCAAATGTCACTTTGGATAAAATGCAGCATCAAAATAGAAAGTGCCCCCATTGACCTCAAAGCATACCCACAAAGGTGAGGTCACTGCCAAACTTTCCCTTAGGTGGCTTCTGTTATATTGTGCCACACAAGTTTGGGAATGGGCTCACATGTTAGCCTCTCATAGTGCATTGAGAAAATGGTGCATTGTCAGGATAGAAAACAATAGAACTCAAAGCAGGTTACTATTTAAATGGCAAGATGATTCTACACTAGTTATTCACAGAGGCATAATGATGAAGGCACCCTACTATCTGCAAGCAAAGATAAGAAAAAACAAGGATAAAAAGATGGTTTATTGTCACTTACTCCCATTTAGTTTTCCAATTAAATATCTCATATTCTCTGCGTTTCTTAACTCAAAGATGAGTTTTCTGGCATTCTGTGTAGATCAATTAATAACCTGAAATAATGAGAGTAAATTCTACTATACTGTAATGCTATTAATCCTTACTTGAGCTACCAAATTTTTCTATGAATTCATCAAAAGAGTATTTGCTTTATTGTTTCTCTGAAGATTCATTAGCAATCTGATGATTTGGTGTCTAATTGCAGCAAGGTGGAAGTAATCGATGAAAAACTTACCTGATTAGGCACTTTGCAATTAGTTCTGAATGGTGCAGTTTTCTATGGAAAAGAAATGTAGTCAGGCTACCTGCTGTGGGACAGACTTGTTTTAATAAAATAAAGATAAAGCTTGATCTTCACCAGAGATCATTACACTGATGTAAAAATGTTATATATTTTCAGAGATAACACACGGCTTGAGATATATGAGAAGCTCAATAAACAAAAATGTGTTTTAAAACAAAAGAATGAATGAGTCTACTGTGTCCAAAGGTCCATTATTGTCAATAATTTTGTTTCTTAAGTTTGGCAGAACTCTGATGTACTTTGAAGAGTTGAAATGGTTTAGATTATTTCATCCCAGCTTGATCCATTTACTCTGCTACTTCCCGGACATTTTAATTGAGGCTAAAAACTTCAAATTGGATTCCAGTGTGTCCTTTACTAGCTTACTGCTTTCCTAGCCAATCCATATTGCCATTGTTTTTTGCATTCCAGTGTAATCCATTATTATCACTTGGCTAAGCAAACACAGCTGGGTAGTAATGAATGAAATTTCTATATTTATAGATAAACTTAGTTGTAATGGTTCTGTATAGTTCATTTTCTAAGACAGAGAAACCATATAGCAATTCCAGTGTCTGATTCAGCATCACAAAGGATACAATGTTATACTGAAATAGCTGGGAGAATTCCATCACTGATCCTTTACTTTTGTTACTAAATGCAAACTAATATGTTAGATGAGGAGATAAATAAGTGTGCACAGTCATTCCACTTTTTCTGCACTTAATTTATTCCAACCTAAGAAAAGAATAAGTGACTTTGCGTCAATTTAGAATATATAGTTTGAGGCTGGGCGTGATGGCTCACACCTGTAATCCCAGCACTTTGGGAGGCCAAGACAGGCAGATTACTTGAGCCCAGGAGTTCAAGACCAACCTGACCAATAGGGCAAAACCCTGTATCTACTAAAAATACCAAAATTAGCCAAGGGTGGTGGTGCACGCCTGTAGTCCCAGCTACTCAGGAGTGATGCATGAGGATCGCTTGAACCAGGGAGGTGGAGATTGCAGTGAGCCTAGATCATGCCATAGCACTCCAGTCAGGGAGGCAGAATGAGACTGTCTCAAATAAATAAATTTATGAATAAAATAATAATAAATTAAAAATAGAGTATACAGTTTGAACAACTATGAAGATTTTCAAACTGAAAATCTTGTCTAGTACCCTATTCATTGCTGTCTGAATTTGGTTCCCTTCTAGTAATAATTTTAAGTGTAATGAATAATTAAATATAAAGACTAAGATTCAATTTAAATATCTAGGAGTCCAATCCAGTTTAATTCTATTACTGTTTGTTTGTTTTTAAATTCTATTGCACTTTGACTACTGAAAAAAATCTGAACACAAAAACTCAGATCATAAGTCTATGGTTATAATATGTTGTCTTATTCACTTGAAGAGTCCACATACCACAATCTGAAGTTACAAATTTTAAACTGATTCTTGCCAATTAAAAATTGGCAGTCATTAGATATAGCAGAAACAAGGTAAGGTGTAATGATTATATGCTTTACTATAAACTAAATGCTGTTTCACCCAACCGAGTTCCTAGTCTGAAATTTCTAACATTGTAAGCAATTAAGTTTGCATGCTCAGTTAATACCAGCACCTGGGAACCTGATAATTTGCATGTACACAAAGTTCAGGCTTCTATTCACAAACAATCTCCTTGCGCAAATAAATCTGCAATAACCAAAAGACCAGAAGTGATTTCATAGTTCCACGAAACTCCGGCCTACCATAGGCTCTCTGCTTGTTCATCAATTTGCAATTGTCAAAACTGTTATCTATTAAATAAAAAGTGTAAAAAGTCAATTCTTTGGAGAGGACCCAGAGGTTTCAGAAAGAGGAATTGGCTCATTTTGAATAATTCCTGAGCTTTCTTTATTTTCTCTCTTTAGAATATGTAGGTCTGGGCAGACAGCTTCCCGTAGCTTTGGAAGAGGCATTCTTTCCTACATTATACATTGAAAAATAAGACTCACAAATAGTCAAGTCAGCTAAAAAAGAAATAACATTGATCCAGTAGGGGTGTTTTTCTTAACCTCTAATCAGTTAAATAAAATTAATGCTTACTTCATTTTCTAATATTCTTAAATTCGGATTTACACATTTTAGTTAATCTCTTGTTATATTGTATCTATGTTGTCTAGTTTGGTAGATTTACAAGAATTACAATGTCATAAGTTCAAAATAAAAGTGTCTCCTTCAGCACTATGCATTGTGTGAATTTGTATGATCTTTTAACTTTTGTCCTGTAGTCTCTTTAACTCTACATTTTACCTTTTCCATTTCTTACTTTTTGGGGACAATTTTATTTTTGCTGTGAATATAAACTTTAAAGGTTACCTCTAAATGAGGTTTCTACCTTTAATTACTGTCTAGAAAAAGCAAGAAAAGAGAGAGAGAAGAGACTATCAATAGAAAAAAAATGATGATGAATTCAATGAGCAATGAATTGAATTAAACTTCCAGTTTAAATGTAATGGCTCTGAAACCAGTCCATGTCTTTTAAACATGTGAAAATAAATGAGAAGTATCAGGTAATGATAAATGAATAATAAAGCACTAACAGGTATATATTTGTGAGACAAGTATGCCACTTTTATTTATTTATTTATTTATTTATTTATTTATTTATTTATTTTGACACAGAGTTTCACTCTTGTTGCCCAGGCTGGAGTGCAATGGAGTGATCTCGGCTCACCACAAACTCTGCCTCCTGGTTTCAAGTGATTCGCCTGCCTCAGCCTCCCTAGTATTTGGGTTTACAGGCATGCACTACCATGCCTGGCTAATTTTGTATTTTTAGTGGAGATGGGGTTCCTCCATGTTGGTCAGGCTGGTCTGGAACTCCCGACCTCAAGTGATCTGCCTGCCTTGGCCTCCCAAAGTGCTGGGATTACAGGCATGAGCCACCACACCCAGCCAAGTATGCTACTTTTATGAGTAATACCTATTCACGTTGCACCTGAAATTAAACTTTATTAAAACACTTGACATTAACCAGCATCTTGTTCAATGTGCGTACTGGGAAGTTTTGAATGGATAGAAACCAAAACTAGTGTCAAAGCAAAAATTGCACTGAACAAAATTAAGCATCAAAAGTATTTTGTTTAGACTTTGATCCATTTTGAGTTAACTTTTGTGTATGGTGTGAGGTAAGAGTCCAGTTTCATTTCTTTTTGGGTAGAAATCCAGTTTTCTGAGCACCATTTATTGAAGAGACTATGTTTTTCCCCATTGTGTCCTCTTAGTGCCCTTGTCAAAAATTAGTTGGTTTCTATTTAGTTTCATTGGTTTAGGTATCTATTTTTATTAGTACCGTACCATTTTGGTTAAAACATTTCTGTAATATAATTTTAAATTTTAGAAAAGGGTAACTATGTGAGATAATGGAAATGTTAATCTACTTGACTATAGTAATCATTTCACTATTTATATGTATATCAAAACACCACGTTTACCCTTTAAATATAGTCATGCACCACAACATCAGGAAGAATTTCTCAGAAATGTGTCTTTAGGCAAAATTGTCACTGTGCAAATATCATGGAGTGTACTTATTGCAAAACTACATGGTACAGCCCACTACACCTCGAGGCTATATGGTACAGCCTAGAACTCCTAGGCTACAAACCAGTACAGCATGTTACTGTACTAAATAATGTGGTCAATTCTAATACAATGGTATCTATTTATCTAAGTGTTCTAAATATAGAACAGGTATAGTAAGAAACATCATATAAAAGATAAAAAATGGTACACCTGTACAGGCAGTTACTATAAATGGAGCTTGCAGGACTGAAAGTGGCTCTGGGCAAGTCAGTGAGTGAATGTGAAGGTCAAGTATGTAACTGTATGTTACTGTAGAGTAATACTGTAAATACTGTACACTTAAGCTACACTAAGTGTATAACAATATTTTTTCTCCAATAATAAATTAACTTGAGTTCACTGAGACTTTTTCACTTTATAAGCTTTTTTAAAAAAATTTGAGTCTTGTAATAACATTTAGCTTAAAACACAAACACATTGCACAGCTGTACAAATATAATTTTTCTTTACATCTTTATTCTACAAACTTTTTTCATTTTTAAACATTTTAATTATTATTTTTTTTACTGTTTAATTTTTTTTTGTTAAAAACTAAAACACACACACACATTAGTCTAAGGCTACACAGGGTCAGGATTATCAATATTACTGTCTCCAAGCTCCATATTTTGTCCCACTGGAAGGTCTTTAGAAGGGTCAATAACACACATGGAAACTGTCATCTCCTATGATAACAATGTCTTCTTCTGTTTAGCTCCTGAAGGACCTGCCTGGAGCTGTTTTACAGTTGACTTTGTTTTAGTTTTTGATAAGTAGAAAGAGTAGAATCTAAAATAAAGATTAAGATATAGTACTGTAAGTACACCAACCAATAACTTAGTAACTTATTACCATTAATAAGTATTACCTACTGTACATAACTGTATGTGCTATACTTTTATAGGACTGACAGTGGGGTAGGTTTGTTCACACCAACAGCAACACAAATATATAAATAATGCACAGCCCTATGGTTTAAAGAAGGCTCCAATGTTACTAGGTGATAGGAATTTTTCAGCTCCATTATAATCCTGTGGGACCAAGGTCTTATATACAGTCTGTTGTTGACTAAAACCTCATTATGTGGTGCCTGCCTACATATACAATAAAATTAATCAAACAAACCATGTAAAGAAGACTTTATTGAATACAATTACATTAGAAGAGAGAGAATACCCCAGCCGGAACTCAGTTTGGGCTCAACTTAACTGAGACAAAAAGCTGGGGAGGTTTTAAAAGCTGGAGTGGAGTTCAGGAGGTTTTAAAAGCTGGAGTGGAGTGTGTTTGCTAATTGGTGCCCATCAAAGTTAGACTCCTACCCTCTCATGGAGACTGGGAGTTAGGCTGCTACCTTTCTTGATTTCAAAGAGATTGCTCCTAGGGCATTCAGAAAGAAAGTCCTGCACTGTAAAATAGGAAAGAGGCTTTCAAACATATTTACATCTCAAAGGGACAAATAAAGAGTTTACAATACAAGTTTTCTAGAGTAAATGTTCTGTAAAGAGGGAGTTGGGGCCTAGAGTCAGGAAGCATCCTGTGTGAAGATTAATCCAGTTGAGGGGGAACATTACAGCTTTCTTGGTCAGTAGGAATGATGATGGATAAGGGAAGCACATATTCCATTTTGCTTGCTGTCTTAGTCTACTGACTGACGTAAGGTGTAATTAGCTGTAGAGAGCATTGGGGACTTCTGGGTCCCAGTTTGAAACCATGACTGGCTCTGAAAAGCTCTTTCCAGCTCCTCCTTTATTGAACAACACTGCTTCAGAGTGTCCTTTCTCTTTAGCTCTCCCCAGGTGACTGCAAGGCAGAAGCAATATCCTCAGATTAAGATATAGTACTTGACTGGGTGCAGAGGCTCACAGCTGTAATTCCAGCACTTTGAGAAGCCAGGGCAGGAGAGTTGTTTAAGGCCAGCAGTTCAAGATCATAGAGTGAGACTGTTGTCTCTACAGTTAATAATAACAACAACAATAATAATAATAATAATAATAATAATAATAATCACCATTCTGACTAGTGTGAGATGGTATCTCATTTTGGTTTTGATTTGCATTTCTCTAATGATCAGTGATGTTGAGCTTTTTTTCAAATGTGGCGATTCATCAAAGACCTAGACCGAGAAATATCATTTGACCCAGCAATTTCATTACTGGGTATATAACCAAAGGAATATAGATTACTCTGTTATGAAGATACACACATGTGTATGTTCATTGCAGCACAATTCACAATAGCGAAAACATGAAGTCAACCCAAATGCCCATCAGTGATAAACTGGAAAAAGAAAATGTGGTCCACACCATGGAATACTATTCAGCCATAAAAAGGAATGATATCAAGTTCTTTGTAGGGACATGGATTATCCTCAGTATTATCCTCAGCAAACTAAACTAATGCAGGAACAGAAAACCAAACACTGCATGTTCTCACTTATAAGTGGTTCTGAACAATGAGAACACATGGACACAGGGAGGGGAATGACACACACTGGGGCCTGTCACGGGGCAGAGGGAGGGAAAGCATCAGGAAAAATAGCTACTGCATGCTGGGCTTAATAGCTGGGTGATGGGTTGATAGATGCTGCAAACCACCATGGCACACATTTATCTAAGTAACAAACCTGTATATCCTGCACGTGTATCCCAGGACTTAAAATAAGATAAAATAAAATGTACAATACTTCAAAAAAGTTATCATTCTCAAATAAAGCAATTTGAAGTGTAATAGAGTAAAATATTCTAATACAATCGGATATTACAAACATGAATTGAAAAACAATGTCCAATACCTTCAAGAACAGATAGAGAAAGGATAAGAAACACTTTTTTGTAACTGTGTACTATAATAAAATTTCATAAAAGCCAAGTATGAAGGAGAGGTCATAGTTCTGTGAAAATGTTTTTGCTCAACCCTGAAGTGATATAAGACATTTTGTTAAACTTGCTTGCTACAAAATGTGGTACAGGCCAATCCTGCTCAAAAATGTCTGTATTTCCCTGGCTCTCGGCCCCCTAAAGGTCAGCTGAAAAATCACTGTCATGAGGCAAATTGAAGAATAGGAGAAAAAACATACACATTTATTTAATGTGTCTATACAAGGGAGACTTAGAATGAAGACCCAACACCCAACAAGGTACAGAAACTTCTATACCATCTTGAAGTTATAGAAAGAACATAGGCTCACGGGATGGACAAAAACAGGTTTTAGTAGCAAGACAGTTTAAGGGAGGAGGAAAGGAAGGCGCTTGGCTAGCAAAGGCGGCCTTGTGATACGGATGAAGCCTCAGAAGTAGCAGCCCTTAGAATAAACGTTAAATGTTTCTTTTTAGACTTTTAAAAGGGTCGGATTCTCAATCTCTTCTGGATCCAGGAAAGGCCTGGAATGGGAAGGCCAGGCTGCATTAGTGCAGATTCTCTACAGAGGCAAAGATTTCCCGCAAAAGATAGCTATGCGTGGCCACGTCTGTCTGCTGGCTCTGTGGCAGCCATTTCAAAAAATATCAAAGAAATACATTTGAGGTTAAAGTATTTTTATTTTCTTCAGTATCCACCCCCTAATCTTCAAGGAAATGTGATATGAATAAAAGAAATCTTCATATATTAAGCCTCTAAGATTTGAGTTGTGGTTATCACACCAGTTTATATATGATTTATATATAACAATAGTGCTTAAATTAGAGAAAATGATGTTTAAATATCTTTTACATTATCCCCATTAGATGTTAGTCATGTTACAGAAGTCAACTGGCAAACAACTTTAAAAAGCTTTCTCACACTTACTGGGAGTTCAGTTATTTGAGTTATAGATGGACATGTGACTTTAAAAAAAAAAAAAAGTATGGACTTTACGAGCTAAGTATACAGATTTCAAAGTTGACATTTTTTTTAAGAAAAGTACAATTCGTGCCTGGATACAGGGACACCTATTCTCTGCAGATGATGGCAAGTTTTTCTGGAGGCAGGTCTAAAATTTCCCTTAAATATATATGGCTTTAAGCATATTTACTGCTCTAAAGTAGATTTGATTAAAGCCTCAACATCCTATACCAAAAATTAGGCATGAAAAATTTTGTGAACAAAAATTACTAACCTACCCCCACTATGGTAAAAATAACCTTGGCCAGATTTATAAAAATGATTTAGCTGTGAATGAAAAGTCTTCAACTCAGTGGTTCTATAAAGATCTAAAATTCAAGATATATGCCCATGTAATTAGGTGAACTTAACTGTTAAATGGAATTATTTAGTGTCATCCGTAAGAATATTGAAGATACTCTTGAGGAAAAGAAATGTAAATTGGCTTTCACCTTATTTATATGGAACAGTTTCTTGATTTGACTTTCTTAAGAAGAATATTAAGCTGAGGTTATCAGCTTTAAGATGTACAGTTGTCTTCCTGTGTGCACGACAGGAGGGCAATGGTTGTTTACATAACAAGTAGATCCAATCATTTAGGTATATACATAAAGAGAAAGATAGCTCTGTTACTAAACATTTAGAAATAGCAATTGGTTTATACGATGAGTCTTTTGTAATAAAGTGAAATGCTATGGTAAGGATTTAAATAATGGAAAAAAAAGGAAAGAAAATATGAAAATTTTTGTATCTGAGGCAGCCATGAAGGTGCTCCATGAATACCCCAACTCCACCTTAGAAAAACTTACTGTAGGGCATAGATGATGGACAGGCCCCAGCTGCTACACATTTGGATGCATCTTGGATTTTAATCCTTAACCAAATTTCCACTGGGCTGCTCCAAGCCAATGACAGGGCATGTCAAGGACAGTGCTAATGGGCTTTCTTCCCCGCTGTCGCAGTCGTGTTCATATGGGCAACTTTTGCCTGAGGACTCCCAGTCAGGTTAGCTGAAATGTTCTCAGATCCACCCTGTGCTGAGGTTCTTCCTGCCCAGTCCTCTATCCTTTCAGTCTCCTTGCATAGAAGTCAGATCTGAAATTCAGAAAGAAGAATCTGCTCTGGATCTCTCTGCGTTCAATTTTCACAGGCATTTCCACCAATATATTTCTTGAGCGTCTAATCTCATTTTGTCATCTCTATCTAGAAGAGCCTGAACTGACGCCGTATGTATTTTGAGATCAGACCACCTGGCCCAGGGACTATTTTTGTCGCTGAAATGAGATGTTAGAGAAACAGAGATGAATGCTGTAACTAAGTTTTAAATGTTTTCATGTATGTAAAAAAATAAATATGTATTAAAGGTCAAAGGCAGAACCTATCACTTTTTAAAAGGAAGTCAGCACGTAGAATTGACGAGATACACAGTAGGTAAGCCTTGGCACACATTACCTTCTTATTTTCTATTTTGAGAGTTTAGACCTTAAACATCTTGACACAGAATCCCTCCTGGTGGATCTTCATCTTTCGGGTAGTAACAAATACTGCTCTTTCAATGTGTAGCTGTGTTCCATAATCAATTCAGGTAAGGAGCAGTGACTATAAAACAAGTAGAGGACAATTTGTACTTTTCAGAAACAATGATTGGGATGAAAACTAGTATAGTAAGGTAGTACAGAAACACATGAACACATATAAATAAAACATTTTAAAGAGCTGGATGTAAAAATGGAGACAACTTGTTATATACTCAAATTAAGGCTGATTTATTTTAGATGATACAATACGTAAATGCACAGCAAGAAATAGGTAAGCTATATCATGCCTGTAATAGTTTAATTTTTCATTTCAAGAATGCAAGAAGAAAAGCTTAGTAGAACAATGTAAGGAAACTGAGCTTCTCTGGCAAAATTCATGAAACAAATAATCCAACAAAAGTTTTACTCTTCCACAAAGTTGTTTGCAGGAGCCCGATAGTCAATGACAGATTGGTTTAGTCTCAAACAAGCTGCACACAAAGAGATCCAATCAAGATGAGAAAAACATTGGGATACAGAATGAAGACACTGCACTTCCTTACATCACTGAAAATTAAATTATTCCCAGCTATATCTTAGCAGATATCTCTGCAAAAGATAAAACATCTTTGTCGTTAAATAAATGGCACCATCTATGATTGTCCAGGACATTTAAAAACATTCAAGAGTCTCAACAAAAAATTAGGATAAATTTTTAAAATGGCTATATTTTATGCTTGTGACCTTAACTGTATGAGCCAATGTAAGCATTTTCTACACATAATAAAGAGACTGTTACGTATGGGTACTACATGATCCATGTCTTATATATCATGTGTATAGTTTATAAGATCTTGTATACATATGTTTCTGTTGTACATAACATGGTCTCACACACATATGCATATGTATGTATCTTTTTTCAAGTGTTGCTTAAATATCCTATACTTAGTAGCATTCCATTTTTTAAACAAACCTAGTAAAACTGTGATCTTCATTAAGAGCAACGTAAATTGTTTTTGTTGACTAGTGTGTCTGCTTTGCGTTTTACAAGGACTAGAAGTCAAGGAGAAGAAAGGCTGCCAGATGGAAGCTGAATGCTCTAAGCCCCAAAGGCACTACAGAAAGCAAGATTTAAATCTCTCTAGATACTGCCATTGTGTGTTCTCACTGTTACATTTATTATTTAGTAAGCAAGAAGTACTTATTGCTTAAGAAATGCTTTATACCTGGCCATAATGGATGAGTGCTAATTCAGTTATCTATATCCTTAGATGTACTCTCTTCATTTTTTAGGATAAAAATCTTCCAAGATTATTTTGCTAAAATAGCTTCAAATGATATTTTTCTGGGCACTCTTATAATAACTTAGACTTTTTATCGTTTTTAGAATGAGGCCTCTTTATTTTGAAAATAATTAGATATTCTGATAATAGTTTTAAGTACTTTGCTATATCAAGAATGAATGGGTGGAGCGTGATGTAGACTAAGGTAAGGGTTTGGCAACGCAGGATCCCTTTGCCTTTTCTCGAGAATTTCAGCTTCGTAAAATTTGTTTTGTATGTACACAATGTCCTGTGCTGGCCAACTAGTTTGAGTTGAATGTATAATATTAATGAGGGAGCCATTATTTTTGTGTAGCAAAATTTATCATAATTTTATGAGACAAAAAATAAGAGTTCAGTAAGCTGATTTGAAATAGTCTGTCTAAATCTAAGTTTATAAAATTTTATTGTATGTAAACAACTAATACAGTTGATGGGTTAATATAAAACCATGATTAACTCAAGAATACAAATATGGGATGTTTCCTTAAAAACTAAGGATATAAAAATGTCATGGAAATATACCAAATTTGGTGGAAATTTGGCAGTAATATAGAGTACAAATTTTCCTTTGCTTATCAAATAATGTCTTTTCTGTTATTTTAAAAGTATTAGGCAATTGTTTGAAATATCCAGAGAACGTTCATGAGTTTTTTATTTGATGAAAGTATGATAGAAAATAGAGTTCTCGCCAACCTAGTAACACTTTATTTTTATTTTTTAATTTTTTTTTTGAGACGGAGTCTTGCTCTGTCACCTAGACTGGAGTGCGGTGGTGTGATCTCGGCTCACTGCAACATGCAACCTCCAACTCTCAGGTTCAAACCATTCTCCTGTCTCAGCCTCCTGAGTAGTTGGGATTACAGGTGCACACAACCACACCCAGCTAATTTTTATATTTTTAGTAGAGACGGGGTTTCATCATGTTGGCCAGGATGGTCTCCATCTCCTGACCTCGTGGTCCTCCCGCCTCGGCCTCCAAAAGTGCTCGGATTACAGGCGTGAGCCACCACGCCCAGTCTCCTAGTAACACTTTAATAGTCAGAATGTGATTAACATTATTTCTATTACCAAATTTTGTTTTCAAGATTCTTAAGAAAATACCATGTATATCATAGGTACTTTTTGTTTGTTTGTTTCTTTGAAGACCAGAAATTACACATGTGTAGACTAAGAAATATTTCAATATGCGAAGGACAAAAAACAGTGTTAAGAGAATGTTTTTTGTATTTATGCTCTATCAACAAATGAAATACTAATATCTGAAAATCAAGCTGACAAATGGCACTGAATGTAGTTTTAACAAATAGGGTGGATTTTGTGGGCTGTTTTCTTTTACAGAATGTCTTCCTATGTTATGATTCAGCACCCTTTTCTGATACATTGCTGTAGTAGCCTTGTACTTGACTCTGACGTCAAATAATAATTAATTATTTGGAAGATATTCAAAGAAATTAAAAGTATTTTTGGTTCAAAAGTAAACCTCTGGAACAAACAAGCACTTGCGGGCAACCACTTTAGTATATAGAAAGGTAATAAGTGAGAAAGTGGGAAAATTGTAGAACATAAGATCACAATAAGATTTATTATGGCTTATAGGTGAACACCATATCCCAAGTCCAGAATGATAATCATGCCAATAATATACCTTCTGTTTATTGAGCATTGCTTTGAGGTAGGCTCTAGACCAATCATTTTATTGGTTTAATCTACTTTTAGAAGTCAGTAAGGGCAGAGTCATAATACAAATTCTGGGTTTGTCTGACTCCAAAGACTCTCTTTTAACTACTGTGCTATGGCTAGTATATTAAATATGTACAACTACATTATTTTCCTTAAAATTAAAAAGTTAATCATAAATTTATATTTATTCATTGGGTTCCCATACTAGGCTTCAATAGCTATGCCCGTATGATTGGTAATCACTTATTTAACAATGATTATAACTGTGACTAAAATAAAGAAATCTAATAAAAGATTCTAGTTTTTAGATTTTCATATAAGTAAAATTCAAATTGTTTATGCAAGATGATGCAAATAGTATGTTAAGTAAATTTTTCTGAAAGTGACTAACGAAAAGCTTGGGAGAAGAGAGGTAATTAAAACAAAATAGTCTGGGCACAATGGCTCACGCTTGTGTTCCCAGTTATCTGGAAGGCCTAGGCGGGCAGATCACCTGAGGTCAGGAGTTCCAGAACAGGCTGGCCAACATGGTGAAACCCAGTCTCTCCTAAACACACAAAAATCAGCCAGATGTGGTGGCACGTGCCTGTAATCCCAGCGACTCAGGAGGCTGAGGCAGGAGAATCACTTGAACCCGGGACGCGGAGGTTGCAGTGAGCCTAGATCACACCACTGCACTCCAGCCTGGGCAGAGGCGCGAGACTGTCTCCAAAAAAATAAATAAAATAAAACCAGATAAGCATTTTAGCTAACTAAGGAGATAATAGACACTACCAGGATGTGGTAGTGGGAAGGTAGGCTCGGAGAGAGTTTTAAATACATTATGACAGGAAATATTGTGAGAAAGTGGGATTTAGGCAGCATCATAGTTTCCAGAGCTAGATAGTCATGAGAAAAGGGGCAAAAGTGAAAGAAAATAGTGACTTCAGGTAAGAATTGCTAATGTTTTTATTGTTGTTCTAGTTTTATGGGCATAAGCTATACACAGGAGTGCTGATTTGTAGAGCAGTTAGGACGAAAGTCATACAAGGAAAAAAAAAATGCTGTAGGAAAACATATGTCACTGCACAGAAGATAGCAGAGTCCAGGCTTGAAGAACCATCAGCCAGCCCAGGAAGCTGAAGATACAAGTAAACAAGGAAAATGCATTGCCCAGGAAACCAAGTAAGATGTTCTAAGAAGGTGGTGAGTGACATTCACTGCTTCAGAGAGACATGCAAAATAAAGATCTAGAAAAACAATCATTAGTTATTACAATAACCATTACATGTCCAGTCATGTATACTCTTTGCAAAGTTTTTTCTTAATATCACTCAAAACTGGAATTTTATCTTTTGTTTGTATGCAAAAGACATATTTATGAACACTTCCCTATTCACACAGGCTTGTAGTAGTTTTTGGCCAAATGCATGCTTCGAAAAAATGGAGATTGTCCTGGATTCAACTCTGGCTCTTCGGGAGAGTAGAACACTTTTTTTTTTTCTTCCCAGAATGAGTTGCCTTATCTGATGTACAGACTGAGTTTATCTGTGTCATATATCAGCTTTCCAACACTGAGAGCCCAGTGTTGCAAAAACATTCTGTATTCTTTACTGTTTGATTGTATTTCTTCCTGCTTCCTGAGTGCTCGTATCACCATAAACTAACATCAGGTCACCAAAAATTTGACTTAGTCTGAAAGAACTATGGTCTGACATGAAAGAGATAACAAGTGTAATTAAAAGCATAAACTCTCTCAAATTACAACCTCATTAGTCTTAGAAACTATACCTCATCATTCCAATGTTGAAACTGCATCACTACAGTATTTCGGAAAATTTCATTTTAGAAGTAGAACAAAATATGAATTCAAGATACTCCCTTTTCCAAATGCACATGATCATTCAATGCCATTGTTAAAATGAAAAGTCCATTGACAAAATAATTTATTTTCAGGAGCATGGACGTCTCTGTTTGCCATCTAAATTAAATATATTTAATTGGAAGATTTTAATTTAGAGAAATTTAAATTTATAAAAATTGAACTTTTAAACAATGTTATCAAAAAAATCTATGATTAACAGAGTAAAAGTTCTGGTAATCCATCACATTTGAAAAATGTGGGTGAAGCTTTTATTAAAATCCTGGAAAGAAACTAATGAATGCATATAGCCTGAGTAACCTAAGACAGATTATTATATCCTTTGAAGGAATGGTGCACATTTTATTTATCTTTGTCTAATACTTAATATAGTATTTGGCTCATAGTATGAGTCTAATAAATATTTGTAATAATAATTGAATCATATAATGAGATGTAATTTATTTCATTTTCATTAATTTTATTTAATTAGCTCTGCCTGGAAGAGCAGGGCTGTTTTCTGCACAATTTCAATAGATTCCCCTACCCTGGGTTTTTCAGTAGATAGATAGATAGATGATAGATAGGTAGATAGATAGATAGATAGATAGATAGATAGATGATAGATAGATTTTATATATAGTATATAAAATCTACACACACACACACACACACACACACACACACACATTTGCCTTTCCTTGACTATCATACTCGTTTGCTCAGTTCTTTTTTTTTTTTAATTTTTGTTTGTAAATCAAAAATGCTTTGTACCGTATGGGTGCTCAAGTGTTTTAGAGGTAGTGAAAATAATAAATAATTTTAAAATATATACATTTTAGCTTTATGTGTGTCTGAAAATCCATGCTAGTGCTACATTCACCCCCTCAAAAAATCCTACATGATTAAAATCTCACATGGTAATATATTTAAAATTGTTCCTTTCTCCCATCTGATATACATTTATACAACTTGCCCTTAAAATTATTCCTTTCTCCCATCTGATATACATTTATACAACTTGCCCTTAAGGTTCACATTTGAACCGAATGTCACTGAATAAATTTTGGGTAAAAATTCAGGTCTCCTTGGTGTTACTGTCAGCTTTAGCCACTTTCTCTAATTTATCAAGTCTTATTCTTTGTATCTTTTTCTAATATTTTTTAAACTCTCTGGAGTAAGATAACTTTTCTCTTCTTATGCTATTCCTTCATTTTTAGCCCAATTTCCACTTCAGAACCACAGTAAGAAGCTTTAGATTTAGTCATCATAGTAGAGACACTGCACAGTTCTGTTTCCATGTGATTGCTTATATAAGCAGAATCTTAGAAAATGCCTTCACCTCAAGGAAATTTATGATTATTATACTTAGCAGAAAATTTAAAAATAATTATAAGCACTGAGTTTTAAAAATTCCTCAAATATCCTCTTTATATCCTCCTTGAGTTTATTAAAAGTTATTTAATCTGAGAATTGCAAGCTCTTCTCTCTAGTCCTTGCCCTTTTGAACTCTTTAGTTGCAAAGATGTGTGCACTGTAGAGAAGTGAGCTTATGAAAGTAGAACATGACTTTTGAAAATATAAGCATAGAATCTTAGAGCAAAATTAATCTCTAGTATAGATATTGGCAAAAAGAATGGCAATTTTTATCATTTTGGCTGAAAATGTAATTAAACATGCTTATTTCCATGCAAAATGTTCATTCTTTCCTTCAACATAGATATTATAATGTATTTACAAATGGTGGATAAACATAATTTTGGAAGTTAAAATTAATTTTATGTTCATAAAATGATAGAAACACATGCATTTTCTTTTACCTATTAGACAGTTAGTGGTATTTGAAAAACATCAAGATATTGCACATCCTCAAAATTGTATCTTCTGACTCCTAGAGTGGAAGTAGAATAACATCAGTATGCACTATCTACATTAGTATTGTTTATGGGAATTAGTAAAAAATATTAAATTTTCCACGTCTATTTCGATATTATATTGGGATGTAGTTCACTTTTCCATTTTAAAAACCCAAGCCTAACTTTGAGTGTCCTGCCATTGTTTCTGGGACCCACCAATGAATCTTCCATGAATTCACAGCTGCAGGAGAGCCTGCCATGTGTAATTTTCCAGGGCTTAAAAATGCAAATAAATAGGCTTATATTATCCCTGATGGTCACCTCAGCAGTCTCTAAAAAAGACGAAATCATAAGAGTTAAAGATCAAAAATTGTTTCTGAAGACACTCAGAGTTAGAGAATTGAATGTACCTAACTGCTCCTTCTTTGAAATTGATATATAATCGTTGCATCAATGCAAGAATATTGGCAAAATTATTCATCTTCTTATTTTCAAATATTGATAACGATCTCTCTTTTTTCTGGAGCTACTTTTTGCTCCCACAAGTAAAAAGAATAACAAAAAATAATCTTGACAACAAAAGACATTTCTCTTTCTCTGACTTTCTTCTATATTCTCTAGAGACATATGCAAGGTAATTATTTCTCTTATTGTATAATCTCAACTTCTGTTATATTTTACCTTCAGAATTCAGGTAATAAAAATCATTGAGAAATAGAATGCAAGACATATTTAATTGTGTAAAATGATAAATCTATGTCATGAATTAGGAAAATGCTAATATTTCCAGTTTGGAATGATTGTATTGAAATAAGTCAACAATTACTCTTTGGCTAACCCAGGAAGAGCTGATAGAAGGCGAGTTCGCTGGAGTGAAGGTGGACATAGTTTAGTATTTGGGGACCAGAGAAAATGTGAACATAAATAAAATTACTGGAAGTTCGGGGCAGTTAATCTTATCGAGAAAATGAAAATGAAACTCTGGTAAATTAGCGACTACCTCTAGTAAAAATTTTACCTGTCTTGGACTTCTCAAAAATGAAAACAAGTAACCAAAAAATGTCCAAAAGGGTTCTGGAATTATGATAGTGATGGACAGATAAAAGTTTTAAGTAAACACATGCTCTATATTGCACAATAATGATCTTGTTTTCATTAGGTTCACTTGACTTATAATTGATATTTATTAAATTTACAAATTTGTTTCTCTGGCAAGAGACTTTTGGAAATATTATTCATTCTTGTTTCCACTTATTTTTTGGACAACTTATTGAGATAATTAGAATATAAAAGGATCTGAAGCTTATGTACTTACTTTGCATTTAGTAAAGGAAGTTCCCTTGAATACCAAAATTATTCCCAAATGTAAGCAATGTAGGTATTTCTCAATCGTAGGGATTGCTGAACATTCAGATTTTGATTGGCTTCAAGACTGCTCAGATCTCCACATACATAAAAGGCAATTTTGAATACATAGGCAAGACAAAAATAATAAACTCAGGTGAGAAATAGAAAAAGCAATGATTAGGTCATATACAAAGCCATGAATGGTAAAGCTGAGACAAACTAAAACAGGCATTTGGCACATTTTGTACCTTTTTGTGGGGAAGCTTTATGTTCTCTTATTATACACGGTTTCACCCATATAGTAGTTTAGAGAGCTTTGGCCAGCCTTTAGTTCACATATTTCCAGTTTCTCATTAAAAAAAAAAAAAAAAAAAGGAGTTTTCTGCTCTCAGTTACAGTTTGAAAATTCTGAGGGATTATTTTGAATATCTCAGCTTGAGTCTCACATGCACCCTTAAACCAAGCACAGTGGCCCATGAGATGGGGTCAACCAATGCTCATGAGTACCATATAATAAATGAGAGTAGAGAGAGCAATGGTGCCTACTCAAAGGATTTTTGAGGAGTAGAGGGTTATGAGGATAGCGGTATTGCTGAAATCCTTGTGAGCCAGGCAGCTTCTCCATTTTATTCCTATTACTCAGTGTTTTTTTTTTTTCCTTACCATGTGCAGGTTCCAGAATTTAGAGGGTTATCTTCTCTTGTACCTTGTATTTTCTTTGAATGTTTGCCCCTTCCTAGCTGGTTTAAATCTACATTTAAGTGTTTGCCCCTTCCTAGCTGGTTTAAATCTACATTTAATCTTCTGGTACTTGATAATCTCAAAATAAGTCCTTTTTGTATTAGGCATTTTTTACTTGTGACTTGAATAGGTAAGACTCAAACTGTGAGCTCCTTCAGAAAACAGTCATGAGTATTTAGTTATGACTGATAGCAGATGCCCAATAAATACTGAAGTGAAGAGAAGCTGAAGAGGGGATAAGATTAACATTTGGAGAAGCTATAGATTACATAAGTAATGGTCAATCTACAAAGAAAGAAAAGTGAAGTCCTAATCATTTTTTAATCTTCATTATTGCTTCTAAACTAACTATCTGAAGGATAGGGCATATCCCCATCCATACTGGCAATTTTGTACCTCTCCATGGCAGCACTTGAGAGTGGGAGGTGAAAGACATCCACGTTTGTCAGAGCCTCCCGGAGGGAGCTTGAGAAGAATATCTCAAAACCTTCCTCTCCATAAACAATTATAAGAGAATGCCTTTTCACTCTGGAGAAACATTTCCCATTGCCTTTTAATCTGGATCAGTGAGAGTTTTGACTTTATTAGATTTGGCTGTCACTCATCATGAAGCACAGATGCTGAAACTCAATAAACATAATTTGTTGAGGTTAGAAACTTGGGTGTCACTCTTGATTCCTCATTTATCCTCATCCCACCCCCACCCCATAGCCAGGAACTAATCAAGTCTGGCTCAGTGCCACCTCCTAACTACTAGGTTCATGGGGACAGCTCTTTATTCCCACTGACACCAGCCTTAAGGCTGCCATTAGCTCTTGCCTAAGCCGTAGACCATCCCATCCACTACAACTACAGCTTCAGACTTGGCCACTTCATTCGTTACTCCCGGAATGATCTTTCTGAAACCTATATCCAGCCATCTCATTCCCTAGTTAAGACCATACAAAGAAGCTTTACATCGCCCTCAGTATAGGTTCAACATCTTCAAATGGCTTTGTGTTTCTCTTCCTATTCTGGCTCTGTCTTATCCTTCACTTCCTCTGTGCCCAATTCCATTTCTCACATGTTATATTCCAGCCACACTGAACTACTTCCAGGTGCAAGAAAACACTTTCTCCTGTCAAACATTTGCCCAAGCTGTTTCCTCTTTCTAAAACTTTCTCTCCTCTGTCTTTCACCAGGCAAACCTCTACTCATTTTTTTTAGTTCTCAACTTGAGGTCATTTTCTTTGGAAAGTATCAGAATCTCTAGGTCTGGGTTGACTGTCCCTTATACATGCATTTCTCATTAATAGTATTAATCACTCTGTATTTTTATTACCCATTTATATTTTGTCCTTCACTAGATTGTAATATTAATGAGAATACCCACTGTGCTATTGTTTATTTTTACACCTGTTATTTCCAACACATCACTGAGCTTCTAACATTTCCCAAAACTATCTTTTCTGTGTATTTCCTCACAATCAAAGAAAGTTAACTTGACTCATCAAAAGCCTACTACTTCAAGATAAGAGAGTAAAACATTATACCTATCTTATGGGAGGAGGAAATATTTACAGCCACCACACCACAGTCCATTCTGAAATTGATCCTCAAAGTTGAGTGGCAGTTTATCACGACATTGTTAGTTGAAAGGCAGAGGAGTTAAAACCTGAATCTAGGCAGTTGGGTCTTCACACTTCAGCAATGAACAGGTGAGTTGTCCAACTCAGGTTTTCTGACTATGATTACTTCATCCCATGAGGAAATGCCCAGAAGGGATAGTTTAAGGATGTCTTCGAAGCTTAGTGATGTGTTTGGAATCTGAGGTGTCAAAATGAATAATACCAATATAGTCAATATGCTCACAACCAGATAATTTTGGTAACTGAGAAAAGCCTTATTAGTGAAATACGTTAACATTTAATCTGGCCATCAGCATCTCTTTTGCAGTTCACTCTCAATGAATCCTCTATGCAAGTGATCTGATGGACATCAAAGACTGAAATTAAGCAAAGTTTGTTTTTTCCATTCAGTGTTGTTCCACTTGGCGCCTGGTATCTCTGACCAAAACTCCGGATCACAATATATGGACCTTGTTGTCTAGTACTATTCTGAAGTTCCCAGTTGTGTTTGCCAAGAATGATTCTGAATCCACAAGTATTTCCTACACTAATCTGTGAGACTGGCATAAGGCATGTACTTCCTCAGCCTTTTCAGTCAAATTTTTCACAATTTATAATTGCACACTGGGTGCTGACAGTGTGCTAGTTAGTTCCCAGTGAGAAAACGTGATGTCTAACTCAGTTTAAAATACTTAGAAACATCAGATATTGGCAACAGGTGTGGCTCCCACCTAAGGAGTCACATGATAAAGATGTCAGAGTTTGTAAATAAGCAAAGTGCCTCTTTCAAGTTGAAAATTTTACATGTTTAAAATTGTATCTAAAAATACTAATACAAAACTTTATTTTTTAACTTTATATAGGTGAAAAAGAAACAACTAATTAAGCATACTAATTAACAAAGCAATACATTAATGTTCAATGTAAATTTTACATCCTACAAATATTTCTTGTGTCTATTTACAGTGACCAGGAGAATGTATTATCAAGTAATTTCATGTTATTGTTATAAAAGGTAACAATTGTAAAAATGTTTTTTGACATCTGTTTCCATTAATACACTTCTAACTATTTCCCAGTCCATTGAAATCACGATAGTAAATGAAAGGAACATTTAGTTACTGTCATTAATTCTCTATCTCACAAAAAGTAGCTGTCTACTTTCTAAATTATCTGCTTCTTGTGTAGTGAATGGAAGAAAATTACTAAGCTGGTATCCTGTCAAAGAAAACTTTCCATTGTATATAAGTGTATAAAATCTCCTAGGGCTTAAAATGGTACCAAAGTAAAATTGAACAGTCTAAGAACACTTAGAGTTCCAGAATCAGCTACAGATAAGTTAATAGACTCATCAAGAAGGTTTAGTGTTCCCAGTAATTTGTCTGTAGGTGTGTGCTCTAACATTAATATTTTATTTACCTCTTAGGAAAAATGTATCATTCAAAATAAATATAATAGGTAACTTGGCTTATATAAAGTAATTATGATAGCATAGTAATACTGATAAGGGTTTGAAGTAAGGAAGTATTTAGCATTCTGTATTTCACTAGAAACATGACACACACAATATAATAATTACAAAGAACTAAGAAATGTGCTTGTCAGTAATACCAACATCAGTATTAATCATTCCCTACTCATTAAAGTAATAACCAAGGTAAATTATAATTTTCTTTTGGATTTTTAAAGAAAACATTGATGGATAAAGACAATAATAAATCAAAATAACAAATTTATAATCCAGAATATTCTACAAGTACACATATAACAATTATATGAAAAATGTAAAAAAATGTAAAGAGACATGAAAATATTAGGTCTTACAATAAGGGAAAAAATCATTTCAGTTGGCAAGCAGAGGGATTATAAAACATTCCTCCCTGGGCTGGTTTGTGATAACCTAAAGAGCTCACACAATTTTAAGAAGTGGAAATGAAAACAACAATGGGATAAATGCAGACTAAACAAAGAAAGCAGCTTGGGGAAAACAGTGCGGGGTACTGTAGGGCTTAAGAAAGAGTGTGTTACCAGTTTGGTTGATATAAAAAATATGGGAAATAATAGCAGAAAGGGTAGAAAAGTTGAGTACAATATTCCTTGTTTGGTTCACCAGTCTCATAGAATGTTCTCAGAATAGAAACAATACTGTTGACATTGCATATTTTCCTTCCTTAAACTTGTCACTTTATAAACAGAGGTTTTCTTTTTTAAAGAAATAAAGCATCAGACACATATTGACAATCACTGAGAAAACAGGATACGTGTTAAAAGAAATTTAATTCTTAAAATACTTTAATGTTTACGTTCATAAAACTAAAGATATATATTATAGATGTGTGCATATATAGATATAAAACTAGGAATATGTATATTTAGAGATACATATATAACATATATATAACAAATATATACTAAACAAAAATCCTTAGTTTTGTAATCTAAGTGTATATGTTGTGTGTGTATGTGTATGTGTGTATATGTGTGTATGTATTCATTTTTAGATTATAGAAGAAGATATATGTTTTTTGTTAAATTGAAATATAAAATACCTGAATCTTTAATGTTTAAATGTTTTCAACCATAAAATAAAGCAATGACAATTTATTTTTTTCATAATGAAAGGACTAATTAAAATGAATGTGTGAGATGTATCATTGTGATTATTTAGTTTTCGGGAAGGTATCAATAATACCATGTATGACTGCTGTTTAATTCAATCTAGGAGGTACAGATCAGAATTTTGCAAATAGAACATATTAAACAGATGTATTGTCTTCCAGGTGTAAGGTTTATAGAAGGAAAGATTATTTCCAATCTCATTTCACTTGTAATTGAACAATTCCCTGTGAAGATAAATTTTCACTAGATTGCATCATGACATTTTCATGGCTTCAGTTTCCTTTAATGCTGTCTCAAGTAAGTGTATGAAATATTCTGTTTTATTCATCACTGGGAAGCCAAGATTTTATGTCAAATTTCAATAAGTTAGAAATATTAAGAATAAAAATAATCTCAAATTAAATGAAATCCCCTGGTACAACACTTGTTCTAAACAGTTAATAAAATAGCATTTAACACACAAACTTTATAAACCACACACCACCAATCTATGCATGCTTCCAATATGATAGAATGTGGTTGAAGTGAGAATACACAAGCAGACATAATCCAGGAATTACATTTTATCAAGTTTTATGGAAAGACAAATTTTATAATTTTCTCCAGTGCAACCCATTTCAGTTGTAAACTATAAGTTTCATCATCACTTTCACATTCTGTCCAGTCTAATGCAATCATTCTCCTTTGGTGATGCCAAGAGAACATGGATGAGATAAAGATTGGTTGTTGTTGTTTCTGTTATACTATGTACTGAATATCTTACTAAAAAAGAGGAATGCTTGTGTTGTGTAGTTGTCTCTGTGTGAATATGTATGTGTTTGTTTCTGACAATTCAGCAAGCCCAGAAAGTGTAAAAATTTCTATTAACACTTAATCTTTCCAGGATAAAAATTTACCAAACAAATATCCCAAAGCTGTCATACTATTAGACATTGAATAAATAATAGTTAATTGTCATTAGCTCAAATCCCCCTGCCCTGCTTTGCTCTACCAACTTCTCTCTCCGCAGCCTCCATTACCTTAATCAAGCAACTCAGTGTTTTCTAGTTCCCAAATATTTTCATCCAAACCTCTTTGAAATTCTTACTTAGGTTAATGAAGTCTATTCCAAGTTTACATCTTACACAAATATGACGTTTCTTCCTTTACTACCACGTAAAAATCAATTGCTTCTTTTCACATATACAAATTATTTTATTCTTCACAAGTCAAAAAATATTTTCATTTTAGTCATGTCACTCACAGTTCTCTCTACAAGATTGCCTTTCTGTAGATTAAAGGGGTCAATTCTTAAACTCACTCTGTACAGCATCTAACACTGATGGAAGCATATATGTACTTCATAAATGTGTGATGCTGATGGCAGCAACTGTCAGCAAGGGCTGTTGTTTTAATAATTCAGAAAACCAGAAAAATCTGGAAAGCCTGGCAGTTAATGGGAAAGAGACTGCATATATTTTTATGGATCCCAAGTGAAGGAATCATTAGCATACTAAGCTTATAAAAGTCAGAGCCTATACCCTTAACAAGGTAACAACCTAACAGCATAAATACAGAAAGAATTTTCTTAGGTTAATTTTATAAGTATTAAAAGAATCTTCTATGAGATGTTAGATTTGCCTGTCTTATTAGTGCGATTATGTGGTGTGGGTAACAAAGACCAGAAAAGCGACAAAAAATCTATTAAACTTTTTTTTTAAATATACCACTGAAATCTTGAAATATCTGTTAAATTTACAAGATTTTTTTTTAAAGTTTAATTTCTTAATCCAGCTTGAATTCATCATTTCCCCTATTTGAAAGATTTCATTAGTTATTTGCTAACTTTTTGTATTTAATACAAGGACAGAAAAAAATCTCTTTTCTTCTTTTCTTACTTCTACTACTGCCCCTCCCTCCCATTCTTCCTTTCTTCCTTAAAAAATAGTTTGCTATTTGAGAAGCAGAGCTTGGAAATGTTTCATTAAATACAATACATAAATAAAGGGGTTTTTTCTTTGTTTCTTTTTTACTCACATCTACCTCTTCAGGAGAAGAGTTATTACTGCCACAAAACTGTTTGGGATGCTCTCAGATATGTAAGGTTGATTAACCTGTAAATGTGCATCAGATAGTAAATCAACTAAGCTTTATTGATGCTGCCAACATGTGTTAGCCATAGACAACACAGTTAGAACCAGGGCCAAGCAGGGGATTTCTAGAGAGGGGTACTGGGTTTTGTAGGAAAAAATTGAAAAAGACCCTGGAATAAGGAGCTTCTGGGTTATGACATTGTTTTAAAGTACCAACTCAACTCTGCAATCATCAAAAAACAAAGAGATATTTTAAATCTCAATCCACAGCCATAGAATTGGTTCACTGGCATTTTTTATCTAGACTTTTTCTTTGGAAGCTTGTTGTACCTACCACATCTGCAGGAGTGGCGCGTGCACGCACACACACACGCACACGCATAAATAAATATAGATAGATAGATAGATAGATAGATAAATATAAATATTGTGCGAAACATCAAACAGTGAAAGATAAGGCAGAAACAGATCAGTAACAATTAATTATCAAAAAAGGGGAGTCACAGTACACTTCTAAGGGACAGAAAGCCCCTGAAGAAAGCATGAGGTGCCAAAATTGCCACCTAGTCCCTGGACACCGAGAGCTTAAGTGCAAATACATTCAGTGCAATGCAACTCTGGGAAGTCTGTGTGCTGTCCCTCTGTTTCTTCAAAATAATAACAAATACAAAATAATTTATACAATAATTTTAAAATTAAAATTAATAAAATTGCTTACAAAACTTTGATGCTGCTTGATTTAACCAGTACATGTAGAACACTACGAGACATACCTGGCAACGAGCTAACATTTTCTAACTGCTTTGATTAATGTTGTTAAATGATATCCCAAGTGCCTACCAAAGATCCAAAAACACAGCATGTGCTTAATATTGTTTGTTAAATAGCAATTTACTAGGACAGATCAGTCAGACATCTCTCTAGGCATTACTGACCGAAGAATTCGCCTGACTTTTTTTGAAATTCATCTTAAATCCCCCAGATAGGTCTGCAGTCTATGACATTAATCTGGCTATGAAATTACTCTTTGCTGCTGGGAGTATTTCACCTAGTTTACCTTGCCAGCCCAATATCTCCCTTCGATTTCACTGAACCATGTGAACCAGCAAGGAACTTTATTCTGTTAAGAAAATAAAAATAAAAATTGGAGCCTTTGACCACACCTGCCCATTTGCTTGGCCTAATCACTTGTAACCACACATGTTTAGAACATGTTAATAAATTATATATAGTCCCTTTTATTATTTACAGAACACTGTACTCAAACAATATCTGCTTTTTTCCAGATTGAAAAACCCAATTAAAACAACACACAGGTACCCTGGAGAATGCAGCCTCAAAAGTGGGAAACCTGTTAGAGGCATTCACTTGTTACAAATACACCAAAGGCAACCAAGAGAGAGCAGATAAGCCTTTAGTTGTGAGGGTTAGTCGTGGTTGAATTTTAGACCCTATTGTCCTGAATGTTCTCCTTAAAAAAAAAAACCCTTTATTCCTCACTTTTTTGTATTGCTCCAGTGTTTCCATGCTCTTTCTGCAGTTTAGCCACTCACAACCAAGCACCAGCACTCAGTTACGCTTTTGTCTATGTTTGAGGGCATTTCTTCAGCCTTCCCTGCCAGCATTCAGCGTCTTCAGGAGCAGACAGGACAGCTGCATCATCCCTTCCTGTCAGCTGTTCTCCTCACGCTTCCTGCCCACCAAAGCAATGTTATGGCAAACCTTGTGTTAGTGCCGGGGGATTGGCTGGTCGCCAAGACCATATTGTCTTGTCACTAGTTGTTAAGTATGGCTTCAGGAGGACACTAAAGGCACTTTTCAGTAAAAGACATCTGTACCAGGTCCAGATTTTGCAGTCGTATGGAGACAGCTTGGTATTGCCCCTGCCTCCTAGTCCTTTAATTTAAATTGACACTTAAAGCTGCATTGGTTTGAAAGTCAGGTTGTCAGCCTCCCAGAAGATTGGCTTGCCTGCTTTATTCCGTTGTTCTTCTCAACCAACCTGACATAACAGATTCCCACATGCATGCAGCTGTGACTCAGCATTGCTCACTAATGGAGTTCCTAGAAGGTCCTTCCACTTTCAAATAGGAAAAAAACACATAGAAACATGCAGGTAAGCACACAGAAGCCAGCCACAATGCCCTAGAATACTGAGCATAAAAGGAAAGGGTTGTCTTTACACACACACAAACACACACACACACCAGCTGGAAAAAGCCTTCCTTAACAAGAATTAGTTTTAGGCAAGATTTTGAGGTTGTAACCCAAAAATGGGACAACAAGGAGTTCCTTTATTGCCAGGACAAATGGCTGATAATCCATTTATTTTATGTCACTGTTTTCTAAAGTCACATATAAATGTCAAGGACTTTCAGAGCCTGTCATTCTGAGAAAAGTTTTGATAATAAGTACTCAGTTTCTTGGGTTTTCAACTTCCAGGAATGATAAAAAAGTGAGTACAAGCAGAGGCTAGCTTTTCTGACATTTCCACTAGGAAAAGAAGGAAGAAAAGCCTGTTTGGAAAAGAATCAATAGGAACATTAGGTAAATATTATTTTTAGGGACAACCTGGCAATGAACCCTTCAGAGCATAAACAAAGCAGTGATTAGGACACTACATTGTGCTCAACCTTCCTCAGGGGGTTTTCACACATTTTTTAGTTTTTCTTGTATGGTGAGCATACTATGCTCTTAGGCTTATCATAGTTCTATCCTTCAGTCTCTTTCTCTCTCTCTCTCTCTCTCTCTCTCTCTCTCTGTGTGTGTGTGTGTGTGTGTGTGTCTACATGCACATTTACAATGCATTACTAGGTAAACTAAACAGGGTGCTGATGGATCAAGTGAGCTGAGCCATGACAATGGGAGTGAGGACATTCATCCATGTATATGTTTGCAGGAAGGCTAGGATAAGTGTCTGTACCTAAGTTAACAGGGAATCAAGCAAGCACTTCAGAAAGTTAATATTTCTAAATCTTACTAAACTGCTAGATTAATAATAAAAGTTACGTAGATATTTGCCCATTGAGGAAAAAAGTACTCTCTTCTTAACCACAACCTTGGTATGAGATTTAAGAGGTAAAATGCATAGAGAATACACATCCTTATTGCAAAAGACACCCATCTTCTCTGTAAAATAACATGTCATTTTTGCTAATTTGGATAATATTAATTTTTATCTGTAAAATGGGAAAAATAGTAACTGTCTAACACAGATGTTAAATAATTTTTTTGTGATGCTAATGTATGCAAAGTGATAGAACAATAATTAGTTCTAATCAGACCATTGGTAAAAGGTGGTTGGTGATGTTATTGTGGTGGTTATTTTAACTGTTTTTATACATATCTGTTTGATGGCTTTTCATTGGAATTGTTTGCGACTAGAGACTGACATAGAGGAGCTTTTCATATACCTCAAGAGTTTGGAAAATGAGACAATATTATTTAATTGACAAAACTGCATAGTTAATAGGATTAAGAAAAATTATTACAAATTATAGTGACTTGTTCATTAAGCTTTATTTATGATAGCCAAGCTTTCTAGTTTACATAACATTATTTCCCACTGCTAATGTCGATACCTGTGGTTTAAGAATAATGTAGGCATTAAACACTAGATGATAATCCATATTTTCATCTTCAAATACATTGTACACTCTTTTACACAGACTTTGATATTGAGTTCCTAGTCTTTGAGATAACTGAAATAGCATCAGTGTTATGTTCTTTAAATGATATGCACTAATGGGGAAATTTGATTCTAGCTTCTGCCCATACCAGCCAATATAATCATTAATCACCACTTCTGAAATTGCTACTTGGAAAAAAAAAGTTTAAACAAATGTCTTTAAACCCATTATTTATAATTCTTTCCATAATATAAATAAAAAGCTGACCCTTTAATTTTGTAGCTGGGCATAATAAGAGTAAGGAAAGAAGTTTACAGTCTACTTCAGCAGCTGTGGCTAGAGTTGTTAAAGATAGCTTTTGCTGACTTGGAAAGTTCATCTTAGAAAAAAAAATCCATAGCTTCTTTGTATTAGTCCATTCTCATGCTGCTATGAAGAAATATCCCAGACTGAAAAATTTAGAAAGAAAAGAAGTTTAATTGTCTCACAGTTTGGCATGGTTGGGGAGGCCTCAGGAAAAACAATCATGGCAGAAGTCACCTCTTTACTGGGTCACAGGAGAGAGAATGAATGCCAAGCAAAGGGGGAAGTCCTTTATAAAACCATCAGATCTTGTGAGAACTCACTCACTATCATGACAACAGCATGACAGAAACAGCCCCCATGATTCAGTTATCTCCACCTAGTCTCACCCTTGACACCTGGGGATTATTACAATTCAAGGTGAGATTTGGGTGGGGACACAGAGCCAAACCATATCATTCCCAAAGTCCCCCAATGTCTTAACTCTTTCCGGCATCAATCCGAAAGTCCAAGTCTGAAGTCTCATCTGAGACAAAGCAAGTCCCTTCCACCTATGAGTTTATAAAATCAAAAGCAAGTTAGTTCCTTCCTAGATACAATGTGGGTACAGGCATAGGGTAAATACACCTGTTCAAAATGGGATAAATTGGCTGAAAACAAAGAGGCTACAGGCCCCATGCAAGTCTGAAATCCAGCAGAGCAGTGAAATCTTAAAACTCCAAAATGATCTCCTCTCACATCCAGGTTATGTTGATGCAAAATATGGGCTCCCTTGGCCTTGGGTAGCTCCACCCCTGTGGCTTTGCAGGGCACAGCCCCACTCCTGGCTGCTTTCATGGGCTGGCATTGTATCTGCTGTTTTTCCAGGCTCACAGTGTGAGCTGTTTGTGGTTCTACCATTCTGGGGTCTGGAGAATGGAGGCCCCCTTCTCATAGCTCCACTAGGCAGTGCCCCAATGGGGACTCTATGTGAGGGTTCTGTTCTGACCCCACATTTCCCTTTTGCATTGCCCTAGCAGAGGGTCTCCATGAGGGTTCTGCCCCTGTAGCAAACTTCTGCCTGGACTTCCAGGCACGTCCAAATATCCTCTGAAATCTAGGTAGAGGTTCCCAAACCTCAATTTTGACTTCTGTGCACCCACAGGCCCAACATCATGTGTAAGCTGCCAAGGATTGGCGCTTGCACCCCCTGAAGCAGTGGCCTGAGCTGTATGCTGGCCCCTTTTAGCCATAGCTGGGATGCAGGGCACCAAGTCCTGAGACTGCACAAATGAGCAAGGCCCTGGGCCCAGCCCAGGAAAGCATTTTTCCCTGGGCCTTTGATGGGAGGGGCTGCCGTGTAAATCTCTGCCATGTCCTGGAGACACTTTCCCCATTGTCTTGGTGATTAACATTTGGACTCATTACTTATGCAAATTTCAGTAGCTAGCTTGAATTTCTCCTCAGAAAATGGGTTTTTCTTTTCTATCACAATTGTCAGGCTGCAAATCTTTCAAACTTTTATGCTCTGCTTCCTCCTTTTAAACATAAGTTCCAATTCCAAACTATATCTTTTTGAAAACATAAAACTGAATGCTTTTAAGGGCACCCAAGTTAACTCCTGAATGATTTACTGCTTAGGAATGTATTCTACAAGATACCCTAAATCATTTCTCTCAAATTCAAAGTTCCACAGATCTCTAGGACAGGGACACCAGTCTCTTTGCTAAAGCATAGCAATGATCACCTTTATTCCGGTTGTTAACAAGTTCCTCATCTCAATCTGAGACCACCTCAGCTTGGACTTCATTGTCCATATCACTATCAGCATTTTGGCCAAACCCATTCAAGAAGCCTCTAGGAAGTTTCAAACTTTCCCACACCTTCCTGTCTTTTTCCAAGCCCCCCACACTGTTCCAATTTCTGCCTGTTACTCAGTTCCAAAGTCACTTCCACACTTTTGGGTATCTTTACTGCAGCAACCCAATACCTGGTACTAATTTACTGTATTAGTCCATTCTCATGCTCCTAGGAGGAAATACCCAAGACTGGGCAATTTACAAAGAAAAGAACCTTATTTGACTCATGGTTCTGCATGGCTGGGGAGGCCTCAGGAAACTTACCATCATGGCAGAAGGCACCTCTTCACAGGGTGGCAGGAGAGAGTATGAGTGCTGAGCGAAGGGGGAAGCCCCTTATAAAACCATCAAATCTTGTGATAACACACTCACTATCAAGAGAACAGCCACAATTCAATTATCTCCACCTGGTCCTGCCCTTGAACACATGGGGATTACTGCAATTCAAGGTGAGATTTGGGTGGGGACACAGAGACAAGCCATATCATTCTTCTTGTCAGGAATGATGAAAGTTTTAGATTTTCTCTCTGGCTAATATCACTATTGGCAAGAAAAAGGAATTATGAGACACATTTTAGCAAAAGAGAATTTTACCATCTATGAAAAGATTAAGCCTTATTATGAATTCAATTTATAAAGTTTAGTGTCACCAAGAGATATTTCAGCTGTAGACTTTGACTATAGCAATATGCTTTAGTTCTAATTTAAAGTGACCAGAGACTCAACTGACAAAGGAAGGACATTCTATGACATAGAAAATCAGACACGACTTGGCTGTATTCTAATTCTCTCCACATTTTTTTTTCTTGAAAACTCTTTGTGATCGTCAGTGTTCATAGAGAATTTTACGCCCATTCTTATGTAGCAAAAAGCCTCCCTGTAATTTCTAACAACCAGGAACTAAAGAGATGAAGAGAAAAACACTCCTATTTGTCCTCAGACTGCAGACCTACTTTCTTTCTCCCTCGCCCCCTAAAGTTATATAGAATCTCACAGCAGCTCAACAAGTAGTTGGAATAAAATATGTTTAAAGGATATAATCCTGCAGGCTGAAAAGCCACCAAGTCCCAGGAGTTTTCACCTTAAAGACGTTTTGGAGCCCCAGGATTTGGAATTTTCCAGCATCTTCCTCCTAGAAATAAAACCACCAGGGGAAAGGAGTGAGGTTGTTATATTCTGCTTCCTTTTCTAGTGCTACTCTGAATCATTTTCTATTTCTATTCTTAAATCCTTTACAACTGAAATACTTTGCTTGGTTGAAGACTGAAATGTTGCTGCATCTCAAATAAAGACAACACTTGTTCCTAGAGCAATTGAGACAAGACTGGAATTGAAGCACGAAACAGGATTTATCTTAAACACTCTCTTTTTTAATGTCAGATTATTTCCATTTCTGGCACATGGTCAGAAAGTAAAATGGGGAGAGAAATAATACCTGTTCATCTTATAATGTATTTTTATTAGAATTAACTTGGAAAAGAAACAACATTCTGCAGGTTATTTAGTCCACTTATTAAGTGACAGCTAAAGAAAATGACTGTGCTAGCTCTTTCTCATTAATGGAATCATTCCTTGTTTCCCACTTGAGTAGGTAACCCTACAATATATTATCCAAATCCTCCCCCCAAAATGTTGAAAGAGAGAGCAGATGCTACTGATAACTTTGCCAGTACTGTGGGCATTAGTGAGGACCGCCCTGGGCAAACTGGGATGGTTGAGGAGGTAGTGTGGTCATCCTGATTTTGTGAAAATAAAATTACTTTCTGGTAAGATTCATATAACATTTTTTTTATTGTTCTTTCTCCCTTTAATAGTTTTTTGGTGTCACAAAACTGCCATGAACTCCAGCTGTTGTCTGGATGCGATGACCCAGATACAAAAGATCATGTAACCGCTGAAGGCATCAGTGGCTAAGACTGTAACCAGAGCTCATAAGGCTGTACCCATGAAACTCCTTCTAGCAAGATGTACAATCTTCAAGGAAACAATTGACGATTCCTGACTTGTCTGCCCAAACTATTCTCAATCAAGACAATACATAAAGAAAATGAGTCTTCTTACATAAAGATAGGTCAGTTCTTTTTAGTTTCATGTTTCTTATATGAACTATAATTTTCAAGGAGAACAAGGCAAGATGTCTCAGTAGTAACTCTCATGTACAGCTTGCCTTTCCTGGGGGAGTTAAAAATACATAAGAACTTCCCATAAGCATATTACCTGAAAGTGATGATTTTGAAATCATCCATTTTCTCCTTTTATTTTTCAAGAACTTCTTTCCAGATTAAGCTGTACACCTTTGGCAAGGTAACAAGTCTTTACCTCTGACTGCACTGGCTGGGATTAATAGTTGATATTATAAATCAAGAGTTAACCATTAATTACAGGGCTTACGTACAGTAAAAAAAAATTAGAAAAACATTGAATATAAAAATGATGCTTATCTCAGTAAAATCAACTAAATTTGTAAAAAACCCACAAATACTTCCATAGGGCAGAGAAGCTGTAGCAAGTATATTCCAGAATATTTCATTGAAAGTCACATTTTTATTATTTGTATGGATCTATGCAGAAGCAAAATTAATGGTGTTATTAAAGAATATGTATGTGTATGCATCTGTGTGTATATATATGTGTGTGCATATATGTGTGTATTTGTGTGTATGTGTATATGTGTGTGTATATGCATATTTTACGTATACACACATATACACATGTATATGCACACACATATATACATATTCTTTAATAACTCTTAATAATATTAAAGGTATACATATACACACATATATATGTGTACATATACACACATATATACATATATGTGTACATATACACACATATATACACATACACACACGTATATGTACACACATACATATTCTGTAATAACCACTCATTTTGTTTCTGCATAGATCCAGACACATAATAAAAATGTTACTTTCAATGAAATATTCTGTAAAATGCTTGCTACAACTTCTCTGCCTGTGACAGTTAATACTGAGTGTCAACTTGATTGGATTGAAGGATGCAAAGTATTGATCCTGGGTGTGTCTATGAGGGTGTTGCCAAAGGAGATTAACATTGGAGTCAGTGGGCTGGGAAAGGCAGACCCACCCTTAATCTGGGCGGGCACCATCTAATCAGCTGCCAGTGCAGCTAGAATACAAAGCAGGCAGAAAAACGTGAAAAGAGTAGACTGGCCTAGCTTCCCAGCCTACATCTTTCTCCCATCTTGGACCCTTCCTGCCCTGGAACATCAGAAACCAAGTTCTTCAGTTTTGGTACTCTAACAGGCTTTCTGGCTCCTCAGCTTGCAGACGGCTTATTGTGGGACCCTGTGATTGTGTGAATTAATACTTATTAAACTCCTATATATATAATGTATTTATATATATATATCCTGTTAGTTATATTTATATATCCTATTAGCTCTGTCCCTCTAGAGAACGCTGACTAATATATTCCCCTATGGAAGTACAGATGGTTTTTTTAAAATAAATTTATCTGATTGTGATGAGATAATCATCATTTTTATGTTCAGTGTTTTTCTAAATTTTTTATTGTTATTGTTTTTATACTCTAAATGGTTTTTAAATATGCACATATGTGCATATTTTACACACACACACACACACACACACACACACACTCTCTTTATTTAGAAGCATTATAGATAGAGTGCCTGAAAATTAACTTTTAACCAAAGAAAAGACAATAAGAACAATAGGAAGTTATCCTTTGCTAAGGTATGAAAATATTCACATATTATTTATAACAAGTTAAACAAAGTCATGCTTAATATAATAGCTCAAATATTAATGCACAATTTACTTAATAGTTAACGGTCATTTTTTCCTCAAAATAATTCTTTTTATTAACTTTATGAAATTCTAAGTTGAAAAGCCCCTTTCATACCACCTTGCACATGTGCTTAAGGTGATGTTTCCAGTAATTGATATTCTACATTTCAGAGTGGCTGATGTTGGGAGCTGCCCCCTTTAGGAAGGGTGCTCCAACAGATCCCATTTCTGGTTGGCAGAAACACACTGTACTCCTGGTAGTTTCCAGGAATCTTCAAATCTCAATTTCACTGTGTCAGAATTTTCACTTTTTCACTTGCTCAGTTGAACATAGCAGTGATTCAAAGCAGGAGCTTTAAGAAGAGGCGCCCCAGAGTCTCCATTAATAGTTCTGTGGGAGAAGGTTACTTGGCTAACGCAACATTCAATTGTCCACCAGGGGCATGGTGATTCTCTTTAAAGCTCCACATGGGCTAGAAAGAAACAGTATCAGCTTCTGAGAGTTTTGCCTATTTGGTAGTAAGAACGGTGTGTAATATTTATTCACTAATGTGTATGTGGAGGTGGATGAGATTCAGGGACTAAAAAAAAGAGAGAAAGGGTATTTGCTTTCCAGAGAGAAGTATTCCCTACTCGCCCACAGCCTTCATTAAAAAAGAAGAACCAGGCCTACTCTATCTGTGCTTTGTTTGTGTGTGTGTAATAACAGTAATGCCAAAGAGGCCAGTGAAATAAATTAGGATTCTGATTTTCTAAGTACTGGGAAATGTGATAGATTGAAACACCCAAGCCGCTCTTGCTTGATGAGAGCATTTCTAAACTTGGCAAATGTGTGTATTTCCTTTATGTCCCTTTACTGAATTTCCTCATATTCCTTTTTCTTATCCTGGATATTCCCTTCTGAATCTCAGACAACTTCTTTCTTCCTTGGTTGCTGTTTAGTTGTGTTTGTTTTTAGCTTAAGAATTCTGTTTGCAGTGACTGACAAGGCGTGGTGCTTTTAGTAAGCAATGTAATGGCGAATGCAGGAGCAGAGGCTTGGGAGTCAAATAGAAAGCTGAGATTTGGGTCCCAGATCCTTTCCCTGGAGTGTGATCTTATGCAGGTTGCCCTTAAAGCCTCATAAACTGATTGCTTGTTTGTTAAATAGACACACTACTGCCTAGTTCATGGGGAGTAAGAAATAAATTACACGATGTTCATAAAGCCCTTATTATGAATACAATGTCTGAAACATACTATGTATTTAGTTAGCTCATATTATCAACAGTTAAAGGGAGTGCAAAACTGCTCTTAGTCAAAATCTGCGTCCTCCAAATGTTGGCGCTACTGGTGTCTCATGGCTGCCTGCCTCAGAATCAACAGCCTTCCAGGGGGCTGGGGTGGACACGTTCTTCTGCTTTCTCCTGTTTTCCTGCCTTGTTTCCATTCTAACACTCAAGAACATTACTGGAGGTGTTCTGAAGAAATAAGAAAGTGAAGGTAGAATGCAAGGGAAAAGCAAATGTTTTTCTTTTTAATGTAAACACATACTTAAAACATGTGTTCTACCATTGCAACTCAGACCCCAATAAGGGCTATCACCGTATCTTCTCAGCATTACCTGACCAGGTTTTGGTCATATTTTTCCTCACGACTGCTGTTCGTTATCATGTGGTCAAGATTGTCTTCTAAGTTTTCCCCTGAAGTGTAGATGAATTTTAGATCCTCCTTTACATAAACACAATTGCAGAACTCTTCCTGAGCTGGAAGCTTCTGGTGGCTTTATCTTGAGGAAGAGCTTTGCTGCTGAAAAATTTATCTTCTAATTCCAACTCTTCCTGCCCAACTTGAAACTTGGACCAAAAAAACAATAACAGTTCTCTATGTTTACCAGCTTTCTGTTTCTAGCTGATAAGCAGCACAATGAGGCATGAATTTCAGAAGGAGTGGCATATAAACATTGTAAATCTGAGGCAGTAACTGCAATATGCTTGCCATTGTGCCTGACTTCATGGCATGCTCCTAGAGAAACATGCTGATGTGTTAATTTCAAGTATTTATATTAGTAGAGTTTTATAATAACTGCTTGTTTCCCAAATAGAACCTCCTCATATGAAGCTAACTAAGATATTCCCAGACATCATCTTTCCAGCAGAATGAATCCCGTGAATACTGTGGTCTAGCTCCAGTTCTCTCCAGGCCCCAAACTGTGGAAAGATAAGAAATAATTAAAATTCTTCAAAAGTTGACATTATATTCTGTTTGCCACTGCCTTGGTGCTCTGAGTTTCTTGCAATGGTACTTATATTTGCTTTTTGTAGTCTACATTTAATAATCTATTTTGATTTTATTGAAAAAAGATTTGACTAAAATAAGTTATTCTCAGGAAATATCTTGAATTAAAATATAAGGATTTAAGAGTCAACATTGACTGTGATACCCTGGAAGGGGTACATAATTGATGATTAATCATATTTCTGTGATCTACCATTAACTTTCAGATCAGAACCATCAGCCCAGTTGCATCTTCTAAAGCTAAAACTCCATATCCAATTGCCTCCTAGACCTGCCCACTTGGATGTCTAAGAGGCAACTCAAACTCAAGAGGTTAAAACAGCATTCACTATTATGTCCTACCTTCCATTATTATTTCTGTCCCTGTTTCTTTACCCTGATTAATATTAACATCATCCATCCAATTTCCTGAACCCATTAACTAATATCTCATTCTAGAAATTACCATGTCCTGCTGATTCTCTATGTTAAATAACCACAGATCCTCAGTGACACTACTGTAGCCCTCATCATATCTAGCCCAGACATTAGAATAATATCTCAATTCACTCTAATCTGCCATTCAGTTTTCTCTTCTAAGTCAAAAACAGTGATCTCTCTAAAAACAATGGATGTATAATTGTATATTCAAAATGCAGGCGTGTCTGGAAAGCACAACCACGGTGCTTACTACAGAATGGTTACCAAAGAAATGTTAATTCAACATATGGTGGCACATCAAGGAATTTTAATTATTGGAGGGTTTTTAGAATGATCATCCTCATTTAGTTCAGAGGATTATTTGAATTGGATGTGAGCAAAAATTAAGAGAGAAACAGTGAGTAGTTCAGAAATTAGGACATTAGATCAGGACATTCATAATAAATTTCTGAGTCTGACACATAGAAATGATGGAATGGAGATTTTCTTATTCTGTTTGGGCTGCTATAACAAAATACCAGAAATTGTGTATCTTATAAATAACAGAAATTTATTTCAGTTCCGGAGGCTGGGATGTCTACCATCAAAGGGCCAGTAGATTCAGTGCCTGGTAAGGGCCTGCTCCCTGGTTCATAGATCCTGCTTTCTCACTTGCTGTCCCTTCACATGGTGGAAGGGGTAAGCCAGCTCTCTGGGATGTCTTTTATAAGGACATTAAATCATATTTATGAAGCCTCCTTCCTCATGATCTAACCTCCTCCAAAAAGCCCCAGTCCTAATAGCACCTTACTGGTGATTAGATTTCAACAGAAAATTTTACAGGGATACAGACATTCAGACTATTGCACAGGTTAAAAAGTGAAAGCTCCTTAAGAAGAAGAAAAAGAATTGGAGATAAAATAGCAGGTAGTTAAAAACATTACTATCTTTGAAATCACCCAAAGCAATTTTGTGGGGTTGAAAAAGAAAAATTGATGCAAGAACCCCATAAATATCAAAATTTAAGAGAAAAGAAAAAAAAAGTAGTAGTAACCAGCATATTTATTAACAGCTACTACTTTAAAATATTATGATAATTTACCTATCTACACCATCTCACACAATGTTAGAACAAAGTCATTGAGTATTTAGAAAAGAAAAGTAAACTTAGGGTAGACTAACACTCAAATAGGAAAGAAGTTGCAAAATTCAAGAAACAGGGAATTCAATAAACCAAACACTCAGAGAGATTAAATGGACTAAAAATCATTTGATTTGGAAGATAAGAGGTCATACTACTTTAAGAGAAAATATTTTACAGTGTGCAGGAGATTACTATTATGTTGGGTTTAGCACGAAAGGAGTTGGCTTAGAAACTGGAGAAATAGCTATAGATATTTTATTTTATGATTAACCATAAAATAAAAGGCAGTAGGTTGTTTACCAGTGAAATCTGTAAGGTTTTCTTTACTTTTGTTTTACTTTCTTTAGTTTATCTTAAGTTTTTTAAAAATTAATTAATTTATTTATTTTTAATTATACTTTAAGTTCTAGGGTACATGTGCTACAATAAACATATGTGTGCATGTGTCTTTATGGTAGTATGATTTATAATCCTTTTGGTTTATACCCAGTAATGGGATTGTTGGGTCAAAATGTTAATTCTAGTTCTAGATCCTTGAGGAATCGCCACACTGTCTTCCACTATGGTTGAACTAATTTACACTCTCACCAACAGTGTAAAAGTGTTCTTATTTTTCCACATCTTCTCCAGCATCTGTTGTTTCCTGACTTTTTAATGATCGCCATTCTAACTGGCATGAGATGGTATCTCATTGTGGTTTTGATTTGTATTTCTCTGATGACCAGTGATGATGAGCATTTTTTCATGTGTCTTTTGGCTGCATAAATGTCTTCTTTTGAGAAGTGTCTGTTCATATCCTTTGCCCACTTTTTGATGAGGTTGTTTGTTTTTTTCTTGTAAATTTGAGTTCTTTGTAGATTCTGGATATTAGCCCTTTCTCAGATGGACAGTTTGCAAAAATTTTCTCCCATTCTGTAGGTTGCCTGTTCACTCTGATGGTAGTTTCTTTTGACATGCAGAACATCCTTAGTTTAATTAGATCCCATTAGTCTATTTTGACTTTTGTTGGCATTGCTTTTGGTGTTTTAGTCATGAAGTCCTTGCCCATGCCTATGTCCTGAATGGTAATGCCTAGGTTTTCTTCTAGGGTTTTAATGGTTTTAGGTCTAACATTTAAGTCTTTAATCCATCTTGAATTGGTTTTTGTGTAAAGTGTAAGGAAGGGATCCAGTTTCAGCTTTCTACATGTGGCCAGCCAGTTTTTTTTTTTTTAATTGGCAAAATTTGAATATGTCTTATAGGTAAGGGAAACAACAGTAGAGAGGAAAAAGTCAAAGATAAAGGGGTCAGAAGCATAAATGAATAAGGTATCAGGTGAAAGGATTCAGAGAGAAGGTAGACAAACTAGCCTGGGAGAGCCAAGTGGCAGGGAAGGGGGCAGTCATTTGCACCTCTAGTATTGAATAAGTGAAGAAAATACAGGTAGGACTACAACTAAGAGTGGTGAGTTATGTGGGGATGGGAGTAAATTTATGCTTAATAACTGGTTTCTCCATGAGTAGGAAGTGAGATGGAAGTTTGCCCTTGTTCTGTTCCTGGAGTCAGTTTGAAAAGTCCATCTTCCTGACTTCTTCAATGTAACCTACTATAATCAGGTTAACCCTTGATTCCTAGGTTGGGAAAATAAGAAAGCAGAGATCAGCATTGACAAGTGAGAACTTGACCTTCCTAAAAACTTTGCCTCCCCCCAGTAAATAGATGCCAAATATCAATATTAATTCATTTGATAACCATTAATTAAATATATATGTCAGATATTGGGATAATTGCTTGTGTTTACGAGGACAAAAAAAAAAACTTTTGATGAATTCAATATCCAGTAAACAAATTACTGACATGTTAAGAAAAATACTAAATACCTCCATTAGTAATTGAGAAACATTAAATCACTGTAGAAAACGGATAGAGATAGCAATATGGAGATCTACCCAATTATGGAAACTTTGAATGTTAGAAATGGAAGGAGCTTTAGACAATGTCATTTTCAACCCCTTGATTTTATGAATCTGAAGGATAGGAAAGGTAAAAGATTATATAAGCCAATGATTTTTTCCCTCTCGGTCTCAACAACAAACAACTGAAACACCACAGAAGGACTCAAAAAGATATTAATGTGCATTAGCTTAACAATCCAAATTTCAGAGTAAAATAATGTAATGGATTGTAATATTTTCCACTTAAAAGATAGGACACAACTTGAAACTGATGAACGTAGCTTCTGCCCAGGTTCTGGGAAATATGTCTGGGTACTAAATTTCTTTCAGAGTATAACAGCCAGTAGGAAATAGCAAATGAGATTTAAAAAAGAAAATTTTGCAAGGCAATAAAAATGTTTTATGATGGATAGCTAGTCTGAAAGGTAAGAAACTCAACATTCAGGAAGGTACTCTACAGAGACCTGAACTAATTTTTCAAAATACTTTTGGATGAGAGGCTCTCTGCGTTGGCAAAAGCCCAGCAATTGGAACATTTGATATATTTTCTGTACAAGAAAAGTAGGATGCAAACTTGCAAATGCTTAGGCTTATGTTAGTTACCAAGAGCAAGAATGAGGGCTGAACAATTTAATAATAGTGCTACACATAAGACTAAATGATCTCTGGTTGCTCTCTACTGCTAATAAATAGATACATTTTGGATTTTCTTGTGATTTGTGCATCAGGGACAATGTAGAATATCAGAAATCAATAAATCAGTCACTCACTATTTTGCAGAGATTTCAAACTACCTGTGGTATGGCATATGCTAAAAATCCAGTCATGTTTTAGTTCCTAACCTAAAGTAAGTAGCAATGTTGACACAGCTGTTAACACTTTTAAACCTGTTCTCCAATATCCAGCAATAACTACCCCTCCTGGTGATTAACTTGTTTGAAAAAGGATTACTATTCTGTCAGTATGACTTAATGGTAGCTACTGTTTGCAGGATTCATTGTGCGGTGGTAGTGTAGCAAATATATATATATAATATATATATATTTGTGTATATATGTATATATTTTTGTATATATGTATATATTTTAAAAATATATGTATATTTTTTGCAAAAACTATTAATGAGTATGTTCTTTTAAGACACAAATACACAGGGAAGAGAATTATTGCCCAGGAAATAAGCATAACTGAAAATTTTATTTATCTTCTGTTTCTTAGAAGAGGTAAGTGCAGTTTGCACGATATTAGGCACTGTGGGCTATAATTATGTTTAACTTTGGTGAGTTTTAATTACATAAATTCATCTAATAAAAAGAAATAGGGTAATAGATTAGACAGATAAAGGAGAATAAACAGGTGAAATAGTCATGAAAATTAAAACAAAATGAGTACAGCAGTTCCTATGTATAATGTATGTAAAAATAACTTTTAGCATTTTAATGGCAGTATTTCAGAATCAATTCTGTGGATAAGGAAACACATAAGTGGGCCAGGCGGGATGGCTCACGCCTGTTATCCCAGCACTTTGGGAGGCCAAGGGGGGTGGATCGCTTAAGGTCAGGAGTACCCAGCCTGGCCAACATGGCGAAGCCCTACCTCTACTGAAAATACAAAAATTAGTGAGGTGTGGTGGCGCATGCCTATAATCCCAGCTACTTGGGAGGCTGAGGGAGGAGAATCACTTAAATCTGGTAGGCGGAATTTGCAGTGAGCAGACACCTTGCCACTGCACTCCAGCCTGAGCAACACAGGGAGACTCTGTCTCAAAAAAAAAAAAATGGCCAAGCTCGTTGGCTCACGCCTGTAATCCCAGCACTTTGGGAGGCCAAGGTGGGCAGATCACCTGAGGTCAGGAGTTTGAGACCAGCCTGACCAACACGGAGAAACCCCATCTCCACCAAAAATACAAAATTAGCTGGACGTGGTGGCGGGCGCCTGTAATCCCAGCTACTCGGGAGGCTGAGGCAGGAGAATCACTTGAACCCGGGAGGCGGAGGTTGCAGTGAGCCAAGATCAGGCCATTGCACTCTAGAGCAATACTCCATATCAAAAAAAAAAAAAGAAAACACATAAGGGTATATCGAAACGAGAGATTTGAAGAATGTCAAAGCATATTCCCAAGAACTTTTAAAGATAAACATTCAATGTTGCATAAGTATATTTAAAACTAGTGATAAACTCCTTATGTTTATAGAATTTTACTACCATAAAGACCAAATCCATTTACAAATTAAATCAATGTAAAACTATAACCAATAAAATTCTAATTAGCACTAATACTATGTGATATACGATGTTTTATAAAATTAATTTGTGATGCTGACTTTCATCATGTAATACCTTGCTTTATGTCTACTTGATTCTTTTGAAATTGAACATGATAAACTATCATTTTAATCATCATTCTGAGAATTATCTTTGTAATTTATCCTTTTAGAACAATTTAATTTCTTTTAAAAACATTATTTTCTTATTTTGATAGACCATCCTTGAACTGATATTAAAATATTTTTAAAATGTAAAAAAAATTATTAAAGATTTTGTGTATTACTAGTAACTTGGTACAAATATATACATTTGGAGTCCAAGAACCACATCAATCAGTCACAGTGGTTGTAGTGGTCTATACTCTCTTGCGGATCTGGTCAGGGCTCAATTCTCTTCTTCCTTTTTCTGTACAAATTACGGAGAAAACTTTGTACATTATAGCATAATATTTTATGACAAGCTTGGGACCAAAACATTAAACACAAATGAAAATATTGGCATCAAATTTTTATGCCATATTCCCGAGTATCACTTTATTAACTTCTTTAAAAGACTAGTATGAAGATGAAAACATAAAATATTGACAAAACTAATACTATTGTCTACATCAGTGTGGTAGACAGAATATTGGGCCACCCCAAAGTTGCCCTCACCCTAATTCTTAGAATGTGTAAATACGTTATTTTACATTGCAAAAGGGACCTTGTAGACATGATTAAAATTATCAACTTTGAAATGAAGACATTATTCTGGATTATCCAAGTGGGTCTAATCTGTTTATATGAGTTATTGAAAGTTGACAGTTTTTTCCTGTGGAGATTAGGGAGAGTTGCGAGTTCCTCGTCAGACTCTTGACCTACACAACTGCAAAATAATGCATATCTTTTGAGCAACCAACTCTACAGTAATTCATTACAGCAGCCATAGAAAATTAATTCAGTTATTCTGCAAATAAATAAAATGTTGATCACCATAATCTATGGTCTGATGGTAGACGTGGTCAGATCTAAGTTAAAAGCAGTGTGATTATTGCTGAAATATGGAAAGAAAGTGGTACAATGGATTTAAGAGAAGCATGAAAGTAGACTTGGTTTAAGGAGTAGATGATATCTACAAAATGTGAACGAAAGTGGAAGATAAGTAGGATCTGTCAAGGAAGGGTCAGGATGCTCTAGCAAGCGTGTGTCATTGGGCGGGCAGCAAGAGAGCACAGCATGTGGTGGGAACTAACTTAAGTACCCTACTGTGAGTGCAGTGTAAGAATATCTAAGCCAGCTTGTAGCGTTTGGAATGTATACTGTGGGAATGTGTTTTCTGCAAGCATGTAACAATGTTCTAGAACTGAGTCGTTGATATTGGGATCTTCGTGTATTGTAGAACACAGAAATGCCAGTTTACATTTGATTTCTTTGGTAAGAACTGAGAAACTTCTTCTTGTGTAATAATACAACAATGGGAGATTTTGCTTCTTGCAAGACCAGAAAAGAACTTCGCTATTAGTAAGAGCTTTGAACTATCAAATTGTTTTTCTTTTCGTTTCTTTCTGTCTCACAAACCTACCTTGTTATATATTTTAATTAAAAAATACTTAATAACTTAGAATACAAGCTATTTTTAGTCTTTGGTTTAAATAGAAATTAAAATAATAGTGAAAAATGCTAATAGCTTTGTTGATAACACAATTTTTATATAGCTTAGAATGATTAAAGAACGATTCTCCAATAAAAAGTCTCGAGTCAAATCTTAACAAGTTTCATCTATGCATTATCTCTTATTTAGGTCACATTAGAATGGATAGCAGGGAAGACAGCTTACATGGTTGAGCACATGATGGGAGAGGTACTATGCCCATGTTCTGGACACAGAGAAAAAAATCTTGAATCTTTCACCTTGAAGAATTTTGTACTTTTGGAACAGAGACATGGATACGTGAATAAATCATAGTGAATAAATCATTAGGTTATTGTCTCTCTTGGGTAAGTTACTTAAATAGCTGACCCAAGCTTTTCGACTTCTGTGGCTCCATCATCCATACACATTCAGTATTCTTCTTATTAAATGTTATTCTATAGCATCTCAGGGTTTTTTACTGGAGTCTTAGAGAGTGCTCTGGAAGAGGGGGCAGAAAGGATGAAACACAGTGCACTACTTCAAACAGAGAAGTTTCACCAGTGTCTGTTTTACTGACTGTCATCTATATACTTAACAAAATTATATTTTGAAAAACATAAAGATTTGACAAAGCGTTGCAATGCTTTCATATGTTAAGTGTCTTCCAGGTCCAAGATTCTGTGATGCAGGTTTCTGTGTTTTTTTTTCTTTTTTTTTTTTTTTTTTCATTTTATTGCAGTTGGCCTTTTGATACCATTTTAAATTTGGGTAAGAACAGGAGCTCCCACTAAGATTTGCTTTCCAATTTCCTTGCAAGAAAAGCCAGAAACAGCTGTTAGACACAGATTTGATGGGAGCTTATCATGTTTCCAAGCACCAAGAAAAAATTCTAAACTTAGGGTCCAGCCATTTCAGGTAGAAGGTTTATAAACAGAAATGAAACATTACATTGCATAGTACAATCATGGTTAATCTCAGGGTATAATGTTTTAGATTTTGAAACATCATTCTCCCTTTTCTTTTCTCTATATGTATTGGATTACCCCATTTTGATCATTTCACTGCTCATTAACATTTCCATAAAAATACAGACCAGAAAAGGAGGCAGATGTATAAAATATACATTTAATGTGTATTATTAGTAACTTTTCCTGAAAGTTAGAATGGAGAAAAAGTTGAAACTATGAGCTAATAGAACTTTGAAGTTATTTATCATTTTCATTTATTGGTGCCTTGCTACTATTCAGTGAGCTAAGCATGGATAATTGAGAGTCTGTCATGAAATAAGGGTCCTTGAAATTACAATTTTAAATATAAATGATTGTAAAGTCAAGTCATACACACGCTACTAACTTGTAGTTATAATAGATGGATTCAAAGATCTTTTTGCTTATTCAGGAATATGCTATTTCCTTCTAGTCAGCCACCATTTATTTAGTTGGAAAGCAACTGGGGATATGAAGACATATAAAGTAGGAGAGTAGGAGAAATAGTATCATCTTGGCTGCAAGAATATTACAAAAGGAAAACAAGGAGAGAGATAGACAGAAAGAGAGAGAGAGAAATATCCATATGAGCCCTAGTCCAGAGTATATGAATACTCTTAACCTACTACAATAGTGCCTGGCTGAATGGTTTGTGGTCCAACAGAAAGTAGGCTTTCTAAGGAATAAAATAACGAAATATTATTTAGGGGCCAGGTGCAGTGGCTCACACCTGTAATCCCAGCACTTTGGGAGGCTGAGGTGGGAGGATCACCTGAGGCCAGGATTTCAAGACCAGCCTGAGGAACATAAGGAGACCCCATCTCTACAACAACAACAACAACAACAACTAATAATAATAATAATAATAATAAAACAGGAGTGGTAGCACGTGCTTGTAGTCCTAACTACTCAGGAGATATGCAAGAAGATTGTCTGAGCCCAGGAGTTCTACTCTGCAGTGAGCTATGATCATGCCACTTCACTCCAGTGAAGTGTATATATATATACACACACACACAGTGTGTATATATATATATACACATATATACTTATACAGTGTATATATATACACACATATATACATATATGTATATATACATGTATGTGTATATACACACTTATACAGTGTGTATATATACATGTATGTATACATATGTATTCTGTATATATACATATGTATATGTATTCATATACAAGTATGTGTATATATACATATATGTATATATACATATATGTATATATACACATACAGTATATATATACAGTGATATATATATATACACAGATATATATATATCACTGTATATATATATATATATACACACACACATATATATATGTTTGTGTATAAAACTGAGAATTATTGGTACATTAGTTCCAATAGAGCAAACTTCTTTTGCTCTATTTAGAAACATTCAGGCTTTTTGTTCCTTCTGTTCTTCCTTCCTGTGGATGATTTTGTGTGTGCCCAGTTTGTTTTTCCTGAAACTGTGTAGATGGCTCTGTCTCTCAAATAATCCCATCCACTTCCTTTCGGACTTTTAAAGATGGTTATCAACCAATTATCATATTACAACATTAAAATATATCTCATTTTTCTCGTCAGAATGCCAAGATAATTTTTATTTACATTACTTTTTATTGCAAATCCATTACTCAGTGATGAGATTAAAGATTAGATCATGAAGCCTTCCCACTTCTGTTATTTACTTTTGCTTAATCAAATTGCTGTCCGTGAAACTTTGAGCATCCACAGGAGAACATGGCTGTAGCCAGAGGTGTCTGGTCTATTTGGCTATTATTTACACACACCTGAATTCTCAGACAATTAGTTCTAAGCACGGACATAAAGGAACCCTGCAGGCACGAGCGTGGCCAGCCATTCCTCAGATGGTCTAGAGGTTTATCTCTTTGCATGAGCTGTGTCTTCTCATGCTTGCAGGACAAACATGCTGCCTTCTGATCTTTCCTATGCTTTGCTGCTCCCGCACGTTCCGTTCCTGCAGTTTTTGACAAACGTGCTCACAGATGTTGTATCTCCTGGATCAAGCCTCCCTTTAGAGCTATTCTAAATCGTTTCTGGAGACTTTCTTACATGGTCCCAACTGTTGTAATTTAAAATTGCTGTTTGGGGACGCAGATTCCATTCTCCGTCATCTCTGTTTCCTAAGTACTTTTTGCTACAGTGGAACTGGAAATTGTTCTGCAATTTAAACAGTACTTTGTAGGAATTTCTAGCCATACGATTTTACCTTCACTTTTATAAAAAGTTTGGCCAACATTTTCTTGTGTTGTTGCCTACAAGAGGGAAATAATAGCCCACTAAAAGATCTGTGTTTTTTGAAAAATAGATTTTGTACTGATGAAAAATACCATATAACGTCACAGTAATTTCCTATATGCTTCAACTTGTACCTTGTACCACCATAGAGAGGCAGAGCAATGTTTTCCTTCAAAAATGGATATGTGGAGCTGTGAGAAGGATCCTCTTTGCTGTCAAGCGTGAAACTAATAGAGGAACAGTGCCTTCATTATAATCGTAACAAATCTTTATTATGTGTCGTTTTACCTAGCACATTGTAACAAATTAGTACTTCCGCTATTAAGAAAAAACAGGAAAAATATCTATTGTATTTAATAAAGGGTGGAGAAGTTAGATAACTGAAAAAATGTATGTAAGCAATACATTGTGTAATCTACGCATGTAACGAAATTGCACTTGTACCACATTGATGTACATAAATAAATTTTAAAAAGGGTGTGACCATTTTGTGTTCATCATAATATGAAATACACTTCAGCTTTGTCATTTTGCTTATCTTCCTAAATATTTCCAGTGAGATTGTCAGTTCTTAGAGGGCCTGAGGCTACGAGTAGTAAATTCATTCATTTACTTAGTCATCTTTTCCTTTACCAAATAATAACAGCCAGCTTATAGTGAACATCTCATTCTTATAAAGCACTGTACCTCTTCATTACAAGATGGCTCATTTGAGGCAGGCCATTTAATCTCTCCATGCTCATATCCTTATCATTAAATTTGGGAGAAAAAATTGGCCCTTTCTCATAGTTTATAGGATTCTTGTGACAATAAAATCAGACAGTATGCTTAAAGCATATAGCAAGGGGCTGGCACTTAGTAAGTGCAAGTAAACGTTAATATAATCTTACAAACAAAGAAACTCATTTAATTTGCCCCAAAGCCCTACAAAGTAATTATTGTTCTCATTCAATGAGTCTCATTTCCGGATGCAGAAATTAAAGCTCAGATAAGTCATTTAGCTTACTCAAAGTCTCATAGCACAAAGACAATGGGGTTAGAATTTAAATCCTACTTTGGTTTGCTGCACACTAGGCTACTGTCCCCATTTACATCTTGTCTCTCATTTCTTGAGCAGCTGCTATACAGAAGCGCTTGCCAGGCCTTAGGGACTCATGCAGAAATGGAAGTTTTGGTATGATGAGTCCAAGCTTCACAGGCAGCCAAAATGGTTCATATGTTGGCTTTGTCATTAATAGTGAGAACTTGTTAGTTAATCTGAGTTTTAATTTCTTTATTAAGACAATGCAGATAGTAATAGTTATCTTCCAGAACCGTCATTGTTTTGTGCTTTACACGAGAAAAATACATTGAGTGGGGCACTTAAAAGGTGAGATGAAATGAAATGAAATGAAATGAAAAATTGTTATTTGTTAACAACACAAAGCACTCTGCCAGGTACTGAAGACACAATGTGGCCAAAATGGCCAGTTTCTAACCTTATGAAGCCAGGACACTAGCTATGAAGATCACTTTTAAAGTTACTACAGAATGGACTACATAAATAAAATTTTGATAAATACCACAAAGAAGACGGAGAGATCAATGAGCATGTGTAACCAAGGGAACAGGTTTGTATGATGACTGGGAAAACAACAGCTATAAGGTAAGTTGCACAGAAGGATATCGGGTTTTTATTAAGATAGAGAACAAGAGCTAAAAACAATTTTAGGTAGAAAACAGAGTGTGAGTTTGTTCTTTCTCCTGAGAAACTCAGCCAGTGATTGAAGCACTACCTCTGAGGGGGAACTTTACCCACTAGGAGTAGAGTTTAATTCATTTCCTGGATACTCAGAGATAATGACTTATGATTGGAGTTACAGAAATTAGAAACTTTCTAATCAGGACTGTGTTTCATTTGGTCTTAAATAATAAGAGCCTTGTTACCTCTAGAACTGATAGACACTGGTACTTTCCATTTTACCTCAATATAGTATTTTAAGCTGTTGTTTCTGCTTGCCTTATCATTCAGGCAAACTCCTTTATGGATAAATAAAATTATTATTCTTTATATAAAGACAACTAATTCAATTGCAGAATTCTAGAATGCATGTAAGAATATTAAATCTTTTTTAAAAAAGTATTAGTTCACTGTTTAATATTAATGCCCACTAAAACAAAATAAGTGCTGGAAATGTTATAGCCATCTTATTCTGAATATTGAGTATGAGTGTTGTCACTAAAATTGAATATATATCATTTTTTTTCTAGTAGCTCCATGAATTCTATCTATTGTACTCTCTGATGGGATTATGGCATAGGTGCTTAAGAAGGAAGCTCTATTATTTGTCACTTTTAAAATTTTAATAAGTGTAATTTAATCAGACTGTGGAATTGAATAACAAAGATTCTCCTCTGTTTTCTTTGCACATGATTACAGTTGAATGAAAGAGAATATAAATGATTTATAAGAGTTTATAACCTCAGTATCTGGATTTCTACATTACCACAGTACGGAATGACAAGATAAAAATAACGAAATATTTTGGGTCCTAGAATTTTTCTGAGATACCTGATTTCTTGAATATATTTTCAAGACAGTTTTCCTTCTAAAACTTTTTTGATTTAATTTTTTTTAGTAAAAACGGTCAATAATCCAGAAAATTACACTAAAAATAAAATCAATGCATGCTCTAATTACTCAGAGAAACACTGCTGATAAAATTTAGAGTAAGTTTAGAAAATTTATATGAACATTCAAATATGTTATAACTCCACAGATACTGCTCTCTTGTGATTTATAAAATATCTACTCATGCTTTTGCCTTCACTTTTGTTCTTAATATTGCTATTAAATTTTTTTCTTTTATTTTCTGTAGGTCCTTGCTTCAGTTGAGTCTATTTTACTGGTATTTTTTCCCCAAAAGCTCAGTTTGTGTTTTGTTTTTCTCTTTTAGTATTTATTTTTAATTGATACATAAAAATTGGTTTTATTGGTCAGATCTTTTTCATGTTTTACTGATTTCTATTATTAAAATATTATTCCATTTTTTTCCTGTTATCTTTATATTTACTATACCTTTCCAGCTATTTATCTTGAAATTCTAAGACATTTATTTTCAACAACTTTTATTTTTTTTTAAATAATGCAGGCTTGGCTTTCATTTAATTTCAGACAAGTTTGAGATCTTGTACTCTGATGGTTAAGGTTATGTGTCAACTTGACTGGGCTAAGAAATGCTCAGACAGCTGGTAAAATAATATTTCTGCATGTGTTTCTGTGAGGGTGTTTCCTAGGAGATTAACACTTGAGTCCGTAGACTGAGTAAAGAAGACCAATCCTCACCAATGTGAGGTGGCATCGTCTGACCTATGGAGGGTCCAAATAGTACAGAAGGCAGACGAAGGGCAAACTGCACAGCAATGACTTTCCTGATTCCCTAACTTGCAGATGGTAGATTATGAGACTTCTTGGCTTCCATAATTGTGTGAGCCAATTCTCATAATAACTCTTTATATATCTCTTCTTATATACAGACGTATGTTGTTGGTTCTGGTTCTAAGTAGAACCTAATATAACAAATACTTTCATTATTTAAAAATGGTGATCATTTTCTGCTTAAAACAAGCTATTTAGAAAAGCATAGAAAATGTTTAAAACTTTTAAATTTTTATTTCAAAATCAAATTACTTGTAGGAAGATATGTTCTGTATTACAGTAACTTTTTGAAATTTGTTAAGGCTTTTCTGAGAGCTTATATTCCCATTTAATTAAAAGCATGTCAAATTAAAAAATTACTATATATTAATTTTAAGTTAATTTCTAAAAATGTGTATTCCCTAGTCACTTGGTTCAAGATTTAATATCTGTTATTTTTAATGTAAATCTGTGTAAATTTGTTAAAACTTTGAGAATTATTTTTGTCTGCATGATCTTTTTTATGAGATTGTGTTTAAGCCAGTCACAATCATTATAAATTTGTCAATTTAATGTGTATACATAAGACTATGCTTTGCATATTTGATTCTGTGTTCTTACTATTAAGTAAAAAAGCATCAGATTGATTGAATAAAGAATCACTCTCCCTAATAATAAAATATTCAACAAGAAATAGGGATATTCATAATTGTCTTATTCCATTTAGGCTACTATAACAAAGTGCCATAAACTGGGTGCCTTACAAACAACAGAAATTTATTTCTCACAGTTCTGAAGGCTATCAAGTTCAAGATTAAGATGGCAGTAGAGTAGCTGTCTAGTGAGGACCTAATTTTTGGTTCATAGATAGCCATCTTCTTACTGTGTCTTCACACGGCAGAAGGAGAGGGGAATCTCTTTGGGGTCTCTTTTGTAAGGTCACTAACCCCATTCACCTGTGGCTCCACCCTTATCCCTAATTACTTTCTTAGGACCACATTTTCTATCACTATCTTCTTGCACATTAGGATTCCAGCATATGAATTTTGGGGAAACATAAACGTTCAGTCCAGTCTGCTAACTCACATAGAAAATGCAATATTTTATGATAGTAGTAATATCCTAACAGCTTTTTTAGGTAGTATTTTTGTGACATTTAATGACATATTTTTCATTTTTTATTTTTATCTTATTATTTTACTTTATAGTATATAGTGTTAGTAAACAACATACATATACTGAGAACTTTGTTTTCAATTTTGAAATATGTATCTTTATCATTTACAGATATATTTGGACACATTTCTGCCATAGTATTTTTTTCTGCTTAACAGTTTACTTTGTTTTATTAGTTCTTTTATTCCATTTTTATATTTATCTATTATATTCTTCTTTAAAATTTCTAGATTATCTTTGTCATGTAAATGTCAAATTTAAAAAAAAAACATTTTTCCTTATTGTCTTCTATTTCTCTCTTGCTCTTTTGAAATGTATAGATTGTTTTTGTAGCATAAACGATGCTTTTTCTATTCAGTTTCTTTCTTCCACAAAGAATCTATGAAACTTAAGGATTAAAAATAAAGACTTAATTTAAGTTATCATCCTATCATATAATTTCCTGTAAAACTGTTTCTTTATCTCAGGCTTTCTGTCTTCACTATTTTGGTGCTGTTGCATCTGATTTTCTTTCACAGGAATTTTATTCATAAGGGATTCATTTTCTTTATGCATCTCCTTGAGCCTCCTAAACTTAGTTGTTGTGATGCTTTGTCAGACTGATTCAAAGAATAAACTTTTTCCTCAAGTTAATTGCTGTTTCACTTTTGATTTTTTTTTTTTTTTTGGTTAACTTCTTAGAAGACGATTTATTATTTAGTTTTGGAATTTTGGTTGTTAGGAATTTTACAAATGTCTTGAAGCCAAAAATACAAATATGAATATAAATAAAAAATGATGAATATCTCTAAGAGAAAAGGACAAAAAGTTAGAGTAGGGTGAAGTCCCAAATAGAAATCAACAGTCTAGAAGCCCATAAGACCTATGGGATGAAGGGAACCCTCCTTCCCACGCAGTTGGTAAGAATGTAAAGTGGTACAATCACTACAGAGAACAGTTTTGAAATTCCTCCCAAAACTAAAAATAGAGTTAATATATGATCCAGCAATCTCACTGCTGGTTATATACCCAAAAGGAGGAAAATCAGCATATCAAAGAGATAACCTGCACTCCTATGTTTGCTGCAGCCCTGTTTAATAGCTAAGATGTGGAAGCAAACTAAGTGTCCATCAACAGATGAATGGATAAAGAAAATGTGGTACCTATACACAAGGGAGTATCATTCAGCTATAAAAAGATTGAGATCCTGTCATTTGCAACAGAATGAATGGAACTGGAGATCATTATGTTAAGTGAAATAAAACAGGCACAGAAAGACAAATATTGCATGATCTCACTTATTTGTGGGATTAAAAACTCAAAACAATTCAACTCATGGGCATAGACAGTAGAAGGATGGTTACCAGAGGCTGTGAAGGGTAGTGGGGATGGGGGTGGGGGAACATTGGTGGGGAGGTGCAGATGGTTAATTAGTACAAAAAAATAGAAGGAATAAATAAGACATAGTATTTGATTGCACAACAGGGTGACTATAGTCAATAACAACCTAATTGTACATTTTAAAATAATTAAGAGAGTGAAATTGGATTGTTTGAAACACAAAGTATAAATGCTTGAGGGTATGACTACCCCTTTCTCGATGATGTGATTATTTCACATTGCATGCCTGTATCAAAATATCTCATGTACTGCCAAAATATATATAGCTACTATGTACCCCCCAAAATTAAAAATAAGTTTAAAAAAAGAAATTCAAATAACCTCTATTTTCTAAGGATCCATTATCTACTTTGGTTCTACTTCTGAAAATTATTCTCAAGGACAAGTCTCAAATGCATTTACTATAAATTGTAAATCACTGATAAGGCAAAAGGGTTAAACTAGGTATCAAGACAATTTTTACTTTCAGAAAAATTATATTAATATGGACTAAAATTTTGATTCTCCTACTATGAAGGTAATTAGGTAGATGTGGAGACCAGAGAAGAACTTTCCAGTGACTCTGTAATTACCCAAGCAATAATGTTGCCACCCAACTACCACCATGATTTTGTTGCCCTCTGGAGAATCAACTTTTTTTCTTGGTTAATGACAAGACCATATGTAAACTTTGTAAATATTAGAGGTTTTTTTAATGTTTGCTCTATTTTATCCTTTATTTCAGTTTATTTCTGGTAAAAGCATTAAAGGCAGAAATTTCTACCAAAAAATCTTGAAATTTAAAAAGCATATTTAAAAATGCCATTTGATATTTTGCATGACTTGACACTCAAAGCTGTTTTTTTTATAAACTAAAAACACAAATACACAAAAACGTTTTTGCCTAGATACATTCCTGTTATCTATTTCTAGAACATGAAATTTGTACACACTTTTTATCTGGGATAACGTATTTGTCAGGAATACCTTAAATTGGATTTTTTCCCAGGATTATGTTATGAGACTCAAATTTTTCCTTCTAAGGGATCCATCGTCCATTATGAGGAGTTATTCTCATTCCTTAGCTGTTCAATAGCAATTTAAGGGTAATTTAAAATTTAAGACTTAATTTATGAAGAAAAATTAAAACAGTAGTCTTCACATTACTCACTACATGAGTTAATTTTCAAAGTAAAAAATAATTTTCATAGTAACACTTTCTCTGACATCATTTCCCAATATAAATGCATATAAAATATTAATGCTAAAAGCTAAAGAAATGGCAATGAGAACTTCTGAGAATTTAAAGGTAATTACCATGATTAATTTAGCTTCACCACTAAGCAATACCAGAATGTATCAAATGCGGACACCATTATCACTCACATTTTGTCTTTGTTAAAAGTTAATATTTTGAATAACAATATCCTGAGTATTCTTTATTTCTACTGCGTTCTTCAAAGTAGGGCATTTTGGAGGTGATCCTGCCTAATAGGACAGCTTTATTCATGTAATATATTTTTATATCCTGACATTTATGTTATCACATGGTAAATACAAAGCTGATATGCTATCTAGATATACATTTTACATACAGAGACGTTTAAAAATGTATATAGCAGAACTATCTTATATTCCAAACAATGGGATATATCAAAAGAATGTGAAATATTATGGCTTAGTACCACTTATTCTAGCACATTCCAACGTATCTTGCTTTTTCACTCGCAGATGACGTAAGATGAAATGTGGAAAGTACAGTAAACTAGGAAGAAGACCTGAATTCTAACTGTGTTTCCCTGAATTAGTTAGCTATGTGCCACTAAGCAGAAGTCTCAAACTCTGGCTCTCCTTTCCTTCACATATTTTATGTCAAATTCACTTGTTTGTCAATATGATTAAAATTTTCAAAAAATGTAACTTATATGTTTATGTTGTTTAGAACTGTATGTTTGTTACAAGAAAGTAATAAATTGTGTTCATTAATGATAATTTGTAATTGTTCAACATCATCATTAGTATGCATGAATAGCATTTAAACGTCCATCCCCCAACAAGAAGGATTTATCCCTAAGAAGTATAAACACTAAGTTGTTATAAATCATTTCAAGAGTTTATTTTTAAACAGAATGTTGCAATTATAGGGGAGGTTTGATTTGGCACAATTTCATTTATATTAATGTGATCATTTCATCCACTTCTAGCAATAATTGTATGCTCACTAATGCACATGTCATATTTCTTTTAAGATGATGGAGAATGAAAAAAATGCAAAGAACACTAACAGCAAAGCAAATTATGTATACAGATAAACTAACACAATTTGATCAGAGTTTACAGAAATGTTAACAGGATATATAAAAATATCGAGCACCCCTTTATGCCAGCCCGTGCCTTCCACATGTAATCATATTTGATCTTCATAACAGTCTTAATTTATTTTTAGTTTATATTTTATTTGAAAAAAATGTCATGTGCATAAAATTTGGTTAATCATAATGACGCAGGATTTTTCTCAATCACTTTGCCAGCAGGAGACCACTGACTGGTGACGCCTCAACCCCGGGCCTTGTTGGGGCCTGGGTTTACCGCAGCAGACGCCCATCTCGGCCTGCACATGGCGCAAATCCCGCGACCCCCGCAACTATGCGCTCAGCCCCCAGCAGGAGTGGGTGTGTGTGCGAGTGAGTGCAAGGTCCTGCCAACTGTTCCAAGAGCCAAAGCGGGCTCCATGCAGGGCTTGCAGCTGAACCAGCCATGTTGCAAGCCTCTCCTGCAGTGGACTCTGGCGTCCAGACGAAGGAAACATGGTGGCACCCTGGCAGGGGTGCCTGGGACCCCAAAGCCCCAGAGGGAATGTTACAGTGTGCTCATTAGCTCTTTTAGTCCTTCCATCCGCAGCCTGATGGATGGAGGCGCATTAGCAGATCTGTCAGACCCTTGCTCAGCTCCAGCCTGTGTCTCCGGTGTTGGTTTGGCCCTGCCACTGCTTCCCGTCGCGTGGGGTGGCTGCCCTCCACCGGCAGAGGGCCACAGTGTCATAGCCTTCTGTGTACCTGCATTCCTTGGGTCCTGAATTACTGTCCCCCTTTCAAGAATGAAGTTACACCGACAGTGGAAGGGTGAGGAGGACGGAGAACAATTTTATTAAGAGACAAAAGAGCTTTCAGCAAAGAGGGGACACAAGGATGGTCTCTCACCCGAAATCAGGCAGTTTATCTCCTGGTGAGGCTGGGCCCAAGGCTTTTATGGGTTCAGAATGGTGAGTGCGCACTGATTGGTTTCTGAGTATTCAAAAAAGAAAAAAAAAGGTTAAAACAAAGGCACCACTCAAAGGTGGTGGGGATGACAGTATAAAAAAACAATTAAGGAAAGGTAGGTATATGTAAAATAGGTGAAGAGTGAGGATTAATCAGAGTAAAGCATGCAAAATGGGAAGAAAGGTTCTTAATCTGGTCCGTGGAGTTACCCGGGACTTGTAGCTAGGCTTAAACTGTCCTGGGCTTGGGTTTCACCCGGGACTCGCCCCTGTCTGCCTAAATTGTCAGCTTCCTGTCGCTATCAATAATACTAGAATCATGACATACTTTCAACATTGCTGCATACTTGGACTTTTTCTTTTCTTTTCTTTTCTTTCTCTTTTTTTTTAAGTTTACTTGCTATTTAATTATTGACTTAAAATGTATTAATCACCCACAAACTCACTACTGCAAAGGAGAGATAGGACCTTGAAAATAATCTCCATGTCCATCTACTTGACCCCTTAACCCCATCTAGTCCCTTCCAGAAATAATTTCCCAGCTAAATTCCACATAAACCATTTGATTCATTAACACAGTTATTGTATCAACACACACCCCTAAAAATGAAAGAGCCCCTAAAATAATATATATTTATAAAATTGTATTATGCTATCACTTGTTATAATTAACTTTTTTCCACTTTAACGTGAGACTGCTAAGATTCATCCATATTGTTGGATATTACTGTATTGCCTATAATATTGTATAAAATTCATTGTGCATTAATAAATATACAATAATTATTTTCATAATTCACCTTTTGATGGGCATTTTGGTTGTTTCCCGGTTGCTGCTATTATGAATAGTGTTGCTCTCAATATTTTTTTCTGTGTACTGAGTCATACAATTGCAAGATTTGCATTTCATTATACAACTGAATATGCATGTTCAACTTTAAGAAATAAAGCCAAATGATTTTCCAAAGTGGTTGTACCTGTGTGTGCTTCCACTAGCAATAGAAGAGTAACCACATGCATTCCTTTAGTTTATATTTGGACGTTAATCACCTGTCCACCAAATGGATTTTTAAAAAAAAGTTACCTCAGTATGGTCCATAGCAGTACAATTGCAAGTTTTGCATTTGATTTGCATTTATCTGATTATTAATGACCTTCAGCATCTCTTCGTATGTTTAGTAGCTGCATATGCTTCCTTGGTGTGAGATATTTATTCATAGGTTTTGCCAATTTTTTATTAATTATCTGTGCTTTACAAAAGTTCACTTGTAAGTATTTTAAAAATATTTTTGGTATTTCTGTTTCACAAACATCTTTATATTTGTAATTTGCCTTTTCATTTTATCTAAAGTGTCTCCAATAAGCAAAGTTTCACAATTTTGTAGAGTTTAAAATTAGAGATTGCCTATATATTTAGAACATTTTTAAAAAAGACCTTCCATATTGCAACCATTTTTTTCTATTTCATTAATTTCCATTTTTATCTCTCATCATCTATATTCTTTGGGTTTATTTTTAATGTCAAAAATTTCTGCTTGGCTGTTTTTAAAATATATATTTATATGTTTTCTTTTACTGGCTAATATCTTCCTCTGTTAGTAGGTGATTTAGGCTAATTTTAAATCTTGGTCTTTTACTTTTAATATCATTGTGTCTGATGAAATCCAAAATCCAGTATGTTTTCCTAAATATTTTGTTCCATAAGTGTCTTATTTTTTTTAATCCTTAATCTCTTACCTCAACCCCATATTAGTTACTCTTTCTGGCAATGGTTATTAGGGATGAACTACTTAAGAAAGTCAGCTCCAAGGACCTTCAGTGGGAAAGATGAGAAACAAAAGAATCCTAGACTGTGGACCCCCAGACAACAAAACACATTTCCCACATTTACTTCTCATCCCATAAAGCTGTCTGGCAAAGGTTTCAATCTTTGGCCCCTGGAACAAGTAGCATTAGAAGGAGATACTAATTTCACTAACATTTATGAGCTCCGGAGTGTTAGAAAGGAAAATGTGAAAGAAGTCTTGTTTTTTCCTCATCTATTCTCAGGTCCAGGTCTCTCACTCTTGCCCAGAATTTACTCCTGAGACATTTGGGTGAAGGTTTGTGTCTACGCAAGTGTGGGGGCCATCACTGTCCTAAGGCAATGGCTAGAAATTGAGTGGCTTCTAAACGGCCTTCATGAACTATCTCCTAATTGGAGGTGAAAGTCACCATCTCAAATACACACACACACGCATGCACCGGTCCAACAGGGCCCCCCATCAATGGCAGGATGTCTTACATATTTCTTCTCTATATTTTCACATTTCTTCTCCATAACACCTCCGTAGATGATTTGACAGTGGCACGCAGCATTCATGCTAGGTATGTATCTTTGTAGAAGCAGAGCCTCTGATCTGGGCCTCTATTGCCATTTTATTGATGAAGAAATTGAGATTCTAGGAGGCTAAGTGTTTGTTCGTGACTATAGATCTATCAAGTAGTACAGCCATAGAATGGCCATATTCCAAAGCTGATTGGTGTTCCTGACTTCCAAACATGCATTTCAAATACCTTTCTGCATTTTATTTCTAAGAAATTACTGTGCTATGAGTAGGAATGGCAATTTTCTTTATTAAGTAAGTAGAAGAATAACATCTAAGAGATTTGCATATCATGATTCTATTTTCAATTGAATTCCACAGCCACTAATATGATTCTATATCTTCAGATTATTCTTGAATCTAGTAGGTTTTGACTAAACCAAAATATGACTTTACTCTCGGTCAAAAACCAGCAAAATGGTAGGGTGATAGTGATACCAGTTATTAATTTATCTGTTCCTTTTTGCTGTTTGTTTCTAGGATTTTTGGATTTTATTCTTGTTTTTATAGTTTGAGTCAATGGATAAGGGTGAAACAAACAAATAGTGTAAGACTGAATAGTCAAATCAAATTAACTGAGGAAAAAGATGTTGGACTTTTGAAATTCATATAGAGGAATACTCAGGGAGTTTCAACATCATACATGTTCTCTCTGCCATTCTCAGCTTCACAGACAGAGATGATATTAACACTTGAGAAGTGTGTTTTTTTTTTTTTTTTTTTTTGGAGACAGAGTCTTGCTCTGTCGCCCAGGCTGGAGTGCAGTGGCTCAATCTCGGCTCACTGCAAGCTCCGCCTGCCGGGTTCACGCCATTATCCTGCCTCAGCCTCTCCAGTAGCTGGGACTACAGACACCCACCAGCACGCCAGGCTAATTTTTTATATTTTTTAGTAGAGACAGGGTTTCACCGTGTTAGCCAGGCTGGTCTGGATCTCCTGAGCTCGTGATCCGCCCACCTCGGCCTCCCAAAGAAGTGTAATTTTTAATCCTAGCTTGTTTTTCCCCCCAATTATAAAATAATAAAACAAAACCAAAAGTAGAAAAGGGATCTCTGGCTTTCTTAGGAAAGCATATTCTTAGCCCTTCACTAAGACACAGATGTAATTTTTATTTTGTAGACCAGAATCTGGTTAAAACAGTATAATATAATGTCTGTTAAAAGAGTAGATGTTGAGTGAAGAGTCTAGCAGAGCATGGTTTTCTATCTCTGCTAGGTGAATATTAGCCAGGATGTTAGCATAGGACATGTGATACTGTCTACACAGTCACTAAATATGTGCCCAAGGAGAGTTCTTTCTACCTATATGACCTAAGAGTTCTTTTTAGGGTAAATCTGATAAATAAAATAGATAGGCCTCAAGAAGCCTATTTTCATTTTGAATGAGAAATATTTGATTTGCTCTTTTATAAAAAGTTATTCTCCATTTATATTTTTTTCTTTCTATGCTAAAAGAAATAAAACACTAGGATAATGCCTGAACACTGAAACAAATGCAAAAGTGACTTTCTAGTTTAGGCATACTTTTCTAATTTACAGAGCACATTAAACTCAGGGAAGACGAAGGAGCTAGAAAAAACAAATAATGGGGGAGTTTTACCAGCTCTTTGCTGCCTTAATAGAGCTTTAGATCTAGGTAGCACAGGAGCCTACACATTCTGTCAAATGGTTGCTTGGACATAGATGCCTGTGACCGTGTGTTTCAGAGCAACATCTAACTAAAAACATAATTTTTTTGTAGGAAGGATAGAAATGTCTCATGGAAGAGAATGTGCCATAATGAGAGAAAGCCAAAGTGGATAATGTAAACCCAGGACCCAGTCTTTCCCATCATGATGTCTGTCACGTGACCGGGTCCAGGTCCTGATGAGATCAGACGTGTTTTGGGTGAGAGGAAAAGAAAGGCATCTAACACATAAGCTGTCATTGGGAACATAAATATTACTGTTCTACCACCTCTTTACAATATTTGGCCAGAGCTAGTAAAAGAGCTCCCTGTCCTTTACTTCACACCATGATGTAGCACCTGAGGGCTTCAGAGTCAGAGGCACTCAGAAGACGTCCTAATTGCAGAAGTCCTGGTGCTCAACAGTGATGTGGATTTTCTGTAGATACAGATGTGTCCAGAATCAGCATAAAGGTTCACAGGGAGAGGCAGGCAGCAGCTGTCCGGTGCTCTGCTGTCTTGGACTAAATTTTTGATATCCTTGAGAACTTGTGACCAAGCACATTTGAAATTCCCTTAGGGCATCTTCTAGGAAATCCAGAAAGGTTTACTTCAAGATGCTGTCATATGTAGGGGTAGACAGGGGCCAGAGACAATGACATGCAGTTTTTTTCAAGCAAACGGTCTCATCTGGACTCACAGTCTGGTGAGATGCTGAGAAACCAGAGACAAAACATTTCCCATCCTTCTTTCCCTTTCTTTTCCAAGCCCCTCTTCCTCAGCCCTTTGGCTTCTTTGGAAACTTGTTATTGCTGCCTTATTTCAATGATTATTATTATCTCGTGTAAAAATAGTTTAAAGTGTGAGAAATATCACAGCCACATGTACACACAGAGGGTGTATTTAAATATATCCAGAGGATCAATTACAATCTCACATTAATTTTGAGCATTTTCGTTGCATATGGATCCAACGCAGAGTACTTTAAAAGGCTAATTTTTGTCTCAATTATCATAAGTAACAAAAAAGTTTATTTTTCAACAAAAGAAAAACTAGAAAGAAAGCAGCATCACAAAACAACATCTAAGAATTAATAGCTAGCTGTAAAACTCCATCAGAAATAATCCCCAAAGTACATACATTAGGTTGGGGAAAGATGAATAGAAACCAACAAACATCTTAGAAATTCCATATAAACATTTAATCATCAAAAATAAGCTGTATAGCTAGCTCCCAGAGGAGTACTGCAGGAAAAATATGTTCCTCACTTAGATCCATTGATCTTCAATGGATTTTCAGGACTAAAATATTTGGTGTAAAACTGGCTGGTGAAGCCATAAGTCTATTGAAACATGGCAGGGAGACCATTCGGACAATTTTCATTTATCCTTTAAGCTATGGTTCCTTAAATAATAAAATTGCATCTCTACCTATAGCCAGTAGAATTTTGATTTCATCTTTCTTTTGAAAAATAGGATCACTATAATTTAGAAAATATCTTCTCCTCAAATATATGTTGTTACCATTAACACACTTAGCAAAATCGATCAATTGAGCAAACATTAGTTACCTAAAGTGTGGTATTAGTCTGTCATCATATTTCCACCCAGTAAAATCCTAGAGAGGAAGAGGAATTAAATTAACCAGTAAACATTTGAATGTGGATCTCTTTTTATAAGCTTTAAAATCTCCTAGGTCGTAAGCAACATAGTAGTTTCTGGGATGTTAAGAACGAAGAAATAGATTTCATCTGAGCCTACAACGAGCTTAACACTTAAGAAGACAACACGACGGGAAGAACAGCATGTGAAAACTGATAATAAATATAAATAGGTGGCAAATTTTGAAGTTAAGAAGAAACAGAGAAAATAATTGTTAAGAGTCACATGAGGCTGATCTTAAAATGGTTTGGAAAAATGAACAAGTGCCTGGGGAATAAAACCACTTTCTTTAATCCAGTTCTTCAATTACTACCAATAGAATGTGGAGTGGGAGCTGTAGTGCGAAGGTAGGAGGGTGTCAGCCTCTTTGCTCAGGCACTCGTGTTCTATGTGGCCTTTGTCAAATCTCTCAACTACTCAAATATCCATTGTTTTAAGTGAGTGAAAAACAGTATTAAATTCTATTTTAAAGGACTACTTTGAGTGAAAAAGAATTAAAACTTAGAGGGCTATTCTGAAGTTCCAATGAGATAGTGGATATGGATTCTTTCTATAAACAGATAAAAGTATTACAAATCTGTGTTGCTATTATTATTCTATTATTGAACTTTAAATACTAATAGTTCCAATTATTAATGACACAGATAAAGATGATATTATTCAAAAACCTCATTCTTGCTTTAAATAAAAAAAATAAACTTATGTTATTGATCTATAATATTTTCTTTTAAAGCATTTTTATTTGAATAATTTAGCAGTTCATTCCTCCCACTAAATTATATGCCTGGGCTCCATGTGCACTGTGTGTGCATGTGTCTGTGTACACTTTAATAATTTTCTTCATTGAAAATAATAAATTTTAGTTAAACAGCTGCCTATCTACTACAAATGATCATTGTTAGATGTTGAAACTAACAAATTGGAGTGATGTTTCTGGACCTATACTTCAGTATGACATCCAGCCTACTGAAGGTCTATCAGCCAGGTACTGGCTAGCTACTAGACAGTGATTTAAGGAAGGATCCTAGCAGCACATGGCTTTCATTGCAGGCATCAGTTTTGTTACTTCCTTTCTGTAAAGTATACATTTGCCTACCTATTGTCATTTTGAATTCATTTTAAACATCTACACATCTGTTAACTTGGGATCACTTTATGTAAAATATTTGGCCATGAAATCGTAGCAGCATTAACTTTACTAGATCTCTATTCTTTCTAAATGGACATTTAGTCTATAACTTCAGATAATCAGAGAAAACACTTCTTATGTTCAAAACTCTAGCTAGCTACAAAAATAATGAAATTTTAAATAAAATATGACTCATGAATTACAATCTGTGAACTACATCTCACAAATTTACTTAATTCAGAAAATTTGGTCCACCCATTTCTATTTATTTCTGCTTTAAAATGAGACAATGAGATAAATCAAGTGTCTTGGCAGTAAATTAATCACCATTGGAAAAATCATTTCTGAATTTTTTTCTTTTTTCTGCACTGAGCAAATTTGTTTGACTTTAGCGAAACAGAAATATGTGCTTTTCAACAATGTTTTAACTATTAAGAAACAATACAGGTTGTTAGTGAGTTGCTTGAGATTAGGGACAGTGTGAAGGATGACACAGGAGTTATTTCTGCACAGGCAGTTGTGACCTTTGACTCAAGAAAAATTACATTTTCTTGACTAAGCAAAATTTCTGCCTATATTACAGCCCATGCATCTATCTAATTCATCTAGGAAAGATTTTTGAAACTCTTTATTAAACATATTTGCTATTTTGACAACATGGTTATCTACAATACAGCTGAACAGATGAAAGTATACATAATGGGAAGTGGTTTTGAGATTAGCAGTGTGAAAAATAAACTGTTGAGGTATAAATAAATGCATAAACTTGATTTTCAAATTTTCTTTTTCTATTAAAAAAACATACAAATGTCCTTACTGTTGAAATTGTACCGCTTATTTATTTGTTGTTTATTTATTTTGCTTTGTGTATGTGCATCCATATGTGTCTGAAGGTTTGGATAAAAAAAATTCAAAGTAAGAGATTACATTTTAGTAATACCACAAATAACATACTGATTCTTGGAAGATGATTGATACCACATAATGTAGCCTGCCCTTAAATCCAGTAAATGAAACAACAAACATAATTGGCATAATTGATCTTTAAAATCCATGATAACAAGGGAATAGGGTTGAAAAGAAATACTTCCTAAGATCTCACTTAATTACACTGTCAACTGGATATCTTCGAACATAAGGAACCAAGTGCTCTAATTAGAATTATGTTAAATGTTAGAAGAAATAAAGATACTTCGTTACATTCCTAAAGTCCTTTGGAGCAGATTTCTTTCCTGTCTGCATCACCGTTGCCCCCTGAACTGCGTGCAGTTTCAGCTTAAGTTGGCTTTTAACCAGTATTTGTTTAAAAGTGAATGAATAATTATATTTGCCTTTTAGCTCTCTAACCTAGGGAAAATGGGGAAAGGGGAGAGTTTTAAAATGCCATTGATATTCAACAGATATTCTCCAACAAAGTAAGCAGTTTGTAACGACTGATATTGTATTTATCAACAAGTAAGGACTAATAATGTATGGAAATATTTTCTTGTCATGGTTTGATCATACCTGCTCAATAGTGTCAAGTGGCTAGTATTTTGTCTTTTCACTTATCTTTCTACACTTATGCCAGTAGGAAACATTTTTTTTCTCACCTGGGGGATTCTTTCCTTGGTAGCATCTCACCTCCCTTTCTATGAAAACACCCTTCTTCACAGTGTCTTATCAACTGAGGACACTTTTCTGAGCTTTACAAAAGGGCAACAAATTAAAATTCTAAATAGTTCTCTGCTACTATATTACTGTGTACATATTAATAACCACAATGAAAATATATTACATATAGTATTATATGATGTATATAAGTGACACAATATAAACATGATATGATTAAATAGTAGTATTCCACCTAGCTCCTAATCAAATTTCTTCCCACTGAGAAATCCAGACCCTCTCTTCTCACCAAACCTTTCAGAACGTCAATTCCACAGGGGAAGAACACACCAGCTGCCAAAACATTAGGATATTCACATTCTAAGGGAAAGAAGGCTCTCTCTTCATAGATCTCATCTGTAAAGCCACATGCGAATTTATAACAGTACATTTTTCAAAAGTATCATTTGTTTCTTTGTTATTTAGCCCATATAGCCCAAAACATGGAGGGGTGCACTAATAAAGGCACCTTCAATTCAACCTTTTTACTCTGCCTCTTTGCAGCTTCTGACTTTGATATTGGGAGGTAATGCAGATCTTCACAGTCAGATTGGGACTGGAATATGGAGGTGTTGACTCCAGTTTCCTCCCAGAAGAAAGATTCAAAAACTTAGGGAAAACTGATTTGTTTCCTGACATATTCAAGGAAAGATGAGTCTGCGTATTTATCCCCTAAAATCTGCCAACCCACCAGCTTATTTACTTAAAGCATGATTTCACTTTCACTTATACAAATGCTGTCACAAGTAAGAGTAAAATGTGAAAAAGAACACAGACGTCAGTTGATGTCACTTGGAGGGTAATACATATTGGAATGACATCAATGTTGATTTACTGATTGAACTGAATCAGTTCCCGTGGGGGACTGAGAATGCAATCCTTAAAATTTCAGAAGATAGAATTATTCATTCTTCCTCTATCCTTTTTATTCCTTCTAGCTTTTGAATCAGATGAAAAAATGGGCTGAGCGTGGTGGCTCATGCACTGTGGGAGGCTGAGGCAGTTGGATCACCTGAGCCTAGAAATTTGAGACCAGCCTGGGCAACATGGTGAGATCCTGTCTCTACAAAAAATACAAAAATTAGCTGGGCATGGTAGTGTGCACCTGTAGTCTCAGGTACTAGGGAAGCTAAAGTGGGAGGATCACTGGGGCTAAGAAGAATAAGAATATTAGAGAAATGGAAAAAATATCTATTCTTCTAAGCATTTTCAGAAATAAATTTAGCATTTTCAGAAATAAATTGAACAGATGGAGAAATTGCAAAGTAAAAAATATTTACATAGACCTGTGTGAAAGCATTTCTATGTAGCAAAATATCCATACAAATTAAAATTTGCATGACAATCTTTTTAAAAAATTAAAAATGCATAATAGACAACTAAATGTCTTTAATATAGAGAAAACTTTAAAAAATAAAAAAATATTTAATGAGAGGAGTAACTAATGACTATGAAGAAATAATTTATCAAAGAAAAATAAACAAATCCCTACCAATTAAACATGAAACCATATATTCTCACTAATAAAGAAATGCTTGTTAAAATTAATGGATACTATTTTCATTCACAAAATTGGTAAAGATTAAAAATAAAAAAGAAAATCAATGCTACTGCCAAAAAAAGTTTGGGAGAATGAGCAATATGAGTCATAAATAGTAGGTACATACCATAATTTTATGGAACTTTTCTAGGATGGGAGTTTGGCAACATTACTCTTTAATTAAATTCACAGATACTTTTGAGCACCTACTCTTTGCCAGGATGTCTGCTATATGGTGAGCTACAACAACAAAGAAAGAGATGCCACGTGCTCAAGGAACTAAGCTTGTAGTTTGAGAAGATAGAAAAGAAACAATGTCAGGAGATGCTAGGTGTCATGAGGAAGAAGCAGGCTTGTCATGTCAGAGGAGAAGTGGTAAGGTTTTCAGATCCTGTAGCCTGCAGCCTTTGAAAAATTCTGCAGATTTCACTGTGAGTGAAAAGGGAAGCCATTGATGGTTTTGGGTGGAGAAGAATCATGACATGACTTGAATTTTGAAGGATTACTCTGGGATTCTGTATGGGACAATTTGTTGTAGATTAGGGAAGATGGAAACTGAAACCAGTTAAGAAGCTGTGCACACTCAACTATAGGAGTATAAATGCTTAAAGCCCTTGATGTGAATTGAGTGATGATCCCATAAATATATGTCCCCTGGATCTTGCAAATTTGACCTTATTTACAAAAAGGGTCTTTGCAGGTGTAATTAAGTTAAGGATCTTGAAATGAGATCGCTTGGATTTAACTCAGTGGACCCTAAATGCAACAAGTGCCCTCATAAGAGACATAAGGAAGGGCACACAGAGAAGGGCACATGATCCCAGAGGCAGAGATTGGAGTTATGCCATTTCAAGTCAAGGAATACTTGCAGCCACCAGAAGCTGGAGGAAGCAAGAAGACATTTCCTCTAGAGTCTTTGGAGGGAACACAGCCCTGCTCACACCTGGATTTAGGACTATCTGAGATACATGCAAAAACAGTACAGATAGATCAAAACAGAGCTACACTTAGAAATGAAAATAAATTATTAGTACATGTGGTAACTGGAATAATTCTCATGGGCCTTTTCCTGAGTAACAAAACAAATCTCAAAAGCTTGCATACTGTAGGAGGCCATTTATATAACATTTTTGAAATGGTGAAATTATATGGATTCAAACAGGTTGCCAGGAGTTGAGGATGGTGAGGACAGAGCAGAGTGGGTATTACTATAAAAGGTTAGTGTAAGGGAGGTCTTCGCTGCAATTCAATAAACTATCTTGAGTTTGGTGGTGGGCACCCAAATTTACATGTGATAAAATGACATTGAACTACATGCACACCTTCCACCAGTGTCCATTCTGTTTTTGATATTGTTCTGTAATTGTGTGTAATGTGATCACTATGGGAACCTTGGTGAAGAGTACTATTTTGTAATTTCCTATGAATCTATAATCATTTTATGCTGATATATTTTTAAAACATTATCAAGAAGGCTTCAGCTTTTTGGTGTATGTGTCCCTAACTCTTGAGAAATGTACAAATTAGGACCAACTGATTTGATTTTTTGAAAATTTCCTGGATAAACGATTGTTTTGCATGTATAGCTATAAAATGACTCATTACAGTTTTAGACATATTATGAACAACTTCAATAAAACAGTAGAATGTTATTGCTGTGGCATACTACAGACCTTTTAAAATTCTACAAAAGTCTGCACAGTTACATAAAAATGCATATAAATTACCCATTTGTGTTGGAATTATTAGGCTTTTAGAATTTTCATTTGATATTTTTCTGACTTTCATTGTTCTCTTTTTCATTATAATTAACAAAAGACAAATATTATAATGTTTATTAAACATATGGCATATATTAATGTAGCTTACATAATGAAAAATGAGCCGTGGTCTTCTCCTCAGGTTATGTCTCCTGAAGGAATGTTTAATGATGTTTCCCAGGAAGTTTCATGGCCCTACAGAAATGGAGAGTCCCTTTTCATCCATTCTCATTAAGGTCCTTCCTATATACAGAGAATGTACTCCAGAGAAAGAAAGTACTGTATCCATCGGATCCACAAAAGCTGATAGTCTCAAAGAGATGCTTAGCTTAGAGAACACTGGTGCTGCTGTCACAACTCCATTTCTAGGCTAACAGGTAAAAGTAAAACCTACTTTTCAGTAAGAGCATGAGCTAGACCAACAACTAAGTAACAGAGGCCCTGAAAGCTGTCATTAATATCCTACTATATCTCAGATGACCTGAACAAGGGTTGAATGTAACTATCACCAAGCCCATTCACTCAGCGAAAGTGATTAGTGCTCTCATTAGAAATGAGAAACTAGAGATTTATCATAATCTTTTATGTACCGTTGATGGTTCCTCACATTTAATTACATATTACAAGTTTTATACAATGTTAATTACAGTTTGTGGTTTTACTCATTTGGTCAAGTTCACAGAACACTTTTGCAGGCATTGTTATTTTTAGGTAACTGAACTAAGAGAACACCAATTGACTATCTGATTTGAGATTCTGGTATTCAAAGACAAATGAAGCAAATAGTCAATCGTATGTTATTCTCTCTGGATGTGCTACACAAAACTCAGATACATTTTTTCTGTATCCTCACCACATAGGGTTTCCTAATGGGAAACAACAAGACTTGAGAAAAGAAAGTTTCTTCTCTTTCCTTATTGTATGAAAAGCTCTATTCACTGAAGTAGCTTATACTGTATGCACTTCATTGTAATACTTCCTATCAGAGTTAAGAAGACCCTTAGCAATAAAATTGTGCTAAATCCATATTTCAAGGGCTCTAATATGATAAGAAAAGATAATGGGGTCCTTCATTTAAGCTAGAGACAATAGGATTGTTTATGTATAATAATGAGTTCATTTAGAAAAGGATAAGTCACAGTGAAAAAGGTTAGTTTTCACTTTAATCAGATATGACTTTCCTTAAAACTTGCCTACTTTAGAACAGAGAAGAAAAACAATTACAACATTTAGGTTAAATATGCTGGTTTTCTAAGGTCAAAATAAAGGCATACAAAGGAAAATACATGTGAAAATAATTCTAGCCCTTGAATTTGGCATGAAATCACCTTCATATATGTATGCATTTATAAATGAGGTATTCAAAGCACTGATTCATTAACTATGACACCATGTAAATGTGGTATCTGTAAATGTAACAGTGGACTTGAGCTAAAGCAGTACATAAAGGAAATTTATTAGCAAATGTATCAATAAGAGGCAGATTGTTTGGTTCTATTGCAAATAATAATTTTGCTAACTCAAATGTGTTTGTAAGAACGTATTTAGAATTGCATTTATATGATTATATTGACTTAATGTATAGCAATTTTAAGAAGTAAAGATGTATACAGATCAAATGCACTGGACATTTCAAGCATTTTTAATTAACTTTCTTTTTCACTATGTGAACATTAAAATAGAGAAAAACTCTCATCTTGCCAAATTGGATTACCTTTTGCAAGTGTTTTAAATTTTAGAAGCCAAAAACAGTTTTAAAAAGACACTCTAGAGTACTTTTTAAAAATCTTGATTAATTTAAAGTTTATGTGACCTTTTTAAAGGTGGTGACATTTCTAATGCTCAGAGAAAAACTGAAGAAGTAAAATTTATCTAATGCAAAAACTTAGCACATCTGTTTGAAAACTCTTAAATTATTTTTCAATAGCAACCTGCCACATTTTAACTATTCTGTTATTCAGGTATCTACATGATGCATTGTCGTGGGAATATATAGTAAAATAGGTGTGATGGATGTTCATGAGTTGTGGGCTCCTTTTTGTATTCATTGGTATCCATCCTATTTAATTAAGTGTCCAAGCATCAGAGACAGCAAAAAGATTAGTCATTGGAAAGAGTGAAAAATAGATCCCCTCACAGTGAGGCAATCTGAGGAGGGATAATACTCACAATGAGACGGACTGAAGCCATTGAAGTCTTCAGATTGTGTAACTTAGGTCTGGAAACTCGAAGTAAGTAGTGATAGAGAAATAGTATGATTCTCGGTAGTCCTTTCATTACTCATAAGTAACCTTCAATCAAACTTTCCAACTTTGGCATGTAGCACATCAACCCCTGGCACCCACCTTGATCCTTCCTGAATAAGAAATGCCCTTATTTTGCCATATTATACTGATGTGCCAACAGCCCTGAAATGGTCTCTCTCTCTCTTTCTTCCTTTCTGTTTGTCGTATGCATAAATTTACGCATACACACTTGTTCTTTTTCTTTGCCTATGAGAATTTCATAATAGGTCTTTCTAGTTAAAAAGTCAGAAAATCTCATAATAATTTCTTAACATGTTATCCATTTTTCCTACCTACATTGACCTTTGATTCTCTGAACCCTGATATCTTTTGTTCAAAACATTACATTTAGCACTCTATCACAGGGAGAAAGGAACTAGCATTGATTAAGCATGGGACAGATCCTGTGCCCCTCATGTATGTGTGATAACTTAATATTCTCCAAATCCTGTGAGGTGTTATTAATTCCATTTTATGGGGATGAATAAATTAGGTCTCAGAGATGTTTACGCATAATGACGAAAACCTTACACCTGATATAAGGTGGTCCTTAGATTAAATATCCCTGTGCTAATATAATGATTTAAAGTCATCTACCTTAAATTGGAAAGCTGCAACAATTAACAGTACATCATAATACAATATGATATAGTGAATATGTTTAAGTTTGCTCAATATAAATTGTTTCCTATCTCAAAAGCTTCTTAAAGGTAGTAATAGTGCATGTAACATATGTAGCACACCTACTCTCATGTCTGAAACTAGTAGCTCAATAAATGATGAATGAACAAGATCTTCACATCTCACAGACCTGGGATGAACTTCTCAATGGCAGCACACTAAGCATTGTTGAGTGCAGAAAAATTTACAAAGAGTATGCTCTGTCTGTGCCTCAATCCAAATGGGTTAAATATTATATCTTAAGTTTATCACATATGGGACAGCTCATATTTTTTCATTTTGTGACTTTGATTATACTTTTTTCTTTCTGGTTGAAATTATGTATGCCCTTTACCCTACCCATTTTTAGCCAAAACAATTGACTAAGTTTGAAAATCCAGTCTATTCCATCTCTTCCAAGAAAAATTTTCTAGTGTTTTTAGATCACTCTTACTGACCTTTGAGGCCAAATTTTACTCTTTTCATTTTAATTATACACTTACCTTAAACCTTTTCTGTGCTAGTTACTTTCCTCACTAAATTATAACTTAAACACTCTGGGATTTGGCAGGCTTGGGTTCCAATATCGATTCTCCCCATTAGTAGCTGGCCAAATTAATTTGTCTGACTTCAGTTTTCTCATCCATGACATGCAAGATATGTAGATGTGTGCATGAGTGTGTGTGTGTGTGTGTGTGTTTGTTAAATAAACACCCATTACAGACCACTCATTTATGGGCCTGAGATGTATGAATAGTACGACCCCTGGGCTGCCTCTGCTTAGCAGTTTTACACAGCATGCGGTATGGCACAAACAGCAGGACATTTAATTGAACTTACTGCTTTCCACAGTAGAGACCTAATCATAGCTAAATTCTATCAGAAAAAAAAAGATGTCCAGTATGCTACATGAAAGTTTTTGAACACAATAATTTTGATCCACTGAAAATTGTTTGTAAGTAGCATGTAAATGGTGTTATAAGTGATATGGACATTGTCAGAGCTAGAAGTAATATGCACTTTATTTGCAATATTCCAATTTACAAGAGACTTATTTGACGTCTCTACTCTAGAGAATGACTTGTGTCAAGGAATACAGCAGGGAAATTAAAGACATCACAAAATATAATGCATGGGGAAATAATGCAGCCTCCACTGGATTATTGAGAAAATGTTAGAAAATGCCAGTGGGTAAACAAGAATGCTTTTGACGGAAGCACCTGTGTGTTGTGATATACACAGCTTTGCATTAGACAGTTGGGTTACTAGCCAGCATTTTATACAACCTTAGAAGTTTTCCTGATGTCAAATTAGAGTATTTGCAGATGCAAAGAGCAAGGAATATCTGAAAATAATAAACTTAATGAAATGTTATCCCATCCCTGAATGGAGTGAGAGAAATGAAGAGATTAGATAAATTGGGCTTACTGGGGGTAGGATAAAAAGGGAAAACACCCCCTAGGAAAAGATCAGAACTGGAACACCAGGACGACAGGAATTTGGAGCAGGCCAGATAAGATCATTCTTTTAATTACAGTGTTTTAGAAGTTATCATCAGATGCTCAATAAGAAAAAAATTGAAATTCTATTACAGGACTTTATCTAAGAACTCGATATATATAGAGAGAGTTCTGCCTGAATAAACAGTATACTTAACCATATTTAACTTTTATTGTAGAATACATATTAAACAATTTGTAACAAATTCTTGTGAATCTTTATAAAGCTCCAAACTGAAGATCCCTTCTGAGGTTCTACATATATGTATGAATATAGACTTGCATATATATATATATATATATATATATATATATATACACATATATATACACATTATGTATGAAGTATATATAATACTTCATATCGTTGGATAAAATATGTGCTACCAATACATATATATATATATGCAGACAAATTTCCAAACTCTATGCTACACCTATGCTTCAATCCAAATGGGTTAAATATTATATTATATTATATTTATATAATATATTAATAGAATAAAATTGTATTAATTTGATATTACTTGTATTAAATTAATATAAATATGTTTACATTTTATTATATTAAAATACATGTTACCATATATGTATATAATATAATATAATGTATATAATACCATATTTTATCCAACAATATGAAATATTCTGGTGTTTAGAATGGGCTGCTTTAAATAATAAGTATCACTCATAAAAAATTTTTAATTATAATTCCATGTGAAGATCCCACACTTCACACCTTGCCTATATGGGGTAAAAGCCTATTGCTAAACAATTATTTTCCAGTTAATGCATATAAATTGTGGCATTCAGGGACAAATAAAAAAGATAAGAAAGTCTAGTTTTTTCCAACAAGTTTATGAGCTATTCTCAGCTGATAACTGTAGCGTTAAAAATCTAGTAGCTTCTCTGTAAGTAATTATTAATTAATTAGTTTCACTCTCTCCCTTGTGCTATCTAAGCTGAAGACATGCCCAAGATTTCAAAGAGTAAGTGACAGTAGAGTGACAACACTAGAGATGGCACTTGCCTTCCTTATTTATTCAGGATCTATTTAGAAAATATGTAGGCCATTTGAACGTATTCATTTATTTGTTTATTTCTACTCATGCATAGAGTGCTTCCTAGGGTCTTGTGCAATAAAGGGTAGGCGATGTTGTAAAGATGAAAACATAAGCAGATTTGGGAAAAGATGATGAAAATTAGCACTTTCAATTTAAGAGCTAAGCTATCCAATGAGGAACTCACAGGTACTAGAGTGACACCTGCCTCTGTGTGAAGCCAGGCAAAGCATGACACTGACAAGGACACTTGTGCTTGCTTAGGCTTCTTTGTTGGGAGAATTCAATCTGGAGGGCAGAGGTGAGGTAATTTCTGGCAAGGTGAATGTCATATGCAGAGGAATTGATGCATGAGAGATTTATGTGAGAAAAGGTAAATGATTCAGAACTGATAATGTCAGGGAGGGAGGCTGCAATGGACAGAAAAGAATGCCTTGAGGGAGAACATACATAATAAAAAGGAATTACATGTGAGAGGACAGAGACAGGAGCATGTTCATGCATTAAGTATAAGGTACCTTTACCCAGGGATGGGAGACAATTGACGGAAAGAGGGTGAGGGAGAGAAGAGAGAGTACACATTTGATAAAGCAATGTGTCAAGAGAAGAGGCTGGGCCAACTCTGTTCAGAGATGTTGTCTTTTTTCTGTGGAATAGGAGGTGCTTGAGAGGAGTGATAATGCTGTGGATTATTGGTGTGGGGAATCTCAGGGGAAGTGGACCGCAGGCAACTGCAGGCCAGTCAGAAATTAACAGGTGGGCAGAGACTGGAAGACAGAATAGCCACAGGGATGAAAGGGGGAAAAAGCAGATTTAAAAGGAATCGCTGGGGATAAACTGACAGTTTTTGTTACCAATAAGAAGGAGAATAAGCATTAGTGTGGAAGTATGGGAGTTGCCAAGAGCAAAAGAGGAATAAAAATTGAGGGATGAGAGTTTTCCAGTGAAAGTAGTGCTTTATTTTACATATGTCAGTATATAGGCATTGACTGGTTTAAACCAAAAAATTCATCTGTTTTTAATTTATAATATTATAAATTATAATAATTTCATATTATAATAATTTCATTCAAGCTAAACTGGCTGTCTATATACCTGTAGTACTGATGTTCTTGATTACAGAATAGAAACATAGGCCTTAAATAAAAGAGAAAGTAGAGGGGTTTGGGGAAGATGATGAAAATTAACACTTTCAATGTAAGAGCTAAGCTCTCCAATAAAGGAGAAAGAAGGTAGAAACTGCAGATGTAGTTAGCACCAGTGGTGGAGTCTGTTGAAATAAATCCCAATCCAACAGAAAGAAAAAGAACATTAGAGAAAGATTCAGTGAAATTTGAATAAATTTTGTAGTTTAGCTAAAATAGCATTATACCAAGATTTTTTTTTTAGTTTTAATAATTTTCCATGGTTTTGTTCAGATGTTAACATATGAAGAACCTGGCTAAAGATTGTATGGAAATTCCCTGGACTATTTTTCAGTTCTTCTGGAAGTCTAAAATTATCTCAAAATAAAATGCTAGAGGGAGAGGGAGGGAGGAACAGAGAGAGAGAGGGAGAGAGAGAGAGAGAGATTACGTCTAAAAGATAGACTTTAAAAATCATTGAAATCAAACCCATGATATAAAAACCTACATGATATAGCTAACAAGTGTAATGTAAATATAAAAATACAATAAAATAAGATTTTTATTGAACGTACAGGTCCTTCCTATTTTGAACATAAGAATTTGTAATTTTTGCCATGGTTTTAGTGCTTTATACAGTACTTAAAGTACTAACAGAAGTGATATTTATGATTAAACAGTAAATGGAATCACATGAAATATAGAATATAATTGAAGACCATGCAGAACTTGTACATTCTAATTAAAATCCAATTTAAAAATAAGAGAGAATGATCATTTTCCATTGTTTCAGGAGTCCCAAATGCTTGAAAGTGAAGATGAATAGAATGAAAAATATTGTGCTTTCTGTATGCTTCATGAAGGCTTTTCTTTGTAAGCAATAACAAAAGCATAAAGAAATAAAGTGGAAAGGCCACTGTTGGAATATCAATAGATGAAAGACCATGGTACTAAGTATAGCTATTAATAATCAAAAGCTCTGGAATCTAATGGTACCCCACAGATATTTGAGGAAGTATTATTTAGAGTTCTTTATCATCATGAAGTAAAAATGCAGTTAATTAGTCTGTAATATATTGAACTGTGTCATGGTATGAATAATTTTAATTGTTGTCAAAGTAAAGTGTTTCTATTCAAATCTTGCTGTTCACATTGAAATTCAAGTTCAGTAAAAGCTAGAAAGAGAAAGATAAAAATTGATTAAACTACCCAAATGATATTCTCTTTCCCTTTAAAAAGACCATCTATAAATGCCTCAAAATTAATAAACCTAGAGGACAATGTTTAACTAATTGTTATTATACAGTCTACAAAATCAAACTTATTTTGCATAAAATTTATTTCATATATTTTATCGTAAACATAGTTACTAAGTGTATATTATATATCAGATCTTGGCATTTGAGATAAATTAGTGATTACATAAAAGCAACATATCTCACAAAGCATATACTCTATTTAATTAGTTATAACTTTTTTGGTTACAATTAACTGAAAACACAACCCAAATCAGCTCAAGCTGAAAAAGTATTTGTTGACTGAAATAATCTCAAAATTCAAGGGATGGGACAAACAACACTTAAGCCTGGACTCTCATGTCTCTTCATATTTGAGCTCCATGCCTGCTTCTTGGATTTAATCTTAAGCATCAAATAGTATTAAATATGACATACCAAGGCTTTAGTCCCTAAACCATTTCAGATTTACAGTTTATGGATAAAAAGATAATTTTTTTTCTGAGAACTCAAACTTACACTTGAATTTCGTATTATTAGCTTTGAGGGATCATATGTCAATATCTGAATGATTTATTTTTCTAATAAATGTAAAGCAAGGATTAACTTACTTCTGGATTTTCACTCCTTCTGATACTGGGAGATGAAGTCGCATTTACAAAAAACGCATGGACTGGATTTTGATGGCCACAAATAGAGAGATACTACAGAAGGAAACTGTAGTACAATTAACATTGTTGTCCCAAAAAACAGTGGCTACTATATAATCAATTATTTTCTCTGAAAATAAAATAAGAATTTTATCAAATTCTTCTAGTAATGGAAATGGTTATATAGTATTAGGCACGTATATTGAAATGAAACTTTTGCCTTTTTAGGTAAAGATGAAGAAGAGAGTGAAATATTATACAACTTAAGAATTCATTCATTTACACACATACATACGCTTTCTTTCACTTTGGAAATTTAAACTGTTATACAGAAACATTTTCACTATTGGAGATACTTCTTAATGTATACAACTCTAGACTTAATGAGTTAAGTTTGGGAATGGGCCCTAAAACTAAGACTTTTTACAAGGGAGTTTGAGAGCACATATTGGCCAGAGACGCCACGAATTTGCTGGTCTCTGAAGCTTCCACTGATTTCAACCGTCTTCTGCATACCAGAATAAACTTCAGAAATATTAGATACAGCTGTCGAATTTGTTTTCTTTAAAATTCTGAGCGTTAGTTCCACCCAGCACATCCTTTCGGCTCTGAAGTTATGGAACCCTATCCTTTTCTTTTCTTTCTTTAGCCAAGTTTTAGCTATTTCTCACCGTCTGTCACAGTGATCACTTCCTTCCCTTTTAGCAGTTAATTCTTATATATTTAATTCCCTTTATTAACGCTCTTCTATTTGAAAAGCCAAGCAAAGATTCTCTTTGCCTCACTGAACTATAAGTACCACATAAGAATTATGAATGGAGGAGTTTCTATCGAGAATAATAAATTTTTTAAAAGTTACAAAAGGATTTCAAGGTAGAGTTACAGGAGATAATCTGAAATAATCATCAGCTAAATCGATATAGATCATAAAGTAATATGGAAATGTGATGAAAATAACGTAAAATACAATTATAAGATTGCCTTCTTTTGGGCCAGCTACTTTTTAAAAATCAAATTTAATCTAGTTTAATTTAATGAATCCATTTGTTTATAATTTTTAAAAAGATACTTTTTTCCCCTAAGTGTTTAGTTTTAACTATTACAGTTTAATACTCTGGAGGGTGTGTAAGTATATGTTTATATTTGTTATCCTTAGGACAGATTCAATTCAATTTTTTTTTTTTTTTTTTTTTTTTTTTGAGACAGAGTCTTGCTCTGTCCCCCAGGCTGGAGTGTAGTGGCGCGATCTCGGCTCACTGCAATCTCTGCCTCCCGGGTTCAAGTGATTCTGCCTAAGCCTCCTCAGTAGCTGGGATTGCAGGTGTGTGCCATCAGGACCAGCTAATTTCTGTATTTTTAGTAGAGATGGGGTTACACCACGTTGGCCAGGCTGGTCTCGAACTCCTGGCCTCAGGTGATGTGTCTGCTTCAGCCTCCTAAAGTGCTGGGATTACAGCTGTGAGCCACCACACCCGGCCAATGAATTTTTACTGTATATTTTTTTCTGCATTTAAGGTAAAGGACCACACAGTAAATCACAAAAATAACGTAAAGAATTTTGATAAATATATATATATATTTATCATGAAAATTAAAACATATTCAGAAATACTAGGCTTTACCTCATTTAAAACATAAGCTCGAATGTTGAAAAGTTATGATGATATCTTGGAAGTTCCAAAGAAAATTTCAAAGCATAAAAAGTTTAAGTAACATACAGGAGCATGGAAATTCATGCATCCCCTAACATCCTAAGAAAATTACAGTTTTTGCTGTCAAATGAAAGAAATGGGATTAATAGGTATTTTATTTATAAAGATTAATAGTCTACCGGATGAAATTGGGGAAAATATCTTAATGATTAATTTATTTCTTTTTTGGAAACATCTCAACCTTAAACCTTCTTTTGCTTTCATAGGAATTGGAGAAGCCAGTAACTGTAATTTTTAAAAATGAACCGTTTATTATAACCTCTAATACAAGAAATATTTTTTTTACTTTGGATCTCTTTACCTTAACCTTCATTTACATTCATCCACCTAATATTATGTTTATTACATCACTGAAAATAATTTAAGTGCTTTAAAAATTATTTTTTGCTAAAAATATAGAGTATTGAATTGCTTGGATTCTTTCCCCAGAACAAGGGTAATTTGCTTGTTGGTTTGAATTCCTCATGCAAGTTTCCCTACATTTATCATTTTCCCCTTTTAAGTTGAATAAAGAAACACACACACACACACCACACACATTTTCTTTCTTTTTTTTTTTTAATTATACTTTAAGTTCTAGGGTACATGTGCACAATGTGCAAGTTTGTTACATATGTATACATGTGCTATGTTGGTGTGTTGCACCCATTAACTCATCATTTACATTAGGTATATCTCCTAATGGTTTCCCTCCCCCCTCCTCCCGCCCCACTACAGGCCCCGATGACACACACATTTTCAATTAACTGGAGCTCTCATTAATTATGTTCCATTAACTAAAGTTTTACCATGCTTTAGAATTTGAATGTATATAATACATTGGAGATAAAAGGAAGAGATAATTTCCACATGTTTTAACCTAATTATTAACAAGAAACAATTATCCAGAAAAAAACATGCTCCATCCCTAGAACATACCCTCTCTCACCCAGGTAAAAATAGTGAAATAGATTCTGTATTTTTGAGTAAATAGTGAGTGAGATTACTTTAGATAAATACTTGTGTTAATTTTTTATTGCTGCTATGACAAATTACCACAAGTTTAGTGGCTTGAAAAAACACAAACACACTATCTTACAATTCTGCAGGTCAAAAGTCCAATAAGAAACACATTGGGCTAAAACCAAGGCATCAGCAATCCTGCATTTCCTTCTGGAGATTCTAGGGAAGAATCCATTTTCTTATTTTTTGAGTAGAGAGAGCCCACATTTCTTGGCTCATGGCCTCCTTCCTCCAGCCTCAAGCCCTTATCATGTCCCATCACCCTGGCCTCTTCTTCTTCTTGTGAACACCTGTGTCATTGCATTGAGACCACTCAGAAAATCCAGCATGATCTTTCTATTTCATGGTCATCTGAATTAGTTCCATCTGCAATCTTAATTTCACTTTTCCATGTTTACAGGTTCGGGGATTAAGACGTGGATGTGTCTGAGAGGCCGTTACCACTGTTAATAAAATTGATAACGGCGGAGCACGGTGGTTCACGCCTGTGATCCCAGCACTTTGGGAGGCCGAGGCGGGCGGATCACCAGGTCAGGAGATCGAGACCATCCTTGCTAACACGGAGAAACCCCATCTCTACTAAAAATAAAAAAAAAAAAGAAAATTAGCCGGGCGTGGTGGCGGGCACCTGTAGTCCCAGCTACTCGGGAGGCTGAGGCAGGAGAATGGCGTGAACCCGGGAGGCGGAGCTTGCAGTGAGCTGAGATCGAGCCACTGCACTCCAGCCAAGGGGACTGAGCGAGACTCCATCTCAAAATAAATAAATAAATGAATAAATAAAATAAAATTGATATCACATACAAACCACTAGACAGTGCAAACCAATAGAAGTTTTTGAAATGACAGAAGTGTTTTTATATCTGTGTGGTCCAATATGAAGAATAAGATTTGTATCTGAGGTTCAAGGGTCCAAAATTATTCTGGTGTCACTATTTTTCAATTTATATTCCTCTTCCATTCAAAATTCCTTGACCATGTTATTATTACTCCATTCGCCAACAAGTGTCCTTCGTTATCTGATCTGAAATCCGTGCATCTTAAATTGTTGATGAAAACATAAATATTACCTGAGGATTTTATTGTAATAGGAATTATCAAGTCTTAAGGAAACAGCACATTATATAAATTGTAGTATTAACCTTCAGTTTGAAGAGATGTTAGGGGAGGCAGAGGCATAATTCTGCTGATCCTGAAATCACCTCATTTTGGAAACACACTTCATCTATATTTAAAACTAACTCTAGTGCCCTGTTCTAATATACACGATAAGAACATTACTATTTATTCACCAAAAAAACCATTAAATGTAGTGGAAAGTCATTGCCAGAAGCAACTATTACAGGGCAATAATATGATAATAAATTACCTAATTTCTAGACTTTACTGTGTGTACATTCATTTAAACACAGACACACACTTATTTATATCACATGCAGACATGTAGTTATTAAACTTTTAAAATTGTATTATATAAACAATCTGTACATGAAATTAAAAGTCAAAATAAATACATCCATTTGCTTGACATTCAACTTAACAGTTATTTAAAAGCCACTTAATGCTAGACCAGAACTGTCCACTGAAAATATAATATAACCTGCATATGCAAATGAAAATGTCTTCATAGACACATGAAAAAGTAAAATAAAATAGGTGAAAAAATTTAAAAATATATTTTATTTAATGCCATATATAAACAATATTATTCTTTCAGTCTATAATAAATAGGAATAAATTATTTTACCTTTTGCATGCTGAGACTTGAAATTAGGATTTTTATTTTATACTTACAACATCTCTGAATTTAGAGTAGCCATAATTCAAGCACTCGATATAACATGAGGCTCATGGTTATCTTATGAACAGCTCAATATTAGACAAAGGAGGGATCCAATGACAGAAATGAAAATACTGTAACTTCAGCTTGTTTGCCTTCTAATGGAGTAAATTATGTACATATACAACTAAGACACAAAATATAACATCTTAAGATAAATTAGAACTGATATTTTACAAACAAAAGTGATGAAGAAACTAATTCCAATGAAGGGGACTATCAGTGATTTATAACTTTCTCTTTCATAACACAAAGTTATACTTTTTTCTGCAGAAGACATGTCTTATTTTCTCTCAATATGAAGTCCTTATTGATCATATTCAATTAACAAATAGAGACAGATTGAGAAATGACAGAACTATGGAGTAGTCATAACTGACTCTTTAATCTCAGCTCCTGGCATTACTAGCTGTGTGATTTTGGGTGAATTCCTGAATGCCTCTTTATGTCTAGGGTGATTAGACCTACTGCATAGAGCCATCATTGAATTGAATAAAACAATTCACCAGTGTAGTGCCTTTCATATAGTGGGTGTTTGAGAAATGTTAGATGTCTTCTATTCTTTCAAAACATACAGGCATTTTTCAAAAAGTCTATTTGTGTCTTGTTTATTTTGTGCCTACACTCAACAAATCTGTGGTTCTAAGTTGGAGCACATTTGTCTTCCAGAGCACTTTTGGTAACATTGGGAGACATCTTTGGCTGTCACCACTGAGGAGAGTCTCCTGGTATTAAGTGGGTAGAGGCCAGGGATATTGCTGAGTACCCCATGTTACACACAGTAGCATTTCCTACACCCATGCCCCAACAAAGAACTATCTGGAACCAAATGCACATATGACTGAGGTTAAGAAACTCTGCTCTAACTAAACAGCAAATAGAACTTTTTGAGAGTAGCATCTGTGATGGTTAATATTGACTGTCAACTTGATTGGATTGAAGGATGCAGAGTATTGTTCTTGGGTGTGTCTGTGAGGGTGTTGCCAAAGGAGATTAACATTTGAGTCAGTGGACTAGGAAAGGGGGGCCCACCCTCAATCTGAGCGGGCACCATCTACACAGCTGCCAGCATGGCTAGGATAAAAGCAGGCAGGGGAATGTGGAAAGACTAGATTGGCTAAGTCTTCTGGTCTCCATCTTTCTCCCATACTGGTTGCTTCCTGCCCTTGAACATCAGACTCCAAGTTTTACAGCTTTTGGATTCTTGGACTTCCACCAGTGGTTTGCCAGGGACTCTTGGGCCTTCAGCCACAGACTGAAGGTTGCACTATTGGTCACAGACTGAAGGTTGTCCTGTCGGCTTCCCTACTTTCAAGGTTTTGGGACTTGGACTGGCTTCCTTGCTCCTCAGCTAGCAGAGGGCCTATTTTGGGACTTCACCTTGTGATTATGTGAGTCAATTCTCCTTAATAAACTCCCCGTCACATATACATCTATCCTATTAGTTCTGTCTCTGAAGAACCCTAATGACAGCATCTATTATCCATAAACTTGATCATTTTAAAATTATTTTAGAATTTAAAAACCCAGTGCCACACTATGAATTCTATATTTGCAAAAATTTTAATTTTAAACTTTTCTGCTTAAATTCTTTTACCAAATACATCTTCACTTGCATTGTCCAGTTCTAGATCTCACACTTTATATAGTTTAAATTCATCTCTTCTGGGATTCAGTTCCACATAGGTTTTTTCCAATGTACTCATTTGGATGAGTTACTAATAATGCTTATTTTTTTGCTTAAAAAATCTCATGCATAAAAATTATTTTTAACTTTAGCCATAGGATTTTTAAAACATTTTCTTAAACTTTTCCAAGAGACAGGATGACAAATTCAAAAATGGCAAAATTAAATTCTGAGACATCTCTTATAATCAAATGAGGGAAGATCATATGCAGTAGAGTTTAATGATCCATTACAGTTTTAACAGCAGCATCACTTACAATCAGTGTTTTAAATATTTCCTCGGATTTTCCTTCTTTTCACCAAGGATCTTCCATTAATAGGAGGCAGAAGAAGATGCCAAGTTGGTGTTTCTAAGGACCTACTCTTCCAACATGATTTAGATTGAGATTGAAATTATCTCTTTATAGACTTATCAAGAAAGCAGGGGTAAGTTCCACACACTTATTAAGTCTTAAACACAGTTGAAAGTTTACTTAATTGCTAAATAGCACATTGCTCCTTAAATTAACTTGCAAGATTAATTTAAAAGCATTATTAGTTGTCAAAATTATGTCAATTTCTGCCAATTTATTTTTACGGTTGTATAGAGAACACACAGAACAGGACTGGGCTTTCCTTCTGCAAAAACTCAATTTAGTTGTATCATGGTGATGCAGGTGGGCCTGATTAGGCAAAGTGTTCAGAAGCAGAATTCAAACTTTTCTCTGAGCATGTCAAAAAGATTACACTAGACAAAGTTAAAGAGGTAAGAAAGACTTTAATCAAAACTAGTGAAATAGGAGGGTGAATTCAACTCTGCTGAAACAAAAGGCTGGAAGTATTTTAAGTGCTATGGGGAGTATAAAAGTACTGTAGGGCATAGGGAAGGGAATATGAGCAGTGGAATGTGTCACATATACTCAGCTATTCCTGAGATTGCAAACACTTTTCTCTGGGATGAGGCCTTCTGTGTTTGCTAAGTGGAGTTCAAGGTAAGGCTTCTGCCCTCCTACAGAGTCTAGGAGAGAGGGGTGCTACCTTCCTTCATGATTGCATTTCAAATGGATGACTCCCTGGTTCTTGTGAAAGATATTCCTGGATTGCAAAACTGTCAAAAGGCTGGGAGAAGATTTACACACATTTCAAAGCATCAGAGAAAGAGTAAATGCTCTAAGGAAAATGCAGTCAGGGGCCTAAAAGCAGGGAAAAAAGCCTGTCTAAAGTTTAGCAAACCTGAGGGGAATTTTAAGGCCACCTTGGTCATGTAGTACATATTCCTTGTGTGAAATTCATTGCAAAAGAATGGCTCTAATTCTTCACCCCTCCATTGATTCATGTTCCCTGTCATATGATTACAGCACCTCCCATTGAGAAGTTGAGTCTATTTTCTAAACCTTTGAATGTGGGCTAGCCTTGACTTGCTTGGCCAATAGACTGTCATAAAAGTTCCTGTTTGGTATCTCAGATTAGGCCTCGGAAGACGCTGCTTGATTCTCTTCTCAATCTCTCTCTCTCTTTCCCCCACCTTTATGACTGCCTCCGCCACAGGAACAAAGCCCAGCCAGTCTGCTGGAGGAAAAGAGACAATGTGTACCAGCTCAGGCCCTTCCACCGATGAGTAGATCTTCCCAACTGATTCCTAGACTTGTGAGAAAAATAAAAGTCAATTGTGCAGCAAATGAAGATTGTAATTGTTATGCAAAAATATCTAGGTTATACAGTGTTTGTGTTTCCATCTATTTCTCATCCAAGAGTTTTCAAAATGTATGATGGTCCAACCACTTGATGACAGAAAAGCAGAGAAGTCTGTGGTAATTAACACAAACTTTTCAATGCAGGTTAATTCTTGTTTCCATCATTACCGTATTTTTGTTTGCCATGTAGATAGCAAATACCCATCATGTTGGGGCCTTCTGAATTTTTTTTGTCTTCTTCTGCCAAAACAGACTCACATCTAAAACAAACATATTCTAGATTGACTAGTAACTCAAGAATGCCAACAAACCAAAAATTACCTAATCAGAAAACATTTAAGAGAAATGTCATTGCAAATTGTTACATATATAGAGCATATTATATTCATTTTATTACACTGTGTGTAATTATTTATATTTGAAGATGAAGTTGCTTTTATATACACTTAGCTTTCCGAAGCCTCCCATAACCTTTTATCCAATCTAAATAGTGAAGAAAATAAAATATTAAGTTATAATCAACAAGTTAATGTGTTCTAATTCTGTTTCTCTTTCTTTCCCACAAACATACTGAGTGTATAAATAATGAACTAATGTTTTTTAACAAAAAAACCAAGAGGATGTATAATTTCTAATTTTAGGACAAGAATGGCTGAAGTATGTCTTATTTTATAGGCATTAAGAAAAGACTAAACATATAAAAAATGTACTCTTTGAGGATAACAGATCAGTTAATTTTTAATATTTACTTGACAATTAGAGGAAATGTCTGGATTACTGTCCAAGTCCTTCCATATATGTGTGACCTTGGGTTATTTCCATTTTCTTTTAGATCATTTTTAATTGCAGATGTTATTTTTCTCTAGGGGCTCAGTATAACAATTTTAACAATTCCATATCCATATCCATTCTTCTTATGGGGTTATTCACTATTCTCTAATCATGTAATTGACTTTTATATGCTGTTAAATGGATGTGAAATAATGATGTACTAAAACAATTGGTCACATGCATTTGTCTCTATCTGTAATCTGAATCTCCTGAAAATCATTTTTTCCATTCTTTAATTACAGAAATATAAGACTACCTTCAAGGGTGAAGAATTAGAAAAATGTAAGGACCCTACTGGAACAATGAAAACATGATATTGGAAATGAGAATTTCACTTTAAGCATGGAATTAATTTAAATACAGGGACAATAAGTATATCACTGGAACTTAAGTTTTTGATCATTCAGGTGTTTCGCTGTGTAAATCACCTTCTCTTTACTAGTAAGAGAAGCTAGAAGATAAACAAATTTTTATCAAGGTCTTAAAATTCTTATCTATTTTTCCCCTCCACCTCCCTTTTCTCCTCCCCTTCTTCTTTTGCTACTTAATTAGATTAAGAAGTCTCAAGTGAGACTAAAAACTTGACCCTACACTATCAGACTGGATTTCCTGTATCAAATTTTCTTGTCGTTCATTCTAAAAAACAAAACAAAACACAAATGAATTGTTATTTGCTGATAAGTTATATTGTTACCCATCTAAATATAAACTTTTATGACTATCAAAAATTGTGAAACTTTATCAGGTTAAGACAGATCATCAAGAATGACTACCATGAGAAATTATGCTGGTTAAAGATTGTAATCCTTGTTTATCCCTTCAAATGTATTTATGTTTCACAAGACCACTGAGGTTTTCCGCCTAAAGCTCAGCTTCTGTGTCGCAAACAATAAATAAACAAATAAACACAAATGGTTTTTAAATGAACATTACAATTTACTAATTCAATTTTGAGAAAAAAAATTTAAAAATAAGCTTGAAAATAATCAGTTGAAAAAGTATTTCTGACAGTATTAAACTTATTTAAATCACCTCTCCCAAATACTGATCCCTTTTGTAGTCTCCTATAGGTTCCTAAGGAAATCGTTTTTCCTTTTACCATTATTATTATCAATCAAAGTTAGTTATTCACTTCTACTCTTTTCTTGGTACTCTCCAGGAATATATACAGAAGACTTTCCTCTTTTCTAGTGAAGAATACTCACATTTAAAATTCAACATTGGAAATATTATAATAATGATATATACTGTATGATTCATGTAACAAGTGTGTTTAGCATTTAGTATTCAATGTTGAGTATAATTATTTGGATAGGTATTTTGCATAAGTCCCATTTAAATATTTCCTTGAGAGCAAGGATTATAATATCTATAGCTATATGATGTTGAAAGTGTTTTTGATCTGTTTAATTTTTTGAATTTACAAAATCAGGATGGTAAGGCATCTACATCATTGGGCTGTTGGGTGAATTTAATAATAACTTAGAGCACAGACCAGAAAACAGAAGGAGCTGCTAGAGTAATGGTACTATTATTCTGCCTATAAATCCCGGATCATGAGGATGTCTTGTGCCTTACCGATACTGCATACATTTGGTTAAATGAATAATGATACATTGTTTCCATTCAAAGAGGCATTACAGCATCCTGTAAAGTGGGCTGAGCTACACTCAACTGGTTTTGAGCCCAAGCTCCACAAGCCCAAGCTTGCTGGCCCATAAAGAAGTTTTCTTTGCTGTTTTAATGCTCTCAGCTGCACTGTCTGTATCTGTAAAATGAGGGATACACTAAAACCTGCAGCACCAGATGGTGTAAGCTTAGATAATTTTATTAATGTAAAAACAGTATAATTATTAATATAAAATACTGTACTCATCATATAGAAGTAATCATTATAATGATATTTATTAGATTTCATAAGTAATTTGGCCCCCTGCTTTTTCGGAATTTGATGCTACATAACATGGAAAAGCAAGATGGTGCTGTTTTTGTTGTTGTTCTTACATTTCTTATGATGTATTTTTCACTTTCTGTTTTTTAATATGGTAGTAGTAGTAACTGTTGTTGTTTTAAATGTTTAACATTTAACATTTCATAATGTTGTTGCCAAGAGAGACAACACTGAAGTTGTATTAGTCCATTTTCACACTGCTATAAAGAGTACCTGATACTGGGTAATTTATAAAGGAAAGAGGTTTAATTGACTCAAAGTTCCGCATGGCTTGGGGGGCGTCAGGAAACTTACAATCATGGTAGAAGGCGAAGGGGAAGCAAGGCACATCTTCTCATGGCAGCAGGAGAAAAGAGAAAGTGCAGGGGAAACTGCCACTTTTAAAACCATCAGACCTTGTGAGAACTCCGTCACTATCACGTGAACAGCATGGGGGAAACTGCCCCTATATTCCATCACCTCCCACCAGGTTTCTCCCTGGACACACGGGAATTACAATTCAACACGAGATTTGGGTGGGGACAAAGAGCCAAACCATAACAAAGGCTTAAACAAAACTGGTCTCATAACTAGGCAAGACTTGGAAACCAGTAGTGCCTTCCAGAGCCCAGGCAGAATCCTGCTAATTAGACTCTCCTGTCTTCCCATGCATGCCCCCTTTTTCTTGAAATTCACTGACTCTGATACCCAAGCACAATTGAGACTTCTGAACATACCTCATCTTTGTTTGTTTCTTTCTATCCCCAACCCATTCACACAAATTTGCTCTCTCTCCTCAGCCTGCGCATCCCACATAAATATATGAGAGTGCATCTAATTTGCAAACACTATATAGAAAAACATATAATTTTTTTTTATTCTTAGAACGCTGAGCACATTTCAACTATGTTCTTAGATGTGGGTTAGGAAGGAACTGTACATGGCACTTTACACAACATTTAAAATTTTTAGCATATATATTTTCAATCAATCCCAAAAGGCAGATCTACTGGTCAGAATTTTTTTTTTAATTTCCATAGGTTATTGCGGAACAGGTGGTGTTTGGTTACATGAGTCAGTTCTTTAGTGGTGATTTGTGAGATTTTGGTGCACACACCACCTGAACAATATATGCTGCACCCTATTTGTATTCTTTTGTCCCTCACCCCCTTCCCACCATTTTCTCTGGAGTCCTCAAAGTCTATTGTGTCATTGTTATGCCTTTGCATCCTCACAGATTAGCTCCCAGGTATGATTGAGAACATACAATGTTTGGTTTTCCATTCCTGAGTTACTTCATTTGGAATAATAGTCTCCAATCTCATCCAGGTTGCTGCGAATGCCATTAATTCATTCCTTTTTATGGTTGACTAGTACTCCATCGGATATATACACCACAGTTTCTTTATCCACTAGTTGATTGGTGGGCATTTGGATTGGTTCCACATTTTTGCAATTGAAAATTGTGCTGCTATAAACATGCATGTGCAAGCATCTTTTGTATAATGACTCATTTTTCTCTGGGTAGATACCTGGTAGTGGGATTGCTGGATCAAACGGTGGTTCTTTTACTTCTTTAAGGAATCTCCATACTGTTTTCCACAGCGATTGTACTAGTTTACATTTTCACCAGCAGTGTAGAAGTGTTCCCCACTCACTGTATCCATGCCAACATCAACTATTTTTTGATTTTTTGATTATGGCCATACTCGTGGGAGTAAGGTGGTATTGTATTATGGTTTTGATTTGCATTTCCCTGATCATTAGTGATGTTAAGCAGTTTTTCAAATGTTTGTTGGCCATTTGTACATCTTCTTTTGAGAATTGTCTATTTATGTCCTTTGCCCACATTTTGAGGGGATTCTTTGTTTTTTTTTTCTTTTTCTTGCTGATTTGTTTAATTTCACTATAGATTCTGGATATTAGTCCTTTCTCAAATCTATATATTGTGAATATTTTCTCCCACACTGTGGGTTGTCTATTTACTCTGCTAACCATTCCTTTTGCCGTGCAAAAGCTTTATTTATGCATTTATTTATTTTATTTATTTATTTATTTTAAGACGGAGTTTCGCTCTTGTTGCGCAGGCTAGAGTGCAATGGCGTGATCTCGCCTCGCTGCAGCCTCTGACTCTGAGGTTCAAGTGATTCTCCTGCCTCAGCCTCCAAGTAGCTGGGATTACAGGCATGTGCCACAATGCTCAGGTAAGTTTTGTATTTTCAGCAAAGATGGGGTTTCTCCATGTTGATCAGACTGGTCTTGAACTCCCAACCTCAGGTGATCCACCCGCCTAGGCCTCCCAAGGTGCTGAGATTACAGGCGTGAGCCACCGCACCCAGCTGCAAAAGTTTTTTAGTTTAATTAAGTCTCAGCTATTTATCTTTGATTTTATTTCATTTGTTTTTGGGTTCTTGGTCATAACATTCTTGCCTGAGCCAATGTCTGGAAGGATTTTTCCAATGTTATCTTCTAGAATTTTTATACTTTTAGGTCTTAGATTTAAGTCCTTAATCCATCTTGATTTGAATTTTGTATAAGGTGAGAGATGAGGATCAAGTTTCAGTCTCCCACAATCAGTTGTTGAAAAGGGTGTCCTTTCCTCACTTTATGTTTTGGTTTGCTTTGTTGAAGATCAGTTGGCTGTAAGTATTTGGGTGTATGTCTTTAGGTTCTCTATTTTGTTCCATTGGTCTATATGCCTTTTTTTATACCAACACCATGCTGTTTTGGTAATTATAGTCTTGTAATATAGTTTGAAGTCAAGTAATGTAATGCCACCAGATTTGTTCTGTCTGTTTAATCTTGCTTTGGCTATGTGGGCTTTTCTTTGGCTTCATATGAAATTTTTCATAGTGCCAGTATAATCATTTTATTTAACAACAGATATTTGTAAAAGAAATATCTAATAAAGAACTGCTATCCAAAATACACAAAGAACTCTTAAAACTCAAATATAACAAACAATCCAATTTAAAAAGTGGGTCAAAGACGTTAACAAACACCTCACCAAAGAAGATATACAAATGGCAAATAAGCATTTGTTTTTTGTTTGTTTCTGTTTTTATTATTATTTATTTTTATTTATTTATTTATTTTTTGCTTTTCTTTTTTTTAATTATACTTTAAGTTCTAGGGTACATGTGCACAACGTGCAGGTTTCTTACATATGTATACATGTGCCATGTTGGTGTGCTGCACCCATTAACTCATCACTTACATTAGGTATATCTGCTAATGCTATCCTGCCCCCCTCCCCCCACCCCACGACAGGCATCAGTGTGTGATGTTCCCCACCCTGTGTCCGAGTGTTCTCATTGTTCAATTCCCACCTATGAGTGAGAACATGTGGTGTTTGGTTTTCTGTCCTTGCGATAGTTTGCTCAGGATGATTGTTTCCAGCTTCATCCATGTTGCTACAAACGACATGAACTCATCTTTTTTATGGCTGCGTAGTATTCCATGGTGTATACCTGCCACATTTTCTTAATCCAGTCTATGATTAATGGACGTTTGGGTTGGTTCCAAGTCTTTGCTATTGTGAATAGTGCCACAATAAACATACGTGTGCATATATCTTTGTAGCAGCATGATTTATAATTCTTTGGGTATATACCCAGTAATGGGATGGCTGGGTTAAATGGTATTTCTAGTTCTAGATCCTTGAAGAATCGCCACACTGTCTTCCACAATGGTTGAACTCGTTTACAGTCCCACCAACAGTGTTAAAGTGTTCCTATTTCTCCACATCCTCTCCAGCACCTGTTGTTTCCTGACTTTTTAATGATCACCATTCTAACTGGTGTGAGATGGTATCTCATTGTGGTTTTGATTAGCATTTCTCTGATGGCCAGTGATGATGAGCATTTTTCCATGTGTCTTTTGGCTGCAAAAATGTCTTCTTTTGAGAAGTGTCTGTTCATATCCTTTGCCCACTTTTTGATGGGATTGTTTGATTTTTTTCTTGTAAATTTGTTTAAGTTCTTTGTAGATTCTGGATATTAGTCCTTTGTCAGATGGGTAGATTGTAAAAATTTTCTCCCATTTTGTAGGTGGCCTGTTCACTCTGATGGTAGTTTCTTTTGCTGTGCAGAAGCTCTTTAGTTTAATTAGATCCCATTTGTCAATTTTGGCTTTTGTTGTCATTGCTTTTGGTGTTTTAGTCATTAAGTCCTTGCCCATGCCTATGTCCTGAATGGTATTGCCTAGGTTTTCTTCTAGGGTTTTTGTGGTTTTAGGTCTAACATTTAAGTCTTTAATCCATCTTGAATTAATTTTTATATAAGGTGTAAGGAAGGGATCCAATTTCAGCTTTCTACATATGGCTAGCCAGTTTTCCCAGCACCATTTATTAAATAGGGAATCATTTCCCCATTTCTTGTTTTTGTCAGGTTTCTCAAAGATCATATGGTTGTAGATGTGTGGTATTATTTCTGAGGCCTCTGTTCTGTTCCATTGTTCTATATCTCAGTTTTGGTAACAGTACTATGCTGTTTTGGTTACTGTCTCCCTGTAGTATAGTTTGAAGTCAGGTAGCGTGATGCCGCCAGCTTTGTTCTTTTGGCTTAGGATTATCTTGGCAATGTGGGCTCTTTTTCAGTTTCATATGAGCTTTAAAGTAGTTTTTTTCCAATTCTGTGAAGAAATCCATGAGCATGGAATGTTCTTCCATTTGTTTGTGTCCTCTTTTATTTCATTGAGCAGTGGTTTGTAGTTCTCCTTGAAGAGGTCCTTCACATCCCTTGTAAATTGGATTCCTAGGTATTTTATTCTCTTTGAAGCAATTGTGAATGTGGATTCACTCATGATTTGGCTCTCTCTTTGTCTGTTTTTGGTGTATAGGAATGCTTGTGATTTTTGCACATTGATTTTGTATCCTGAGACTTTGCTGAAGTTGCTTATCAGCTTAAGATTTTGGGCTGAGATGATGGGATTTTCTAAATATACTATCATGTCATCTACAAACAGGGACAATTTGACCTCCTCTTTTCCTAATTGAATACCCTTTATTTCTTTCTCCTGCCTGATTGCCCTGGCTAGAACTTCCAACACTAAGTTGAATAGGAGTGGTGAGAGAGGGCATCCCTGTCTTGTGCCCATTTTCAAAGGGAATGCTTACAGTTTTGCCCATTCAGTATGATATTGGCTGTGGGTTTGTCATAAATAGCTCTTATTATTTTGAGATACATCCCATCAATACCTAGTTTATTGACTGTTTTTAGCATGAAGGGCTCTTGAATTTTGTTGAAGGCCTTTTCTGTATCTATTGAGATAATAATGTGTTTTTGTCTTTGGTTCTGTTTACATGATGGATTACATTTAATGATTTGCATATGTTGAACCAGCCTTGCATCCCAGGGATGAAGCCAAGTTGATCGTGGTGGATAAGCTTTTTGATGTGCTGCTGGATTGAGTTTGCCAGTATTTCACTGAGGATTTTTGCATCGATGTTCATCAGGGATATTGGTCTAAAATTATCTTTTTCTGTTGTATCTCTGCCAGGCTTTGGTATCAGGATGATTCTGACTTCATAAAATGAGTTAGGGAGGATTCCCTCTTTTTCTATTGATTGGAATAGTGTCAGAAGGAATGGTACCAGCTCCTCTTTTTACCTCTGGTAGAATTTGGCTGTGAATCTGTCTGGTTCTGGACTTTTTTTGGTTGGTAGGCTATTAATTATTGCCTCAATTTCAAAGCCTGTTATTGGTCTATTCAGGGATTTAACTTCTTTCTGGTTTAGTCTTGGGAGGGTGTATGTGTCCAGGAATTTATCCATTTCTTCTAGATTTTCTAGTTTATTTGCGTAGAGGTGTTAATAGTATTCTCTGATGGTAGTTTGTATCTCTGTGGGATCAGTGGTGATATACCCTTTATCATTTTTTATTGCATCTATTTGATTCTTCTCTCTTTTCTTCTTTGCTAGTCTTGCTAGTGGTCTATCAATTTTCTTGATCTTTTCCAAAAAACCAGATCCTGGATTCTTTGATTTTTTTTGAAAGGTTTTTTGTGTCTCTATCTCCTTCAGTTCTGCTCTGATCTTAGTTATTTCTTGCCTTCTGCTAGCTTTTGAATGTTTTTGCTCTTGTTTCTCTAGTTCTTTTAATTGTGATGTTAGCATGTCAATTTTAGATCTTTCCTGCTTTCTCGTGTGGACATTTAGTGCTATAAATTTCCCTCTACACACTTCTTTAAATGTGTGCCAGAGATTCTGGTATGTTGTGTCTTTGTTCTCATTGGTTTCAAAGAACATCTTTATTTCTGCCTTCATTTCGTTATGTACCCAGTAGTCATTCAGGAGCAGGTTGTTCAGTTTCCGTGTGGTTGAGTGGTTTTGAGTGAGTTTCTTAATCCTGAGTTCTAGTTTGATTGCACTGTGGTCTGAGAGACAGTTTGTTATAATTTCTGTTCTTTTACATTTGCTGAGGAGTGCATTACTTCCAATTACGTGGTCAATTTTGGAATAAGTGTGACGTGGTGCTGAGAAGAATGTATATTCTGTTGATTTGGGGTGGAGAGTTCTGTAGATGTCTATTAGGTCCACTTGGTGCAGAGCTGAGTCAATTCCTGGATATCCTTGTTAACTTTCTGTCTCGTTGATCTGTCTAATGATGACAGTGGGGTGTTAAAATCTCCCATTATTATTGTGTGGGAGTCTAAGTCACTTTGTAGGTCTCTAAGGTCTTGCTTTCTGAATCTGGGTGCTCCTGTATTGGGTGCATATATATTTAGGATAGTTAGCTCTTCTTGTTGAATTGATCCCTTTACCATTATGTAATGGCCTTCTTTGTCTCTTTTGATCTTTGTTGGTTTAAAGTCTGTTTTATCAGAGACTAGGATTGCAACCCTTGCTTTTTTGTTGTTTGTTTTCCACTTGCTTGGTAGATCTTCCTCCATCCCTTTATTTTGAGCCTATGTGTGTCTCTGCATGTGAGATGGGTTTCCTGAATACAGCACACTGATGGGTCTTGACTCTTTATCCAATTTGCCAGTCTGTGTCTTTTAATTAGAGCATTTACATTTAAGGTTAATATTGTTGTGTGTGAATTTGATCCTGTCATTATGATGTTAGCTTGTTATTTTACTCATTAGTTGATGCAGTTTCTTCCTAGCATTGATGGTCTTTACAATTTGGCATGTTTTTTCAGTGGCTGGTACCAGTCCTTTCCATGTTTAATGCTTCCTTCAGGAGCTCTTGTAAAGCAGACCTGGTGGTGACAAAATCTCTCAGCATTTGTTTGTCTGTAAAGGATTTTATTTCTCCTTCACTTATGAAGCTTAGTTTGGCTGGATATGCAATTCTGGGTTGAAAATTCTTTTCTTTAAGAATGTTGAATATGGCCCCCCACTTTCTTCTGGCTTGTAGAGTTTCAGCTGAGAGATCCACTGTTAGTCTGATGGGCTTCCCTTTGCAGATAACCCAACCTTTTTCTCTGGTTGTCCTTAACATACTTTCCTTCATTTCAACTTTGGTGAATCTGAAAATTATGTGTCTTGGAGTTGCTCTTCTCGAGGAGTATCTTTGTGGCATGGCATTCTCTGTATTTTCTGAATTTGAATGTTGGCCTGCCTTGCTAGGTTGGGGAAGTTCTCCTGGATAATATCCTGAAGAGTGTTTTCCAACTTGCTTCCGTTTTCCCAGTCACTTTCAGGTACACCAATCAGACGTAGATTTGGTCTTTTTATATAGTCCCATATTTCTTGGAGGCTTTGTTCATTTCTTTTTACTCTTTTTTCTCTAAACTTCTCTTCTCACTCCATTTCATTCATTTGATCTTCAATCACTGATACTCTTTCTTCCACTTGATCAAATCAGCTACTGAAGCTTGTGCATGTGTCATGTAGTTCTCATGCCATGGTTTTCAGCTCCATCAGGTCATTTAAGGTCTTCTGTATGCTGTTTATTCTAGTTAGCCATTTGTCTAATCTTTTTTCAAGGTTTTTAGCTTCTTTGCGATGGGTTCGAACATCCTCCTTTAGCTTGGAGAAGTTTGTTATTACCGATCGTCTGAAGCCTTCTTCTCTCCACTCGTCAAAGTCGTTCTCTGTCCAGCTTTGTTCCATTGCTGCCAAGGAGCTGTGATCCTTTGGTGGAGAAGAGGCACTCTGATTTTTAGAATTTTCAGCTTTTCTGCTCTGGTTTCTCCCCATCTTTGTGGTTTTATTTACCTTTTGTCTTTGATGATGGTGACATACAGATGGGGTTTTGGTTTGGATGTCCTTTCTGTTTGTTAGTTTTCCTTCTAACAGTCAGGACCCTCAGTTACAGGTCTGTTGGAGTTTGCTGGATGTCCACTCTAGACGCTGTTTGCCTGGATATCACCAGCAGAGGCTGCAGAACAGCAAATATTGCAGAACGGCAAATGTTGCTGCCTGATCCTTCCTCTGGAAGCTTCATCTCAGAGGGGCACCTGGCTGTATGAGGTGTCAGTAGGCCCCTTCTGGGAGGTGTCTCCCAGTTAGGCTACTCAGGGTCAGAGACCTGCTTGAGGAGGCAGTCTGTCTGTTCTCAGATCTCAAACTCGGTGCTGGGGGAACCACTACTCTCTTCAAAGCTGTCAGACAGGGATGTTTATGTCTGCAGAAGTTTCTGCTGCCTTTTATTCGCTATGCTTTCCCCCCAGAGGTGGGTCTACAGAGGCAGGCAGGCCTGCCTGAGCTGCAGTGGGCTCCACCCAGTTCGAGCTTCCAGGCCGCTTTGTTTACCTACTCAAGCCTCAGCAATGGAGGATGCCACTCCCCCAGCCTTGCGGCTGCCTTGCAGTTTGATCTCAGACTGCTGTGCTAGCAGTGATCGAGGCTCTGTGGGCATGGAACCCTCTGAGCCATGTGCGGGATATAATCTCCTGGTGTGCCGTTTCCTAAGATTGTTGGGAAAGCGCAGTATTAGGGTGGGAGTTTCCTGATTTTCCAGGTACCTTCTGTCACAGATTCCCTTGGCTAGGAAAGGGAATTCCCCGACCCCTTGCGCTTCCCAGGTGAGGCGATGCCCCACCATGCTCCGTGGACTGCACCCACTTTCCAACAAGCCCCAGAGAGAGGAACTCAGTACCTCAGTTGGAAATGCAGAAATCACCTGTCTTCTGCGTCCCTCACACTGGGAGCTGTAGACTGGAGTTGTTCCTATTTGGCCATCTTGCTGAGTAATCATCATATGAATTTTAGAATTTTTTTTTCTTGTTTTGTGAAGAATGATGGTGGTATTTTGACAGGAATTGCATTAAACTTGTAGATTTATTTTCGCAGTATGATCATTTTCGCAATATTGATTCTACCCATTCATAAGCAGAGTATGTCCTTCCATTTGTTTGTGTCATCTATTATTTCTTTCAGCAGTGTTTTGTAGTTTTCCTTGTAGAGTTCTTTCCCCTCCTCAGTTAGGTATATTCCTATGTATTTTTTTGTTTTTTGAAGCTATTGTAAAAACGGTTGAGTTCTTGATTTGATTGTCTGCTTGGTTGCTATTGGTGTATAGAGGAGCTACTGATTTTTGTGCATTAATTTTGTATGTGGAAACTTCGCTGAATTCTTCTATCAGTTCTAAGAGCTTTCTGGAAGAATCTTTAGGGTTTTCTAGGTAAACAATCATATCATCAGTTAAGTTTGACAAGAGGGATACTAGATCTTCCTGAAGGTGAATATATTTGGTGTTAAAAGTAGGATTTTGTAAAAAAAATAAAAACAACAACAACCATATTTTATTATCAATAAGACTGTAATTCATCTATGTAAAAGACAATTTCATTAAGTAAAAAAAAAATTAATTGTATGAGATCCCATGTTTTGTGATGGACACAATTTCTACCAAGAATTCACTTGACTCCTTGTATCCAAGTAAGATACATTAGTTGGCTTAAATAAATTGCTTTTCTCTCTACAGAATGCCAGACCAGTGTGACTAATGGAGCAAGAAGCTGGGGTAAGTGATAATATTAATGTAAATGCAGTAATCAAATTCATTGATCCCTTCAACTTCCTACAAGTGTAAAATCACAAAATTTTACTCATTCATTACTGTGTCAGTTTCCTTCATTATGAAATTTATCATCAAGTTTATATTATGGAAAAGCTACAGTTCATCTTCAGCAATACATTAAACTACCCATCTCTGTTTGGTTAAAAGCTGTGTTTCCCTCCCATGTAACATAAAATAATCAAACACTGTCTCTGTTAAAGGCGTTATTTTTCTCTTCTTTATCACCTATAGAATTGAGAAATTTTTATATTAACATATTATGAAGAGAATCTTTATCATTTGGAATAAAAAGCACAAATCTCCAAAGAAGCTATGCTATTTAAACAGGATTCTACTATAACTTGTTAGACTTCCAATATTTGCACTGTCCCCACATTCTTGATGCAATGTACCACAGGAAGTGTATGCCTAGGAAATATTTACATGAGAAAATGTTTATCAAATTTGTTGCAGAGAAGACGGAATCTCATCTCTGTTTTCATCAGCAAAGAGCTGTATTGGGAATTAATAGCCTTTAACAGCATAAAATCTTGACAAATTTGTCCTTCAATTTAAAGTATATTTATATATTATGATATTATTTTTAAAACTCATATAAATTATTGGTGCAGTTAAATAGATTTTTCAAAATATTAAGATACTTAGGATTAAAAATATAAGTTGAAAGTTGTTTTAGGTCACCTTCTGCCACCAAGAAGGCTATGAATAACTAATTATTAGATGGAGGGCAAACTATAAACTACAGTTGAACCTTGAACAATGGGGTTGGAGGCACCTCCCTGCCACACAGTAGAAAATCCATATACAGCTTTTGACTCCCCCAAAACTTAAGTGCTAATTGCTTATTTGCATGGTGAAAAATTCATTTAACAAATATCAAATTATTGCACATTTTATTGCTTTTGTTGTTTTGCTCTTATACATAATATTTGATGAATATCTTTATAGATAGCTCTTTCAATATATCCATGCCCATTTCTAAGCTGTATTTCTTTTGATATCCACAGTTTGCCCTCCAGAAATCTTATCCTAATTTATTCTCAACAGCCTTTTTATCAAAGTACCCATTTTTCCAAATACCCTTGACAATATTCGATATTGAAATTTGTCTGTACATTTTTCCTCCTCTATCTTTTGCAATTTGGAATATCAGGTTAATACTAGAATATATAAATAAATTTGAAACATCTTTTTCTGTGCTTCAGATCAGACTAAAAAGGGAAAGAATTATCTGTTTCTTTACGATTTAAAAAGCATTCTGTCATTAAATTAGGAGAGATTGATACAGAAAATAGCATAATATACAAAACTATTGTTATATTCTGATTTTTATTTGTTAGGTGATCTTTGTTCATTTATATATTCCCAGAAATTTGTTCATTTTTCCAAATTTGAAATTTATTAGTAGAAACTTTGACATCAAAAAGACTTACAACTTTTAAATTTTTCAATATGAGTATATTACTGTTTTAATTTTTCATAGCATGAAATTCATTTATCTCTTTTTTTTGAATTACAATTAGCAGAGTTTGGTTTATTTTTATATCAATCTTAAAAAATAGTGCTTGTGTTTCTCTATTAGTCCTTCTGGATTTGCTATTGTTTTTGCAATTAAAATTATAAATTTCCACCGAGTATTACTTTGGTGGGTTTTCCATGTTTTAACACATAGTATTCTCATTAATTTTATCTTTCAAACATTACATAACTCTTTAGTTTCACAAATATATGAAGGGTGGGCACAGTGGCTCACACCTGTAATTCCAGCACTTTGGGAGGCCAAGATGGGCAGACCACTGGAGGTCAAGAGTTGGAAACAAGCCTGGCCAACATGGTGAAAACCCATCTCTACTTAAAAATACAAAAATTAGCTGGGTGTGGTAGCACACACCTGTAGTCCCAGCTACATGGGAGGCTGAAACATGAGAATCGCTTGAACCCAGGAGGTGGAGGTGGAGCTGGCAATGAGCTGAGATGTCATCACTGCCCTCCAGCCTGGGCAACAGAGTGAGACTCTGTCTCAAAAAGAAAAAAACATATATAAAAAAAATGCTGAAAAAGCAAATCACCAAGATTCCACAACTCACCAGTACCCTTTAGTAAATACTGTTGAATGAAAATTGAAAGTTTCATCTCAGTTTTGTTCAGAAGCATTTTTCTTAGGCACCGTGTTATTTTTTGGTTTGTTTTCACTTAGTCTCAAGCATAGTAAGACCTATACACATGCAGCGTTTGTTTAACAGTGTACCGTAGTAGTTCAGCTACTACAAATAGCTTTCAGTACATTTGAGGGGGCATTGACAAGCTGCAGTTGTCTTGGCAAAGCGGCCTCCTCTTTTTCCAACATCTTATTCTGATAAAATGCATCTTATTGATTCCTTGATAAATGTGAATTCTCGTGATGCTCTTACACTGGGGTCCTTTCTATCTCAGTTCCATATTATACCTTATACATGGTTTCTATTTTTCCGGAATGCCAATCTACTTACTCTTCTCTTGCATCTGTTTCCTAAGGTTTTCATTCTCTGCATAAATTTAGAAATATTGTTTGTCATGAGATGAGAGATAAAAAGAAGGAGTACACTACTGATGCCTTCACAAAGCAGCCCCTGTGTGGTACTGATACTTAGGTCCTAAACCAAAACATCCTAACTAGTTGTGTGACAGAAGAATTCTAAAGATCTAAGTCATCCATATAAGCAGTTACTCTCCTATGTATTCTATACTGTTACTAGCTCTATGCTCTTGTTGGTATAATTGAGAAAATAGTCACTCCTATAATTTATTGTATTCAGTGCTTCAAATGAGGAGCCTTATTTGAGAAAGGCTGGTTGTCAAGAGCATGGAGATATTCGTAACCCTGTGCTACCAAGGTGGGGAAACCATGGTTGTAGAGGGACAGCGACACAGAACACAGCTTTCTTGTTACAGAAATCTATCTAGGTATCTGGGTCATAAATCAGACTTTGAGAGAAATGGGAAGTGTCAGCTTATCTTTTTCACATAAATGTTTATGAAGTAAATTGGCTTATGTTACACAGTTGTGCCTATATAGGTTTTCCTCCATTAACTACTTTAAAAACATTTTTAGTGACTATACTATCTGGATTCTGGTTTTTAAATTGTTTTTTTAATTTATTTATTTTTTTGAGATGGAGTCTCGCTCTGTCACCCAGGCTTTATATATTCTAGTATTAGAATTTATATATTCTAGTATTAACCTGGCAGCAACGAGTGCAGTGGCGCGATCTTGGCTCACTGCAACCTCCACCTCCTGGGTTCACGCCATTCTCTTGCCTCAGCCTCCCGAGTAGCTGGAACCATAGGCGCCCGCCACCACGCCCGGCTAATCTTTTGTATTTTAAGTAGAGACGTGTTTTTGTCATTTTGTATTTTAAGTAGACCGTGTTAGCCAGGATGGTCTCCATCTCCTGACCTTGTGATCTGCCCACCTTGGTCTCCCAAAGTGCTAGGTTTACAGGCGTGAGCCTCCGCACCCGACCCTAATTGTGTGTTATTTTTTGCCAAGCTGTAATTTCCTTCTTTCTTTTTAACCTCTTCTTATATATTTTACAAGGAAGTTGGGAAAAACTTTATTCAAAATTACTCTCAATGTATCATTCATTATTGGAACATTTTGCAATTTCCTAAAAGGATGAGAATGCAATACTCTTTTAATTTCTACCATTAATCCATGTTACCCCAAATGAGAAGAGAGTTTATTACTTGAGATATTTGATTGATTATTTTTAATGTTCCCACGTAATTGACAAATAAGAGGAAATTATTGTCACCAGTCTGTTGGTAACTTAAGCCTTATCATATTCAGTAGCATATTCTCTTTGGAGAATTGTTAATAAATTATATAGTTTATTAACAGTTTTTAACAGAAGCAGCTTTGACCTTTTCATTTTTCCAGATATATTTCTACAAGCAATAGCTTTTCATATTATAAGTGAGTTTGTTTCCCCTCCATATCAAGTTTCATTCCATTTGTTTTTGACCATTTCATCTATATGAAGTCATTTTCAATCTATGTGCAGACAATGTGAGGACAGTCTTCTTACATTCTGATGTCAAGATACTAAATTTGGATTAAAGGTCCAGGTCATAACAAGTCAGAAAACATTATGCACTGTAATTTTCTGGTCTCCGAATCAAATATATTTGCCATAACCTCTCCATTGTTGCTACATATATGTTAAAATACTTTCCACTTTTCTTAATTTAACCTAATCAAGTCACTATTTTGGCACATGTTGTACTCCACCAAAATGTCATGGAATAGCCACTCAGGAATTTCTGAAGTTAAAAACAAAAGTGTGATACATGTTCAAAGATAATCCTTTCGCTATAACTATCTACTTACTAGAAATAGAGAATCTATAGTCCTCAAATCATACTGAATCTTCAAGAGCATTTTATTCAGCTGATGGGACAATTATTAAATAGCAATGTTATGATTTCTACTTTTGATTGGGAAGTTAATTTTCACTTTTAATATTTATCTAAGCAGTCATCTCAATGGCTACAAAATAAGTTTGTGGTCCCTGAAGTATCTTGTCCATACATTAGTTGTATTTCAGTGTGTTTTGTAATCTCTTTCAATCAAAAAGAACTTTACTAATTTAACACCTGCTATGTGATAATCATCTGGCCTGGTACTGGGTGCTGGGAACATAAGATAGAAAAACTGCTATATTTTTAGTCTCCGATGAGGTCAAGGAGTAATGTCTTAGGTATAATATATGAATGAGTACAACGGCTGTGGAATCAGCTTTAGTTGGTTCCTCACCCAAAGTGAGCATGAGGTTTCATGGGAACTTTAACCCTGCTCACTGATATTAGGAAAGTCTATATAGAATGGCGATATATATATATATATACACACACACATATATATGTATGGATATATATATGTGTACATATATATGTACATATATATACATGTATATATACACACATATATATGTATGTATATATGTACATACATATGTATATATATATATATACACGTACACACATACACACACATTCCATATATATAGAATGTCTTAACCATTACTAATGAAGTGGACTGGCATTGAGATTTTAAACAGGAAGTGTGGTGTTAATTAGCATAGCCCATTAAAGAATCACTGTCAAAAAATGAGATGAAGAGAAAAAGCCAAAAGACACTCAGAGTGGAGCCAGAAAGCAGAGAATAAAGGGCAGCAATCATCACAAGAAGTGTGAAGGAAGTGAAGCCATTCCACCTGGAGGCTGAGGTTGCACACAGGGCAGGTAGATGTAAGAATATTATAAACATAGATGGAAGAAGAGATTGCGAAGGACAAGACGTCAGTCCTGACACTGAATATGTCAAATCTGCACGAGTTTCCTATTGCTGCTCTAAGAAATAACCAGAAACATAGTGCCTTAACATGAATCTATTATCTTATAGTTCTGGAGGTCAGAAATCTGCAATGGGTATACAGGGATGCATTTCTTTGGGAGGCACTAGGGGATAATTTATTTGCTTGCCTTTTCCAGCTCCTTAAGGTTGCCAACTAGCTGCCACTGCCATCACCTTCAAAGGCAGCAACGTTGGGCTGACCCACCTCATACTGCCAAACCTCTGTTCAAACAAAATGCTGTCAAATCAAAATGGAATGCAGCCAAGATGTTTTTGATGGCAATAAAATGCAGTAACAGCTATATAAGGTGTATTTACAAGATATGGTGCAGTAAACAACCATTATTTGTTTTATTTTTAAATATTTTCATTTGTTCATTTATTCATTTGACTTCTTATATACCATACACCATTGCAGATGGCAAAATTAGTTTGCCTTTTATTTTATTTATTTTTTCTTTTTTTTTTTTTGAGACAGGACCTTGCTCTGGTTATCCAAGTTGGAGTGCAGTTGTGCAATCATGGACCACTGAAGCCTTGACTCCTGGACTCAAGCAGTCCTCCCACTTCACCCTCCCATGTAGCTGGGACTACAGGTGCATGCCATCCATTCCCAGGTGATTTCTACACTTTATTTGTAGAGACAGGGTTTCACTATGTTGACCAGACTGGTCTCGAATTCCTGACCTCTAGTGATTCCTCCCACCTAGGCCTCCTAAAATGCTGGGATTATAGGTATGAGCTGACGTGTCTTGCCTTTTATTATTTATTTACTTATGTATGTATGTATGTATTTTTCTTTCTTAAGTCTATGTTTTGTTTTTATTTTTTCAGTAAATGATTACTCTAAACCAGGCCATCTGATCGAGATTAGGATAGAGTAATAAATCCGTGTGTGCTGGGGTTTTTCTATCTTCAGAGTTTTCAACCCATAAAAGAGCAAGACACTGAGATGAACTCTCATAAAAGTGTGAAGAGATGATAAGAGTAGTTAAAATTCATGAAGCCCATAACAAAATGATAATCCAGATTAAGGTTAAGGAATAAGAAACGTCTTTTGGGAAAAGTAACATGTAAACTGAAACAATAAAAATGAGAAGGAGTTATCCAAGCAAATAAACGGAGGAAATAGTGTGATAGCACAGGAACCAGAATTCCCATCCAGCCAAGTGTCTCTTTCTCAAGTTAGTATATCATCTGTGCTCATGAAGTGAGGGGATCTGACTCTGTCTGATTTCTCATGAGTCATTATAATAAGCATCCGATAATATAACTTTAAATCAACAATATTTTAACAAGATGATGTTTTTATCCTTTAAAATAAAAAAAGAAAGAAAATTATGTATATGCTAATCAGCAAACATCATCTTTGCCAAAATGTTCAAAAGAACCATGAATGCTGTTATTTAACACACACACACACACACACACACACACTCACTATCAGTCTCCATAATGTGAGCATTACTGTTTCTGTAGTGACTATTAGTTTATTTCCATATGCTTCCCTCATGTGAATATCCAACTAATTAAATGGGAAAATTTCTGGTTTTTATATATCCTACTTTGAATAGTTTATTTTTTTAAGTATGCAACAAAATGTATTTCCACCAGTATATTTTCAAGTAGGATATTATAGACATACATCAGAGATATGGCAAGTTCTGTTGCAGGCCACCTCAAAAAAGAAATATTGCAATAAAGCAAGTAACATTTTTTTTTGTTTCTTAGTGCATATAAATGTTATATTTACACTATACTGTAGCTTATTATATATGCAAGAGCATATATAAGGTATACACAACATATATACCTTACATTACATTACCTATACACATAAGTTATATACAATGTATATACCTTATTTCCTGTTTGCCCCTACAAGAATACTAACCCATGGTGCTTGCGACTGCAGCATTTACCCAGAAATAAGTTTGCCATTAAATACCTTGCTTTTATTATTATTTTCGCAAAGCTCTAGTATATTGACTTTGGAAACAAAAACATTCTGTTTTTAATAGTGGCATTTCCATTTACAAAATGTAGTAATTCTTTATCATTAAAAATGCCAAATCCTAGAAAACTAAACATTTCTACATGTGATGTTAACAGCATTCTTGAACAATTGTTGACCGAAGATTAATTTGATGAATCCAATTTTTCTGAAGTAGACGATTCTGATTCAGATAATTCTGACGTTAGTTCCATGTAGAATTACCTCCAAGAACAGTTTTTATATTTTATTTTCACATTGAAAAAATCAGCCAGATTTGCTTCAGCCTCAAAGAACGTATTTATGTAAAATTAAATGAGCACTGGCAGTGAGCTGTGCTTTTTTCTTTTCTGAATGGAATAAGGGTTAATCAAAAATACTTTATTACTATAATCATGTGAGTCTTCAGCACGTTGTAATTTTTCAGCTAGTGGAGGGCCTTTCCTGATGATGACAGCTGCTGACTAATCAGAGTGGTGGTTGCTAAAGTTTGGAGTGGTTCTGGCAATATTTTAAAACAAGACAACAATGAAATTTGCTGCATTGATTGTCCCTTTCACGAAAGATTTCTGTGTAGCATGCGATGGTGTTTGATAGCATTTTACCCACAGTGGAACTTTCAAAATTGGAGACAATCCTCTCAAACCCTACTGATGCTTTATCAACTAAGTTTATGCTATTAATATATACTAAATCCTTTGTTGTCATTTCACTTCTTTCTACGTATGAAAGTTCTAGATGGCCTCCTCTTCCAACAGAAGACTGTTTTGTCCGCATTGAAAAACTATTGTTTAGTGTACCCATCTTCATCAATTATCTTAACTAGATCTTCTGGACAACTTGCCTCTTCACCTTGCACTTTTATATTATGAAGATGGCTTCTGTCCTCCAACTCATGAACAAACTTCCGCTAGCTTTAAACTTTGCTTCTGCTGCGTCCTAGCCTCTCTGAGTCTTCATAGAATTGAGAGGGCTATGCGCTGGATTAGGCTTTTGCTTAAGGGAATGTTGTGGCTGGTTTGATCTTCTATCCAGACTATTCAAACTTTCTCTGTATCAGAAATAAGTCTTTATCTCATTCTTACCTTTGGTGCTTCCACTGAAGTAGCAATTTTAATTTCCTTGAGACCTTTTCTTTGCCTTAACAACGTGGCTAACCAGTGCAAGAGCTCTGGCTTTCAGACTACCTCTGATTTAGACATGTCATTCATTTCTAGCTTTTGATTTAATGTGAAAAGCTTTGAACTCTTCCTTTAATTGGAACTCTCAGAGGCCACTGAAGGTCATTAATTGTCCCAATTTCAACATTATTGTGTCTCAGGGGATAGGAAGGCTCAAGGGGAGGGAGAAAGATAAGGGAACAGTCAAATATTGAAGTAATCAGAACACACAACATTAATCAATTAGGTTCACTGTTTTATATGGTCACAGTTTATGGGGTCCCAAAACAATGAAAATACTAACATGAAAAATCACTTATCACAAGTTAACATAATTAACATAATAGATGTAATAATAATTAAAAAGTTTGAAACACTATTAGAATTACCAAAATGTGACACAGATTCATGAAGTGAACACATACATGAAGTGGACACATACTGTTGGGAAATGGTACAGATAGACGCTCAATGCAGGGTTGCCGCAAATCTTCAATTTGTAAAAAACACTGTCTGTGAGAGGTGCAATAAAGCAAAACACAGTAAAACCAGGTCTGTCTGTACTGTAAAGGTTATTTCAAGTAAAAATATCCCTGTCCCTTTATTTATTTTGAAAACATTCAACATAGGAGCACATATATGACTTTCAGGTGACATGTTACACAGTATCATTTGGCTACAGAAATTAAAAATTTTACCAGGCAAAATTAGATGTACACTCTAAATTTGAAATCATATTTTTTACTAACGTGGGTATTTTAATGTGTAATTAAAACATTTTAAAAATTGAAGACATTTTAAATAGTGATTCTAAACAAATATTATGCTTTATAAATTATAGTTTTCAGAGTAAATTATAAATAATTAGTTTTACGAATAACGTGTAACATAATCATTTAAAATTAAAAATAAATTTTTGAAGAAATAATACTTTTATGTGAAGAGAAAGCAGCAGATGTTTGGTGTTATAAGAAAAATGATACCAATAAGCATTTTGATCTTTTAGTCTTATTCACTGCATGTGAATCAGGAAGAAATAAATTAAGTCTATAATACATAGTGCAATTATGGATCTGACATAAGGCAGATACATGGTCAGAGTAGCCATTACACCTTTCCAACATTCAGTTTCCCAAAAAGAAGTGAATCCAGTAAACTAAAATTTCCAGAATAGTTACCAAATCAGAGGGATCATGAATGAAAGTTTCTAATAATTTTGAGTTTGCCTTTTCTTCTAAAATACAGAATAATTGAAGAATTATAATATCTCTAAGACTGAAGGGCTATTGTTAGTTGTTTTGGAAATCAAAATCAAGATATTTGTTTGGAGGTTTCTAGTTTTTCAGCAGACACACTCTAGATTTTACAGATATATAATATAGTGTGTACAAGTGTTTGTAATTATGTAGAGAGAGGAGAGAGAGACAGACAGAAATAGATTGTTAGAAAAAAACAATAAAAAACAAAAGGTCAACTGATAGTAATCCAAACACTATAATTATTTTCAGCAATTGTGACTAATCTTAAATTATTTTGATTGCATTTGATTGCCCTGATATTTTCTCTAACAAAAATACCTAGCCATCAATTTTTGTAATATTTGTACATTCAAAGTCTTCTATGAGATTTAAGCCTGTGATTTAGTAGTGCCCTGTTTGATTTTTTTCTGAAATTGCATGAGGGTTTTAGTTCTTATCATAATTGATGAATGGAATTCAGGACAGTTGTATATAACACAATATTTTTCAGTGTCCTGTAGGAACTCCTAATGACCTCTCAACCATTCCTGTATATGATTAAAAAAATGCTTTATTTAGATGAAATAAACTAGATCTTAATTTTGTTCAACAAATAAATACCAAATACTTTTACAGACTTTATTACACACTGGATATTTCCAGAAATTCATTGTGGAGCTGTTCAGTGTTTGGGGAATCCAGGAGGTCAGTAGCAGTTCTGCTGTCTGTATTTGCATTCCTGTTAAAACACACTTGTGTCCACTCAATTGCAATTGTGTATACACCATGGTTCTACATTTAGAGCAAGCACTTGGAATTTTTTGTTTTTTCTTGTCTAGGAAAGTGTGAGAATTTAATTTTCCTATGGATTTTATTTCTGAATGGGACCACTGAAAAACTGTGTTATAAAAAACACATTTGATCTCTTAGGTCAAGGACCATGGCTATAATTACATAAATGAAGGGAGAGGAGGTATTACTTTGTAATTAAAAAAAAGTTTCTTAATATTTACTTTACAATGACTGAAATTATTCTACAAAATTAAAGAGAGTGCTGCTTACATTTTTTGAAAGTAAGTGTGTGATCATACAGCTGTTTAATGGCATTTTGTAAATAATTAGTCCTCTGTAATAAAAATAATCTTAACTTACTTTAAAAAAATAAGTGAACATATCCCTTTGAAATATGATTTAAAAAATACTTGCCCTTCATAATTCAATATTTTTGTGTTAAAAATTGAAACAAAATATTAAATAATTTTTTTATAGTTTTGTGGCAAAAAACTATGTATTTAAATTTCTTACTTAAGTGATTACTTGATATTCCTAAGCTATCGAAAATGGTTAACAAGAAAATAACTTTAAATGATGACTAGCTTTGTCTAATACCTCAGTTTTCAAGAGTAAATTAGATGAACTATTAGAAACAAAAAAATGGGTATATGTAAGTGAGATAAATGTTGTAGATAAACTTTTTGTGTAACTTCAGATCTTAAAATTATTTTTGATGCTCATTGAAGATCTGGGTCACTGCCAATAAATAAAGGATTATGATATGGGGAAATAGGATTTTAAAATTTGTGAAATGTTCTCATCTATAAAATGCAAATATCTGATAGTTTGGAATTTCTTGCTTCCTAGGTTTCCAATGAAATTTAAGATTACTAAGAATAAGAATTCTGGTTAATGTATAATTCTGTATATAAAATATGTCAAAAAAGATGTATTCTTACCAGGAAAATAAATAGTTTTGTCTAATTCAGAAGTTATTTAAAGATTAATTCTAATTATGGACCTGAAAACATTATTTATGAAACAAGACTGAAAGGAATCAGTAAGTATATAAGAGAGATCTGAAGAAAGTGATGGATATGAAGATGTATGGGTAAGGAAGATTTTAAAGAAAAAAGAACAATTTTGCATGAGAAAGGACTTGTATAGTGAATTTTTGTCTTAAAGTAAAATGATTGGTTATTTGAAGAAGAAGAAGGAGGAGGAGGAGGATGGGGGGAGAAGGAGGAAGAAGAAGAAGAAGAAAATAATTTAGGGCAAAACAAAGTCCAAGTATATCATAGGAGGTCTGTGTACATCCCATGCAGATCTGTTTCTCTGTCTATCTTCATGTACATACAGAGAAAATAAAAAGCAGAAAAAATTTAGATAGTAAAATATTCTTTAAAACCTGATAGAAAATTGGAGAAATTTGGCTAATTAACATTACTAAGAATAAGAATTCTAGTTAATATGTAATTTTGTATATAAAATATGCCAAAGAAGATATATTCTTATTAAGAAACAGTTTTGTTTAATTAAGGAGTTATTTAATGATTAATTCAAATTTTGGACTTGAAAATGTTATTTATGAAACAAGAGAGAAAGGAATCAGTTAGTAGGGGAGAGAGAGCTGGAGAAAGTCATGGATATGAGACTGTAATCTGGTAAGGAGAGTTATAAAGAAAAGGTAATATTTTTGTATGAGAGAAGATTTGTATGGTAAATTTTTGTCCTAAAGTAAAATGACTAGTTATTAAAAAAACAAAGAAAATTAAGGACAAAACAAAGTCCAGGCATGTCATAGGTGGTCCGTGTACATCACATGTAGTTTTCGTTTTTCTGTGTGCCTATCCTCATGCACATACAGAGAAAAAAAAAGTGGAAAAAACTTACATGTAAAATATTATTTAAAACTTGAGAGAAAATTGAAAAAATTTGGCTAATTAGCATTGCTCATAGTTAAAGCTCTTAGCCTTGGTGAAGTTAAATTAAGAAATATTGTAAAGAAATTTGTTAGCAGTTTGGCAATTCTTTTTTAATATAGTTCAGCATAAAGCCAGATTTAGCATGAAGGCAAATATCACATAAATATTTGCATTGCTTCACACAATATTTGCCATTCTGCATAGTTAGTACTAGCACTAACCTCCTTACTGCTCATGTACCTGAAGTTAATTGTTTAATTGCACAAAATGTATACTAGTATTGGTATTGGTAGATTTAAAAACATTAATTTGTATATCAGGAACAAAATATTTATCTTGTGTGTTTTTATTTATTTAATTTATTTAAGGCTCTGCGTAACACTGTAGCCTCCAAAGTTAACTGAGTAGGAGGAAATTTGGAGTTTGGCTTTTTGTTTATTTAATTTTGCTCTTAATTTTCATTCATTTACTCTTTGTTCTCCTTTGGGTTTGGCATATATATACACACATATGTGCATATATATATATGCACATATGTGTGTATATATATACGTACATATATGTGTGTGTTTATATATATATATATAAACACACACACACATATAAAACCATTGATGCTTTTACGTTACTAATGGAAAGCTTTTGTTTGTTTCTAGGAATAGTTATATTGTTTTCTATGCATTTCCAGCAATTTATGATTTCCTCTCTTTATCTAAAGTTCATAAGCTATCTTTGTGAAGCACCCAATAATTGATAGAGCACACCAGCCATTTATAATTGGATTGGTTTTGCTTATGTCTGATAATCCAGAGAGCTTTAAGAGATTTAAGATTCCTAGAAAAAATAAATAAAATACTTATTTTAATCAGTTATGAATATAAATAATATGTTTTTATCTTGTTATTTGGAAAAGTAGATGAGAATAGAAATGTTTAAATCATGCTTGTTTCAAAGGATATTCAATTCTATGAATACTTTGAAGTGGTTTTAGATCTTTTCCTTTAGGTAATGAAGAAAAACTGGTATGAACACAACATTTTAATGTTCAGAAAAGATTGGCTTTGTCCTTAAGAAATTATATTTGTTGGTAATTCTCTAAAATTACTTTAGTTGTATCCACTATTATTAAAATTAATTGACATTCACTTGGATTACATAGCAAGTTTTTTAAAAACTGAGACTGTCTGGTGATTTTTGATCCCAAGCCATTTATTACTGATGGGCCTTCATGCAAGTACTGGAAAACAAAATATGTAAAACTTTGAATAGTTTTGAGGATTTTAGTGCTGAAATTTACCTAATCCGTTGTTAATACTGTGTCTAGCAACCAATCTTGGAAATGTGTGATGATGCTCTTTTAAATAGCTGAAAAAAAATGTGTTTGTTCTTACTTTGCTCTTTGTTTATAGTATAAAATGATACTTTTTATTCTCATATTAGATTTCCAAAACTGATATTTACGTTTATCATTTTTGTAAATGATGGAGAGAAAAGTTAATTGTCTTACTTTGATAAGTTTGGCATGAGAGCTATTACATCTGTGATAATTTGGTCATATTTCTATCACTAGAATGCTAGCAACTAGAAATATGCAGTGAGTAACCTAATTCCTTCAATACAGTCGTGTGAAGTGCTGCAGGCAGTAACTTCTGGACACCAAATCACAATGTTTTAACTTGTGACATGTTAGAGAGAAATGATAGGACTTTCTGCAGTACAAATTTCCTATCAGCTAATCCTTATGCTATTAAGTTAGAGGGCTTTGACTCCTGGGGCTAAAAAAGGCACTAGCTTCTGCTAAATCTTGAGCATTGACACTTGTCAATGCCTCATCTTCAGACCAGGGAGAAGATGACAATCAAAATGAATTGTTTTTGAAAAACACAGGGCCGGAATTTAAATTATTCAATCCCTATAGGCCCAGGGACCTCCACAGAAGAGGCAGACATGTGAGATTTTAAGAGCCAATTTTAAGGGATAAAATTAGTAAAATAATAAAAAATTATTAAAGGATATAAAAGGTTTATGGAAATCTTAAAAAATTAGATTTGTTCATAAGGTTTTATTAAAATTAGCTTTAACTTTGAGATTCTTGAAATTGTGATATGTCTTAGTATATGTTATCAGTAATGATTATGATGTTAAATTATTTTATGTCACATAAACAACCACATTTTCTTGTCAACTATGTCTTTCCCTATGGCTGTCCTAAGATTTTTGTGATCCACAATTGTTTTGCTTTCATTCTTCTCAAAAAGTAGCCTATAATCAGCTACAGTCCAGGGCTTGCTTCTTCAGGGGAGTTCATGAAATGTACTCTCAAACGCAGATTTCTGAAAACCTTGAAGATTATGCCATAGGACTACACAGAAAACTTCCAGGACTCTAATGGAAAGGCTGACATGTTCATAAAGATTGCTAACCCAATATGAAGTAGAGCAGGAGTTGATTGCATGAACTATGCTAATGGAGGACAGAAATATATTCATGGCTTTTTTTTTGTTTGACACATTGCTGTTTTCTTATTTTTTTTTCAGAGTCTGGATAACTTTTTTTATTTTTTTTTGAGTTATATCTGGCCTTACCAATTGAGTAGTGAATATTCTTGTAGAAAGAATTTAAGAAATATTCTTCTCCCTCTGCCTAAATTTTCCAGAATTTGTAAATTATTTATGAATATTCTTAATTCATGGCAATGTGGTTGTTTGCATAAGTTCAAAAAGAATCTGTCTTCATTTATTAGGGGACACAGTTGGACAAAGTGGTCATTTTCCCAGGGCTGTGGCCTAAATGGCCTTGTGAGAGGTTCCAGCCAAGCTAATTTAGGACAGCCTAATGTGGACAACGATTCTTGCTGTACTTTGTGTGGGTAATCAGGTCAAGTATGGTGGGACTGAAGCTTATTTTACAGATAGGTTGGCCCTGTTGTGATTTATCTTTGGTGGAAGTGATGGACTAGAGTAAGACTGTGTTTCAGTACAAAACTATAGTATTAAATTAACTTTTGTTTCCTGGGTGGCCACATCATCACCCATGGTATGCAGCTACCCACAATGCCCCTCCTCAGCATGAAACAGCAAGAGAGATTCACGACCAAATTTCCCAAGATTAAAGAATTGATTAATAGAAAATGGGGGACAGAAACTGACCCAGTTGTCCCATAGATCTGATATTTATAGTTTCTTTTGAATAAACATTGAAATTGACCCACCCAGTCTTAACATTTAAGAAAGTTATATTTGTCTTATCTAAGTTCCTTTCTCAGGAAGCCTACTATCAGTCCTCCCAGATAAGATCAAAGAGCTGAAACTCACCAGATCCTCTCATCAGGACAATTAGATGCCAGATCTCTCACCCATGATAACGGCCTAAGCAACCACCTGCTTCCTGGTGACCAACTCCTCTTCTTTACCCTTCCCTAATTCCTGCTTTTCTGCATGTAGGGCCATTTCTTCCTTGCTATAAAAACCTCTAATTTTAGTTGGTCGGAGTGAGGGATATGAGATTGATCTCCCATTTCCTTGTCTGCAGCACCCAGTTAAAGCATTCCCTGGCAGTACTTGTCTCAGTGATTGGCTTTCTCTGCGGTGAGCAGCAGGACCTAGTCTGAACCCCCTGTGTTTGGGTAACAAAATCATCAATGATTTCTAAAATGTTTATAGGAAACACAAATAAAGCAGCAAGTTATCAATTGATAATTCATTTTAAGAAGGGATGAGGAAATGTTGAATATGAAGCCTGCAGCCACAGACCATCCACAATTTCTGAGGAAAAAATAATTTTGTTGGTGTTCTAGTTGAAGAAGATCAATAACAGCAGAAACAATACTCAACGCCATAGACATCTCAACTGTTTCAGATTACACAATTCTGACTAGAAGATTAAAAGCGAGTGAACTTTGCACTCATGGGTGCCAAAAAGTTTGCATGCACATTAGCTGCAAACAAGAGCAGAGCTTTCAATGGAAAATTAAAATAAATGGGATCAAGATTCTGAAGCATTTCTCTGAAGAATTGTAACTGGAGATGAAGCAGGGCTTTACCAGTTTGATCTTGAACACAAAGCGCAATCAAAGCAATGGCTACCAAGAGGCATTTTGCTGGTTAACCTTCTGGAGGACAAAAGAACAATATTGAGAGCATGTTGAGAAAGTTAGCCAAAGCTTTAGTGGAAAAATGCCTGAGAAAACTCTCAGAGCCTTTCTCCACCACACCAATGCTCCTGCTCATTCCTTTCATCAAACAAGGGTAATTGTGTGAGAGTTCAGATGGGATGTCATTAGTTATCCACCTTAAAGTCCTGATTTGGCACATTCTGACTTCTGTTTGTTTCCTAATCTTAAAAATAATGTAATAGGAACCAATTTTTCTTCTGGGAATAATATATAAAAGTCTGCATTGACGTGGTCACATTAGAAGGTGGACTAAGTAGTTTGTATCATTGCTTACAAAATTGTTTGGAGCATAATGGAGCTTAGTTTGATAAATAAATTTTATATACCTTTATTTTTATCTTTTAATCTCATTTTCTCCCACAAACGCTTGGAAGTCCATTTGAATTTGCATAGCACTTTGCAGAATGTCAAAAAATGTTGTGTTATGAAATATATAGAGTAGGGAAAGAGGCAAAGAAAGCATGAAGAAGAAGGGATGAAGTGTAGTGTGTAATAAAAATAAAATATGTATACAGAGATTTGAAGGAAATGAAGGTGTGAAGCAAGCAGATATGTGGGAGAAGGGTGTCCTAGGTTGATAAAAGTGTAAGTTAAAAGCCTTGAGTCTGGCATATGTCTGGTGTCTGGGCAACCAAGATGTGGCCAGTGCAGCTGGACGGAGGAAGTTGGAGAATAATGCATGGGGTTAAGGGAAATTAGATCCGATGATCCAGGATCTTATATGCCATAGTGGAGACTTAAGTTTTACTCTATGATAATTGCTTTAATACCCCATAACACAAATAATAAAATAATACCCCATAACACAAATAATAAAATTGAGTGTAGGCCCTGAGATATTTTTACCAATACTTGATTTTTATAAACTTTCTTTTTTTGAAAAAGCAGCAACTAATACATTCTAATGAAATTATTTTACCGTGCATTTTTCATAATTAAGTGGGTATCTCATAAAACATAAAACATTAAGTTCAGGTTTAGTTGCATAAACTATGTTTTCTAGTACGATCTTGATTCTGCCTAAAGAAAAGACGACCTCCTAAGAGACTGAGAAAACAAAAAAGCCTAAAGAATCCGTCATACTTGGAGGTTGGTTTGTCTTTAGTCTACAAATCCGTTTTTATATTTTTTTAGTACATAAACAAAAGTGTATATATAGATGAGTGTGTACATATATATGTAGAGAGAGACAATAAATATAAATATATTTATCTATCTATCTACCTAATTTCCACAACACTTTATAAAATATTTCTGTATTCTAGGTAGAGTAGGTGAAAATGAGCAAATAAGAGCACTTGGCCAGGAGAAAAATATAGTATTCTGTAACGTTCTGAAATAACATTTTTAAATGTATTCTTCTAATTTTTATATATATGGGATTTTGAAGTGGTTAGGAAACATTAAAAAAACTAACAGTAAAAGTATTCAAAACAAGTTAGAGCAATCATTTACTCACCAGAATGTGCTAATTAGAGATTTATTATCATGTACCCAGATTTCAAAAATTAAAAGATTATCACAGAAAAAAAAACCAGTATGATAACTGTTAAATTTCAGAATTGTAATTACTTTTAAATATTCCTTGGCAGAAAGACAACTTAATAATACTGTTGTAACTAAAATATACTATAGAAAATACAGATACTTTCTGATTCAATCCTGTTTTCTTGTTAGTTTATAAATAACATTCATTTATTGCATTTATTTAAATGTGTCCTTAAAAAATAATCTAGCTGTTATTCCTTCTTTACAGAATAAAAAAAAAATAAAATCCATGTTATATCTAAATTTCAGAAATAATATATCAAATTGATAATGATTAAAAATTGTTATGTTGAAAAATCACCAGGTGTTCTTTTGTAATCTGAACAATGATACAGTGGAGAGCAAATTTGATACTATCTTATTTCTGTACAAAGGCCTTTCTTTGTGTCTTTAAAACTGCTACCTCTCTGCTGATGACAGATCTACACAAATCACAGAAGTTGGTACTACATAGTTGGGATAAAACCTTGACAGGGCCCCAGTGAGAAAGCACATCATCAGGCTCCTAATGATGCTAATGTAAACTGCCAAAAGCTGTCACTCTTAACAGTTATGGCAGGCCCAAAGCAGAGAGCAGGGAATAACGATACATTCTGAAAGCTGACAAAGGAAAACAAATGCATTATGTATATGGATATAAGAAAGCAAACAGTTGAATCTTCAAAGGGAGATGCCTTTATACCTTGCTATCAAGTAGGCTTGTCTGTGACACTTTGAAGCTAATATGGACAAGATCTATGTTATCTGCAGATCCAGCCTACCTTAGCATGACCATTCAATAAAACCTGAAATGATCGCTGCATGCATTTAGCAAAACACACTCCATCAAACTCAAATGTGAAGTGACAGATCCTGAGAGAATGGAACTTGGATTCCCCTCAGCATAAGATTTTTTAATGCTTCTCAACAGTTTCCTGGATCAATGCAGTTCTATATGGAATTTGAAGGAAATGACAAAAGTAATAGTTGCTTTTCATGAAACAAGGGCTCTCATTTTTCTCCCTTGCTAATGCTGTAGTGTGCATGAGCATATGTTGTACTTGAGGTATTTCATTTGCAGCACTTTCTTTTACATAGCTGGGAGAATAATCAGTTAAATAAAATGTTACTTAAATGAGTCTTTCAAAAATGTGTGTCTGTGTGTGTGTATTCTTGCAGGTGTATAACTATTGACAAAGATATTATGGGTTAAGTCAGAATTTTGCTTCAACTTCTGCTCCACATGAGTGAAACTAGAGCAGAAAGATTAATTGATTTATTCAGGGTCATAAAGGAGCACACCTAAACCTCGAGTTTAACCTCAGGAGACTAAGTCTCTGATCTGTTGTCCAGTCAGTTGAGCCATTCAGAGACCCAAAATAATATATTGTCTGTTGGTATTAGGACAAAAATTATACAATGTAGTAATTCAGGCATCACATGATTATATTTACATTTGTGACCACTGTATAAGAATCAATGATGCAGTCCTTGTCTAGCAAGGATTTGCATTTGCTAAGTGCATTTTGTTTTCAGGAAATGTGCAGGAATAGCATTATCAGAAATCAATCCCCCATGTTTCCTTATAGATAAAAGCACAGGTTATGGAAGTGAAATTTTTTGTACATTTAATTGTTAGTGTGACTATACCCTGACCAATAGAAATTATTTGTGGGTATAAAAGGATTATTTATTCTTGACACAGTCTTTACATTCTCCCTTGAAACTTGTGGCATTGGTGAAAAAGACAACTATGCTTTCAGAGCTCAACCAAAGCATTCCTTCATTCCACAGAACCCAATACATGTTAGTAGAAAGTAAAGATTTCCATCATCCTAGTGTGAGCTAGATTTATGCAAGTGACTTTGAAATTAATGAAAATCTCCTAGGCTATCTAGTCCCCTGGGAGGATATGAGAGGAGAGCAGTAGATGGCAATTGGACATTTATCAAGCTTATCTTCCTATTTGCTACTCAATTTCTGTGAGACCTTGGGAACACAAATTACAGGATTCATTTTAGTGATGTTTTTCACTCATTGGGACAGAAGGGTGACAACATAATGTTATAACATGATAAATAATAAAAATTCTTTGATGTTAATGCCATAAAGGATATTGGAAGCAGATTCTTAACATACAAAATAAAAAAATGCACATTATAGAGCATCATATTAATGCTGCAAGAACATCACAACTTTATTCAAAGAGGCAAACAGTATTCATAATCTATTATTATTTTATATAAGTTGCTGTGGCAAATTTAGTTAGTGTGATAAGATCAACAGCTTTAAAAATATAAGATGCACTTGCAGTCATCCAGACTTAATTATTCCCTTTCAAGTGACGTTTTCCTGGAGTTCATTTACAAATAATATTAGGTGTTAGACAGCAGAAGCACACTATATTATTATAATAATACATCTTGACATCTTATTTAGTATATTAAAAAGGGATAAACTATTACAAAATTATTAAAGAGCAGCAGTGAGGAAATGTTATCTGGAAATATAGTAATAATTGAAAGTCAGTGACTTAAATTTCACTTATTTAAAGAATAAAACCTACGTGTAACACTATAATATGCTTATTATAAATAGGCACAAAATTAAAAGAATTATCGGAAGAGAAAATGATCACATATTCTAACTCTCCAGTGATTTCCAAAGTTATTTTTTGGTGTAATTCTACTCAGACATTATTTTTTACATGTACCTGTTGAGTTTTTTTCAGTTTCAATCATAAGATGTATAACTTTGTCTTTCTATTTTGCCTTCATTAAAATCATACTTTTCAGAAGTAACAGATGACATCTCATATGTTATTTTGAGTATGAGGCATGAACTATATAGAAACAATTTAGGACATGTCATTAATAAATTATTCACCTTAAAAATGAGAACCTACATTTACTTCAAAAACAAAGCATTAAAGCACTTGCAAAATTTTGGCTTAGGCACTTACCTCAACCTCTCCTCTCCCAAACTCTACTGATACTACAAGTAGAATGTATGGATTATCTCTCTCTTTCCTTCAGAGGAATCACTGGCAGCTGGCGTATACAATTCCAGCAGACATGCCAGTTTTCTCCTGAAAGAGTAAAGTTTCCTGAACGTGGATCTTTGTCCTGAAACACCCACATCCTGAGTTGGTTGGGAGTTTGAAGTATTTTGGACGTCATTTGGATATTTTCACTTCTGCTTCTTCCTTCTCTATGAAGTTTTAACACTAGAGATTTATCAAAAGCAATTAAATGTACCATGTTTTTTCTTAGAGGTGTCTTGTCTTCCATGTTGCACAGAGATGGATTATGATCTTTGGTCAGCCCAGAGATGTGTCTTTTCCAGGAGTGGTCTAAAAAGAGAGAGAACTCTGTGGTGGTATACTTTCTTGGGGGATGCTATTTATTGGGTGGAGGAGGGGGTGAATTACAAATCTGAGAAATATGATATTCACCATGGCTTTATGCTACTATCAAACTGCCCCCATTACCTTCATCAGCACCCATCCCCCAACACCACTATCACTCTGGGTACATTCCTCCTTTATTTTTTCCCATTCCTGCCTTCCTTCCACTACTACCTGTCCCACTGAGCCAACCCTAAACATTTTGTCCTCATAGTTGTTCCTCATCTTTCCCATACAGGGTTCTGTAGGCCAGAAGGGCTGTTCTGCTTTTTTGTCAACTGTCTTTTGTAAGCATTTGGATAACAACAGGTATCAAAGAGAGATTAGATGAAAGAAGGAAGGAAGAAGCCAAGATACTTTTCTTTCTCCCTTGTCTTGGGTGGTGTGTCCAACAATGGACACGTACTTTTCTTGCCTCAAACACCCACTAATAGGCTTCCTGCTTTCAGCTTCTTCCTGGTGACCCCTTGACCAGGCTCTTAGGTTCCAATGCCATTGCCTCTTTGCTTTGTGTTATTATTTTTTTCCAAGCTATGTATAGTGGTGACAACCTGCTGTTACTAATCTATGTATTTCTCACTAATCTCCAATCATCTTCTTAGCCTCTTTTATCATCTGTTACCTGTTTCCTGTATTAATTTACTTTGATCTCAAGTATTCAGAGAGGTGTATGTATGCTGGTATGATGCTTACTCTTTTTTTTTTTTTTTTTTTGAGACGGAGTCTCGCTCTGTCGCCCAGGCTGGAGTGCAGTGGCGGCGATCTCCGCTCACTGCAAGCTCCGCCTCCCGGGCTCACGCCATTCTCCTGCCTCAGCCTCCCAAGTAGCTGAGACTACAGGCACCTGCCACCATGCCCGGCTAATTTTTTGTATTTTTAGTAGAGACGAGGTTTCACCGTATTAGCCAGGATGGTCTCGATTTCCTGATCTTGTGATCCACCCGTCCCAGCCTCCCAAAGTGCTGGGATTACAGGCGTGAGCCACCGCGCCCAGCCGACACTTACTCTTATGTGTAGAACTTTATCTCAGCAGTGGTTGAAGAAAAATACCTCTCATGATGTGGTTCCAGGAGTGAGCTCATCGCCTATTTGCATAAGAACACAATCATGAAGACCTTGAAGTTGGAAAATGGGAGAATTGTAATCTGTGTCATGCAATGACATCAATTTAACCTAAATAATTATCTATAGATACTTGAAATGAAGGGCTGGTCAAAGTCAAGGGTTTGGAAAATCAAGCTGTTGTTATATTCAACTCTTGTGGAAATAAGGATAATTACAAGAAAAAAGGGGCATGCTGCCCACTTCTGAAGGTAAAGAAGGGCTGACAAAAAAGAGGTTCACTTACGTCTATAAACTTTCAGTTAAAAGCAGGTTTAGGGTATATAACTTTAAAAGAGTTTATTATGTTCCATAGCTTCAGGGCAGATGTGGCTAAGGATCAGAACAAAAATTTAAATCTTCAGAAGCATAAAGTACAAGTTGACTGTACAGCAGTATCAGTTAAGCATTACATTAATGCCTTTGTTTAGGGTACGAGCAAAGAAGTACCACAACTCTGAGATTTGACATTTGTGTGCACTTGAGCAGACAACCAGAGTTGTCTGACCACCAGAGTTCACCCATTTTTCATAATATTGGCACAAACTCCAACTTCATTGTTAGAAAGGTAGACTTCCCTCAGACAGATATTATTTAATTATGCCACCTGATTCAGTTTGTGCATTCCTAGTCTTTTCAAACCTTCTCCACAATCTCCAACTGCCTTCAAGGTGATAACAATACTTATTTCCCAATATGCCCCCAATAGAGAATTAATTCTAGGAGGATATAGTATATATGCCAAAATATAATTTATTTTTATCTGTACATATCTGGAAAACAATAATTGTACTAGATTCACAGAGTCATCCAAAAAGAACAAAATTTAATTTTGGATGAAGTCGAATTTACTATAATGTTTAACTAAACTTCATTCTGAATTTAAGTGCTAGAGAAGTTGAAATTTGATCTGTTTGCTAATTTGGCTGTTGAAGTCTAGATTCAAAGCTTGTATTCATGAGGTAAAAAATGCCAGCCCTTTCTCTGTATAATGTAGGGGAAGACATTTGGATTCCAGAGGGAAAGTAATACTGCAGTAGATCTGGTAAGTGCAATTCTCTCATTTTCCCTCATCAGTGTATCTCCGGAGTGCCCAGAAGACAGTACCTTTACAAAGGAATTGAAAAATGTATGGTGAGAATACCAGTATTTTAAAAGCTCTGTGGTGGCTGTCATCTCCGTGCTCAGGATAATAATGGAACTGAGTTATCATAAAATTGAGGTCCTTTTTAATAATGGAATTCTGAAGAGTGGGAAACTGGGGTTTAAGTGTGTGAGACAGTCTAACTTCAATTACCATAATAGGCAATCGTATTGGAGTGGTCATCAGAATGCTTTGGCACCCAAGGTTTTGTGGTGGTCGTTAAAAGAACTCAAAGTCATAGATGTGCAGCCTACTGATGTATTCATAAATCAGCCTACTCATGTATTAACCAATATAATATGAAAAGGTTTGTTTGGTGTTTGGTGAACAGAAACCCCACTTTTGTCACCACAAGAGGAGTAACAATTTTTCTCCCAGTTCCCAAACACCAAAGTCAATTCATAGACTGGGTTTCTAACTGTCTTAAGTCTTGGCTTTAGCACTGATAATCCCATATCTTGTGAAACCTTCCAGTCCTAGGCAGATTAGACCATTGGTCACTCCAATGAAGTCCCTTGATTAAAATTCAGCCTGAGTTCCTTGAGGAAGGACATTGCAATTAGAATATATTGAAATCCTTCTTCAGTTTTCCTCCCAAACTTGTCTTCCGACAAGCAGGCAATGGGAGAAAAGTAGCACTCAAAAATTTAAAAATGTTATGCTGACTTTGATTTTATGTGATTTCTAGCAACCTGCAATTCTGCTTTTACTCAAGCATCCAAGTAAAGAATTAAAGAGCTCAAGTAATAAATGCAGATTTGCTGCAAAGTCATTCAAAATAAAACCAGTTGGAGTATTCCTAGTCAGCAACCAGCAGACTCTCTGCACAGAATAGCTCTCTCACCTATGGTGTGAAGTCCAGAAAAATAGGAAAGACCAAGTGAAACCCCATGGAAATAAATGTCTTTATCATTTTATTTAAAAAATGTCACACTTCTTAGAGAATCATGATTGTTAAATCTGTCATCAAGATTTGAAAATAGATTTCATTCCTATTACACACACTTTTAATTCACCTGTTTGGTTGTCATAAAAAATCATGTACATGTTGAAAATGATATGGATCATTGAAAATATAATTAGTGACTCCAACTGCAGCTGCTGCAACAGATATGGTGTGTTTGTTAGAGGAAATAAACACATGTCTTGCCTTGAAATACCCCTACTGGCCTGGAAACATATTTTTCCCCATGCCAGTCACCAAGGATGATCTAAGCAGTTTGCCTTCACGTGGGAGAGTTAGTAAATACAATTTCACTATCTTCTCTCAGGGTTAGGGCAACTCTTCTCTTAGTATTAAAATTAGGTCTCTAGGACTTTTGTCCTGTAGGCATCCCACCAATCATAATTTGCTCAACCTAACAGTATTCAGATTTTCCCTGGTGAGCAGGTCAGGGAAAGCACCACAGATGTGCTGGTTAGATGTATATTTGACAAAGGAAGAATAATATTGCAAAATTCAGGGACCTTCCATTTTAGTAAATATTTTGGGGAGAAGATGGTCTGGGGGAATAACAGTATATCACCACAAAAAAGGGAAAAGTTGTCTTATTTTGTACCAATGCTGACAAAACATAGAACACTTATGTGCTTCTTAATTGTAGAGGCAACCTATACCATAAAACTTGTGCATCGTCACCATATTATTTTACCAAATAAACTTTGAGGCTTCTCCTAGTTTTGAGTGGAATCTAAAGAGAAGAAAAGGTTCTGCATCAAGTCTAGGATGTTATCAAAAGCCATATTGTATGTTAAGCCTTAGACACACCAGATTTGATGAAGCTCAAAATGTTCATGAGTTAATGTGGATCTTGTATCAAACTTCTGAAAAGACACAATGGAAGTTACACAATTATGTTTTACTTTTCAATCAGTTCAAGATTTATTTTCTGATTTCCATATATATTTGTGTCTTAATTCATGGATTATTTGGAAGTATATTAATTAATTTACAAACATATGAGAGTTTTCCAGTTATATTTTTCTTATTGATTTGTAGCCTAATGCCAGTGGGGGTCAGGGAATATTTTAAGCATAATTTTAATCCTTTTCATTTTCTTGATATGTTTTTATGATCCAGCATATTATCTAAACTTGTAAATATTAAATGTGTATTTGAGGAAAACGTGTAGTTTGCAATTTTTGAGTGCGATTTTTCTCTACAGGTCTTTTAGGGTAAGTCTGTAAATCTTGTTGCAAATCTTTCAAATCTTACTTTTTATCATTGTAATCTGTCTTTATTTCTAGTAATAATTTTTTCTTTGAAATCTACTTACTCCAAAACTAAGTAAATTTTGCATAGTTTTGCCTAATTAACTACTTATTATAAAACTTTTAAAAATATTATTGTTTCCATAGTATGTCTTTTTACATTATTTTACTGACAACTTTTCTGTATCTTTATATTTAAGGATTTGTATCTACTTTTAGATAGTCTTTTTATTTTTCAATCTGACAACCTTTGCTTTTTAACAGTAAGATTTAGTCTAATTATGGTTAATATAATTACTGAACTATTTGGGTTTAAATATATTATCTTACTCTGTTTTCTTTTTGTTCACTTCTGCCTCATTCCTTCTTGTAACCATTTTTAACTTTCTTTGGAATTTTTTTAGATTATTCTATTTCTTTTTTTTTTAAATGGAGAACTGACAGTAACTTTAATATATGTAAATATCTCAATTGGATAATTCAGGCACAAAAATATATTGGAGCTTGGTGCTTATTAAGTTTATGTTTTATGCATTTCCATTGCAGGAGTTAATATGTTTCTTGGTTTCTTTTTTTCTTTTATTATACTTTAAGTTTTAGGGTACATGTGCACAACGTGCAGGTTAGTTACATATGTATACATGTGCCATGCTGGTGTGCTGCACCCATTAACTCGTCATTTAACATTAGGTATATCTCCTAATGCTATCCCTTCCCCCTACCCCCACCCCACAACAGGCCCCGGTGTGTGATGTTCCCCTTTCTGTGTCCATGTGTTCTCATTGTTCAATTCCCGCTTATGAGTGAGAACATGCAGTGTTTGGTTTTTTTGTCCTTGCGATAGTTTACTGAGAATGATGGTTTCCAGCTTCATCCATGTCCTTATAAAGGACATGAACTCATCATTTTTTATGGCTGCAAAGTATTCCATGGTGTATATGTGTCACATTTTCTTAATCCAGTCTATCATTGTTGGACATTTGGGTTGGTTCCAAGTCTTTGCTATTGTGAATAGTGCTGCAATAAACATACGTGTGCATGTGTCTTTATAGCAGCATGATTTATAATCCTTTGGGTATATACCCAGTAATGGGATTGCTGGGTCAAATGGTATTTCTAGTTCTAGATCCCTGAGGAATCGCCACACTGACTTCCACAATGGTTGAACTAGTTTACAGTCCCACCAACAGCGTAAAAGTGTTCCTATTTCTCCACATCCTCTCCAGCACCTGTTGTTTCCTGACTTTTTAATGATCGCCATTCCAACTGGTATGAGATGGTATCTCACTGTGGTTTTGATTTGCATTTCTCTGATGGCCAGTGATGATGAGCATTTTTTCATGTGTTTTTTGGCTGCATAAATGTTTTCTTTTGAGAAGTGTCTGTTCATGTCCTTCGCCCACTTTTTGATGGGGTTGTTTGTTTTTTTCTTGTAAATTTGTTGGAATTCATTGTAGATTCTGGATATTAGCCCTTTGTCAGATGAGTAGGTTGCGAAAATTTTCTCCCATTCTGTAGGTTGCCTGTTCACTCTGATGGTAGTTTCTTTTGCTGTGCAGAAGGTCTTTAGTTTAATTAGATCCCATGTGTCAATTTTGGCTTTTGTTGCCGTTGCTTTTGGTGTTTTAGTCATGAAGTCCTTGCCCATGCCTATGTCCTTAGAGACCTACAAAGAGACTTAGACTCCCACACAATAATAATGGGAGACTTTAACATCCCAGATTATTCTATTTCTTATCCTCTAATAGCTTGTCAGTAAACAGTTTTATTTTTTTTCAGTGTTACATTAGGGTTTTCAACATAAACTTTTTACTTACTAAAAATCTAATAAGTCATACTTTTATTCCTCTTTAGATAATATAAAATCTTAAAATATTTTTAATCCACCTATTCCTCCTACTTGTTTTGTGATTGTAATCATACGTATTAATTCTATAATACTAAATACATATTTTAAGCTTTGGAAGATGTTATTTTAAACAACAGTATTAATTTAGATTTTGCTAGATATTTACCTGTTATTTGCCTTTTTATCTCTTACTGCACCTCTGTGTTTCAATCTGGGACTCCAATTGCACGTGTATTCAAACTGTTAACTCAGCCCCACAGATCTTTCAGGCTGTTTGTCCACATTTTTATCTATGTATCAAATGTGCTACTTTTTCTGATCTTCAAGCTCAATAATCTTTTCTTGTGTGGTATCTAAAATATTTTCTAACTTACCTACTTTCACCTAAACTTCATTATATCTTTCTTCAATTCTGAAATTCTCATTTAATTCTTATTATAGTTTTCATTATACATTTCTTCAGATTTTAGTCTAATCTTTTAAATATATCTATATATTTAATTTAAAAACTCTTACTCTGTGATGTTTAGTTTACTGAGCTAAGGTGTTCTCAGATTGGTTGCAAAACATTGTTTCTGGGTGTAACCATGAGAATGTTTCCAGAATAGATTAACATTTGAGCCAATACACCAGGTAGGAATGATGACCCTCAACAATGTTGGTGGGCATTCTCCAATCTGTGGCCCATATAGAACAAAAAGATACAGGAAGAGAGAATTTGCTTTCTTTGCTTGAGTCTGGACATCAGTCTTCTCCTGCCCTCAGACACTGGGTTCCCTGGTTCTTTTGACTGGGACTGGGACTGTATACCACTGGCTTCCTCAGTTCTCAGCCTTTCCATTACAACTAGAGCTATAGGAGCAGATTTCTTGGGCCTCTAGCTTGCAGATGGAAGACTGTGGGACACTTCAGTCTTTATAGCTGAGTGAGCCAATACCTTGTAGTAAATATCCATCTATCTTTGATGTATCTATGTATCTATCTTTGTATCTATATGTCTATGTATCTATGTATGTATGTATCTATCTATCATCTATCTATCTATCATCTATCTATCTATCTATCTATCTATCTATCTATCTATCTATCTATATCCTTTTGGTATTATTTGTCTGGAGAATCCTGATTAACATAGTCTGCTAACTTTTATCTGTATCTTCTATGTGTATGCTTCTTCTTCTTCCTGTCTCTCTCTCTTCTTTGTCCTCATTTAATCTCCTTTCCTGGCATATTGGTAATTTTGATTGGATTCTGGACATTGTAGATTAAATATTTTAGAAATACTTTGAAGCTATGGATTTTATTATTTTTCTCCAGAGACTTTTCAAAATGCTGATTTTGGAAGGCAATTAAATTGGCGCCAGTTTACCTAATTCAAACAGAGATTGCACTATTTTGGTGTAGTGCTTCAGTCTTTACAAGGACTGAATTATTTTCTTTTGTTTTTCCTGCTATTCCAAGGGTATTACTCATTGGAAGAACCAATTGGTAAATTGAGAAATTTCCCATGGTATTTAATGGTTGGTGGAGATTTGGCCCCTCTAGCCTCATAAGACTGCTGGAAGCTCTTCTCACTTACTCAGCCTCTCCACTGTTTTGAGAATTACAAAATTCAGTGACAATTATCATGTTCAGTTCTTTGTACTTCTCTTTTATCTGGGATCTAGGAGCCTGTAGTCTGTACTGCCCTAGTAATTCTCCAATGTCTTCAAGCAAATACTTTTAATATTTTGTGTAGTTTTTATGGTTGATTTTGTAAGATGTTTAGAACTCAAAATGTATTTTGCTATTTACCATAAGTAAAATTTATGATTATTCAGACTGAGTCTCTCCTCCTTGTAAAAGAGATGTAAGTGATTTGACTTTTAAAAACAGGAAGTTGTCTCAGGTTAGGTGGGACCATAAACGTTTGCATGGTAAATTAAAATTGGTAGATGAGTGAGAATGTTGCTGACTAGCAAAATAGGTAGATAGTGCCTATTTGGTGACCCTGTTTGCTGTCTCTCTTTTCTTCTCGTTTACTCTGTTTCTTCTAAAAGGAAAGATAAACTTTTCAGCCTGTATTTACTAGACTTCCATGTCTCTTTCATTTGTTTTGGGCAACAAGAGAAATTGAAAAAAGACAAGGAGCTGCAGGAAAGGAGAGTGAGAATGACAGCATTTCTCGCCTTCCCTCCTGTTGGTGAGGGGCAACTTCATCAGGGCCAAATCTCTTCCCTGTCATTTTCTGCTGTGCTCTGGGTCAGGTGACTCCGCTGTCACTCCTGATAGCCCAGGATGCCAGTGCTTCCTGTGCTTCCTTATTTCTGGCTGGCCTTTCTATGCACTGGCTAATATTTCACTTTTTCCATATACCTGACCAGTTCATTGTATTAAAATCCCTTTGTCTTAACTAGAAAAAATAATAAAGTCAAAAATGGAAGCATTTGAGGTAATTCTGCTGTGCAAAAGAAGGAGTATCCAATTCTTTTGAATTTTGACATGGTTTTTCTACAAAAGACTTGCTGCAAGAAGGGAAACACATTTGTTGAAAAATGACTTTGTGTCTTCACGAACTTTCAAAAACATGCTTGCTCTTCCTAAGAAAACAAAGCAACATGCCGTGAAGAAGGACAACCTTATTTTGTGAAGATTTAAAAGGATTCAACAAGAGACGAAAAATAAGATCTTTGAATTAAAATCTATGATGGATGTAGCAACTATTAGATTAAATTTTGAAGGAATTTAGATTGATGAGCTCGTATATAAATGAAAGTTTCATTTAGGAAAATAACTTCTTAAAATGGCTCACAGATTGGATTAAAAAATAAACATTAAGTGACTTCAGGTTGATGAGATATTTTTAAAAAATTGACCCATCAAGCCTAAATGTAAAATGAAGGCTAAAATTACATTAGACAAGCATAAATGAAAGAAAACAGTGATTGCAATGTTGATACTGAAGCACAATCAAATAAAATACTAAATAGGGAATTCATTTCATATAGATAATATAAACAGTAGGCAAATGTCATAGCATCAAAATTCATAAAACATGATATTATTAGGAAAATAAGATAGATCATAAAGAGTGAGAACAAGATATTAAGACAGCAAGAAAATGAGAAAGAGAATGAAGAGAGCAAGTGGCCAAAAAGTGGTCATATGGTATTTGGTTTGCTACAAAACTTTGAACTAGCTTTCTACATTTTGAAAATTCATTACATTGTGAAATCTGCTTTTTAAAGTTGCATATGAAAAAATTTATCCCAGGGTCAACTGCAGTTGGTTAAAAACATATACATGAGACTGATTCAGAAGTAAGCTATGTAAGCTACATAAACAAATTGACTCTTTTTTTTTTTTTTTTTTTTTTTTGAGGCGGAATCTCACTCTGTCACCCAGACTTGAGTGCAGTGGCATGATCTAAGCTCACTGCAACCTCTTCCTCTCAGGTTCATGCAATTCTCCTGCCTCAGCCTCCTGAGTAGCTGAGATTACAGGTGAGCACCGTCACACCCCGCTAATTTTTGTATTTTCAGTAGAGATGGGGTTTTGCCATGTTGGCCAGGATGGTCTCCAACTCCTGACCTCAAGGGATCCACCCGCCTCAGCCTCCCAAAGTGCAGGGATTACAGGCATGAGCCACCACGCCCGGCCAAAAAATGGATTCTTTATGGGACATTCACTTTGTTGATTTAAGTTGTGGTAGAAATAGCATGGTTTCAAGGTCAAGGTCTACTTTATCATGACAGTTCTGTGTGTGGTTCAGGATGCTAATTCTGAAAGCTCAGCCTAGAGTCTTTCCCCCTGGACATTCAGTGATTTTATGGGTCATGTAATATCCACTCTTACTAGGTGACTTCTGTAATCTTACCAAATAATGCTGACAAATGCAGTATTTTTGATGAGGATTTTCAGACAATTAAAAAAAAAAAGGAAACATAAGAATTTGGCTTTCAAGTATTTTTTTAATGTGATAATAATCTGTGCATATTACAGAATCGAGAAGTGATCTTTTTTGCAGATATTGATAACTCTATTAATGCAGTTATTGAATCATCACTGGTGGTCACCTGGAATAAAATTTATATTTAGAACAAGACTTTTACACTTCAATGAATGCCAGTATTTCCCATAATAAAAGGCAGAAATAATATGTTTTTCAGGTGGAAATGTTTTTTTTCTAACTCTGCCTGAGAATTTAAAAATAAAAAAGGCAAGTAGAAATACAACTCGAGGCATTGTCAAAGAACCAGAGAGCAACTATGACTACTAAAATATAATATTCTGTGTATTGAAGCCAAAACATTCATGTAGCAGAGGTATTGTAAAAAGATAAATCCTTCAGATATTTGAATTATTACATACAAATTCACAATGTTCCTAGCTCTCATATATAAAATTAGGACAAGAAATGGGTGACTATAATGTTCAAAATTGGAATAGGGTATTGAGGAGGGTTAGTTTTTTTCAAGAAGCATAAACCTGTTTATTCTACTGAATGTCCCGTACAGTAAAATCCAATGAGCCGGGTTCAAGACTCTGTAATGATTTCATCTAAGGTAGGTTACTTTTGCTCTTTGTTTTTGTTTTTGGAAGAAAATACCAAACTTGATTGTGTCTAGCTCCTATTACTTTACTTTGACCCTAGGCTTCTTACTAAACTCCAATTCAGCATAACCAGGTAGTTAAACCCTGGAGGAGAAGACGTAAACATAAAATGTGTTTATAAATTAATATTGGTGCAAGTGTGGGGAATATGTGTGGCATAGATTGAAAGATGTTATACACTGAAATACATGTGATACAGATTTTGAAGTTTTTATACAAGGAAAATATATTTAGATTGGTATGGTTTTATCACTATGAAAAATTTATCTAAAGTTTTGAATTCTATAGGACACATAGAATGACTAAAATAAATTCTGTTTCTCTACCCGGTTGAGTTACTTGATTTTAGGTCCATGTTAAGCTATAATAGATAAAGTTGAAAAACCAGGCTGGTCGTAGTGGCTCATGCCTGTAATCCCAGCACTTTGGGAGGCCGAGGCAAGTGGATCACCTGGGGTCAGGAGTTCAAGACTAGCCTGGCCAACATGGTGAAACCCTATCTCTACAAAAATACAAAAATTAGCCGGGCATGATGGTGGGTGCCTGTAATCCCAGCTTCTTGGGAGGCTGAGGCGGGATAATTGCTTTAACCTGGGAGGCAGAGGTTGCAGTGAGCCAAGATTGCACCATTTCACTTCAGCCTGGGTGACAGAGTGAGAGTCCATCTAAAAAAAAAAGAAAAAGAAAACAACAGCAAGAAAAACAACAGTCTATTGGTATAATCTAGGACAGGAGTCAGAACCTTTTTCTGAAAAGGTAAATAGTAAATATTTTAGGTTTTATAGGCCATATTACATATTTGATGCACATTCTTCATATTTTTCCTTTTAAAAAAACAACTTTTAAAATATAAAATCCATTTTTACTTGGAGTTCAAACAAAAATAGGCTGCAGGCTCTGTCATAGTTTTCTAACCTCTTATATACAACAAATAGTAAAACAGTGGAATGAGAATGCTGAAGTGTTTTATTAATCATATGAGTTTACTTACTCACCAAAAGAGTATGTCTCTTGAGCAAGAACAGAAGATAATTAATTCATCAATGCATTGATTAAAAATGTTAGCTAGTGATCATGAGCATCCTTAAAATTTTTAAGTCCCTGTAGTCTCTGTAGGAGGTATGGTAGCCAGCCTCAAAAATAATTCTTAACTCCTGCAATTCACTACACGCTACAAGCTTCTCACAAACTAAATAAAGCTGATCTTTCTAACCAATCAGATATTTCAGAAATGATGATGTGTGACTTCTGATGATGAGTTATAAAAGACATTGTGACTTTTCCATTGTGATTCTGGAACATTAGTTCTGGTAGAGGCCAGCTGCCATGCCATAAAGACATTCAGGCAGCTGATGGAGATACTGACCTGATGTTGAGCTATGGCTTCCTACCATTAACAAGCATTAACCTGACAAGGATGTGAGTGAGACACCTTGGAAGTCCATCCTCCAGTCCCAGTCAAGTCTTTAGATGACTACAGCCTCAGCTGAGAATCTGAGCATAATATCATGAGAGTCTTGAAGCTAGAAATACTCAGCCAAGCTGCTTCTGAATTCCTAACTCACAAAAACTGTAAGAGATAATACATGTTTCTTGTTTTAAGCCACTATATTTTAAGCTAAGTTTAATCAACAAAATACTAAGTTGTTATACGGAAATAGATAACTAACATAGCAGAAGAAAAATTTAGTAATGTATTTATGATTTTATTGAAGATAATGTGATTCTAGAGTGACAGAGAATAGTAGAGACCCTTAGTTTGCAGAGGCAAGTAATAGTGACATTGGGGACAAGAAGGATTAAGAGTTAATCAAAATAGATTGTCCCACAAAGATGCTAACATTGTTGGTTGACCATGAGGAGACTAGAAGTGAAGTACATAGGCAGTGGGCAAAATCACTACAATTTTATACAACTATAACACTGATTCAAGACGTTACTGTTGGCTATAGTAAAATAATTTGAATCTAAATATTCTTCTGGAACCCTTGGGCTAAAGAAGTAGACCTCTGCTTCTTGTTAAATGTTAGTGCTATCCCCCAGCCCACATCTGACTTCTAAGACATGATTGCCTTTGTAAAATCCCCTACCTTCCTCTAGTGTCCATACAAATAACTAACTTAAGTCACATAATTAAAAACAAGGGAAGATGGATATGTTAATTTATTTGATTGTAGTAATAATTACACAGTATATATGTATATCACGCTATTACATTGTATGTCTTGAATATTTTCACTTTGTCAATTAAATATTTTAAAATAAAAATAACAAAGACATCAAACCAATTACCTAATGTTTCAATTTATGACGGTGAAAAAGAACAAACAAAACTGAAAACAAGTGGAAGGAAGCAAATGATAAAAATTAGAGTGAAATTTAATAAAATGTGTGGAAAAACAGTACAGAAAATAAACAAAATCTTGTGTTTTTTTTCAAAGATCTACAAAATTGACAGAGCTTTAACTAGACTAAGAAATAAAACGTAAAAAGATTGAGATAACTAAAAGAAGTTAGGAAAGTTCTATCACTACTAAACTTACAGTGATAAGAATATTAGATAAAAATACCATGAACAAGTATATATAAACAAACTAACCCGAATGAAAGGTACAAATCCCTAGAAAGACATAAATTGCCAGAACTGACTCAAGAAGAAATAGAAAATTTGCATATAACTATAACAAGTAGATTGATTTAATTCATAATGAAAGCAAAAAAAAAAAAAGGTCAGGTCTAAGGAGGTTTCATTGGTGATTTTACTAAACATTGAAAGAAGAATTAACACAAACTCTCACAAATTCTTTCAAAATTAGAAGAGAAGGAAACCCTTTCCAACTCATTTAATGCAGCCAGTGTTACCTTGTTACTTAAACTAGACAATGATATGACAAGAAAATCAAACTGAAGACTAATATTCTATATGAATATAGATACGGAAAATCAACAAAATACTACCAAATAAAATCCAGTAACATAAAAAATGTCTGTACCTAGATAAAGTAAGTTTTATCCTTAGAATGCAAGTTTAGTTTAACATATAAAAATAAACTTAATATACCATATTAACAAAATAAAAGAGAAAAACCACAATCATCTAAATACAAATGAAGAAAGCATTTAACAAATCTACTACCTTTTCATCATCAAAGAAAGTACTCAATCAAGTAGGAATAGAAGAGAACTTCCTCAATCTGATAAAGAGCATCTACTAAAACTTGACAGCTAAGAGCATGCTTATTGGTGGAAGAATGGGTACTTTCTCCTTAAGATTAAGAACAAGTCAAGGATGTCTAAGATCAACATTTCTGTTCAACATTGTATTAGACATTCTAGCCACAGCACTAAGGGATAAAAATAAATAAAAGGCATCACAAATGGAAAGAAATAATTAAAATCTTCTCTATTTGAAGATGACATGCTTTTGTATGCAGGTATATAGATAATTCTGAGAAATTCACATATATAAGAATGCTATTAAAACTAATAAATATATTCAACAAGATCAATATAGACAGATCTTCAAGATTAAAAACTGTATTTTTATACACTCATAATCAATAATCTCAAAATGAAATTCATCAAGCAATGCCATTTACAACAACATCCAAAAGAATAAAATATTTAGTCATAAATTTAATAAGAGAAGTTCAAGACTTGTCCACTGAAAGCCACAAAATATTGTCAAAAGAAATTAAAGAGCTAAGTAAATCAAAAGATATAATAGTTCATGGATTAAAAGGCTTAACATTATTAAGATAACAGTACTCCCCCAAAAGATCTATAGAGTCAACAAAATCCCCATAAAAATCCCAAAATATCACTTCTACATAAATTTTTGAGGTTTATCTAGAGCTCACATTAAAATGCAAGGGACCTAGAATTGCTAAAAACAATTTTGAAAGTGTAGATCAAAGTTGGAGGACTCACACTTTCCAAATTAAGACTTACTGAAAAGTACCAGGTAATCAAGACAGCATGTTTATACATACACATCAATAGAATACATTTTAGAGTCCACAAATTTTAACAGTTGTGTTTTTGGTTAATTTGTTTTTGATAAACAGGCTAAATAAATTCAATTGGAAAAATTGATATTTTTAATAAACATTGTCAAATCAACTGAATACCTACATGCAAAAGAATGATGTTGAACCTGCAACCCATGCTATATGCAACAGTTAACCAGAAATGGATCAAAAATTTAAATATAAGGAAAAAAGGAATAAAGCTCTTAGAGGAAAATATAGAAATAACTCTTTGTGACGTTGGTTTAGGCAATTGTTTCCTAGATATCACACCATAACACAAGTGACAAAAGAGAAAACTGATTAATTGGACTTCATGAAAATTTTAACCAGTTTTGTGCTTTAAAATTTACCAACAAAAGTATGAACAGACAATCCACAGATGGAAAAAAAATTCAATTTATATTACTTATAAGGGACTTATATCCAGCATATATAATTTATTCTTACAATTTAATAATAAAAAGACAAATAATCTAATTTTAAAATGGACAAAATATATGAAGACACATTTTTAAAACGATATACAGAGAGACAAGAACGTGAAAAAATGCTCTGCGTGATTCATCATTAATGAAATTAAAATCCAACCCCAATGAGAGCCAACTTCACACAAACAAGAATGGCTAAAATAAAGACAGGGACAATAGTACATGTTGGTGAGGATGTGGAGAAATTGGAACATTCATACACTGCTGGTAAAGTGCTAAAATGGCATAGTCATTTTGAAAAACAGGCTATTCCTAAATATGTTAAATATAGAGTTATCAAGCAATCCAGCAATTCCACTCATGTATACACTTGAAAAAATTGAAAATATGTTTACACAAAAACTTGCTATATACTATATATATTTAGAGACACGTTATTTATTGCTAGTAACAAAGTAGACAGCTCAAATGCCTATCAACTAATTAATGAATGAGCAAAATATGCTATATCCATAGAGTGGAATATTATGTAACCATAAAAATAACATGCACTAAAGTATGGGTGAACTTTGAAGAAACTATAGTAAATGGAAGAAGCTAGAAAGAAAAGGCCACATGTTTCATGATTCTATGTATGTTTCATCTCCAGGATAGGCACATTGATAGAGACAGAAAGCAAAGTAGTAGCTGCCAGGGTCTGGGGAGAGGAGAAACAGGGAATGGCTGCTAATGGGCACAGGTTTTATTATGGGGGTTATAAAAATGCTCTAAAATTAAACAGTAGTTGCACAATGCTGTAAAAGTACCAAAAAATCACTGAATTGCACATTTTAAAAGAGTGTATTTTATGGTATGTAATTTATATATCAATAAAGCTGTTTTTAAATGACTATAAAAATAGTGTCACAATCTCTTGCCAAGTTTCCATATCTGAATCAGCTTTATGTTGGAATCTCTATATAGATGGAGAGGTCAGATCTTCAGGAAGAAACACTCTTACAATATTTTGCCAAGTGTTTATAAAAAAATAGTTCTCATTTCTTCCAAAGGAATAATTGCTATTTATTTGAGAACTACACAGTCAAGAAAGTGTAAGGCCCAATTATTTTGAGAATTGTTGGACGTATTGTTCAAGTTTACATTAATCTCCAGTGTTCCAAACTTCATCGTGACTCCATATTTGAGTGGGGACATATATAGAAATATAGGAAACAAATGAAATCCTGGCTGCAATGTAGCTCACAGTGAGTCCACTGGACCCATGGAACCACTGCTATTTATTCTTCCAGTTCCTGAAATTATAGTTGAAATGGGATACTTGGTCATTGATAGAATCCCCAAATTAATTAGTTTCTTTACCTGTGGGGTAAAAGCTATTGTAATAGAGAAAGGTAAGTGGAAGTCCATAAATTAGGATCTAATACTTAGATGAGTTTGAAGTAATACACAGTCATCTTTCAGGATCCATTTGGCTTTTGTAAGGTCACAGTGGTAAATTAAAATGATACATAATGAGAACCACTGGCCCTTTATCTTTTTGTTGTAGGACTAGCACTAATCTGCAATATATTTTATTTGTTTTTCTGCTGATAAGAGGGTGAGCATACCTGTTTTAAAGACACTATAGCTAGAATCATGAACACAGCCTTGGTTCATTATATGAAGTGACTGATACGGCAAATGCATTCTTTCCCATCTCTGTCGGAATGGAGAATCCAAAAACTTTACCTTCAATAGAAATAGACATAGAACACATTTTTGGTATCTTTTCAAAAGTTTTTTCATTCTTCTGCCCCTTGTTATAGTCACAGGGACCTAGACAATGTACTTTGTGGAATATCACTTTGATCCACCATATTGATGACACCACGTTAATCAGATTTGTTGAGCAAGTTGGCAGGTGTATGAGGAAATTTTGTGAGACAAAGCGTCTCCACACAATGAAAGATAAACCCTGTGAAAATTCAGGACATTGTCACAAAATACATTTTCAGAAAAATACTGAGATACTTCAATTGCAAGACTTTTGCAAATTGCAAATACAATGGCAATCACTTACACCTTCCCCCAGTAAGATGGAAGTATAATGTCTGGTAGGTCTTTTTGGATTATGCCTACAGCATCCTCCCTTAGGAGTCCTAAAACCTGGGCTGTTTCCATATTTTGTGACGCAGAAGTAGTAGTAATTTCATCTTTATTGTATAATTTTACCGAAATTGACTCATTTTGGAGTACAAATATGCTTTTGTTAGTTGCAAAATATGCCTCAGGAAGCATTATTATCTGAGGATTGGTAAACATATTTGATCAAGCAACACATTACCTTACATAATATTGCACCTGATTAAGGTTTTTTTGTTTTGTTTTGTTTTTATAGCCAAAGAGATGTAACATTAGGCAGGTGACAAGGAGATCCACTGGGGTTGTCACATGCTCACCATCCAGTAGCTGCTAGCCTAGTAATGAAACATGTTCTAATACAAAATTGAAGTCCTCACTTGGAGTTCAGTCTGCAATAGTTGTTAAAACGTTCATTCTAAACCAATGACCATTATAGAATTTTGTGCCCATAGTAAGTAATAAATACATGTGTCTTGGGACACAATTAAGAAATTTTGCTTTTTATTGTTACAACTTTGGGCAGATTTAAAGATTCTGGCTGCAGAGGGAAAATACTTTCACTAGGGGACATAGAACAATTCTCAATAACTACACCTACCACCTACTCACTTCAATATCCTTGTGCTAAGAGATGATTGGACAAATAAGACAACATATCGCAATGCTACTTGATCTTGATAATTAGAAGGGGGAAGGTCTGTTGTTATGCAATGAACAGGGAAGAATATTTTGTACGTTGGTGATATAATTTAATATTTCTTTGTAATATCTCATTTGCTTTATTTTAAATGGACAAGACCACTAGCTCCAGCTTGATAAGGGCATGGTGACTTGACTGGTGTATCAGATGCCTTAAAGATGAGGGTCTAAGTTTAAGTAAACTTTATTCCCAGGAACACTAGCCAAGGGTAAGTAGAATCTAGAATGAGCATCAGAAGATGGTGATAATGAATATTAGTTTCATCTGGAGAGAAAGATACACCATCCCATTAACCTTTCCCTTTAAAGATTCACCAGGAAAAATGCTCACCAGAATCACAGAGGAGACTGTTCCTGAATTGAGAAGAATAGTTTAGACTATGGTGGATGCTATGTTGTGCCAGTCAGAACCTTTTCCACCTTCAGGACTGACACATTCATTCCTCTATTTTCTGTTAATGATGTTGGCTGAGAGCTTTTGGCTAAATTTCTCTTTAAGAATTTGTTCCTCTGAAAAGTGCTGTCATTCTGAATATCACACCTCTTTCCTTATACAACCCACAGCCAATGACCGGTGATGCAGAGTAATGCTGGCCCAGTTCCTTTGCTTTGATTTATGACAATATGAAGAATTATTTCAATTCCAGAGCTCTTCACAATGTTTGCTGAGGTCCTTTGGCAATTTCTCTTTTTACTCAATGCTGCTTCCTTTAGTGCCAGGTGATCATCCTGTGAGAATTCTCATTAACATTCTCTCATCTCAGAGGCTTGGTTTGAGAGAAACCAATCTTGACAGAGAAAGAAGAGGCTCTTCATCTTAGTCTGACTGTTGTACAAGCAACTTTGATGCTTGGCTTCTGTGAGCCAACAAATAAAGTTCATTCATATCAACCGTGGCAGACCAAGACGTACAGAACCAGCGGCAGACATCCAGAGGAGAATCTCAGTCACAGCCCTTGGGATTTTAAGGGAAAGTGAAAGTAAAAGTAAAAGTAAAATTGTCCTTTTAACTAATAGCTCTTTTCATGCTATGGGGCCATGGTAGGGACTAAATGCATGTTGACCACTTATTTGTTTACCATGTGACCTGAACTGCTCATCATAAACTAAATATGGTTTGATCTGTCTGCCTACAAAATCAAGTGCAAATATTTTTAAACTTGATGAGGGAAAAAAAGGTTTGGAGAAGTTATCTATAGATGGACCCCTTGGGGTGTGTTCAGAGTGTCAGAATTTTTTTTTTTCTATTGGAAGAGACTCATTTTAAGGATTAATTGGAAAAGGTGACCTTTCCATTCAATGTTCTTTCCCAGTCAGCTTAGCGCTTTTTCAGTGGGCTTATATAAAAACAGCCATGAAGGCAGTGATGGATTGTATATATGAGTTTAGCAATTTAGATATGACTTCACTAAAGCTGACTAGTTTAATATCCAGCTTGATACCCACTGCTACCTATCTTGAGCACCAACCCACGTGAAAGAGTCAATGTTGTTACCAGGCATTAGATAGCAGACTGGTTTCCCCACAACATGAGTTCACATTAAGTGGGTTTAGTGATGAATTAACAGAAAACATAGCCAATCTTTCACTGCCTTTGAGACATAAATATTAAACACCAAAAGAGAAACTTCAATAAATTCCAAATTTAAAAAAATTAAACAATAATGCAAAATTAGAATACAAAAACATTCAATGCAACACGTATAAAATAAGAAAACTTTACACAATAAAACAAACAATTTAGCAATTAAAATTCTTTTCATAATTAAAAAGGATATGCAATATGGAACATATAATATTTATAAAATCACAACAATGAGTAATTTATATATGTAAATTTGTGGAAGAAAATAAGACTGGGCTTTGTTAGTCCCCCTCCTTCACTATTTATAGCCATGACTGCTTGCAATTTTCTTTTCTCACTGGACTCTTTGGAATTTATGAAAATTTTCACCTGCTGAATAACAAGTAGTTGATAATAAATGGTTTATAAGTTAAGCTTATGTGATGTCTCAAAATGAAATGTAAATTTTTAGTGTTAATTGAATGAATTATTTTAAAACAAAACATAAAGCCTTCAGCATTCAATTTGAGAAATAAGAAAAAGGATGAAAAACGAAATATAACAAAATTAGGATAAATAAAATTATGAATAAATATTTTAAAATCAGTTTATAAAATGTGGAAAATATTTAAATTGATCATTAAATCTAAAAATATAACATAAATATTAAACTAGATGAACTTCTTGCAAGCGAATATAGTTTAGCTTGATGCATTGTATTACTCCATTCTCACACTGCTATGAAGATATATTTAAGAATGAGTAATTTATAAAGAAAAGAGGTTTAATTGACTCATAGTTCCACATGGCTGGGAAGGCCTCAGGAAACTTACAATCATAGCAGAAGGCACCCCTTCACAGGGCAGCAGGAGAGACAATGAGTGCCAGCAGTGGAAATGCCAGAAGCCTATAAAACAATCAGATCTCATGAGATATCACTCACTATCCTGAGAACAGCATGGGGTAAACCACTCTTTCAGTCCAGTCATTTCCCACCAAGTCCCTCCTGGGACCTGGGGATTATTGGAACTACAATTCAGGATTATACTTGGTGGGGACACAGTCAACCCTATCATTCTGCCCCTGGCCACTCCTAAATCTCATGTACTCACTTTTTGAAACACATTCATGCCTTTCCAACAGTCCCTCAAAGTCTTAGCTTATTCCAGCACTAACACAGAAGTCCAAGTCCAAAGTCTCATTTGAGATGTGGAATGTCCCTTCTGCCTATGAGCCTGTAAAATCAAAAGCAAGTTAGTTACTTCCTAGATACAATGGGGATACAGGCATTGGGTAAATACACCCATCCCAAATGGGACAAATTGGCCAAAATGAAGGGGCTACAGTCCCCATGCAAGTCTGAAATCCAGTGAGGCAGTCAAATCATAAAGCTCCAAAATAATCTCCTTTGACTCCATGACTCTCATTCAGGTTAAGCTGATACAAGAAGTGGGCCTTGGGCATCTCCACCCCTGTGGCTTTGCAGGGTACAGCCCCTCTCCTGGCTGCTTTCCTGGGTTGGTGTTGAGTGTCTATGGCTTTTCCAGGCAGACAGTGCAAGCTGTCTGTGGATTTAAAATTATGTGGTCTGGAGGACAGTGGCCCTCTTCTCACAGCACCGTGTGCCCCAGTGGGGACTCTGTGTGGGGGCTCCCACCCCAAACTTCCCTTCTGCACTGCCCTAGCAGAAGTTCTCCATGAGGGCTCCACCCCTGCAGCGAACTTCTGCCTGGACATCAAGGTGTTTCCATACATCTTCTGAAAATCTAGGCAGAGGTTCCCAAACCTCGATTCTTGACTTTTGTGAACCCACATGCTCAACATGACATGGAAGTCACCAAGGATTGGGGCTTCCACCCTCTGAAACAATGGCCTGAGCCATGCCTTGGCTGTTTAACCATGGCTGGAATTGAAGAAGTTGGAACACAGGACACCATGTCCTGAGGCTGCGCAGAGAAGCAGGGTCCCCCTGGACCCAGACCACAAAACCATTTCTTCCTCCTAAGCCTCCAGGCCTGTAATGGAAGGCGCTGCCATGAAGGTTTCTGACATGCCTTTGAGACATTTTCCCCATTGTCTTGGTGATTAACAATCTTCTCCCCATTACTTATGCAAATTTCTGCAGCAAGCTTGATTTTCTCCCAGAATTTTTTTTCTGTCACATCATCAGGCATTTCTGCCACATCATCAGACATTTTCCAAACTATTATGCTCTACTTCCTCCTGAACCCTTTGCCACTTAGAAATTTCTTCTGCCAGTTACTGTAAATCATTTCTCTCAAGTTCAAAGTTCTACAGATCTCTAGGGCCGGGGTAAAATGCCACCAGTCTCTTTACTAAAGCATAGCAAGAGTGACCTTTGGTCCAGTTCCCAACAAGTTCCTCATCTCCATCTGAGACCATCTCAGCCTGGACTTTATTGTCCATATCGCTTTCAGCATTTTGCTCAATGCCATTCAACTAGTCTCTAGGAAGTTTCAAACTTTCTGACATTTTTCTGTCTTCTTCTGAGCTCTCCAAATTTTTCAATGTCTGCCTGTTACCCAGTTCCAAAGTCGCTTTCACATTTTTAGATATCCTTACAGCAGTGCCCCAATCCCGATATCAATGTACTGTATTAGTCTGTTCTCATGCTGCTATGAAGAAACAACCAAGACTGGGTAATTCATAAAGAAAATAGGTTTAATTGATTAACAGTTCTGCATGGCTGGGACGGCCTTAGGAAACTCACAATCATGATGGAATGCACCTCTTCACAGAGGAGCAGGAAAATGAATGCCAGCAGGGAAAATGTCAAATGTTTATAAAACCATCAGATCTCATGATAATTCACTATTGCAAGAAAAGCATGATCCAATCACTTCCCACTGGGTGCCTCCTATGACACTTGGGGATTATGGAAACAAAAATTCAAGATGAGATTTGTGTGGGGACACAGTCAAACCATATCAGGCAGGCATCATTAGGTAGAAGAGTTCCACCAATGTCTTTAAGACTAATTTTCTAGAACTTCATCTTGTGCCTGCTTACCTCTATGCTGACTCAGGCATGTGAAATCTCACCAAGTATATACAGGAAATAGATTATTCATACTCAGATTATATTTCCTTCTGGGAATGTAATGTTGAGGGTTCACTTCACTGAAACTGCATGGACCAAGACTAGCACAAACGTTTACCATAATGAAAATAAAATAGTAGATGTTTCAATTTTCATCACTTGGTAACATCTGTCATTCACTTCACCATTTCAACTTTTCCACAAATTCAGTTTCACAAATGTCATTTCATTACTTACTGCAACAATGTTAACATTTGCTAAAAATACATTCAACTCCATTTTGCAAAAAGAAAGGTACTTAAACACAGCTATAGATCTACTTTGGACTGGAAAAAAATATGAATTAAATCTTCCTTATTTCTGAATAGAGTTTAGAACTCAGAAAACATTAAAAATGCAATAGGTTAAAAGCATATGAGTAAAGACACTTTCAAAATGAGCAATGCAAATAGTTTGCCAACATTTCAAAAATGCTCTCCTCTATAAGCAAAAAAAGAAAAAAAGCTCATTCCATCATAATAAACAATCAATGTTCTACACTTAAATAGGCAAGGATGAAAAAAGAAACTAAGCAAAATAAGGATTTTTCTTAAAGCACCTGAGAGTATCATCCTAAAGACACTCTAAAATAAAAGGAAACAAGTGTGATATAGGCATACTGTTTGGAGATATACCATTTTAATGTGTCTGAAGAATAATGAAAATTGTAAGATGCCTTCAACCAGTAATTCTATGGCTAAGACCTATTTTAGATAAAATACTGTATAATCATTTTCATATAAATTCTCATCTGGAGAAACTTACCTAAATGAATTTACACATAAAATGATCATAAATATTATATGTAAAATAAAAACATTCAGTCTGTACTCAATAAATTATACTTTATCATGTAGAATAATAAAACTTTAAATGATATTTTAAATAATCTTTAATAATATATGAAAATGAACATGAATATAATATGAAAATATGTATATATTTTGTATCATTGATTTATTGTGCCTATAAGTCAAAGAAAAAGATCAACATAAACAATAGCAAAAAGAAGAGTTAAAAAAAAACCTTTGACACAAAGATTTGCAGCAATTTTGGAATGATAGGTTTATGTAATTTTACTCTACATATATTTCTACATTTCCATGTTATCTTCATTAGGCTAGTATTATTTTATAATATATTTATACATATTTATGTTTGTTTATGTCTATATATTCATGTTTGTATGTACATATGTTTTATGTCTTAGTTTATTTTTTATAGGCTGCTAACTCATCATTGTTTATAAGAATAAAGGAATAAAAAATCCAAAATTTATTTTTCGTTTAAAAATACATGCAGTCACAGGAATGCATTTGTATTTGGAAATGTGAAATTTTTGTTCAGTGCCAATTCCCGTAGGCTCAGCCTACTTTGTCCATGTTTGGATGTACCTAGTGATGTTTGCTTTAGAATATAGTCTTCATCACATTAAAAAAAAAAAAGTCAACAGGGGCTAGGTCTGGATGTCTGTGTATGTAATGTTTTTCTTTTCAGCTAGGATCATGCATGGGCTTGTTTTGTTCTGTTTTGTTTTATGTATAGCAGAGAAATAATGCAAACAGTGGAAATAACTGGGAAGATAAATAGCAAGTCAAGTGCAATAACCATTAAGAATTGGTGATTATCATTTATTATAAGGGTTCCTCTCTTAAAAACGTGCCCTAGAGCATCTGAAAATCACAAATGACTAAAAACTTGAGATTGATGTCAGATGTAGAGAGAAGTATTGTATTCTTTTTTCTAATACCGTGCTCAGATCTTATTCCAGCACTAATCCTTAGTGGATAATGTCATATACTAACCCTAGAAATCAAGTTATGGTCATGTGGAAGTATTGCTTGGAGGTCTCTAAATTAGTAACAGGTCCTGTATGGCAATTTTTTTTTTCAGTGAAAGTGATTTTGACTACAAGCTGCCATGGCTACAGGCAACTTTTAATTATCCACCAAGAGGGAAAAAAGAGAAAACATTACAGCAAAATGTTAATCCTTCCCTACCTTCATAAAAAAAGATACAGGAAATAAATTGCATGAGGGCCAAAAAAAGGAAATGGCGAAAAACTATTGGTTAACTTTGAGTGAAGGGTTTAAGTTTACAACAGAAAGAAAAAATACTCAGGGTGAAATAGGCTTTTGAGAGGAAACTTTTTGGGGATCTCATATATTACAGTGTTGTTTGTTTCTTTGTTTGCTTTTGCCTAGAATATGTGATGGAGATTTAGGATGTGGAGGGAAGTTGAAGCAACTATACAGGTAGCTAAGATCAAAGGCTTATTCACTTATGAAGATGTTGCCTTTTGAATAAAATCTCTGAAAATTCATAAAATTTTCAGGGAGTAGAACTCCGTAATATGACTTGTGTTTTAGACAAAACATTTGTATTAAGTTGTGAAGAATGAATTGAAGCATTCCAGGACAGAGACAAGGTGACAATTAGGAATTTTTCCAATAGTCTCAGTGAAAAATTTGAGAATCAGAACAAAGGAAGTAGCAGGGAGAATATGTAAGGAACAGAGATAAAATGAAGTAAAATCAAGATTAAGTGACATTTTGTAAAGTGTATAATGATAATGAAAACCTTTCTGCCTTAAGCAGTAACAGGATTGATGGTAGTACACCCTTGCCTGTTAATAAAGGTGTTGGGTCTGATCACCCCAACATTCTGGGAAAGCAACCAATTTGCTGGGGAGGTAGTCACTCTAATTTTGGAAATGTTGAATTTGATGCGATTGTAGGACATAGAGATGGAAGTGACCATGGGTACATTAAATATAAAGCTTAGAGTTTAGGGAAGACTTAGTGTTTAGGGAAGTGTTAGAGAAATGTAAATACTAGCTTGTAGCCGATATCTTCATTTATTCTAGCTTTTTCTAACTATGTTAGAAAATATGACCTAGCGAAATATATTAGAAAACAAATAATATAATAGAACACATGGTAGTATTTTAAGTAAAGCAATTTTTAGCCATGGGATAGCTATAGAATTTTGGATTTAAGTAAAGGAATTTGCATATCTAAAAGAGGAGCACACTTGTCAAATTCTCACTGTTTACTGTTTATCTACTGTAAAAGAGCTGAGTGTTCAGTAACTTTCAATTTTCATTCCAACCTGAGACCATAGGATGCAATCTGTGCCCAACTTTAGGAGTTGTTAGTTATATCAAAACATTGACTTGACAGTTGCTGAGTCCTAGATGTTTGACGTTAGACAGTGCCTTCTTCACTCAAAATTTTCTCTCAGAAATGACTGGACTATGTGATCATTCAGATTCTTTTTAGATCTGACATTTAATCTGTTTATTTTTTTCTGAAAACTTATATAACATGGAAGATAAGACTATCATTTCTACTAATTAAAACATTTAGAATGGTGATATTAAAGTCATTTGATATTTGGAAAACAAAATGAGAAATAAAATATGCTTATCTATATTACCAGTTAATTATAACTATAAACAATCAAACTGAGCACTGTTGGCCTACTGGTATAAATTAACCAAATTGCAGTGTATAAGCAAGGTGGAAATAAGCAGTCTCAGGCATATGTCCTCTGATAGCTATACATGTGCTTAACGAATTTTCTAGATCATTCCATTCGAATAACCTCTGTAGAAGAAACTGGGTTCCACACTTTCAAGTGACAGAACAGCCAGTGAATATGAGTAAATGCTGGGAAGGTGAAAACAATATGTTTTCTCTATATAGTAAATAAAATGTAAGTAATACATGATATCTAGATGCTTTACTTGAGACACCAAAGAGCCTAGTTAGGCTCTTTTGAAACACCAAAGGGATCAAGGCCAGTCTACGTACATACATATGACTATTATATATTCCAAAAATTTAAGAACTCTGTGGCCACCAAAATGTGCCTTTCTTTTCAGAGCATCTAGGGAGTGTATAGGTAACAAACACAAACTTACAGGATATAGAAGTTAAAAAAGGGCAAAGAAGTCATTTCACCACACTAGCAATAAACATGACACCTGCAAGAGAGTAGATTCTAGAATAATGTTAACAGCTAGATGGCTTCTGAATGACTTAGAAAAGAAATTCATGTTCACTACAAGTTCAAGTGGAGTTATTAGCAGACCTTATGATCAGCAGATAATCATATTACCATATATGGAATGTTCAAGCTTAGGCAAAGTATTTGTTACCATTCCTAATAATGTAGATTTAGGCAACACAAAAAACATCAAGCACAAATTGTAATAAGTAAGTGGATTAGTGATTCAGTATATTTCTTAATGCTCTTAAAAATATTTGAAGCAAACTAATAAATTTATGTGAACTAGGAATTGTCTTTTTTAGAAATATGTGGCAAATGCATTTCTATGTCATTTTTAGAAATGTTTCTATATTTTAATAATATTTGCCCCAATGTATGTTAATAAATTGATTTACCAACTAAATGAATGATTGGAATGAAAAATAGAAAAGATGCATGTAATTTTTGTGACTATTATTATTTGATACTAACAGCAAGTATTTTATGTGACAAGATTAATATGTATGTATAGAATGTGTGTAATCATACCGCATTATTTATGTGTATGTGCTGGAACATTGATTCAAAACACAATATGAATTAAATGGTGATTAATGTTAGTTCATAATATTAGGTTTTAATATCTAACTATAAAACAAGAAAGAAATGCATTTTGGGTAGGAGAAATGTGTGAGGTTTAAGGGTACATGAAGACATACTGTCAACTGAGCACGTGTGAGAAAATGTTTGTCCAAAACTTGCCTAAAATGAAAGTAACATTATTATGAGTTAAATTTGAAATGGCCATCAAAGACTTTATATAAACTTAGGCTGTAATTACAATTAGAATGTCTACAACAATAAGAAGAGAAAATATTACTCTTTTTTTGTTAGCTAGACCATGCTTAGGATATGCATGTATTTCTTGATATTTCACAAGTGATATTAGCCCTATTACTTCACTGTTTCACTGTGTAAGTAAAGAATAAATGTAATACTGGGGAATTACAAACTTATTTAGATTAAAAATAGACTTTTTTTCTATAAAACAAAAGTTTTAGGGCAAATATGACAGGGGCTTTCAAAATTTGGAAGGAAAGTTATTTAAAAAGGATATATATGTTTTCTCTATAATGCTCGTTGATGGAACTGGCATTAGGAATGCTACCAGAAGATAGATTAATTAGTTAGATAACTAATGAAAGATTTGGGGGTTAAAAAAGATTAAAATGTACCATTGCTTTTCACTAGCTGGTCTTAATAAATGTATAAAATATATAGGCAAAAACAATTATAATACAATCTAACTAGGGGGTCTTTAAAAAGTCAGTCCAAAAGCTCCAAAAAATGACGACAAAAATGGGGATCCATCTGTGTCTGTGACATTCAGAGGAAGCTTTATGGTGGAATGCTTGGATAAATGTTCATTTACTTCAAATACATTAAAAAATAGCCAAGTGGAAGACTTTTAAATAATTGTATTCCTCAATTACATGCAACAGTCCTCAATTTTAGAATAAACTTAAAAGCTCTCAAAATATTTTTAATATGGATTCCTACTGTTTCCATACAAACATATTAGCTTTATTCAAGTAAATTATATTCAAAATATATATAATATTTTAAAAGTTTCAAAGTTTATCTATTATTTGACCAATTATGTGGACCTCTTCAGCCTTTCAAATGACATCTAGTCAAGGCCTGAGGTTTATTTTTAACCTATTATTATTTTTCCTCATTTTTCTTAGATAATTTTTCTGGCCAGATGCATTATATTAAGATTTTCAGTTTCTATACAGACTAACTGCTGAAATCATGGCAATATTTTCCCACTTGAAATTATTCAAGTGGGAAGAGAACGCTCAGGTGACAAAATATTTTTGGTCAGCTACATAATGAAATTTGATAGCAAAGAACATTCAAAAGAGAAAATATTTGATGCTGCAAAGTCACATATTTATTTGCTTATGGAGAATAAAATAGGAAATTACAAAATTAAGGAAAAGTATGATTTATAAACAGAACATTGCAGTGACTGTCAAAAGCATTTTATCTAGTGATATGTTCTATTAACTAGATCCAACTGTAAGAATGCAAGTCTATTTTTTTTTGTGTTATGTTTACCTAAGGAAACAAACAGCTCCTTATTGTAAAACTGTGGCTTATAACATTTTTGAAAGATGATTTCCATTTTTGGAACTGCTTTTTTATCATTTGGTTTTTAAAAGCTAAAGGATTGATACTACCACTGTTCTAAAATTACACAATCGTATTTCTAATAACTGCTCACATGATTGGGCACTGAAATAAAACAGGCAACTGGCCATTATAGTTATTTTAATTTCTGTGGATACTGTTTACCTTTCCTTGATCTTGAGGCACTATATTGTCTACTTATATACCCTTGTATACCTATTATTTCTAGTTGTCATTAAATTGTGGGATTCTTAAAGAAAAATATATACGATACTCTGTGATAGATATTGGAAATATACAGCCAAATAAGATAAAATGGCAGCTCTCTAAGAGCTCAGAGTTATACAGGGGAGATAGAATTTAAATAGATAAATTACTAAAACCTATAATAATGTGCTTGAAGTATGGAGAAGGCAATGTATTCGTGCAAATGGGTGAGATATTAAGCCTATCTGAGTCCATAGATAAGGAGAACTTTCTCAAGTAGGTAATATTTAAAATGGGCTTAACATGACATCTGCCCAAATTTCAGAATTAATATAGTGATTATTTTTACAAATGGTAAACAAAAATTTGATGATCAAAAATAATCTAGTTGTTCATTTTCAAGATTCTAGTTCATGATTTGACACTTGCAAATGTCATAAGCCCTCCTATTAAGCTGTCTTTAAGTTCTTCCATTTTCCCTGTGTCGTCGACAAAATCAAGAAATTGTTAAGCTATACATATTTGAGAAATGAATACATGAATGAAATGATGACTAGAAAACACAATGATCACATGTCTAAGTTTTAGATTGACATTGTTCAAATAATCTTCTTATCGTAATAGAAAAATGATGTTTTGAGAAAAATGTACAAGAAACATGTAAAAGGACACACTTTGTTTCCAAGATAAAATAAAAATCCTATATTAGTTTTCCCTACTATCAAAGACATTGGTTGATCATATCAAATGAACTCAGAGGATCTTTCCTATAGTATGTTCCATGGAACAGAGGATGGGTGGAGCAAATGATAATGTAGATGCTACACTCAGATGCTCCATGTGCTGAATTCTGCTTATTGGAGACAGCTATGGCATTTGTCTCATCACAGGAACATACTCCATCCTCCTCCAGACGTGTTGATCTGTTAATCCTCCCGAAAGGAGAGAAGAGATATTAGTATGCAAATAAAGTCCCCTAGTTTTCTTTCCCTTGCATGAAATAACTGAAATAACTTTGGACATGTTCAGCACTCTCTGTCCAAGTCCACCAGTAAAATTGAGCTACCGTTGTCCGCAGTGGTAATTTGCTTGACAATGCAGCTTTCTGAAATATCTTTCTTTCCCTGTGTTACTTCCTTCCCTCCCCTACTAATGTAGGATCAACTCTTAAATAGAATGCATGCATTTGTATCCTTCAGAGTCTTCTTAGGGAACCTCAACTAAGATGGAGTATTAATAATCATTCATTCATATTTTTGAAGGAAAAAGAAAAAATATTTTGTTTTAAAGAGTTTGTACAAAGTTAGGGAAAGATTTTTTTTTAAGTTTCTTTACTGTATCACCTGATGAGGCTGGTGATAGATAAGTTATGTGATATGAGCCATTTTACATTATGTAATAATGTTTCACAAACTTATTTGACCATAGATTCATTTTCATTTTTGGTAAGTACATTTTTAGGGCCATTCCATGATACAATCTTTAGAACAAGTTGCTTTTGAAAAGAGTGATTTTTTGTCTTTCCTTAATGCTGTTAGTGTCTCCATCTTTCAAACTTCAAGACCATGGACGCCCAAATGTACCTTTACTGCCTTTCCCTGAGACTGTCTCTACTATTAAAGTCACTAGCCAATCCTAAATAAAATTAAGAAACATTTCTATCACTTACTCTCCACTTTATTATTATTGTTTTTGGTGTGTTTTTAGGTTGACCCCTTCATGTCGGACTTAGCTCTGATGTGTTCCTCAACGCACTGGCTCTTCATAATCATGGCATCATTTCAAAATTTTCTAGGATGTCTAAAAGTGCTTTTATTCATATTAGCCCAAATGAGAAAGGAAGTTGGAGAGATTTTATTCTGGTATAAAACAGGAGATTTGCCTCCCAAATTGATGCATCACCTCTATCCCCTCATGTATGCATTTCTCTTCTATCAGAGTTTTTCTTGAGGACGAGTAATGACCAATATATTTTTATTTTACTCAGGTTGGTACTACAAAAAGAATAATATGTGAAAGCATTGCAAGAGTAAAATGTCCTTTCCTCCTTCTCCTTCTCCTTTTTCTTCTTTGATAATAAAGAGTATTGCATTGGCAAATAAGTCAATGTTCCAGAACCTGTGAACAATATTGACATTTGACCTCTTTGTATGCTATAAAAACAGGCAGCTTGAACAAACACAAAAAATAGTTTGAATAACAGCAAAAAAATGATAACCTGATAGTTACGTTTCCATTAAGTATTTCCTTGCTATATTCAATATCAACTACCTCTGAGATATCCTAATAGTCATTTAAATGATGGGCTTTAAAATGGTTTTATGCCGGGCATGGTGGCTCCTTCCTTTAATCCCAGCACTTTGGGAGGCCGAGGCAGGCAGATCACGAGTTCAGGAGTTTGAGACCAGCCTCATCAATATGGTGAAACCCCATCTCTACTAAAAGTACAAAAATTAGCCAGGCATGGTGGCAGGCACCTGTAGTCCCAGCTACTTGGGAAGCTGAGGCAGAAGAATCGCTTGAACCCAGGACATGGAGGTTGCAGTGAGCCGAGATCGTGCCACTGCACTCCAGCCTGGGCAACAAAGTGAGACTTCATCTCAAAAAAAAAAAGAAAAAAAAAAAAACCAACAACAACAACAACAAAAACGGTTTTATAAGCTTGTTATTTGACAAGCAATTTGGGAATACATCATTTGAGAATTTAGTTTCAATTTCACAAATAAAAAGTAATACTGATATTTTATGTACAAATGAATAATTTGCAAAAGGTTGCACTATTTTAGTGCATGTATCTCCAACATTACATGCCCCAGAATTTTTTAATAAATTTGGGTTTCTTCTAAATTACTTATTATTTTCCTCCAAAATAAGTACATATATCCACCTTCTTTCTTTAGCTGAGCAGAACTACCAGATTTCTAAATATCACTTTATTCATAAATGATAAGTTATTCATTGAATAAGTATTATATTTCACATTTGTGTCTGGAATGTGTTAATGTTATAAGCAGTTGAATAGAATCTAGGTTAATTTCCCAAGAATAAAGGAAAAAATATGAAAGACATTAAATCTCATGGAAAAAATACAGAATATGTTAGAAAACCAATACTATAACTTAAAGGTACGTAGATTTGTAACTTGCATTATATAGATGACATAAAATGGTCTGGAATTGAGATTTTGAGAAAATTCACAAATGATTATTTTAGAGACTCTTGGACCCTCAAGATTGACAGATAGAGTGCCTCTCCTCATTCCCACATATACAAAAAAATGCTTCCAGGAGGTGAATTTAATATAACAAAAGGAGGAGACATTGTTGGAGAAAGCAGTATGGTGATCCCCATTCCATCTACTGGAGAAGCGGGGAGAGAAGGAGCTACCACCTCAGGTCAAGATAAAGCAAATGTAATAAAATCAGTGGAGAGGTTCACTTGAGTAACCTACTGATGTACAATTCACTGCTAGTTAGCCTGTATTCAAGGTATAAAAGGCTATGAGAAGTGGTCTATGACAAAAAACAAAAAAAAATTGGAAAATAGCTTTCTTTCCAGAATTTGTTGAGATAAGAAACACATTTGTGTTTCACAAGAGCCAAGTCAGTCCATGTGGAAGGAAAAGCCAGTCTGTATGTCTTAGGCTGTGTCCAAAAACACTGCACGGAGAGCTGAGGTAATTATCAGGGAGATGGATAATGGTAGAGGGCCGAAAGTTGCCTAAATCTAGTGGGATGTGTTATACTAAATGTTGGGTACAAGCCCCCCAAAATCTGGCCATAAACTGGCCCCAAAACTGGCCATAAACAAAATCTCTGCAGCACTGTGACGTGTTCATGATGGCCATAAATCCCATGCTGGAAGGTTGTGGGTTTACTGGAATGAAGGCAAGGAACACCTGGCCCGCCCAGGGTGGAAAACCGCTTAAAGGCATTCTTAAGCCGCAAACAATAGCATGAACGATCTGTGCCTTAAAGACACGCTCCTGCTGCAGTTAACTAACCCAATCTATCCCTTTAATTCAGCTCATCCCTTGGTTTCCCATAAGGGATACTTTTAGTTAATTTAATATCTATAGAAACAATGCTAATGACTGGCTTGCTGTTAATAAATACGTGGGTAAATCTCTGTTCGGGGCTCTTAGCTCTGAAGGCTGTGAGACCCCTGATTTCCCTCTTCACACCTCTATATTTCTGTGTGTGTGTCTTTAATTCCTCTAGAGCCGCTGGGTTAGGGTCTCCCCGACCGAGCTGGTCTCGGCAACCAACCCCAACCAGAAAAGAGTTGGCTTTGCCTCTTGGAAAGGACAGAGGAGAGATTCCCAGCAACGGAATGAACTGCAAACCACCCATTAACATGCCCCAAAGAGAAAGCTTCCACTTTAAATATCCACTAAGTTAATTGATGATAACTTTTCATGGCAGTTCTTGTAAAGAGAAGACCTTTCTCTTCTTCCTTGAACTTGTTCTAAGCCCTGGAAATTTTGGCTAGTGAGATACAGGTAGAAAAGTAGAGGCCCAGAGAAAGAAGAAGAGAACGTGCTGACTACACCTCATTTTTGTCAAAGCATTTTTAGAGGTAGGTACAATTTGAAGGATGGTTAACACCTCAAATTGAAAATGGCTTTAAAATATCTGTTATAATTGGCCATTAAAGTTGCTAAACTAAAACTGTCTTCTGTGACGTTAAATTGTTTTAGTATGTCTAATTACAAAAGATTGACCAATGGTCATATGGAACCTGCCTAAGTTTTTATTTAAGTACAGGTGAAGAAGAAAGTCCACTGAATATTTTTAAGAGACGAGAGAGACATGAATAGAGCCCCTTCCCATTCTCTCCTGCATGTCATACCCTTATTTTTCTGTGACTATTTTGCTAAGCACTGATGATCTGGAGATGTACTGTTGTACCTGATACTGCTTCTGTTCTATAGCAGCTCACAGACTTACTTAAATTAACATATTTAAAGATGTTTAGACTATTGTGTGTAATAAATGTAAGTAATACTTGCTGTAATTATAGTAATTAGAAAGTGTACACAAAATACATACTAAATGGTATCTAATTGGATGGAGGATAGTTGTTCAAGGAACTTCCCACTATTATGGTTACATTAGAACAAGATTTTACAGGATTAATAAAAGACCTTCGGATGCACATGAATGAGCAGGTATTCCAAATGTCATGTGCAAAGATATTAAACACAAAAAAGGAAGGCGCATTTTCAGACATGTTATAAGATTTTGCCTTGTTTGTATTCTGCTCTTTCTTAATAGATTAAATAATACCCCATAGTAGATGCCTTACTTAAAGTAATAATTTATAACCAGAATAATATTTTAATGGGAAGAACAAGATGCTTATCTATTAGCCCTGAGTTTTTCCACCAGCTAACTTTTGACTTTGAGCAATTTATGAAATATCGCAAGGCCTTCATTTTCTCATCTTCAAAGCAGAACAGTTGCCCAGAGTGTTTTTCAACTCCAATTATTCACAATTGTATCATTTTATCGTTTGGTGGTAAGATAGGTTTTTAGGAATAATTAAAATCATCGCTATGGTATTAGTGATATATAACTTATAAAAATAGAAAGGGCTATCTGATATTTAAGAGGAAAATATTTCATTTAAACCTTTAATATCATCACAATTTATCTAATAATCAGTTTCAAGAGTAATCAAGGTGATCCATGTAAATAAATGGATTATCTCCTTGGTTTCTGCCAATGAAGGTTAACAAAAACCACAATATTTCAGAACTTCAGAATGCAATAAAATGCCATAAAGAAATTGATCATGAATCTAAATTAGCTGAACTCCCCCTTGAACTCTGTTTTTCTTTTGATGAGAAGAACAAATCAAGGGACTTTGCTTGAACTACAGCAAGAATAAAAAGTAAATCAGGACACCTTTTTTTAAAAAAAAAATAACCCTGCCTGGTTCAAGACAATGAGATCATCTCAAATGCAGCAATATTCAGTTTTGTAGAAATTGACAAATATGTTGAAATTTGTGGTACCAGTGATACATGATTTATTAAAAGTGAACTTAATAAGAATTAATACAGTATCTATCACCAAAGTAAGAATAAATTCAAACCCGCTGTTTAGGACTAAGCAATTTTCTTCAAATGTTTGCCATTTATTTAAGCATTTATTCATTTGACAATACTTTTTTGAGCAACACTGTATGACCAGCCTTACGCTAGGTATTGGGAATGTAGTTATGATCAAGACTAAAAGTATCCTTACCCTTATATAAGGAGCTTGCATTATATCATGGAAAAACTAAACAAGTAATTATTTTAAGTTCCAGCATACATGTGAAGGATGTACAGGTTAGTTACATAGGTAAACATGTGCCATGGTGGTTTGCTCCACCTATCAACCCAACACCTAAATATTAAGCCCAGCATGCATTAGCTATTTTTCCTGATGCTCTTCTCTGTACCCACTGGACAGGCCCCAGTGTGTGTTGTTCCCCTCCCTTTGTCTATGTGTTCACATTGTTTAGTTCCCAGTTATTAGTGAGAACATGAAGTGTTTGGTTTTCTGTTCCTGTGTTAGTTTAGTTTGCTGAGGATAATGGCTTCCAGCTCCATCCATGTCCCTATAAAGGATATGATCTCATTCTTTTTTATGGCTGCATAGTATTCCACGGTGTATATGTACCACATTTTCTTTATCCAATCTATCACTGATGGGAATTTGGGTTGATTCCATGTCTTAAAACTAAACAAGTAATTATTTAAGTAAAAAGTTATGATCAATGCCATAAAAAGAACAAACAATTTAGTATACCTTAGGGCACCTGATTTGCAGAAGGACGTCTTAAAAAGGGCTTCAGGGACACCTCCTTGAGGAAATATTATCTGAACTGAGAAGGAAAAGTAAGGGTGAGCCAATCCTGAGAAGATGCGAGTTAACCCAAAGTAACAAAAAATAAACACAACCTAGAAATAGATCCAAATATGGATTAAGTCATAGGGTAGTCTATCATCAGCAGAGTCTGTCACTTAATATTCTCTGTCACCTTGAAATTGGCCACAGTAAATTATTAAAATTACAGATAAAAATACCATCTCTTTAGTATCCCATTCTATCCTGAACAAACCCAGCCAAAGCAATTCTGTCAAAATCTGGATGGTATAAGCTTTTGTTTATTGTTGTTCCACAATCATTGTTAAAACCAATGATCACGGAGATAAAGAATATCAACATATTAGACATCCACTGCAAACAAACCATGGTATATGGAAGAAAAATAGGAAAACCTTTGGGTGAGTTTTCTCTCTAACAGGTAAAGCTGCTGAACATATTTTCCTTTCTCAGCCCATCATTCGACTCTCCCATGATATTGAATTTGCCAGTTCTGTTGCAATTGTTCCTAAACAACCTTCAGTGGTGTCATCTATGTTGTGAATGACTTAATATAGCAGAGAAACATTTACACTGGATCCAGAGAAATCCTGATTTGAATAAAAGACTGCATTATTACCAGTTATAATGAATCCAGGGTGTAATTATATACAAGAGTGGCAAACATATTTTTGCAGTGTTCTGACAGTAATAACCTGAGGTACCGTACATATGCTTGTAATTCTTGTCCCAGTCAAGCTGGCATTCATAGTTGATCATTTGGTATTTAGATTAGAGACCAATTATGAAAATATAAGCTGGGTATGGGAAAAGTCACACACACAATACATAACACAGATGGTCAAAGAGATATCCAGCTCAGCTATCTACTAAGTTTTTCTTCTGTCATTTAAAAAATATATATATGAAACATCATCTTTTAAATGGTTTAAATGTATGAACAGGCACAAGATTTGGCCCAAATTAGGTAGTGGATAAAGGTGTGTGTTTTGTTGTTGTTTTTAAGACTATATCTGTGGAATGTATCTACACAGCACACAAAATTTACCACTTTACAGTTTTCTATTTTTCAGCTTACTTCAGGGATCAGATAACTTTTAAGATTTGTTTGAAATAAAATGCATGATTTCCATTATTTTGCTATTTATTTGATTTTTAGTCAAGAAAATATTTTCGAAAAAATATTGTATTTTAGGCCTCATAATTAACAATGATAAAATTTTGATAAAAGGATTATAAACATTAACAATCAAATTAAAGCAGCATTTTGTGATCTTCCTTATCCCTATAAAATAATCCTGTGATACTGATTTGGATAATATACATGTTAAGAAAATATTTTCAAATTCAGTATAACAATGATTTGATATTCAAAGATTATAAACAATAGCATAACACCAATATAAATAAAAAAGAGTAACTAGACTCTGTGAGTGTACTCTCTTGGGAAACATTTATTCCTATAGGTATTCCTTGGAAAGGAGTTTTTCAGAACTATTATATCATATATCTTTCTCAGAAGAAAAATAACAAAGGAAACGTCATTCCACATAGAAAAAGCCCTAGAGGATATGCAAATATACTGAAAATGCAGTCATGTTTCTTTCTATTCTCCCAAGGGTTTGTTACCCTCTGAGCACAACTGTCATTTCAAATTCTTGCCAGTGTAGACGTAACATATAACTCAATGTTATTATCAATATATTGCCCAATAAAATAGATTGAAATTCTTGATGGGAAGGAAAACAACATTTTATGAAACACTTACTTATAACTACTGTCATCATTATTGACCATTTATGGGAAGATTGACTTTTGAGTTATCATACTATACGTTATATTCTTACATAATCTTCTTTTTCCCCTAGAGTGCGACTAAATGCATGTATTGAAACCTGGATCTAATGCGATCGTGAAGATATCGTTTTACTAATCTTTTATTTATGTCCCACACTTGGTAGGGCACACTTCAGAGAAAGCAATAAACATTATCTGTTAATTATTGAGTTGCCAGAATTTTTCATTTTTAGGAATATAAGATTTGTAGACATCCTAAAGAAAAATAAATTAATAAAACTTTTCCAAATTAGCCAGATGACACATTAAAACTGAGAATAAAAAACAAAGCCAAAAGTTGATGTTTGTTTGGTTACATTCTGATCACAGACACTTGAAACCTTTGCTCTATGTAAAACATTGAAAATAAGTGAAAAGATAGCTACATGTTTTTATTAAGCTATCTGCACACCCCTCCCCACCTATGAGAATTTCCTAGTATTATACAAGTGTGAAGATTCACACTTAGCCCAGCATAGAAGAGAGAATGATTGTGATTATCTGTCATTGTTAAAGCTTTCAGTGTTCAATTACCATGAAGTATATGTACGGAATCCCACTGAGTAACTAACTCTAAGACACTGTTAGATCTGTAAAATGTTACCCATTCAAATGGGTTATTTTCACAATGTAGTAATGAGCACATGGAAGACATACTCACTTGTTGAAGTGATGTTGGGCTATGTGATCTACTGCAGTCATAGTACCTTTACATTTTGACTCAAATTGTTTTATCACTTGGAATTTTTTCTTTTTTAAAAATAAGTTTCCAATATGCTATGTAGGAAGATGATATCTTAAGCTATTATAAGCTCACAATTACAACTAAGATGTTTTGAAATACTTTATCAGAATTTGGAGGAAGGTCACAAAAGACAAGTAAAAGGTATGCCAAATGGAAAATATTCTGAAGCCAGAAAAATAGTGTTTGCTATCTGAAGACTGGAGAGGCATGCCAAAAATGTCTGTCTAGTTCACAATTTCTCTAAAGTTAGATCCTATTTTTGAGTATCTCATCCTTGAGTATGTGAGTCATTCAATAGGGTTTCTTCGGTTAACTAAAATTACACATAATTATATTCTAATTTAAACATTCATTCACAGTTAAAATTAAGTATTCTATGTATACATTATGAATAAGAAGAAATTAAAGGGTAAATTTAGAAATAACTTTATGACCTATATTTATTCACCCAATCAACAATTATTTCTTAAACTACCATTGTGTTCTGGGTCAGTGTTTGGCTTTGGGGACATAGAGAGGTTAGAGTATTGCACAGGCGAGACCTTGACATCCTGCTTATGACTGGATCTCAGATCCTCACGGATTCATCTATATCCTGTGATATTTCTATACAGTTTTTCAAAGACTCAGATAGACATACGTTATGGACTGAATGTTTGTGTCCTCCCAAAATACATATATCCAAATCTTAACCTCCAGTCTGATAGTATTGGGAGGTGTGGCCTTTGGGAGGGAATTAGTTCATGTGGTTGGAGCGCTCATGAAGTGGAATTAGTGCCCTTATAAGAGGAGACAGGAGAATTTTTTCCCTCTGCTGTCTCTCACTTGCTTTCTCTCTCTCTTTCTCTCTCTCTCTTTCTCTCTCTCTCCCCCACTCTCTCTCTCTCTCCCCCTCCTCTCTCTGCCATATGAGGACATAGTGAAAAGACAGCCATCTGCAAGCCAGAAAGAGAGTCCTCACCAGACACTGAATCTGCTGACACCTTGAGCTTGGATTTCCCAGCCTCCAGAGATGTGAGAAATAAATGTTTGTTGTTTAAGCCACCCAGTCTAGGGTAATTTGTTATAAACCTTAACTGCCTAAAACCAACATAGTAATCAGACTGAGAGAATATCCTTCTGGAGAAAGAACATGTAATAGAAGAGTTTGAGCTCTGACCTTAAGCAGAAAATATATTTTGAAGGTATCTGCTCCTAAAATAGGAAGAACCAGTTATGATGAATCAGCAATCTCTGTAGTTGTCTATTATATAATAAACTCACTACTCTATATTTGCTGACTCTAATTTCCACTTGTGAATTCTTACACCTTTTTTTCCCTGAAAGATCCAGTGAGTGTCTTCTGTGCATAAGAAGCCTTGTCCACTGATCATGAGCTATTTAATAGTGTCTACTTCTACCTCAAGCCACATCCTCCCACCCCCAAATGATGAATACTAATAATTCTCTTTTCAAAAGCTTCAATCAGTCCACTTTAACTGTCATTCCAGCTGATCCACGTCCCACTAAAAACTCCATTGTCACTGTTTAATACCACTATCTTGTTTGTATTTTACTGAGTTCAAAATCTTGTATTCTATCAGAAAGACTCAAAGAAGTTCTCTCATCTTTCCTTAGTATTTTAATAAACAGCTACTAAAGCATATATGTTTGGCTTGGAAAGCCTACGGAATTTTAGTCAAAGTCGATTCCATTTTTACTTATTTCAACCTGTCTCCACAGGACTCAGCCAGGTGTCTGTGAGAGGGCTGGCTCCAAGACAAATTTGAAAAGCAAAAACTGTTTCTGTATATACAGCATAATTTTTCTCCCAAAAATATTGTTTGGTCTGATATAGAGTGTGTTTTTTAAAATGTAAAATGCCTCATAAGCGATTGGGTAAATGGTGAATGATGTCCAAATAATGTGAGAGGCATCCTGTTGGTTCAAAACTGATTTTTTCCAGAATATTCTTCTGAAACAAATAAGAAAAAGTCTTTTCACATTAAATAACAAGCATTAGAAATAAATGAAGACCTTAACAAGAAACCTGAGTAACTCAAAAGTCCAAGTAATAACTAGTTTATTATCTTCAACAAATTCTGCATTACGTTAACTTATCTAGGGGAAACTATGACTGAAGATAAGCTGTAACAAACACATTTTTTCTTTCTTACACATCTTGACAAATTAAACAAGTAAGGCAGATTGGAGGTCTAGATATCAATCTATTTATTAACAAATGTTAAATAGAACTATGTAACCTAATGTAAACTCCTCTAGGATGTGAGATCTCAATTCCAGCCCTAGGCAGACTTATGTAACTAGTCATGGGCAAAACAGACTGAAAAACAGGCTGGATTTGCTTCCCCGTGTGTGTGTGTGTGTGTGTGTGTGTGTGTGTGTGTGTGTGTGTGTGAGAGAGAGAGAGTGTAGTGGGTTTCAGATATGAATGTGCAAAATACTAGTATGTTGAAAAGCAGAGCAGAACTCTCGTTAGGTTATTTTCTTGAGAGAAGGGACAGAACTTAGACAAGCGCACCCAAGTTATTCTTCCCACATTTACGAGAGATGCAGTGTGGGCCTTATCAATGGAGCCATATTCTGTAAAATTTGCAGAAACAATGATTTTACCTGCTATTACACACAACAAAGGTCTCTTTTCACACTGACTTCCCTCAATTACACTTACTCTGGTGCTGGGTAAGGTTGCTATAGGTATAGATTTGGTTTTGGATTCATCAATGGGATATTGAGTTAAGGATACATTTACTTTGAGTTTTTTGGAATTTAAGTATGTGATTCACTTTCATGTATAGTTAGGTTAGTGGTAGGCATTCAGAAAGAGGAATGTAACTGTGCTGAATTCCCTGGGCATCTTGACATATTGCAAAAATCAGAGGTCATGTTACATGCCATGACATCCAAAGCTGGACCAATGAGGATAGCTGGAGGAGAAAGAGTTTGAAATGTAGAGCCAGAAGTTAGCTTGGAGAAAGTTATGTTAAATCTTACACTATTGGGCCAGGTGCCATGGCTCACACCTGTAATCCCAACACTTTGGGAGGCTGAAGTGGGTGGATAACTTGAGGCCAAGAGTTCGAGACCAGCCTGGCCAAAATGAGTAGAACCCATCTCTACTAAAAATACAAAAATTAGCCGAGCCTGGTGGTGTGCACCTGTAATCCCAGCTACTCAGGAGGTTGAGGCAAGAGAATCGCTTGAACCTGGGAGGTGGAGGTTGCAGTGAGCTGAGATCATGCTACTGCATTCCATGTTGGGCAACAGAGCGAGACTCTGTCAAAAAAATAAAAAATAAAAATAAAAAAATAAAAAAATAAAAAATAAAAATAAAAAAATAAAAAAACCTTACACTGCTATTATGAAGGAAACATAAACAGAGACTTTCTCCTATTTAACAATGATTTTAAAAGTTTATATGGCATCATACTATAAGTTGTAAAGTTGAAACACATAATTCTTAGCTGTCAACATAAAGTAAATTTTATCTGTGTCATAATTAAATATCCTAGAAGAATGACAAAATTTTCTATTATGTCTATAAAAATGATATCACACACTGTTGTTTATAAAAGGGGATGATCAAAGAGTATGAAGCCAAGGAAATGGAGTGGCGTTATTATAGAGGTATGGGGCCATTATTTGACAAAAATATTATACCTTTTTTGATTTTTTTTTATATTTAAGGTAACTATCAGCCTTTTAAGATGTGAAGTTTGTTGTAATCTCTTTTCTCAAGGTGAATATATTCATTTCTGTACAACCTTTTGTATTTGCACACTTGAATTTGGTTAAGAGGACCTGTACAATTGAACAGGCTTCAGGTTTATCAAAACCTGAGCCAAGGCCTGCAAAGAAGTGACTGCACCTGCTCTTCCCCCTCTCTGTACCCCACAGAGCAGGGAAGAGTGCTCAAGAAGCACTCTGGCCAGCTGAGAGGCAGGAAAAACCTCTTCCTCTGAGGAAGCATCAGGATTGAAAAGAAACATTTTCTTTTTGGAATCTTTTGGCTCTTCTTCTCCTAACCCACTCATTTTATTCATTTATCCAGAAAAAAAAAAAAAAAAGAAGAAGAATGAGTTCCCCCAGGAATGGAAATCAGGGTAATTCTGTGCCTACCTCCTTGGCACTTCTGGTTCACTCACTCACTGATGGGCTCTGAAAGAATCTATAACAATGCATATATCAAGCCCCCTTTCAGTCAATATGAAGGCTGGAAAAGAAGGCTGTAGGACATTTTCCACCCAAATTGTATACAGCTGCATTCTGTGCTGTGGTACTGCTCCACACTGCAAATGTCAAAATACCAATGTTCCCTGGCCTTATTAAAATCTCCTAATTGTGGTTTAAGCTCTAATTTTTACTTCCTTTCTTATTTTCCAGTTTTCCTGGGCCATTCTCTAAATATCGGTGCTTGAAAATGACACACTTTTCTCCACTTGAGCTCTGACCAAATTAAAAAATAAAATGCAATCAGGATTATAAAAGCCAAATAAGTAATAATGATAATGACAATGATGATAACAGTATCTTATATTCATAAGGAAAAGTTTTCTGGGTAAAGCACTCCTCCAAGCCCATTATATGCATTAACTAATTTAATTTTCACAACACACTGATATTAGGGACTGTTATTCTTTAGGTCACATGGATGAGAATACTTATAGACGCATGTTTAAGTAGCTTACTGAAAGCCACCCAAGAAAAACGGTTAGAGCCAAGATTTAAAGCAGGCCATTGACCACCAGAATATGACCTTTTCAACAAATGGACTTTATTATAGACCGGACCTATGACCTGGGGGTGGGGGGCATTGTGGCTATTCTTTGGAGGAAAGGGGAGAAATAATGGTTTGGAGAGGCTTGAGTACTTGGGACAATATTTCAAAGTGGAGGCTTTGCTATTGTTTCATATAGGTAGCTGACTATTCTGAACCCCAAACACATATGGTACTATGTAATAAATACAATGAACAAACAAATAAAATAACACTTAAGTTTGGGAAGATTAGAAATGTTATGGCTGTTTAAAATTCAGAAATTGTTTCTGTAGAAACTTAAATGTTATTTTATGTTTCTACATTTCTCTGCTATGGTCACAAGTTTTCAGATGTCTGTGCTAATTTCTTCTTGAATAGAACATCTACACCCTCCAGCAGATATTGATGTTCAACTTTAGATGGTAAAAGCATCAATGCAATACTGTTCCCAACTGCTAGGCTTATTCGAGAAACATTTTCTCTGTCTTAGTACAGTTCGTAATATCTCCTTTTTGTAAAATTGCTTTTTCCATCATTTATTCCTTCATTTGAACTATGTAGAAAAAAATGATAAAACTCGAAATGTTTAACAGTATTTTATTTCAACGAGTGAACATAAACATATATATGTGTATATATACACGCACATATATAGTAGAGCTGATTATATATATATGGTATACATAAATATAGTGATAGTACATCTAACTATAGTTATAGTAAATATATATATATATATATGGTAAAGTTATATATATATGGTAAAGTTATTTTCCTAACTTGAGCAGACCTGAAAATTAACAAAAAAAAGCTCTAATATATATGTATGTACAGCTGCATTCTATGCCATGGTACTGCTTAGGTTAGGAAAATAACATAGAAAATCTAACTTAAATTTTGTATACTGATTACCCATATACATTGATAAAGCTTTCTTTAATGCATAATATGTGAGAAGCACTCTTCCAAACCCAATGAAAAGCAACCAAACACAAAAGATAATATGAAAAAGAACAGAAGAAAAAATATGTCATGTTACCCCTACATTATAAAATCATTCCTTCTCTCCCGTATTGCAAAGTTATTCTTTGGCCAATTGCTCTGTTTTATTATTTTAATAATTGTCAGTAGCTGAATATCACTAATCAAATTTATTTCATTTATGTGTTTACTTGGCTATTTATTTGTTTTCTGTTTCTCCATATCATGTAAAACAACATGATGTCACAGTCCTATTTATTTATGGCTATATCCTCAACAATTAGAACAGTGCTGAGATGACTAATAAATATTTGGGAGTGAAATGTACTTGGGAGACGAGTTTCAGTAAGGACAAAAGGAGTCAGGTGATAAAACCAGGTCATGAGAGGAGAAAAGAAGTCTCAAAAGGGCAGAAGAATTGGACATCAAGATTTCTGTATGCTGATATATAGAGGAAGACAGATACTGATACAGGTACTGTCTACATCTAAATGGACACTCCCAAAGTCTTATATAAGTTGTGCTTTATTTTTCATTTCTACTTTCAGAACCTGGCTCTCTATAAATGATGAGTTTCTCAAAAAATAATCTAGGCTCAGCAAACTTCAAACAAGTTGAAGTTTATTAGTTAGCTCTAACTACTATCCAATTTGTTTTATACCTGAAAGCGCTTACGTTAAATGCTATCAGATAAAATTCAAGTGTTCAGCTATGGGGTTAGGCACTTCAGCTTCGGAAATACTCCATTACGGTCTTCTAGAATTGTAATATTATGCTGTGGCTTTGAATCTAGGAGATATATTCACATATTTTCTGTTCTGAAACATCCTGGCCATTTCCTGACCATATGACCTCTATAAAAACCCAGGGAAATTAATGTTCTTGTGACCTGAGTTTGAACTCCTGGAATACTTCATATATCCCGAAGGGTATATTTAAATATCAGCAAAAGATGTACTGACTTAGAACCATCATGATGAGCTTTCAAGTTTCCAAGTTAACTACTGTGGTTAATATTGCACAACTTACTTGTGAAGTTTAAAGTGTTTGCACATCTTTTTAATGATCAGATTTACATCCATCTCAGTCTTAGCCCACCTCAGCAAGTTGACTTCAATGCCATGTATATCTACTACACTGGGACTTGTATCCTAGATGGGATGATGACCACTCAAGGTCACAAAAAGAGATCTACCGCTTAACAATTTTAGCCCTTGGAAAACAGAAAAGGAGAACAAGGAAAGTCCATTTTTAAGGTCTAAATGCTCAATTTCAAAAGATAGCCAACAAATTTATGAATTTTGAAATTATTTAACCTTTTAGAAAACTGATCAAGGGTAGATATAGCTAATTGTCACTTTTCATTTGTTTAATGTGAAAACTACATGCTTCTATGAAAGTCAAGTTGTATGTAATGCCATGTGTAAAAAGTCATAATGATTGCAGGATTTTCTTTGAAATATCTCATTCAGACAATACCTACAGAGTAAATCCTCCTATAGAAATGATTAAATGTTTTGAAGAGCAAAAGCAACAGGACAGAAATGCCTAATGTCCTAAAGATATGTATCACCCATTCACTGAGCAGTTTGCCTTCAAAGGTAAAGAAGACTTGTAATAACTAGTGCTATATCCACAAAAACTAGTCATTTCCACTCATCACTTGCATCTCTGGTGCTTCTTTCTTAACAACTGAAAAGTATATTGAGGATGACTGCACCACCCAGGAAAGCCCAAGATTACTCTTCAATGGAATGGAAAGGTGTCTAGGATCATGGGTGGTAAGAATCAGACTTCCACATGGCAATGCTGACTATCAGGTAAGGAGATCAATATGGATTTTGTCTGTACTTGATTATTCCTTTTTTAAAAAATGTTTCATTTTGCTGTCTACACAACTTATTTCTTCTGTAACCAAGAAGATACATTTTAGAACCCATCTAAATGCATCTGCTAACAGTACTATCCTGCTATTTATGCGTAATGGAACAAAGTCAAACATCTATGACATGCCAAGTCACCTTTGTTGAATGGTTTAGATGATTACAATAAAAATTTATTTCCATCAGCTCCAAAACTTTATTGTTCGTGTGTCATATAACATAGGACATGGCTTGTAATGTTAAAATATATCAGCACAAATTTGTCCAGGAATAGTTGCAAGAAATGGAAGCTGGTTCCCAAAATATAACAACACTTTCATCATGCCTTGCCTTGAGACTTATAAGAACAATTGAAATAAATGATAATTTTCAATCAAGTGCACATTTTGACATAGGATGTCTTATTGTTTATCTTAATATTTCACTGTGACTGATGTATATTATGCTCTCAATAAATGATTGTTGTTAAATTTTGGATGGATTTTAAAACAGTGTTTTTAAAGGGAATGATTTTTTTTTCTTTTCTTCTGACAGCTTTGTCCATTGATGAACCAATAGCCTTAAATTCATTCTCTTGACTGTGCCTAGAATGAGTTGAAAAAGTAAATGTGCATCTGATTATGTCGGTCCTCCGATTTACTTCCTAAAACAGGTCAGCATCGCCTTCAGGATAAATTTCAACTCCATGACAGGCTTACAAGTCCTCTCCACATTGGGTATCATCTCCCAGGTATAAGGTGATACTCAATTCCTGTATTATAGTCACATATACATGTTTATTCAGTTATTTATTTATTTATTTATTTATTTATTTATTTATTTATTTATTGAGATGGAGTCTCGCTCTGTCTCCCAGGCTGGAGAGCAGTGGGTCAATATTGTCTCATTGCAACATCTGCCTCCCGGGTTCAAGCAATTGTCCTGCCCCAGCCTCCCAAGTAGCTGGGATAACAGGCTTCCAACATGCCCAGCTAATTTTTGTGTTTTTAGTAGAGACAGTGTTTCGCCATGTTGGCCAGGCTGGTCTCGAACTCCTGACCCCAGGTGATCTGCCTGCCTCGGCCTCCCAAAGTGCTGGAACTACAGGCACGAGCAATTTAATATGCTCCCCAAACTATCATTATTTTAATTAGCATTTCTATAGCAATCACCTTTTATGCCTTTAACCTCTTTTGTTCATTTGTGGCCAGGTAAATTAACCCCCAACAAATTAAATTAACCCCTACCAAAAAGTTTTAGTTGTATATTTCTGTCTTATTAAATCAAATAAATACATTAAAGAATTTATTCAAGCAAAAAAGTTAAATGACTGCTTATTGCACTAATGTGTAATTAGTAGAATTTCTGATTGGTAAATGGTCACTGCACATACACACAGAATTTGTGGTGATATCAATTAAATGCCGTTTAATCAACCAGTTACTCAAAGGTAACCAAATTTATAAATAAATAGAAAATATTAAAGAGTTAGTTTGAATGCATGGCTTAGAATGCTTGCCACAGCAAGTAACAGAACACTCAAATCAGAAAAACGGGCTTTATTGTCTCTTGAAACTGAAATATTGAGAGGTGTATCAGGCTTCAGGTACAGTTTTATCAGGATGTATTAGTCTGTTCTCATGCTGCTAATAAAGACATATCCGAGACCGGATAATTTACAAAGGAAAGAGGTTTAATTGACTCACAGTTCCACATGACTGAGGAAGCCTCATAATCATGGCAGAAAACAAGGAGGAGCAAAGCCACTTCTTACATGGCAGCAGGCCAGAGGGCATATTGAGGAGAACACCCCTTTGTAAAACCATCAGACCTCATGAGACTTATTCACTATCACAAGAACAGCAAGGGAAAACCCTGCCCCCATGATTCAATTACCGCCCACCAGGTCCCTTGCACAACACGTGCGTATTATCGGAGTTACAATTCAAGAGGAGATTTGGGTGGGGACACAATCAAACCATATCACAGGGTTTTTGCTGTGTGTCTCTAATATCATTGCTGTTTATTTCTGCTTCTTTTTGGGCTAGCTTGCTTTATGTTCTCTAGATTATATAATAAAACCATTCATTTTCTATTATGTTATTACATTTTATTCTTTTAAGACTTGAGAAATTTCATGAAATTCATCTTTTGTACTTATCACATGAAGGTGAAGTTTCCAAGATACTCCTTATAGGAACAAATCTCTTATGGGAAGATGAATGGCATTACTGATCTTGGTCTTTCATTGGAACACAAATTAAAAGACTTTCAAGAAGTTTAATTAGGGGAAGTTTCAGTGTACACTATTTCCATACCAGTGTGTGCAATTCTTATTACTAAAGCCATTTCAAGTTATTAAGAAGGAGTTTGCATTAATGCAGACAGGAAAACAATAATTTAGGAAAAATATAATGAGAGAAACTCTAGATATTAGTCAGAGTCCAAGGGTATTTTATTCCAATATGATTTTTGTTAATATTATTATGAAGGTGGATCCAAAATCTCTATAGCTCCTAAGAGAATAAAATTAATGTAGTAGGAGATGAGAAAAAAGTATGTTGAACAATTTGGTTGAAAAGACATTTTGCTTAAAGTATCAATAAAATGTAAACAAATATTATTAAAGTACATGGCATTCAGTTAGATTATTTAGATTTTGTTTTCATTAGCAGAATTATGGGATGAACTAAAAATGTTTTGATTATATATTTTTCATGGTTTATGGAAAGCTCTGTTAACCTGTGCCAGTGTTAACTTGTAATTGCTTTATTTTGTCTCTCATTACTCCTGAAATATGCAGTATAGTCAGGTTTTCAAAGACTGGGGGCAATACCTGAGAGTCAGGGTTGATGGTACTGAATTATGATTTTGGGAGGTTCAAAATTTGGGCAAATTCCCTTGGAATTGGTTTTATCTTTTTTTCACTGTTAGTTCATGACATTTTTTGTTTTATAGTTAAGTTCTTAAGCTTGTTATATTACAGATTATGAAGAAGATCAGAGTATATCAAACACACTCTGTCTTTATCAGTAAAGATTCACAGTTCTATATATAATGTTATGGTTTCTGGCATAATCATAGCTACCAAAAGAAGAAAAGGTTTTAAGCATACAGGTTAGAATGGAAATCTTTGAGGCATCAATTGAAATTAGGGCCTATTAACCACAATTTTTCAGGCAACTTTGTCCCCTAGAGAGAGAGATTAAATACTAAGATTATATTAGTAATAAATTATCTTTCTCTAGAGCTCCTACTTGCTGAAATGGAGGCACATCTAGCCCCATTTAAATATCACCTGAATATTTTTAGAAATCCCTAAGGGATGTCTCCTGTGTTCATTCCTTCACTGGGATTCCCTGTTTCTTCTGTTTTTGTTGATTGTTTCTTTTTGTCTTAGTTTACCTATTCAGAGAACACTGATTCTAGGTAATCACTGTGGCCTCCCTGGTAAAGAGAGTCTACCCTCCCTTGAAAAATCTGAAAACAATATTTATAATCAGATACTTTCAAAACAAATTTCTGGTGTAAATCTTAGTTCTAGATAAGTGAATTTTATTGCTTGCAGAATAACCTTGTCATAGACACAAGACAACAAAATGAATATTATAGCATTAAAGCATTCATTCAGTCATTCATTCAAATTACTAATTGGTTCTACAAGAAATGCTTCTGAGAAATTTTATAGATGACGGTTTTATAGAAATGCTGATAAAGCAAGCTGCCAGGCTAATCAACGAAGATGCTTTTATTCTTGCAAAGAACGTTCTACATTCTGAACAATTACCCATGATTGAATCAATGCAGGAAAACTTGCCGTCTTACACTGCACTATTGAAAGATAGTTCATGGTTACATACTTTTAAAAACTATCTTGGGAAGAGTAGAAAACACATTTGAAGAAAGACAAGGCAACAGGCATTTCCCTAAAAAGATCTGGGTTTCAATTTCCTAAGCGGGTTGTTACAAATTGCTTTTCTCTTGGCTTTAGATTCCTATTTTCTTGGATTTCCCCTGTATTACCAACATTTCTGTCCTCCTCTTCATCTGTAGGGATTTTTTTTCCAGTACATTTCAGCCAGAAGGCAGGAGAGCAGCTGTCGCCACTGGAGAAACCAATTATTTGCCAAATGGATGGGCTTCCGCCTGAATTCACTGGCTGTTTTTCCCAGAATCTCAGGGTACCATGTAGTCAGTTCAGTATAACGAAAGCCTTGTTCAGCTCTGATGCACAGTCATGGGTTTACTCTGCAGCTGATGAAGGTTACAAAGACTAAAAATTATATAAACTACATCAACACAAAGTCTGGATCTCTCCTTGCAAATGCAAATTCAAATTCTTCTCATTTCAGTAGAATATAACATCGTTGTAATCATTTTCTACTGAAACTTGATTTTTTTTGGCTGTTGATTTAATACTTGAGAGACTCTGAACTGTGAAAGGAAAGTCAAAATAGTACTCATATAATACAACTAAATAATTCAGATTTTAAACATACAATATTGAGTAAGTTATCTCGACACAGGAAAGAAACATTTTTCTCAATGGATTGCTGTGTAAACTTAATATAATTATGGATATAAAAGTAGTCTTTCACTATGCTTAACACAAAGTATACATTTAATAAATGTTTGGTGAATAAATAAATTGGTGGGTAATTTACTAAATTTATCTTGCCTGTAGACTATATATATATATATATATATATATGTGTGTATATATATATATATATATAGTCTCTGTCTCTATATATATATAGACTCTGGACTATTTTTCAGTTTTTATATCTTATGTTTCACCGATTGATTTATTAAATAATATAAACCATATTTAATAGAAAACATCTTTTACTTTTTCTAAAATGAGTCCTATTTATAGGCATGTATTTAATACCTCAGTAGTTTTTTATAAATAGGTCCATGTCACACTAAACAACAAGTACCTTTGGTTGAAAAACACAGGATGAGATATCCTGTCATTAAATAATTTCCTTCCCTTCTGGCACAGATTTTTAGGATAAATTCATGTTTAGAACACAACGTCTATAAAATTGAGACTATTGTTAAAAAATGTGTTTTTAAAAATATTTCCAGAGGTTGATGGCAGCAGTCATCAGTGGAGTGGGTTAGTTTCTTTGTTAAAATGAAAATTGTCACTTATTATATAAGCAGAAAGTTTAGTTTACTTAAGTTTAAAATAAAGGAAATACATATTCCATATTTTTAATATTTCTAAGAAAATCAAGTACTTATTTTTTAATATATTTATGTAAGATTCAGAGGCAAATGACCTGGGCAGATATATATGCAACAAAGCGTGCATTTTTAGGGAACTCATGTGAAAAATTTGATTAGATGAGAAAAAAATGCACATATTCTCAGATGTAACATAATTGCACAGAATGGAAAATTTTTAGGCATTGTTTTAAAATATACAGGGAGTTACACTGAAATTGACACTTGGAAGAATCTGAAAACCATGACAATAGTTCTGTAAGGGGATGGTAATTTGGCTATATAATTAAATTGGAATGTGTTCAGTAAGCAGATGTGTGCAAATAAAGAAGAATCTAAGCTTCGTGTTTGCACTTCTTGATCTTTCTTTTGTTTGCTTTTTTATGAGGACACCCCATGGCTTTTTGTTGTTGCTGCGTTGTTGTTGTTGTTTTTCTCCTAACTAAATTAGCTTCCAGCCTAATACACTTCTTAGGGTTTACTCAAAAGTTTCCAGCCTGCAGAATTCCATGTTGTCAACAGATGGCGTAAGATGTGATTCACCATGCTCAATGACTTCGAAGAAGCAATTTGCTACTGCTGTCCCAAAGTTGGTTTGAAATTATTTCCATGCTACACTTGAATGGAAACAAACTTCACCAGATTTTAAATGTCATTGAAATGTGTGACATTATTTGGGAATAAAATAAGAACAAATGGCTTTTGTTTGATTTTTTTCATTTTTATTTTACTTTTTTCCATTTAAAATAGTAGCTTAAAGAGAGGACACATGAATACATATTTTTTCTGCCAAACACAATGGACTATCAACTACTCTTTCCACTACTTATATTCCACAATGGAGGGCTCAAATTGCCAACAAAATGTGGATAGCATTTTGTATACAGACAATTCTCAGCAAATTTGTGATGTCTGTTATTTTGCTTGTATAAACTGATATAGTTTGGCATTTCAGTGCCAAAATAACATATGGAATGTAATTCTGATATACACTTGGACATACACATAAATGATAAAAACTTTAAAATACAATAACAGGGAAAAAAGATAACAAGTTTGAAGAATTTAGGGCTATAAGTTACTTTAGACACCTGTGAGTTTAAACTGCCATTTATTGATGAGTTAGTTGGAAACAGGAAGTACAACTGGACTTGTCCAAATTATTCAAGAGTACCTCGATTTACAGTGCTCTTGTGAATCACATCTCAATAATTGGGATCTATTAAAACTTTCATAGGAAATCTGGTCCTGCCTCAGTCTTTTCTGGTGATCCCGAGAGAGGAGAAATAATACTAAGAAAAACAAAGACACTTTTTATTAATACCTGGACATCTGACACCAACCCTGTTTACTAGATAAACACTTAACTTGCATAACTGGGCTAGAAATCCTAGAACTGAGGGACTAATTTTACATGGACTAACAGGTTTAGAGGCCTCCTCATTTGAATATTTAACATATGGATGGTACTGTGTTTGTGATACTGTTATTGAGAGATGGGAGGTACTTTTCAGGGTCAAGCAAGATGAGCTAGAAAAAGAGAAGAGAGAGAAGAGGTGGGGAGGGGAAGAGAAGGGAGAGGAGAGAAGAAGAGGAGTGGGGAAGGAGAAGGGAGGGAAAGACAGAGAAGCCATATGCTGTGATTTTGTGAGGTGACTCTATAAAACACCATTCTCCCTCCAAAACTCATGAGTTTCCCTTTGTTCATCTCTGACATCCCTTTGTTCTATCTATATAGAGTTCGAACTAAAACCAGTATTTATTTTACTAACTTACTTGACATTTCAATCCTATGAAAAATGTTTATATTACTTTGCAATTTTTTAAAACTTGCAAAAATTAAATTTATTTGAAAGCGTAAAGAATATAGAAATTTAGAAATTCTCAACAATGTCAACGGAAGACAATTTGTAATATTTCAAGCAATTTTATGTTATCTTCTATTATACAGTACTATATTGCAATATACAATTTGCATAATAATGTTGAACATTTATGAATAACTTACCAAATTCGTATTCACTGTCCTCCCTAATGACAACATTATTAGCTCGACTTTTTAATACTGAAGCACAGCGTGAAGCTTTAGAAACACTAAGCCTAGAAAGAGAAATATAAAATTTGATAAGCAAATCAAATAGTTATTTTCCTGCATACAGGGTTGGAATACCTTGGCCTATCTGCCCCTTTTTATTTGGGCTTATTTTCATTCTTCTCATAAGCATGTCTATTCAATGTCTGTTATATTGAACTTCGAATCAAATGCATTCGATAAATAATCAAAAAACAAGAACTAGCTGTTTAAATATTAAATAATATGTACTTTTTTTTGTTTTCAGTAAATAATGCATCATTTTGTAAGAAGATCCTAAAATGTTAGATAAGGACAACTGATCAGGAAGTTGTGAGATTAACTTCAAGAATGCACTGCTGCATATGCTAAAATCAATCTTGCACATAACACGTTGAAAATAAACACTAAGATGTAAAATGTAGCTTCCTAAAATTAAGCTGGTTATTTATACTGTTATGAATGAATTGTGAAAAAAAAATAGATCACATAATGAATACCAGGAAGGGATGGATGGACACAGAAATTGTTGTGGACAGTAATGACTAGACTAATTCTGTGATATTAGGAATGCACCATTTATGCCCAAATGTGTGACAAATCTCTCTCTTCTAAGCATGGGATGGAAAAGAGTCTAGCAATTTCTAGGTTGTTGGTTAGGAGTCGGAAACGTTTGTATAATTGGGAGCAGTTATTTAAAAAATGAATTATAAACCCTTGCAATAGCATTTTGTTAAATGGAGAAAAATAAAAGTTAATATATGGAATAAAATCAAAGTATAAGGATCTTGAAATGAGTTGCATCCTGATTATTAGTGGTTTCTCTGCAGGATTTAGGTATGAGTTTTAAGAAGCAAAGCTACTCCTACTCTCAAAATATACAAGCAAAATCAACTTCAAAGCTCATGAAGGAGCAGCCCTCCAATTCTCCTTAGCTCTCATTCTCGTATTCATGTAGGAAATCCTACAAAGCAAGATCATCTTTGTTCAAGTGTCTTATACGGGCAGTAAATTAGCTTGATAAAACTTATACTAGTGACAGATTGATGCAAAAGTTATATATAATAACCCGGTTATGAATATTTTCATTATTTCTTAAATTTTAGATTTAGAAATAAAAATATTTTCAATAAAATTTGATTAAAAGTTCTTACATAAGGCTAAGCATTGCTTAAAATTTACTAGGTAATCCACAGATCCTTATTAATTTTCTTTTTTTTTTGAGTTTCATTTTATTTTTCTTTTTTTATATATACATATATTTCTCTTATACTTTAAGTTCTAGGGTACATGTGCTCAACGTGCAGGTTTGTTACATGTGTATACATGTGCCATGTTGGTGTGCTGCACCCATTAACTCGTCATTTACATTAGGTATATCTCCTATATACATTAGGTATATCTCCTAATACTATCTGTCCCTCCAACCCCCACAACAGGCCCTGGTGTGTGATGTTCCCCTTCCTGTGTCCAAGTGTTCTCATTGTTCAATTCCCAACTATGAGTGAGAACATGCAGTGTTTGGTTTTTGTCCTTGCGATAGTTTGCTGAGAATGATGGTTTCCAGCTTCATCCATGTCCCTACAAAGGACATGAACTCATCATTTTTTATGGCTGCATAGTATTCCATGGTGTATATGTGCCACATTTTCTTAATCCAGTCTATCATTGTTGGACATTTGGCTTGGTTCCAAGTCTTTGCTATTGTGAGTAGTGCTGCAATAAACATACGTGTGCATGTGTCTTTATAGCAGCATGATTTATATTCCTTTGGGTATATACCCAGTAATGGGATGGCTGGGTCAAATGGTATTTCTAGTTCTAGATCCCTGAGAAATCGCTGCACTATCTTCCACAATGTTTGAACTAGTTTACAGCTCCACCAACAGTGTAAAAGTGTTCCTATTTCTCCATATCCTCTCCAGCACCTGTTGTTTCCTGACTTTTTAATGATCACCATTCTAACTGGTGTGAGATGATATCTCACTGTGGTTTTGATTTGCATTTCTCTGATGGCCAGTGATGATGAGCATTTTTTCATGTGTCTGTTGGCTGCATAAATGTCTTCTTTTGAGAAGTGTCTGTTAAATTTAGACCTAAAACCATAAAAACCCTAGAAGAAAACCTAGGCAATACCATTCAGGACATGGGCATGGACAAGGACTTCATGTCTAAAACACCAAAAGCAATGGCAACAAAAGCCAAAGTTGACAAATGGGATCTAATTAAACTAAAGAGCTACTGCACAGCAAAAGAAACTACCATCAGAATGAACAGGCAACCTACAAAATGGGAGAAAATTTTTGCAATCTACTCATCTGACAAAGGGCTAATATCCAGAATCTACAAAGAACTCAAACAAATTTACAAGAAAAAAACAAACAACCCCATCAAAAAGTGGGCGAAGGATATGAACAGACACTTCTCAAAAGAGTTAATTTTCTAATGAAGTGCTGTAAGACTACATTAGATGCTGTGAACACATCAAAAAAGAGGACAAATACCCACCACTTTCTTGAATCTATTAGGTTGTAATTATATACTATGAAAATTGTGAAGTAATTATTCAAACTGGATATAGAGATTATATACTGCCTTTTTTTCCAAAATGAAACTGGATTCATCCACATAGAGAACAATGGGATAGCTCCAACTTTAGTGTTTTAACTTGATTTAAAGTTTAAATACCTTAAATTCATGTTTGTTTGATTTAGTTTTAATGTTTTTCTGTTTGTTCCAGTTTCTCCTGAAGTAGCACAGTCAATATTTTTCCTGTATTTTTTAAAATTATTATTATTATTATTTTTTATTTTTAGGACGCAGAATTGCAATAGGAAGAAACTGTTGTTTCTACCATTGGGGAGTGACTAAGTATAAATTCTGCATTTTCTGTGTTGGTCCCATGAATTGTTCATAAAAATATTATAATACAAGTTAATGCAATTTCGTATGATTGTAAAATTTTCATGTAAATTACACATAATTAAGAAAGAAATATACTTTTATATCATATTTTACTGTTTTTATTTAAAAAATGACTACTGGAGGCCGGGCGCAGTGGCTCACACATGTAAGCCCAGCACTTTGGTAAGCCAAGGGCAGATCACCTGGGGTTGGGAGTTCAAAACCAGCCTGGTCAACATGGCAAAACCCTGTCTCTACTGAAAATATAAAAATTAGCCAGGTGTGGTGGTGCCTGTAGTCCCAGCTACTCAGGAGGCTGAGGCAGGAGAATCACTTGAACATTGGAGGCAGAGGTTGCAGTTGGCCAAGATCGCACCATTGTTCTACAGCCTGGGTGACAGAGTGAGACTCCGTCTAAAAAAAAAAAAGATTACTGGAAAAAAAGGCCAAAAAGATACTTAATAATTTAATAAGGTAAATTGCTTTGAATTTTCCTTGTTGAAAACAAAATCTTTCCTAATTTTTATATCATTCGTATTCTTGTTCTCCATTTAAATATAAAAGCACGTTGTGTACAATGATTATGTTTGCCTGTCCAAAATCAATTTCTTCTTTCTTTTGGTAACAAACAAATATATTCTATAGTTTTCTCCATAAAAACCAATTTCAGATGGTCTCAATGGATTGACCCTTCCCCAGTTACTTTACCCAGACATTGTCATCAGATCTTCCATTATTAAACCAACCTGACTGCTTCAGTGAAGGCCTCATTATTCAAGTTCGTCCAATTCAAGAATTACTTGAGATTTTTCTACACAAATTATAAATTAAGACTGTATTTCAAAATGGCTTGATTCAAGTAGTAAATTATGTGACTGAGTCTTCAAGATAACATTATGCCCTGTATGGATAGAGGATGCCTGAGCATAAAGCTAGATAGAGGTTATTAAAGCCTAGAAATAAAAACAAGAAAAGGCTCTACGATCGAATGAACAACTTATTTCACCTTTGCCCAAACTGCATCTTGGATTTGTCAAATAAATAATTTCCATTTTATATTTATGATTGCTGTTATTGTTTTAAATTTGTTTAAGCTACTTTTAGTTGGAATCCAGTAAAGTCAAAAGAAGATACATTATTAAAATAACCTGAAATTACAAAATAATTATAATAAAATAAGATGAACAACATGTGAGAAAATTCTCACATCTGGAGATAGATAATAAGTTCAAGTGCTAGAACTGAGATTGTGAAGGAATAGAATCATCAACCTACAAAACACCTTATTATCAGAATCATAAAAACTTGTTAATTGGAAGACCTAGTAGGATCTAAAATGCAAGCAAACTGGGAGATGGGGACCCTTTAGGACCTTAGATGATTATCAGGCTTTCTCTCAACTAAAATTATAGTAATAGATGATTCGGGGTAAATTATTAATTCTTATAAACCTCTGTTTGTTTATAAAGTAGCAGTAATAACAGCATCTTAGGATTGTTTTCAAGATTGGATGAGCTAATAAACACAAAAACAAAACTGTTGGCACAATTCCTGGAAGCATTCAAATAAAAATAAAACCAATATTTTTCCCCTAAGGAGTCAGTGTTCTAGTCAAATGAAGTAGACAGAACAAAACGATTTCAGCTCCAACAGAGAAATTGGAGAACTCTGCATAAACAAGCCAGGAGCCTCATAAGGACTGGCTCTGCAAAGCAGGGTTGAGGAGAGACAGTCTAACTGGAACCCAGGTCAGAGCCTTCATGGGCAACCAGACAGAAATGTGAGGGCAATGAGGTAAAATCTGGACGCACCTGCTGGTGAACAATGATTTATTAATATATCATCTGCTTGGCTGAGGAAAACCCAGGCCATCTATTGGGCTAGAGGAAGCAAGGATGTGACTGCAAAATGACTTCTTAGCTATAGAGATTAAGAGAGACTAGAATAATTGATCAAAATGATTCCATAGGGATTAGGAGAGACTAGAATCATTGATCAAAAATATGCCTCATTCCACAAGCACATACAAAAAGCTTACACTCTTTCCTAAGGAAGTGGACCTATTGATTTGTGTATTGTATGAAGGAAAGATTACCAATTATCCCCTCCCATATTCTCCTGCCTCTACTTAAGGTTAACATTTACCTCCCAGAAATAATGTGTCTCAAGACACAAATAACAGCTCATATCTCTGACTAGTCATTGACTCCTATGCCTGGAAACAAAAAGAGAAAATGAGGTTGGGCCTCATAGTATATTGTAGAAAGGATGAAAATTCCACCAATGAAACTCTCCTTACCGATCCACTGGACTCAAATCATTTAGAATGCCTGCTCCTAATTTTCCTTTCCATGAGAGTGTGGCTTTCCTCAGACTAGTTGATCCACCTTCACAGCTGTCATACCAGAAGCTAAAAATTATATTCCATTGACTTTTTCTTTTCTTAGATTTGCTTAAAGTATGTTTTATCCTTATTAAATTAACAAATTCATATTGATTATAAAATAATAATTCGACCCAAATTAGGAAAAAGAAAGTTGTTGTTGTTTGTTTTTGCTTTTTTAATTGACTGGTGCAAGGCTGAATCTAATTAATATACTGAAAATAATATATGTTAAACACAAACATTCAAAATTATTTATACTTTTTTCCCTTCATAAATATGATAATTAAATTCACAATTACATGAAATCCCTAAATACAAGCTATATTTTCCTCACCGTCCAAGGTTGAGGTCCTCATTGAGGGAGTAACATGGAAGCATGCTTCTCAACACTTTAAAATACAAGATGCTACAAGCCTAAGTTGTCCCTCAGGGAACACAAACTAACCAGGCTTGAAATCCTCACGATAAGTACAAGAATAAGACTCTCCCAAGACTTATTCTTTGCACTTTCTATCTGAATGAAAATGGTTCTTAGGTGGGGGAAGTTCCAATTATTTTACTAGAAAACGCTTTTAGATATGACCATTTTAGCCACAATTCCAAATCTGACGTGAAGGACACTTAATGCTATTTTCTCTATATAGATGACCTTTATATCTGAGAAGAAATGCCCCTATAATATATAACCTCAATAAAAAATTGCCTATAATAAAAAGAAAACATGATTGATTTCTAAAATTGATATGAAATATAAGAACACATTGAAATTGTCCTAAAATGGAAATGTCAGAGACAATTGAAAAGCCATCCCAATTTTCCCTGAATCCAGGATGAACTGCCTTTGTTTCACCATCAGTGGCCAAGGTGAAATGGCCAGATGTCTCAGCTTGAGGGGCCAATCCTTGCTTCTTAATAGGCTGGCTCTAGTTCCACAGCATTTTGTCAGACTGCAGTACATTCTAAGGTTATTTCTCATCAGTTCCCTCTCTCAGTGTCTCTGCCTGCTTCCCGGATCCTGACCCTCTGTCCCTCTAAGCTGCACATTTATATAGTTTCATCAAATCCCCATCAACTCTAGGGCAGCCCAATCTGGCACCTGAAGAATATGTTCAAATGATGAGCCCTGAAGGTTGAAAACCTTTTGTTTAGTGCCAGAGCTCTTATTAAGCCAACCACCTGGTTCCAAAACATATCTACCCAGGGCACAGAAAGCTGGTTATGAGGAGTCCATATGACGTTTTTCTATGTGACACTGACTTTTCTACAGTTTTGTTTTGTCTTGGATAATCAACTCTATTTCATGTGCCTACAGTTGTTTATCTTCCAATTACAGATTTTGCTTTGTTACCAAATGGAAATATTTGTATGGACAAAGAACAGAGACGGACATAAAAGAGAGAGGAGAGTAAATGGTTTTGCAGTCTCTTAAATGAAAAAGAGTTTCCAAAAGGAAGTGTTTACTTGAATATAAAATAAGGGTGGTATTTCAGGTTTAAAAGAAAGTATTCAGGTTTGAAATAATTTTATTTTGACATTATATCTTATTGGAGAGTGTCCATAAATGGGAAAAAAAATCAATAACCACTATCTGCCATATATTTAAAACTTTGGTTGATACCCTGGGTGATATAACATGTGTGTGAAATAGACACTCTGTAATAGCTTGCAGTCTTTGTAAAAAAAAAAAAGTGCCAAAAATTTAGAACACAAAAATAATACTACCATCAATATCTAATTTTACATAATACAAACTATGAGTACTGCATTTTCTTAGAGGAGACCAGAGAGAACTCAAGAAGCCCCGAAAACTTCATGATGGTACTTAAAAGGATCCTGAGATATTAATATAATTTGAAAAGGTAAAAGAGAGAGGGAAGAGTATCCAAAACGCTATTGGCCTTGAGAGACTCTAAGTGGAAAACCCAACTGAGCACAGATATCTGACCTCAGAATTTTGAGATAATAAACACATGCTGTTTCCAGCTGCTAGGTTTGTGGCCACGTGTTACAGAGCAATAGAAAACGAATACACAAATCACTCTGTCATCCTGAGTGTAACAGACACACGCAATATTACCTAGAAATCATAATTTCTTCATTTTTATTAACACATGCAGTATTATTTCAGGAAATACTCATAAGAATCTTTAATGTCATACCTGAAAATTAGTAAGATGCTCTTTGTTTTCCTACTCTAAGAGTTGGCTTGTGACACACATACAAGTCCCATCTCATTTTCTACCTGGACTTTGTCTCTAAGTAGGGGATAAAAACATTTGGACCTGAGTCATCTCAGAGTTGGCCTTCTTACAATCTATCACATTAGTTATAAATTCCCTTTGACTTTCGACTTCTTCATATAATTTCAATGATTTTTTTCTATTAAATGATGTTGTTTTCTGTTGCTTGCACCAGATAAACCATACTATTATCTTGAGCTTCTCCTGTGAAATGAATACTTCAAAATTTAATCCTACTCATTTGAAACACATAAGACAAAGTACCATCACAGTCATCTCTTTCAGTCCCTGTAACGTATGATTTTGAAGTCATTAAAATAGGTCAGTAGGGATGGAAATAAAACTACACTTTAGACTGTGAAAAATATAATTTGCTGCTCAATTTCATGTTTTGGGCAGGTGCCAGTAGCTGCAGTGGCTGATACAGGACTCTCTCAGTCTTTTAAATCAGTTAGAGTTTATGCCTTCCGTGTTGCCTTTGCCACAATTTCTAGCTACCTACCTAACTCACGACGAGTGTTTTCATTTCAAACGAAGTAACAGAGGTTGGGTAAATTGGAATTCTCTTCTTTTGATTTCTAGGCAGACATTAACATGGTTTAAGATAAAATTGTATCTCAACAATAAAAAATACTGGAGAAGTGCCTTTTCTTCCTTGGGTCCTACTTAGTCATGGAAATTGTTTTGTCCAGCTGAATTTCTGTCATTCTCAATTCATACTGATAAATTTCAGTTCTCTACTATGAAATAAAGTAGATTATGAGTTTCTAACCTTTGATGTATGTTTGCCAGATGTGAGCATTCGGGGTCAAAAATCTCTTTAATCATTGAGGATGTGCAACAACACTCACTAGAAATGTCCCTGTCTCTCACAGAACAAGCCTAGAGGCTCTAATTAAGTAGCTAGTACAAATTAACTTTAGAAACCTGTGCAGATTTACTTGTCTAGGGAATCTACAAACTCAATGCCTACATAATTTCTTTTTCCTGATAGTTCTTAAAAGAAGAGTTAATATTACTCTTCTAACTTCTGGCAGCAGTATCTCCCGTGCTTACTCGTTATACATTATAAATATTTTCACTTGAAGCGTAAGCTAATTTAATTTTATAATCACCAAGTTTATTATACCAGCAGCTTTCTGCATACTGTCTCCTGAACATGAATAATTAGCCATTGCAGTCTTTAAATGAAAGTGAAAAACCCTTTGATGTCTTATTCCTCTAAAATCTTTCATGAAACCACAGGTATTCCACTTTTCCAATACTTACGAAGAATGCAGTCATGAAGATGTGAATTTTTGCTGAGTTTAGCTGTTTTTGCTTTTCCGGGTCATTCAGTCTGAGCTAAACAGGTAATCTAAGGGATTTTCATGGTCAAATGCCTTTCTTAAATGAAAATTAAAGTGGTAGACATTTTTTTAAAAATCTCTCTTTTTTGTTCTACCCAAAGATAATAAATTTCTCACTTCTGGTATAATGGGAAGTCTGTCGAATTTATAATCAGAAAATCCTGAGTTTGAATTCCTACTTGCTCATTTAATGATCTTGTAATAAGTTCTTAAATTTTCTGAATCTTAGTTTCCCAGTGCACAAATGTGACTACTAATAATTTATGCATTTTTAAAATAAAAATTACTGAGCTGAGTTTGCTTCAAACTTTGAAGACAGGACTCATTCCCTCAGCTGTTGCCTCAATGGGGAAATATGCTCAGATCCTTATCCCTCTGGTGTTATCCATGCTGTTGAAGAGAAGAGCACTTGCCTTGCAATGCTGAAGGTATAAAAGTATGACGTGATAATTTTAGAAAAATATTAATTGAATTACTGTAGAAGAAGTCACTATTAATGTAATAACAATTGAATCTAGAAGCTCATTGCTCAAGTATCTGGTTCCTTAGAAGCTGAATGTTCTAGGCTTAGTTATTAATATTTCTGGAGTTCATCTTCTTTAGTTTAAAGAAGACAAAATGTGGTGATGAATGCAAATCTCTTTGAATAGCAAAGGCCTAATACAGATTTAAGATATGAATTTTAGGTGTTGACGTTATTATATTATTATTATTATTATTACTATTTGCAGTCGATCTATCACATACAACTTATTGTAGGTTTTATTAATCTTGGTCATTAGTAAAATGTTGTCTAATATTCTTGTTTTTCAAAAATTCGCTGCTATTTCCATTAGAGAACAGTGAGGGGAGCCGGGCACAGTGGCTCACCCCTGTAATCCCAACAGTTTGGGAGGCTGAGGCGGGTGGATCACCTGAGATCGGGAGTTCAAGACCAGTCTGACCAACATGGAGAAACCCAGTCTGTACTAAAAACACAAAATTAGCCAGGCGTGGTGGTGCATGCCTGTAATTCCAGCTACTTGGGAGGCTGAGGCAGGAGAATCGCTTGAACCCGGGAGGCGGAGGTTGCCATGAGCTGAGATTGCGCCATTGTACTCCAGCCTGGCAACAAGAGTGAAACTCCATCTCAAAAAAATAAAATAAAATAAAATAAAAATAAAAATAAAAGAACAGTGAGTGGGATGTAGTTGTCCAAAGAGTGGTTATACCGCCTAGCATAGCTACCTTGCGTTTGAGTGGGTCTGTGTACATAGATCCTACACATGGAATGTGAGCAGAAGTGAGTACTTGGTTTCAGCCAAGAAAGTTAAGGACTTTCTTAATGAATAATGCAGTCAGTTAAAAATATGTATTCTTTGCTTTAAACAACAACAACAAAGCCCAAATAATAGTAATTTAACTATTCATGTGGCAAGGTCTGAGAAGAAAACTGTCCTGTGTGTTAGGCCACAGAGGAACTTCTCCCAAAAGAGGGCCATGAAATCTTTGCTAATGAAGGATGAATAAGAGTTGTACAGGGAAGAGGCAAATAGGGCTCAAAATAGTGTGGACTGATGATAAAAAATATTTGAAAAAAAAAATACCACCTCTAAGACATAAAGGAGATTGCTGAGACTGATTAAGAAAAAGCCAATATGCTTGGAACAGAAGTGAGACAATGTACTTTTAATAAATAACTAGACTGCTTAATTATTGTTATTTTTTAACTTTTAGTTTTAAAAGGTAAAGGTAAATGCATTACTATAAGTGTTCATTTCTTTTGTCAGCAAAAAATTAAAAGAAAAAAGAAATCTGGTAGAAATAAACATGTTTGTATAAATGAACATATATATATATACACATAGATATGTGTGTGAATCTTGAAATTTAACTAGTATGAAAGATTCGGAATTGAAAGATACCACTTTACCAGAGAGCTTGCAGTAAATGTTAAATTTTATCATGATAGAGAATCACAGAGGCAATAACTGACAGAGTTCATAATTTTCTCCAAGTAATTATAAAAATGCATTTGTCTTTTTATTATAAACAAAAAAATTTAGGAAATAATAATTGGACATTTTTCATAGAAATCTTTGAAATAATTTTAAAACAATAGTGACAGTTTTAGTTTTCAAGTTAACAGTCATTTTATATCAAGTTCCCATTGTTCCCATTTTTAAATGCCAGATGAAATGGACACATTTCTATCTCCCAGCTTAGCCACATAGAAAAATGTTAAAACAAAACCTGCTCAATCTTTGATCTGCTGAACCAATGTTGAGATTGTTATAAACACAAATGAAACACATTTTTTATACAATGAGAGAAGTATCTATTCTTTCCAGTGGTAGAATAAACCTAACGGGGATTGCTCTGGGAGTATCCAAGTCTCTCCGCTCACTTTTGAAGAGGCCAAATTAAAGTGTTTTTGTCCTGTTTATTCACACATGATTATTTGTTCTTTAGTTCAGCCAGAGAAGTACACATTCAATATAGATTTTATTATTCCAAGTAATTATTGAAAAGTAGGGTTTCATTCTTATTATAGAAATAAAGCAATGAAAGCTCAGGGGATCCAAAGTCACACAACTCTTTAAGTGTCAAGGCAGGGATAACAACTATGACAAGAATAATAACAGTTTGGGTTAAACAATGCTAGACACTGTAAGAGTGCTTAAGTGGGTTGGCTCATTTCATCTTTATAACAACCCTATGACATGTGTCCCGTCATCCCATTTAGCAAAAATAAACTGAGGCACACAGAGAGGAAGTAACTTGTCCAAGGTCAAACCTCATTTTGACCTTTTGGTCTGGCGCTAGAGACTATGAGTGACTCCCCGACACTTTCACTCATGAAACAGAGGCTTCTCCTTCAGCAGAACAATGAATATGGGTAGAAGAGAGCTGCGTTTCATCGGAAAGGATATCAAATTCTTCAGTATCATTATCCTCTGCAACAAGAAATAGAAGCATAGGCACCAAAGTGCTGGCCTGATTTTAAATCTGAAAAGGCAGATCTTATTTTTAATACACTGACCTAATTGCATGTGGTGATCCAAGGTCAGCATAAAGCTCCAGAGAAAGTCCTAAGTATCAAGTAAGTTTATGTTGGGCAGAGGGAAAGCAGAATGATCTCAAGGCAGCATTTCTTGATTTCACCTTTAATTGTTCACCCAGAGTCATCACACTCTGTTAGAGTAAGCTGACAATCTCTGGTAAAGAGTGGAAGAGGATTGGGATGCTGAAGAGAGAATAAAAAGACTAGGTTAGTATAAAAATATATTTCTCAATTTTTCAGAAGGATACTGGCATTATAGTTAACATTCCACAACAGCAGCATCAGAAATCTCACTAGCAGTATTCTGTATTATTTCTAGAGCTTTAAAAAAGTGAAAATAACAGGTAATTTTGATTGTGTCAGTGAGGCCAATCTGTATTAGATATCAAAAATAAAAGATATTCCTGTAGAAGTCTGGAGCAAAAATGGATATTCTCTATCACAGTTTTTTGTAACTTTTTTTCTGAAAAGATTTTATTCTAATATAAAGAGACTTAAATAAATAAATGTAATAGATGAAGAAACTAATACAAAGAATTTGTGATGATGTTTATGTAACAACCTATGTTAACTAATATGAAAGTTCATTACAATGTCAGGTTCAACATGATTACACACACACACCCACACACACACACACACACACACAAACAGCTTTCTTATGTACCAGCTGTAAACCAATAAAAATAAAAAAAAATTAAAAATTAGTTCATAAGTGTCTTTGCCTATCTGTGTGTTATATCTCATTTTATTCTAAGCTTATGACTCCTACATGCAAATCTCTACTTAATATGTGTTCTTATATATCTCATGTTCCAAATTCAAAGTTGAATTCTAAATTTTTTTTATTGGTCTCATTAATTTCAGTGAAAATTTTTTCACTGGTTTATCTGTTAGTCTAGGTTTTAAAAACTGTCAATACCTTTACCACTTCCTTAATACTTCAAGCAAATTCATCATGAGGACTTAATGATCCTTTCTCCTGCATTTCTATCTCTCTATTTACTTGCAAGACACATGGTAAATATCTCTCTTGTTCTGCTGTAAGCTTCTACCTAATCTCACTGCCTGCCTTTCTCCTGTATCGTTATCATATAGCAACTGAGTGATCTTTTCCAAATATAAATCACAAAATATACTTTGCTGCTTACAACTTTGTAATGGTTTCTTTTGGACTTAATAAGATATAAATTCCTCCTCATGGCTTACCATGGCTTCCATAATGTTGTCCATAATCTTTGATGATGACATCTTGTATGATACCCTCATCCCCCACACATTGCTTTCTCCACTGAAGACATATTAATTTTATTTCAGTTTTTACTATATTACCAAAATTTCCTCCTATATAATTGTCAGAGATTCAATATCTTTTGTCTGAAATGTTTTTCTCCCTACCCTTCCATTAAGCCTTTTCAAACTCTCATTTTTCCATTAGGTCTGAGATGGAATGTCACTTCCTTGTAGTGACATTAAAATCTCCAATGTAAATTATATAGCCCATGTGATTAAAACAGGTTCTTTCTAGTCATCACTGTGTATGTGTATGAAAAAATTGCAAACACTTCTCAATATGCTATGATAGTTCATCACTTTTTTGAATAAATATTAGATACATTAATTTATTTCCATCACAGGAAACTCTAGAGGAATTAAGTATAAAATAAAATGATAAAAATATTATCATTAATTTTTATCAAAAATACCATAAGCAAATCTAGTAGCACATGCTTAACTAGAAGGAAATACTTATAACAAATCAGTATACTGAAACACTGAATTTTAAAATAATGTGTTGATAATCCTATTCTATAAAGTGCTCTTACAAATAATTTAGAAACAGATTAACATATCAAAATAAAAATAAGAAAACAGAAAAACTTACCTGCATATAACAAAGAATAGAAATTGTAATGGCCATTAAAATATTGTAAATTCATTTGTAAATTAAACAGCAATGTGAATTTATTTAATGCCTAACACTTTCCTTAAAATAAAATACTGACTGCCAATGTTTACAAAGATTCAGGGAAAATACTACTTTCATAGATTTCTAGTGTATGATATAATTGTTAAAACAACACCAGAGAGTAGTATGGTAATATCTCAAAGTGTAAACAGATATTAATATTCTTATTGAGGGATTCTGCTTAGAAAAGTCTACCTTTCAAAACAGATACATGTGAATAAACTACGTATGTGAGTTATCATTATACTTAAAATGCAGCTTTTATAAACTTAATAACCCCTGCCCACACAATGCTACCTTTTGAAATTTTTTCTTTTAAAAAAATTATAGATGCCAAAGCTACTTTGATAAAATAGAAGCATTTGAAATCTTTCAGAATAATTTTGTGGGCATATTTCTATAGTAATTTTCTATTATAAAAACATTTTCATCAAGTAAATGGAAGTTATTAAAAATATTTTTGCCATGTCTTAAAGGCTGTGCTCAGAAACTAATCTTTATTATAAGAATAACAGAAAGACTTGAATAATATAAACTGGAAAGGGTTATTATCAAATTTAATGTTTTTAATGGAGAAGAGTATGGAAACTGTTTTAAAGAAGGCAAGAGGGGAATTTGGGAGACTGAATATATAGTTATAGCTTTGCCATAACCTAAACCAGATATGAAGATAGGTTGAACTAGAGTAATGAGTAATGAATGACAAAGAGAACTGAGAGAAGTATTTTATTCAACTGATATTCAGCAGGTATAAATCAATAATTTTTTAAGTGATTGATTGAGTTTGAGGTTGAGAGTTAGTCAGCAATCACGGACATGACTCTGACATCTATGGCTGAGGGGTGATAATTCCCTTTGCCTAGATTAAAAAAAAAACAGAGAGAGAGAGAGAGAGAGAAATACCAGTTGTGAAGACTGGCATAAATTGAATGGGAAATGGGATAAGATACTGAATTATGCTTGAACCTGTTGGTTTTTTAGTGCCTTTGAGGAACATCAAGAAGTGTGTGCTGGACAACAAATATAAATTTGAAAGGAATTGGGATATAAATTATATTTGACCTATAGATAGAAGACACAAAATCACTAAGGGAGATAGTAGGAAATAAAAAGAAAAGAAAGTCCAACATGTTGCTTCAAACTATAACTCTTTAAGATTGTGCAGAACTCTGAAGAAATGTTTTTGTATGTTTACCTAAAACATTTTTTCATCTTGTGAGTGGATATTGTCATAGTAGCTATACTGAAATCAATAATTTGAAGCACAACATCATATTTTTTATTATGACCACTAATATATACGGTGTTAGAGGTCCCAGGACATATCCATTAAAAGCCTATTTAACCACAAAACACAATTTGAACAGAGAGTACTAGATAAAAACAAAAGTAACAGGTGTTTGAGAACACAATCCAGAAGCATGAAAGGGGAGTTTTAGGGTGTCTATGTAGGAAACATTGTTAAAGCAAGGTCTGCATCATACCTAAAGGCTAAACAACAAGATGAATAAAAAGAAAGCCTAGAATTTATACAATATATAGAGATGTGCAGACAAGATAGACCCATGAAAAATATGTACAAAGTAAACATGAATATATATATATTTTTTTCACAAAGGGAAACATTGAGACAACATTCAATTCTAACATGAATTGCTATGAAGACATATAAAGCATGTTAACCTGATTTAATTGTTTTAGTCAAAATGTGTGATCTCCAATTTACAACCCCTGAGACTTAGAAGTAATCCACTCTTGCTTTCAATATCAAATTAGATTTTGTAAGAAAATTTTTAATACTAGAAAATGTTGTCATATTCCCTTTAAGTCTACCACAGAGTTTTCTGTATGTGAGACAAAATGACGTATTACAGAAAAACAAAATATCACATTGGATAACCTTGGGAATTAAAAAAATTAGATTAGCAGCAGGTGCTCAGAATGGAATATCACAGTTCCACCAGCCACATAGAAGTACAAAAATAAATACTGGAACAGGAGGAAATTCTTCCCTAGATAGACTTCTAAGGAAGATCTTTCAAGGAGAAAATTGCTACTACCCAGTTTGTAGCATTTCAGGAAACCTGATTCTACAGAACTACAGGCTTTATACAGACCTGGATTCTTGGGAAATCCACTTATGACTCATTTTGCATACTAACTACACTATTTATAAGCTGCGTGACATTAGGTAAGTTTTTTTACCCTCACAAATGTGTGTTTCCGTTTTCTCATCTAAAGAGCTTATTTCATAAGATCATCATGAGGATGTAATGAGACAGAATATGTAAATTCTTATGTACTGAGGACCAAATCTTATGACTGTCTTTGTAAATAAAGTTTTATTGGAACACAATCATGCTAATTCATTAATGTCTGCTCTGTGGCAGAGTTGGGTGGCTATGACAGAACAGAATGTTCTACATACAAAATGTATAAACTTCAAGAACAATGCCTGACACAGATATTTTGCCAAATTTTGAAATATGATTTATATTTTTGTCTCAGCAAGTACTCACAATGTACTTACAAGATAAATTACTTACATTAGGACATTGAAACACATGTATTTAAAAAAATCTGATCTAAGTTACATACTCATTAAAATATTTCTGAGGATTTTTTTAGGTTCTAAAATTAGATTTATTACAGAAATATACCGCTTTATACTTAAGAGTATAATATGGGAAATTTTCCCTCTTTTATTATACTGTTCAAATAACACTACAGCACTTGGCTGACCACAGTGAGTATAATTCTGTTAGAAATGCACTGGGCGGTACCACTTGGGCTAAGAGAAGCATATCTCCATGTAAAATGGAATCCAAATATATTCATGTTCATTTGCTTTGTCATGTTATTGCTTGTTCTGTGATGTGGATTGGAAGGAAATAGAGGAAGAATACGTATGAAAGTGATCCAATAGTCCCATAAGTAGTGTTTTCATAAACATAGAAATTGTCCCTTCAAGTCTTCAAGCATGAAACTTCAATGTGTTCTATGTGAGTTCCTTCCTCAGGAAAGGACTTTGAGACCTCTCAAAAAAGTATCAAATAACTGAAACTCAGCAGATCACCACATCCCAACAATGAGATGCCAGGCACCTCACTCATCATGATTGCTTCATTGCCCATCCTAGTTCCTGTTTTCTTACACATCGTTACACTGCTCCCTGCTATATAAACCCCTAGTTTTAGTCAGGGAGATGGATTTTAAACTGATCTCTCATCTCTTCACTGCAGCACCCGATTAAAGCCTTTTTCCTTGATTGGCTTTCTGTGTGGTTAGCAGCAGGATCTAGACTGAACCGCCAGTGTTTTGTTAACACATACAGTGATGAGTTATGGAAATAAGTCACATTTATCTACATTTCATATATAACAACAACAGCAGCTACAAATGTCTCTTGGGTATATTGAAGCATTAGCAATGGATGTCATTCTGAAGTGAGAATTCCAAAAGAACTTCTGGAGGGAGCACTGAAATGTGGTTTAAAGCAGGAGACAGTAAACATTTTCTGTAAATTGCTACACAGTAAATATTTACATTCTGGGGCATATGGTTGTAACTAGTCAGCTGTGGCATAGACAATACATAAGTGAATGGAAATGGCTGCGCTCCAATACAGCATTATTTACATAAACAGGGAGCAGGCTGGATTTGGCCCTCAGGCCATAGCATACTAACCATTGGTGGTTTAGGCATGAAGACTGGCTTGATGAGACCAAGGCTGAAGCCACAGGGAAGTCAATGAAGGAGGGAGTTTCAGGGACAGATCCCATTCTGGGATTAAGTTAGAAACTGGGTTGTGTGTTAACCACACCACAAGCTGACTAAGAGAGGAATAGTATAAATAATGTATAAACCAGCCAAATGGGATGGCAATTTCAATGATATAGGCAAGTAATGAAAACAAGTGTGAGACTGCTTATATAACTATATATAGCATACAGCTATGAGCTACTATAGTTGAATTTTGTATTCAGGTAATTAAGGCTAATTCCCCAATGAGAAAACTGGAGAAATTGTTGCTCCAACACCTCTGATGGTGACTATTTATGCTCTCTGTGAATTATACTAGCAGATATTATTTCATAAGATACCACTTTCTATCCATTTAAAACTCTAACTATTGGTAATTTATCAATTGAGCTAAAATTTCTCTCCATTTAATTGCTATCTAATCAACATATAACTGACTCTATATAACAGTCCTTCGGCTGTGTAAAGGTCATTGTCATGCATATTGTCTCTGACTTAATGACCTTGGGCAAACAATAGAATGGATTGGAGTACATATCCATGATTTCAAGGCATCTACAACATCTGTATACGTAAACAGTCCTGCAAGAGTACAAACCCCTGTGGGGAGAAATATGTCTATTTTTTATAATAGTTAATATAAAACAATGCATGATATGAATCAAAAAATTCTCTATATAAATTACTAATATTCATTCCTTCTGCAAAGTATCTTGGCCTGTTTCTCAGCCAAATAAGATACTTTGTATGAAAAAGGGAATGCATAGGCAAGCATAATATTTGGCAGACAAAGCACTCTATATTTAGAGGTGTGTGAGAGTATAGAAGAAAAAAAGGAAAGATGACCGATAGAGATGTCAGATGAATATATATTTTCATTTAAAATAAATAGCTGCTGGTATGATGCATTGTATATGGCAGATACTCAGGACACAATTTTAGGAATTAACTACACTATGGAAAACACTATGAAGATTCCTTAAATAACTAAAAGTAGAAGCACCATTTGATCCAGCAATCCCACTACTGGGTATCAACCCAAAAGAAAAGAAGTCATTATATAAAAAAGACACTTGCACACCCATGTTTATAACAGCAAAATTTGCAATTGCAAAAATATAGAACCAGCCTAAATGCCCATCAACTAACTAGTGAATAAAGAAAATGTTGTATATACACACCATAGAATACTACTCAGCCATAAAGAGGAATCAGATAATGGCATTTGCAGCAACCTGGATGGAGTTGGATAGCATTATTCTAAGAGAAGTAACTCAGGAATGGAAAACCAAATATTGCATGTTCTCACTTATAAGTGAGAGCTAAGCTATGAGGACACAAAGGCATGAGAATATATAATAGACTTTGGGGACTTGGGGAAAGGTGGGAGGTGGTGAGGGATAAAAGACTACACATTGGGTACAGTGTGCACTGCTCAGGTGATGGATGCACCAAAATCTCAGAAATCACGACTAAAGAGAACTTATGCATGTAACCAAAACCCACGTGTTTCCCAGAAACTATTGAAATAAAAAAAGAATTAACTAATACTAGTAAATGTATTGACATTAATGTAATAGAACTCTCAACTAATTAATATGTTCCAAAGAATTCATGTATACATGCCAGAACATTGCTCATCAAGATGAATATTGGCTAAAACTATTTGATGGAAGGAAGAAATGTATTTGATTGCAAGTTATCTTAAGCATGGTTCATATTAGCTGTAAAGGACACAAACATTTAAAAAAATAGTTCAAAATAATTATATTCACACAAATTTTCACCTCAGCTTTGTTTACCTCTCTGGGTAGACCACTGTATTTATTCATGTGGTGGTAACAGACACCCTTCCCACAGTCCCTATCCGCACTGACATCTCATTTACTTTTCAAATCTTGATGCTATTTGACTTCCCTCTTAAGGCCTTATTTGATTCACTTGATCAGAATTAATTGTTCCTTCCTCAGCACTGCCATGGAAAAACTCATATTTTGCAAATTAGTTTTCTTATGGTTTATTTAGTTATTTATAGCTTATGTGTCCCATAAGAGCTTAAGTTGTCAGTAGCAGTGACTATTTCTGAGGCATCCTTGAATACTTACTGGGCCTGGTCCAGGATCTTGCACAGAGTAGGTGCCCAAACCGCATTAACAAAGTCGAATTGCATCTCAGAGATATGGTTTTAGCATTGTAGCATTCTGTTTGATTAGGTGGCACTTTGGCCATGAAAAATGTTGTATGAGATGTATTTTTCAAAATTGAGGCTAATTAAAATTAATTTTCTTCTGAGAGTCATTGTAGAATTTTACAAGAGCCTGTGTGATAATTAGAGACACCCAAGGGTGTCACCAAACCTTTAGTGGGAGTCACTGTTCTATCAAACATGACCCTCTGAAGTAGCTCCCGTGTGGCTATTAATATCACCAACTGCAAAATATGTCAAGGTTTATTAAGTGAAAATCTCATAAAGGTTCACAAATAAAGTACTGCCTATGCAATATGGATATCACGTGGTTCAGCTCTCTTAAGAAAAAGATAATTAATAAACAAACTAAAGCTCTCTCTCTTGTTTATTCTCAGGAGTGTCCTCCAAAGATGTTGATGAGAAGTACAGAGCCCTTAATTCTTGCATTTAAAAGAAATATAGCATGAAGAGTATTTGAGGAATAGAGTCAATGAAATCTTTTCTATTTGTAATGAAGTAAAAAGGATGGATCTGTGATCACACATAAATTACACAGCAATCAATATTTTAATTTTAGCTCTATTGCAATATAAATTTTTTCTATTATTCTTAATTTTTAGTGTAGTCTGAGGGTTACACTCAAGCCAATTGAAGCATAAAAAAGGGAATACCCCAAGGGCAGAAGTCCTCTGCCTGAATCAAGGAGCTCTTGGAGTTAGGCACTTGTGTCAAGAGGTCTTGAATTATCCAGGCTGTAGCTTTTATGGTGTGGGAAATGGAGAAAGGTGAAGGGTAACACTTCATTAAAGCAAAAAGGTGAAAAGCTGTGGATTGAATTGAATTAGATGACAGCATACATAGACAGAGTAAGAAAGCTTTCCCATAGAATCAGTGCTCTCTGGAGGAAGACAGTTTAATTCTTACTGTCATCAGACTGAGGGCATGTGTATCCTTAGTTAATTTTATTTCTCTCAGGAGGGAAAAGTCTCTGGGTAGAGATTGACATACGGTTTAGTGAAAGGAACCTGGTGGCTGTCTGAGATGCCTAAGTACCTAGGAAAGAGGCTGCCCTGGCACCAGGTCACAAGAACAAACTTTCTACAAAAAGCCTGAAATAGTCTGGAGAATGCACTAAACTAATAAGGCATTATTACCATATTATTTTGGTTTAAACATTTTGATCTATCAGTCTTGTCATAATATGGTCCATGAATTGGCAACAGTAGTAGTTGCCACCTCAGAGAGGTAGAACACGGAAGATTTTACTTCCCAGTTAGTTTAAGGATTGCTTTCAGGAGTCAGAGATAGTACACATGTAAGAACAAAGGGGAAATTATACTTAGTTTGTACCATGAGGCTTATCAAAAAACTTTTTAAATATCTGGAGCTTAGTTTTAGACAGAAATGTAGCCAAGAGTAGAGCTGCAAAAACAACTCTAAGAAATGAGAATTATTTAAGCCAAGTCAAGGATTCAATACCATTTTAAGAGCTATTAAATTATTCATTATTACCCTGTCTCTAAAAGCAAAAGCAAAACACAAAACAAAGCAAATCTTCTCGTGATAAATGGAGTTCTATTATTTGACCAAACATTTTCCAATTTGATAGCATATTTCCAAAATTCAAGTATGTACAACCCAATATTTTAAACTATCTCAATGGTATTCAAGTCCCAGTATGCTAAGAACTTCTAATGTATTTTAAACCAATTAATTTGTTCTAAATGAAAAAAAAAAAAAAGGATGCATCAAGCAAGTGTAAAAGGTATTAGTTAATTTCCACTATGTTTACAGAGAAGAAAGTAGGGATTTTGAAATAAACTTATTTATGCAAGTCGGAGATTTATCACATCCCCTTAGACTGGATAGAATCACAAATAGAAGAAAGATGAGAAATTAATAATTTCATAAAATTATGGAACCGTATGCATTCATTGCATTCATAAATGTTTTATTCATTATATTACTGAATCCTTTGATAAGTGTAATTGAAAGAAAGAAGAGCTAAAATTTGTTAACATCACAAAGATAGGGAGAATTTTTCAATTAATCAATAGCAACAATAATAATAATAAAGCTACTAATAATAATGATCATGATAATGAAGTATCAGTTCTCATTCCTTGATAATTATAAAATATCTTTCCTATGTGTAATGTTGTATCAATATATATGTACATTAAATGTATATATAAGCAGACATTTAAGAAAAATGAGGATACTAAAAATATTAAATAAGTTTATTGCATGCAATAATGATTAAAATTATATCTATAGCATTATCTTAAACTAAGTATAATTTCAACTTATGGCTTGCAAACCTATGAAAATATCCATTTAGCAGATATTCAGAAGTTTAGATAAGGGTGTCTTCATAGTTTTGATGTGTGCAACTATGTAGAGACACACTTTGCAATATAATCCTCAGTGCATCTCTGGCTATTCATAAAATATTTTCACAGTTATTTTCCACTTAATGCAAAATATTAAAATATTCCAAATAATTTTACAGTCTTGTTTTCATAATTGACATGGTTTGATGTTGTGTCCCCTCCAATTCTCATGTGGAAATATGATTTCCAGTGTCAGAGGCAGGGCCTTGCTGGGAGGTGGTTGGATCATGGGAGTGGATCCCCTATAAATGGTTTAAGTTCTTACTCAGTTAGTTCACATGAGATCTGGTTATTTGAAAGTCTGAGACCTTCCCCTGTCTCTCTTGCTCCCACTCTTGCCATGTGATGCACCTGCTCTGACTTTTCCTTGCGCCATGATTAGAAGCTTCTGGAGGCCCTTACCAGAAGCAGATGCCGATGCCATGCATTCTGTACAGCATGCAGAATGGTAAGCCAATTAAACTCTCTTTCCTTTATAAATTACCCAATCTAGATATTCCTTTATAGTAACACACGAACAGCCTAATGCAATAATGTAATCCCTTTGATCATATCTTTCAGAGATTTATTCACAATTGGTTTCGGCTTTGATATATTTGCCACAATACCAAGTTTACAAATAATACTTCACAATTGAATTTTAGGAGTGATACTATCTTTGTAAGTCTACCCAGGACTAGAATGCCTGCTCTTCCCAAAGTAACCTTTCCATTAGAAGATTCTATTTTCACAATTTTTCTCTATGACACATGTTTATGTAAGAAGTTATTTTGTGTTAATACTTTTTTTTCCGATTCACATTTCTTACAGTGGTTCTCAAGGAGTCATTCTTGCTATAATTCACGGCGAAAAAAAAAAAAAAAAAAACACAACCAAACAAAACCCCCAAGAACAACAACAAAACCCCAAACACTAACAAATTCTACAAGAAAAGACGTGTTAAAAATTTTTAAACAACTGCATTCTAATTACTTATATCTTATATTTTTCTAATACTCTTCAAACTTTCAGCAGTGCTTTCTATTTGTCTGTGAATACTGTTTGCTGACAAAAAAAGTGTTTTAATGTTTCAAACTATTTCAGCATGTTATTTTTAAGTTTGACTAAAGCAGGAAGAACAATTGTTCTGAACGTTGTGGATCTTTCTGTTACAAGGCATTTAGTAAAAATAACTTAAGGCTCCTCAATATATAATAAGATAAAATTGTAAAGTCTTGGATTGAATATTTCATAATTGAATGTCACTAAAAATGTTGAGTTTGTTTCACACTCACAGTCTGCTTGTGATGTCATGTTATAATTAGGTAAAATCACAAGCCATTCTTATAAAATTTAATTAATAGTAGATGTAAATTCATAGGCAAATAACTATCTCAGGTTTTTTGGCAAATTATTATTATTATATTTATTTATTTATTTATTTTTGAGATGGAGTCTCGCTCTGTCGCCCAGACTGGAGTGCAGTGGCATGATCTCGGCTCACTGCAATCTCCACCTCCCAGGTTCAAGCGATTCTCCAGCCTCAGCCTCCCAAGTAGCTGGGATTACAGGTGCATGCCACCACGCCAAGCAAATTTTTGTATTAGTTAGTAGAAATGGGGTTTCACCATGTTGGTCAGGCTGGTCTCAAACTCCTGACGTCAGGTGATCCACCAACCTTTGCCTCCCAGAGTGCTGGAATTACAGGCATGAGCCATTGCACCCAGCCTATCCAGGTTATTAGTCATAATTGGTTCATAATCAGCTCTTATGTTCCTTTTTTATTTCTATGATATCAGTCTCCTGTTTCACGTCTGATTTTACATAATTTAATCTTTTCTGTTTTCTCTTTTTTCTTAGTCTAGCTGAAGGTTTGCCAACTTTGATTGCATCTTTTTTTTAAATCAACTCAGTTTTATAGATTTTTTAAATTCTTTTCTACCTTCTATTTAATTTAGCTGACCTGTATTATTTATTATTTCCTTCCTTTTGCTAATTCTCGGTTTGTTATTTTTTCTGCTTCTTAAGGTATAAAGTTAGCATATTTATTTGAGATCTTTCTGTTTTTTAATGTAGGAACTTGTCACTATAAATTCCATCTTGGTGCTACTTTTGCTGCCTTCAGTAAGTTTTGGTACGTTTTGCTTTTTTGTCAACTGACCTTCCACAAGTGTGACACAAATGCACAATAGGAAGAAGATGATCTATTTAACAAATATTGTTGGAAAAACTGTTTATCAACATGTAAATGCATGAAACTGGACTTTTATATTACACCATATACAAAACTTAACTCAAAATGGAATAAAAAACCTTAAACTTAAGACCTGAAACTGTAAAATTTCAGGAAGGAAACGTAAAAGAAAAGCTTGACGACATCGATCTTGGAAATAATTTTATAAATATGACACTAAAAGCACAGACAACAAAAGCAAGTAAGAAAAATAAATAGATATGGGAACTTATCAAACTAAAAAGCTCTGCAAAGAAAAGAAATAATCAACAGAATAAAAGCCACCTGTAGAATGGGAGAAAATATATATATAAGCCACCCAAATGATAAGAGGTTAATTTCTACAATGTATCAGAAAATTCTGTAACACAATAGCAAAAACAAAACTAAACTAATAACCAGATTAAATTAATGGGCTAACGACATGAATACATGTGTCTCTAAAAAAGACACACAAATGGCCAACAAATTTGAATCTTCTCAATGTCACTAATCAGAGAAATGCAAATCAAAACCACAATGAGATACGACTTCACATCTGTCAGTATGGCTACTATTTAAAAAAAAAAAAAAAAAAAAAAAAAAAAAGACTTCAAGTCCTGGAAAGAATGTGAAAAAATTGGAACCCTTGTCCATTGTTTGTGGAAATGCAATACGGTGCAGCCAGCATGAAAAACAGTAGGACGGTTTCTCAAAAAATTAAAAACAGAACTACCTTATGATTCAGCAATCCCCCTTCTGGGTATTTATCAAAAATAATTTAAATTGGGATTTCAGAGATATTAGCATTCTTATATTCATTGCAGCAATATTCATTATAGCCAAGATGTGGAAACAATTTAAATATTCAAGGAAGGATGAATGGATGGATAAAATGCCGTATATACATGTAAGAAAATATTACTCAGCCTTTAAGAAGAAGAAAATTCTGGGATATGTGACAACACGAATGAACCTTAAGGACATAGTGCTTAACTGAAATAGACTAGTACCAGAAAATCAAATACTGCATTATTTTTCTTTTATGAGATATATAAAATAATCAAATTCATAGAATTAATAGAATGGTGTTGCCAGGAGCTGAAGAGAGGATAAAATGACAAGCTGCTAGTCAATGGGCATAAGATTTCAGTTAAGCAAGATGAATAAAAGCTAGAGATCTACTGTATAACATTGAGTCTACAGTTAACAACACTGTATTTTACACTCAAAATGTATTAAAAGTGTAGATCTCATGTTACATGTTCTTGTTGTAAATAATCTACACTTTAGAGAAGGTAAAACATAGCTATTACTAATTGATTATTATAATAAAATACCAATAAAGCTAAATTGCTTAAGAATACATATTTCATAATTATAGAAGGCAATGATTTTTTTCTAATTTTAATGAGAAAAAATCTGGAAACAAAAATGTGTCATTCTTTGTTACACTTATATAACATATTTTCATAAATATAGTGAAATTCAGGGAATTTTAATGATGTTTTTAAATAGAAACATTGCAGAAATATGTCTATCTTATCAAATATATCAATACTTACATAATGTGCTTTATCTCTTCATGTCAAATAAAGAATGCACATTTACTTTGCTTATTTTAAAATCTGGTTTATAATAAAATAGTTAAAAAATGAGTAAGTTATGCATATTCATATTTTCCAAATTAGAATATAATATTTTACACTAATTATAAGGGATAGATAAGCAACTCTCTATGGTGCTGCTATGAAGAATTCTCAAAAAATTTTTATATTAAGCACTGATTATCTTTTCTCTAAAGAAATTCAGAGTAAAAATTATATTAAAATTAGGGATTTTTTGCTCACTTTGAACAGTAACAGAGGTAAAGTGTTAACATTTGCGTTAGGAAGTAAAATATATGCCACATAAATGACAAATGTTGTACTCTCCACCTCTATTATGCTGGTCTTTTCTCCCTTCTACAATCCTGCTAACTAAAGCACTAATTCAAATAGTTCTTTTCAGAATTATTAGAATATGATATACGTAATATGAGACATAAAAAGGCAAACCTTCAACTGTTCCTCATTTTTTTCTTAAAATAGTTGGTAACTAGTTTCTATAGAAAATATATTTGAAATAATTATATTGAGTCATAAAAACAAGAAGTTCAGACTTTTAATTAGAAGCAGGTGTATATTAAGCATATATACCAAGGAGCTTGTTTTATAAGCCTAAGCTAATTACAGCATCTTTCTGGCTCATTGTATTTAAATAAGACATTCCAAATAAAAATGTTCCTACTTATATATTATTGGAAGACAGCAGAAATAACTACTTATAATGATGATTAAATAAAGTTTCAGAGAACTGGACATTTTTGCAGATACTAACTTAGCATTCAGACATTCCTTCATTCATGTATTTATTCTTAATGTGAGGCATTTCTTTATTCATTTATTTATTCTCACTCTTACTTATTCATTTATTTATATGTTTAAATGATATATATTAATTGTTTAATCACTAGGATGCTTCAGAACCTACATTGCAGACTATAGCAGTAAAAAAGGCAGATGTGTTCTCTAACTTCAAAGAAATTTAGTCGGGAAAGAGTGATCAACATTAAATTAATACGCAGATAACTCTTCTGGACAACAATAAGGAAAAAGCACAACAACTATGTGAACTCATAGCAAAAGGTACCTAAATTCTTCTTGGGGACAGAGACCTAAACGTTTCACATACATTATAAGTTAAATTAAGAGAATAAAGGGGAAGTTGTTTCCAACAAAGGAAATCACATTTGGGGCAGCCTGAGATGGGACACAACTTTGTACGTTGATGAAACTCCAGAAATCTGGCATTACCTGAGGCCAGTGAAAGAAGGAGGGTGAAGCAATGCGCTGGAGTGGTGAACAGAAGCCCACGGTGCAGGCCACATTCTGGACTCTGTGGTTAATGCTAAGAGAGATTGCAAACGATTGAAATATTTTAAGACGGGGTGTGAAAAGCCAATATTTTCTTTTTTCTTTTTTTTTTTTTTTTTGAGACGGAGTCTCGCTCTGTCGCCCAGGCCGGACTGCGGACTGCAGTGGCGCAATCTCGGCTCACTGCAAGCTCCGCTTCCCGGGTTCACGCCATTCTCCTGCCTCAGCCTCCCTAGTAGCTGGGACTACAGGCGCCCGCCACCACGCCCGGCTAATTTTTTGTATTTTTAGTAGAGACGGGGTTTCACCTTGTTAACCAGGATGGTCTCGATCTCCTGACCTCATGATCCACCCGCCTCGGCCTCCCAAAGTGCTGGGATTACAGGCGTGAGCCACCGCGCCCTGCCGAAAAGCCAATATTTTCTTTTGAAGAATTGACCAATGTAGATTGGTAAGAGAGATATAGCAATGGTCTCCAAATGGCTTGGATAAGTTCATAATAATTGCCCCAACTCATCGAACACTACATTTTTATGTGCCAAGCAGTGTGTGAAAGGTATTTTTAGGTATTATTTTCATGCACAAACATAAAATTAAAAAAAGAAGAAGCTCAGAGAGACTAACAATTGCTTACGATCAGAAAGCAGATAAATGGATGACCTGGGAGAGGACGATAAATAGTCTGTCTCTGAAATTTGCACTCTGAATCAGATATAATAGAACAGGATTTGGGCAAAGAAAGAATGTGAAGTAGATAATTTGAGACAATTGCAAGTTAAATTAATTGATCTATTGAATATATGAGGTTAAGTGAAGTTTCAAATTTCAGAAACTGGGTGCATGGCAATAACACAGACATAAGATACACAGGTGTATGCATATAATTAAGAGGAAATTATGATTTACAAATTATGAATTGAGTGGTCAGTGAGATATCAAAGAAAGATGTGAATGAGACCATTAGCTACAACATTCTGCTGCTCAGAAGAGATGTTTTTCTTCAAGGTAATGACTTGGAGTAATCAATGTATAGATGGTCTTTGTTTCTTTAGGTATAGCTGAAAGCAGAGAGTGTAGAGAGACAATTGGCAAAGACCTGGTTGTTAGAGGAGAAAGAACAGCCAAGCCGGGGCATGGTGGCTCATTCTTGTAATCCCAGCACTTTGGGAGGCCTAGGTGGACGGATCACGAGATCAAGAGATCGAGATCACCCTTGCCAAATGGTGAAACCCCGTCTTTACTAAAAATAGGAAAATTAGCTGGGCGTGGTGGCGGGCGCCTGTAATCCCAGCTACTCCACTCGGGAGGCTGAGGCAGGAGAATGGCTTGAACCCGGGAAGCGGAGGTTGCAGTGAGCGGAGATGGCGCCACTGCACTCCAGCCTGGCAACAGAGCGAGACTCCGTCAAAAAAAAAAAAAAAAAGAAAGAAAGAACAGCCAAAATGCTCTATTGACAGGCAACTGGTTAGATCAAAACCACCAAGGTACTTGTCATCCATGCCACAGTAAGAGACTGTGTTTCAAGAAAGAATGTGTAGTCAGCTTTGTCAGGATTCCCAGCAATATGATTGAAATAGCAACGCAGGCCTTTTAGAGTCTGTTATCAAGAGGAATTTTCTAAGGGGGTTGCAAGGGCAGAGAAAGGAGTAAATAAGTAGGGAGGATCTGCTATCAAAAAAGGTGAACCGTCAGTTTAAGAATGTACTGTGAAGGGGGAGAAAAAATAGAAAGGTAGGAGACTTACTCTTGCTTTACTTTAAAGCAATACGTAATTAAGCATGTTATAGTTCCCACATTAGCACATTCAGGAGAGAAGAGGAGTTTAAGGATATGGGAGACAAATGGCATAACAGAGGAAAAAGGTTTTTGAAATCCTGGCGGGGAGGCAGGGAAGAGGCAGTAGTGACGGAAATCTCGGGCATGATGGAAAAAGCTATCCATAATATTGGATTTTTTAAATATATAAATTAATAGGTTTTCATTTTAATGCCTGAATTTGCAAGATAAACTGTACAATATTTGTTGATGAGCCTTTTGGTATTTATCAATAGCTTAGCAAAGTTTGTGCAAAGGGTTCCTTATCTAATCATCTTTCATTTATTTCTAAAATTAATAAAATTTTGGATCTATCTTTTTTGGGTTTGCCACCAAAGGAGTTGAGAGGAGTTGACATTTTACCAGACAATGAGTTAAACCATAAAGGCTGAACATCATTGGGAAGAGCAAGCTACAACCTAACAGATACATCCTATGTGCTCTTACTAGCCTTTTCTGACTTAATTGGTAGACCCTGACACCAACAAACATTCCATCATGTCTGAAATAATCTTCTCTGCTAACTTCCATGATGTATCTATTTTGAGTTTATCTTCTTTTTGTGACATTTTATTCTCAAAAATTAAATGAGAAAAATCACTTCTCACATGACTTATATGTTAGAATTCCCTATGCCTCCCGCTATGTTAACTTCAAAGATGTTCATGCTAATGAACCCCAATTGGTAATCTCTTTCAGGAGCAAAAATTGTGTCCACAATTCCAAACTCCAAAAGCTCAGACAACCAAAAGTCTTAAAAAAAAATTACTAGTTGTGTGGAAAAACATTGACTTACCTGAAATAATTTGGTGGCAAAACCAAACTGGCATGTAGTTATTTCTAATTAATGACAATATGTATATATTTTCATATTTGGTTACAAGGAGCTTCTCCAGACCCATCTGGAGTTACTTCTTGATATGTGCACCTTTCCACAATCCAGAAGCTTCTACAACCTAAAAGTTAATTCCAAAACACATCTGGCTCTAGGAATTTTGGACAAGGGATTAATTACACCGTTATCACATAGTTATGTCACTCAGGGCAAATGAGTCTTCATTTCATTCTACTAGCCTCTAAAAGTTGACACTTTTGTTTTTTTCTACATAAAATCTACTTAAGGATCATATCTACTCCCAATCTGTTGTCACCTTACTGTGATTAGATATGTCACACAAGTATATATACAGATCTAACATGATTCTCAACAAGAACATTAGGATATTAAATATTTCATTGTCTAAAATATGTAAAAAATCTGAGAAATTTGAGCAATCTATTTTGAACCCTTTCTAATGTATTTGGTGATATGTCCATAGTCAGTGTAATAACTGAAAGAAAAGGGCTTCATAAGAAAGAAATCACATTTACATTGCCTGTTGTAACATGCAAAAAAAAAAAAAAAAGCTGAGCATGGTGGCTTACGACTGTAATCTCAACACTTGGGGAGGCTGAGGTGGGCGATCGCCTGAGGTCAGGAGTTCAAGACCAGCCTGGCCAACGTGGTGAAACCCCGTCTCTACTAAAAATATAAAAATTAGTTGGGTGTGGTGGCAGGCAGCTGTAATCCCAGCTACTCAGGAGGCTGAAGCAGGAGAATCACCTGAACCCAGGAGGCGGAGGTTGTAGCGAGCGGAGATCATGCCATCGGATGCCAGCCTGGGTGACAAGAGTGAGACTTTGTCTCAAAAAATAAATACATAAAATAAAAACCAAAACCTAATAATATGCTACTTGAATTCACATACTTTGCTACTTATAGCTATGGTCCATTCATTTTTATAAACATACGTTATCTATATTGTTATGTATTTTTATTAATATATTTTTTGAAAAATTTTTGATTTTAGAGAAAAATTGAGCAGATGATACCCTATCCCCTCTCTTTGCACATAGTTTCTCTATTACTGACATCTTTCATTAGTCTGGAACATTGGTAATAATTGATTTGTCAATATCGATACATTACTATGAACTAAAATTTATAGTTTATTTAGATATCTTTAGTTTGTACCTATGTCTTCTTTTTCTGTCACAGTATCAAATTCATGATACCACATTATTTGTCACGTCTCCTTAAGCTCTTCTTGACTGATAATTTTAGGGACTTGACAGTTTTGATGAGTACCAGTCAGGTATATTGTAGGATGCCGTTCTGTGGAAATTATTTTGGTGTTTTCCTCATGATTAGACAAAGATTATAGGCTTTTGAAAGATGATCAAAGTAAATTGCCTTTTCAATACGTCATATCAAGGATACATATTATCAACATGATTTATGCCTTTTGATATTGAGCTTGGTCCATTGTCTGAAGTAGTGCTGTCACGTTTTTCTACTGTAAAGTGACATCTTTCTTAATCCTTTTTCATGCTTTACCCATTGGAAAGAAGTCACTATACATAGCCCACACTTAAGGAAAGGGAGTTACACTAACCCTTCTTTAGGAGAGCATATCCATGAAATGTATTATTTGAATTTTTTTTGCCTAAGAGATTTGTCCTTTGTCTTCTATTTAAGTGTATCCATATATCTGTATGCCCTCATGGATAATTCATAATTTATGTTATAATCTCATACCACTTTATCTATTATGTTCAAATTATCCTAAGGTTGAACATCGGGACATCTTTTAGTTAACGCCTGTGCCCCTTTGACATACCTCCATAAGTGAAAGCTTTCTTGTTTAGTTTTTTTTTTTTTTTTTTTTTTTTAGCACTTCCTTACTTTCTGGCACTACAGTATGCTGCAGGTCCATCTTGCATACTTTATCCCCAAGTCCTAGAATCAGACGTCACTCCACAGAGCCCTGACTCCTTCTACTGAAGAATGAGATTAAAAATCAAAATCTAGGTATTAGATTTTTTCATTGCTGCTGGGATGCCATTTCTTTTAGGTCTTATCAGCTGACAGAGTAAATAAGTAGACGTGTCTATAATAATCCATATACATATACACACACATATCTATAAATATTTCTATATGTAGCCACCTTTATCTATGTTAAGATAAACATGAGTTCTTCAACTGGTATTTTTTAATCTACACTTTAGAGAAGATAAAACACAGCTATTAATAGTTAAATAATTGACTCAAGAACAAATGCACAGTGAAAGCGAAAGTAGACTAGAAACCAATAATTGTCTAACTTCAAAATCTATGCTCATAATGACACCTATCAGTTTCCTGGAATTTTTCAAATAAAATATACATTTCTTTGTTGGTTTCAGTATGTAGTATATGATACCAACCAAGCTGCAGAAATAAGTGCCCGAAGGAGACATAATTATACTTCCTGTTAACTCCACAGACAAAAGACATGCAGTCGGGGTACTGTAGGGTGGCAGAGCAACTTTGCTCTCTGTGGTTATTTAGAGACCATGTCTTTATTCTACGTCTCTGCTTCATCATTCTCTAGGGTTTGCCTCTGTCATTAAATGTAATGTCATATATTTAAGCGGCCTCACCACTCCACCCGAATTCTAGACTGTGGAAAGGAGAGACAGGAAATCTGTGATTAAGGGGCACATCACAAAGAAGTTCCAGAAGTTGCAATTATCACTTCCACACACATCGTAGTCTAAACTTAGTCATATGAACTGCACTCGTCTAGATAAGACAGAGGGGAATGTGGTTTGTCACTGGGAAGCCATATCACCAACTATGACTGAAAACCCGTTGATTGTTAAAGGTAAAGAGGAGAATGGGTACTGGGAGTAATTAGTGGTCTTTGCTACGCTCTGATTAACTTCCAGTTAAAGAAAAATTCTCATTATTTATTAAAATTAATCAGATATTGATGTTCTATGACATTGGAGGATCAGCACAGTAAATCCCGTATGTTTCTATTCATAAATAGAAACATAAATACATAATGTGCACTTAGATGTAGAAAACAAAGTTGAGCAGAATGGAGATAAAAATATGAGACAGGTAAAAAAGAAATGAAAAGTCTGTAGAGAGAAAATAGAAAAAAGTTCAGGGAAAAGGAAAATAAAAATTAGTAGAACTAGATTGATACATATGTATTAAAGTATCAATAAAAGTTATTATTTAATGTGAATTAAGTATTGATATTTTACAATACATAGATACTATAAATGCATGTCAGTTGATTTTCCCACAAAATTATTCCTCGTGGGAAATACATATTCAAATTCTAAAAAGTACATATTATCATCAATTTCTCTCAAAGTCTTTATTTTGAAAGATAAGCATATTTTGGAAAATCTACATTAGTATGAAGCAATGTTATTCAATGCTTGTTTTTTTAAAAATAAAGTTTTTGATATGTTCAGAGTCAACTGTAAAATGTATTAAACAGGCAGCAAACACAGTTTGAAGACTTTAAATATTTATTCTTGGGATGTGGCTGCACAATAGCGACTGTTGAATGTCACTGTGAAGAAGCCTTGTTAACAGTCACTTAAAATGCAATGCATTATGCAGTTATCACTGTTGTGATCACACATGCCCCCATCTACAAAATGCTTAGGAGAGAGAAACTAATTCATCTTGACTTTGTGCAATTGGATACTAGTGATTTGAGAAAATATTTCCAGGAACAGGAAAATAGCCATCTTCAAAAACGTATCTCAAACAATTTAAATGCAAGTAAAGCCAATATGGAAAACTTGGTAAGATGACTTAAAATGTAGGCTTAGTAATTTTTAAAAAACAATTATGTTGAAGATGCTTATATGTAATTTTTTAAAACATAAATGGGAAAATGCAATATTTCAAATTGATTTTTATCTTATATCAGTGTGATCACATAAGTCACTAAATTTCTAAATTAATTAATGTGATACATATTTATTGAACACTCTTTGTACGGTAGGCACTATTCTAGAAGCTGTGGAAAGATTGGCAAGCCACAAAGATAACTCTTTTGTGCTTTCATTTTAGAGATCTAAAATTAATTACTATAGTAAATGTTGTATTAGGCCTGTGACTCTTTCACCTAAGACCTGAACATTTAAAAAATTGCTCTCAAATTTATCTTTTGTATGTTGTACGCAATTTCCAACTGTGAACATTAAAAATACATCTTGTATTTTGTGACACATGACATATATGATACTTATAAAAATAAAGTGCTAACTCAGTCTTAGTTCTGCATTTGAACTAAGTTCAATGCAGTTCTTCCATCTACATATCATTTCCCTTTTACTGCATAAAGGGAATCGATTGAGACACAGAGAACCTGTAAATACTACACCATCACATTTTTTTCCTTCACATTTTTGAAACACATGGTTTAAGACTAACTCTGCTTTATCTTTAGTTTCCAGATAGCAAAACTCCAGTATATAAGAGAAAGTATGTTATTAAGTCACTGAAGGGAATTTTGAAACATTATAGTCTACTAGGGCTGCCATAAGGAAATATCACAGACGAGAATGTCTTAAAAATAAAAATACATTTACAGTCCCACCAACAGTGTAAAAGTGTTCCTATTTCTCCACATCCTCTCCAGCACCTGTTGTTTCCTGACTTTTTAATGATCGCCATTCTAACTGGTGTGAAATGGTATCTCATTGTGGTTTTGATTTGCGTTTCTCTGATGGCCAGTGATGATGAGCATTTTTTCATGTGTCTGTTGGCTGCATAAATGTCTTCTTTTGAGAAGTGTCTGTTCATATCCTTCACCTACTTTTTGATGGAGTTGTTTGATTTTTTTCTTGTAAATTTGTTTAACTTCTTTGTAGATTCTGCATATTAGCCTTTTGTCAGATGGGTAGATTGTAAAAATTTTCTCCCATTCTGTAGGTTGCCTATTCACTTTGATGGTAGTTTATTTTGCTGTGCAGAAGCTCGCTAGTTCAACCATTGTGGAAGACAGTGTGGCAATTCCTCAAGGATCTAAAACTAGAAATACCATTTAACCCAGCCATCCTGTTACTGGGTATATACCCAAAGAATTTTAAATCATGCTGCTATAAAGACACATGCACACATATGTTTATTGAAGCACTATTCACAATAGCAAAGACTTGGAACTAACCCAAATGTCCATTAAGGATAGACTGGATTAAGAAAATGTGGCACATATACACCATGGAATACTATGCAGCCATAAAAAAGGATGAGTTCATGTCTTTGTAGGGACATGGATGAAGCTCGAAACCATCTTTCTGAGCAAACTATCACAAGGACAGAAAACCAAATACCGCATGTTCTCACTCATGTGTGGGAACTGAACAATGAGAACACTTGGACACAGGGTGGGGAACATCACACACTGGGGCCTGTCGTGGGGTGAATGGAGCGGGGAGGGATAGCATTAGGAGATACACCTAATGGAAATGATGAGCTGATGGGTGCAGCACACCAACATGGCATATATATACATATGTAACAAACCTGCACGTTGTGCACATGTACCCTAGAACTTAAAGTATTAACAAACAAACAAACAAACAAAAACATACATTTATTTTCTCAAGGTTTGTTTTCCAGTGAGACCTCTCTCTTAGGGGTGTGGATGGCCACCTTCTCACAGTGCCATCATATGGTCTTACCTCTCCACTCTCCTGGACAGAGGGAGATCTCTAGAGTCAGTTCCTCTTCCTACAAGGACCCCAGCCCTATAGGATCAGGGACTCACCCTTATGACCTCATTTAATATTTGTTATCTTCCTTAAGGCCCTAATCTTCAAATACAGTCACACATTTTGGGTTAGGATGTCAACATATGAATCTGGCAGAGTGGACTAGGTTAGGGCACAATTCAGTCCATAGCAATTAGTAATCAATGCTGGGCGATTTTATTAATAGGTAAAATATTTTGATAATTTTATTTCCAGTGAAATTTGAAAAGAATATGTGCCAAGATACGTGTGTGTGTGTGTGTGTGATGCAATTTGTTAGTGAGAAAAATTTTAAATAATCAACTGTAATTTTTAGTTTGCAGTATTTTAAAAAGTCATGAATAAAACATTTGTATATTTTAGAAGAATAGCTATTGGAACTAATTTCTAAGTACAAAAATAGATGAGAAAACCAATGCAGTATACAAAGAAAAAAAAATCTCGAAATAAATGCAAGAAGGAAGCTGGGAACCAAGAAATCTAATTTAATAAGTTACTGAACTTCTGCATTTTAACTATAAAGAAGGTAAAACATGTTAGGGTTCTTTAAAATCAACAGCAATAAGTCAAATAAATTATAAACTATATTTACAGCTAATAGAAAACCAAATGCAACTAATGACACATGTTCCAGAAAAGTTTACAGTTTGAAGTGGGAAAAGATAAATATTGCTTCAAAGAGTTTGACCTATCTACTGTAGTCCACATTCCAGGTATTTGTTTTACTGCCAGAAATTATCAGCACTTTAGAATTCACAAGGGTATGGTTTATTTATCTTTTTTAAAAGAATGATTTAATTATTATTTATTTCCACAGCAAGTGAAATCATCTTGTTAATCGCCTCGATGAACTTTTATTTTTATCATCGAACACTCATTTTTATTTATTTGCTTTGCAATTGCTTCTTGCTTTTTTGTTTCCAGTGGAACTAGTTGTAGCTTAACAACTTTGAGAAGGGTCATAGCATCTCTTTGGAGAGCTATGAGGAAACTCTTGACAGTATATTAACTGTCAAGACTCTGGTGGATGACAAAGATGCAACCTACTCTCTCTATTTTAGAAACTTCAAGAACATCATTTCTGCAGAGCCGCTGGTCACTGTCAGTCTCTGGTATTAAAAGTGAAGTCCATTAGCTAAACGTGGTTCCCTCTTTCAGCACATTTTATTCCCTATGGAGGCCAGGAATAGTAATAGAGAAAATAGTTCAACCAAATGTAACTAAAACATATACAAATGAGACTGTTTTTTCACACTCAGTGCAGGTATACCTACCTAAAAAAACAATGATATTTTCATTCTGCTTTTGGTGAAGTGAGACTAATAGAATTAATTATAATGGCTTCAGTCTAAGCTCAATTTGTCTTCTTTCATTTTCTTATATCCTTTCTTCTTTCCCCTCCTTTTCTCTCCTTTCTTCTTTTGTTTTTTTTTTGTTTTTTCATTTTCTTGGTGTATCCAATCTTTATTACTCTGACCCACGATAAAGTTGTCACAAACTGCAAGGTACTAGGACTGTCAGCTCCCTTCACTTTGTTTGTTGTTGGCTCATTCATTCATTCATTCATTTTTGGTCAGGTTTCTTTTTAGTGATTTCAGAGAATTCTGTGTCTCTGCATTTGTAACACAGATTCTTAACTTACTGGGTGTATTTACAGGAAAGCTTTCTTCACAGATGCCTTCTTATAGGGTTACTATGGTTTCGTTCACTGTCAGTGGAAAGAGCAGAGGTGAGTGGGGTTGGTGTAATTTAACCATTTTATTCCCGCTCTTCCATAGACATCATATGCATCTCACAGCATAGCAGGAGGAGGAAACGAGAAGTTTGCTGAACTAACAAGGACCAAAAAAATATGTAACAATGACATTCATTTTATTTCTGTTACAAAAAACAGAACATATTGTCTGTCTAGAAATATTAGAAACTAAAAGAATTTATAGTTAGTAAAAGTCCCAGTAAATACACATGTCTCAGAAAGCTACTGGAAATACTGATGTGTGTTTTCAAGTTTGTGTTTTCAAGATTGTGTATATTCAAGCCTGTCCTGTGTCTGTGTGTGTGTACGTGTGCAATTTCTGGAATTATACCACAAATATACAAATGTTCATACTATACATACTGATATGTGGTTTCTATATGAACAGAGTATTCTGGTGTGTTTTCACATGAATACTTACATATGTGTCATACATTTAAGAGCTGCATTAGGGTCCAGCTTTTGGAGTGATTGAAAGATGCATTTAGTTATACTTGCACTTAATTGTGCCTACTTGCTTTATATTTAAGACATTTCTAATTTTGTATTATTGTAAAAAATATTGCAAGAAACATTGCAATGTATAAGTCTTATGTTTGGGAAGTTTATGTGTCCTAGGAGTAGTGTTTTAAAAATCAATTGATAGAAGAGATGTACGTTTACAATTTTGACCAGTTAAATTTTAAAAGATTTTATTACTTACATATCCAGGAACAGTGTGTGAAAATGTGCATTTCCTAATATGGATTGAGTCATATATGATGAATTGAGAAATATTCATTTCATAATATAGAATATAGTTGAGTTGCATATTCAAACTATGGCTGTCCAAATCTTTTGAAGAAAGCCGATAATTAATGGTAGTAATGTCTGGGCAAGATTAATTCTTTTTTCACATTTATTTCTCATGTAGATAATTTCCCCCTGTGCTTTGGCCATTTACATCCCTTTCTTATTTACCTTATGGATTTGAAAAAGATTTTCACAGAATGGCAACGTTAACTTTTTATGTATTATAAATCTCACTTTTTTTTAATTTTTTATTCTTGGGATCTTATTTGTTTTTTCAACAGAAGTTTTTAATTTTTATACAATCAAGTTTAAGTACTTTCTATCTATAAGTAAGAGTTTTTACCCAAACTTCCTAAACTTAGCTTCATTCTTTTAATATTTCTTGTTTTGCATTTTAAATATGAAGCAAATTGATATATTTAGGATATGAGAATGTGTGGGCAAAGTATGCTGGTGGTTAGGGAGTTAGGTAAGAATCTATAGTAGCGCAGGGAGCACTTTTAAACTGTAATTGTCAAGAAAGAAGTAGATTACAGCCATACCTTGGAGGTTGGTGGTAGAATATCATCAAAAGTACAGACATGAGACTATTTGAGATGCTTTTCTTGACTGTGACTTAACGAATTTTACCTGACTTGAGGATTGATGAAGGAGAATAATGGAGCAAAGACTGTCTTCCAGGAACATTACAGTAGGTGTTTGGAACTATGGAATTGTGTTGTTTGTTTGTGTTTCTTTTTGTTTTTTTAATCAATGATTAACATAATAGAGGCAACATTTTAGAAATAATTTAACATAGAAAAATCTGTCCAGTCAAAGTCAAGTAAATCAGATTTATATGACTCGCAGAGATAAGATCAAGCTTTATTATTTCTAAGAGTATAAATTGTCGATACTTCAGGAAAAGCAAGTGCAAGTCCAGAGGATTGAGGAGAGCTTCCTATGTCCTTCCTTTCAGCATGAAACATCTATTCCTTGACCTAGGGTAGATGAGGTCTCAGAATGAGGTAAATGGGTTATCACCACATACCAGAGAACACTTTAGTCTAGGAAATATTTCCATTTCATACACCAGCTTATATGATGTTTTCCGGAGAACGATGGCTCTTAAATTGATAGATTCTGGATTTATAGTAATACAAGCAATTTTTGACTAGAGACATCTTATTAAGAACATTGCATAGATAAGGACGCTAAGAAACACGACGAGTTTATTTTCATGGAGGTTCATTTACCATGTTGGTCAGGAAGTCAGACTTGTTTCCTGATTCTTTTCCTCCCGCAGAGAGGATCCTCTGTTAAAAGATGTGAATGGATCACAAGACAGTCACTTCAACTCCTTCTGTCCCAAGAATGATGAACATGACTTAGATATAGAAGAGTTCATACCCACCAAATTGTGCCAGGATGGGAGATCAACCAATTTCATGGGGGTAGCTGTAGAGAGCAGAGGCAAATAAAGGTGTTATTTCATTTAAAAGGTGTTTTATAATCCTTTTAAAAACAACAAAACAAACTGAAAACTTTCTAAAACTACATATCCATGTAATAAATAAGCATTGGCAATTAAATTCGATCACCATCCTCTTTATACAGTTTTACATATTTTCCCTAATAAATTTTCAAGAAAAATAAGTATGCACATGGATTTATGTTAGTTTATACGACCATTAGTTTATACAAAATGTGAATAAAATCATGATATAAAATAATTATCAAGTACCTGAAAGTTAGCATTGCCAATTTTTCACCAATCCTGAGGTACTCATCAACAAATTAATTTGGCTCAGAGATATTTATTTGACTGCAACAAGATATACAGCTTCCTTCTTTCCAAATTTCGGGTTGAAAGCTGAGTTAAGGTATTAACAAGGAATTGGGAAATAGGGAAAAATTGTAAATAGCTGTTTTATTTGAAAAAAAAAATCTGTCTCCAAGAAGAAAAGTTCATTCTACCTGTTGCCAACAGCAGTCAAGCGGACATGTTTAAAATTTTTTAAAAAAGTATTTTTTTTTCCAACTGGAGTTTAATAGCCTCATTTTGGCTTTTGCTATTACTGCTGCAGGTGCTTTGATTTTTTTCCTCTGCATTATAATTACCACTAAAGGAAATGGGAGGTAGTGAAGCACTATTCTCTCTAATTTCCTTTGATTTTCTTCTTCAGAACTTATTTTTTCTTTTAAACCTTTGCTCCACATATTTTATTTGTGTTACTGCACAAGCTGTGGGACATAATAAGTGGCATTTTAGCACCATTCTGTTCTTTACTCATGGTGGATAAATCACAGCAGAGTCGCTAACAGCTTGTGACTGACAATCTTCCTTGATAGACAATCTGTGATCCTTTCAGCCTTTTACTAATAAGCTCATTAGGCGAGAATGGCTAGAAATCCTTTCTGGGATATAGCAATGAACCGCAGCAAATTCAGTGCATGTCTGACCACTCAAACTTTAGAGAATCAATCTTTCCTCAATCAAAACTTTGTCAAGTCCTGGTGAATGTCTGCTGAAGGTTACTGATTTTTTTTTAATAAAACTTTGTCAGAAAAATCAAGAAAGCTTTCTAGTCTAATAAAAGTCAAGGGGAATTTTTTTCTAAACAATTTTGTTGTTGTTGTTTTAAATTTTGGTGAATCAGCATCTGAAAATGTTTATCAAATTTCAAAGTTGCCATAATTTTTAAATTAAAAGTGAAAGCTAGTTTACTGCTCAGCAATTCAGTGAGCAAAAGAGATAAGAAGTTGAGCTGAATTGAGATATTCTGATTATTACCATTGGTTAGATTCATGTGTATCTTGTAATGAATAATGAAAGTTTAGCTGGCAATTATAATAAATGATAAGAAGAATTATCTATACTTTGTGCATATTAGTTAATGATAAATTACTATTGTCTTACTGGGACTAAAACAATGTAAAATTCACTCATATGTGTATCTAACACAATTATATTCCAGGTTTTTTTTAAAACTAAATCTTGTTCTCAGATTTACAGGACAAAATAAAAATTTAGTCCCAACTTTATTACTGGGCCAATTTAGTGAAACTCTGCACCTGACATGAATGATATGCTACGATACTTCATTAATATGACATTATAAAAATGGAACTGAAAGAAATGATTGAGAAACAATTAAAGGTTTCTTCTTTTGGCCATTCATGAAGCTACTCAAATTGGTAGAAATTTGAAAAAATACAAATCAAATAATCAGAGTATTTAAAGTGAAGAAAATTTAATCTTAGAAATTAAAGAAAAGCCTAGCAATTAATTAAAACTGAAATTACATGAGCCATGTATGTCTATTCATGTTCTCATTTAATTTCATTGAATAGCTTTTTAATACTGATGAATACATGACATGAAAATCTATATATAGTATTTACGATTAATTGATATTGATAATTAACATATTACAAAGTTAATAGGGAGAGACACACACACACACACACACACACACACACACACACATACACACGAGAGAGAGAGAGAGAGAGAGAGAGAATCTCCAGAGAAGACAAATGTAAAAAGAAGACATAATACCATTACATGGTCAAGTATTTAAAAATAACCAGTCAAACAAACAAATCAAAACAAACAATAAATTAAAAGTCCATTGGAAGTAAAAATTATGAATTCAAATATACTGCTATATTAGGGGAGCAAGTAGTGAGCACTGTTTAATGTTTTAAACATTTGAGAAACTCTAGAGATGGTAAGTCTTATATTTCTACTGTTTACAAAAGCAATCCGGTGAAGCCTATATTTGAAATTCTAATCCTTTTCTTATCAGTCTTGCATGCAGAAATACGTCCAGCAGAAGAGAGTCAACAAATAGGACTTATCAATCAGAAGAAAGAATTTCTAATCGCAGAAGTACATTGTCGAGGTGACCTGATTTTACCAGATAGACTCTACAGTGCCTGCCTCCTCCATTTAATATCCAACTTGGCCTATATCATCAAGCTTGGCCATGATATTTAAACATCCCCACAATTGCTTGGTTTCAACAAGAATCTCTGTCTGCAAATAAATAGAGACACAATATTAATTTGTAATCTTACCAAACTCCAGTAAATTATTGGGTTACAAATCACTAAAGAAATCGCATATTTCTCTTTATTTCTATTTTCCTCTGAGGACCACACAGAGGAGTTAATTACTAAGTCACTATTATTTACAGTGATGTCAAGACATTTTAAGGCATAATAAATATAGCCTAGACTTCCATTTAGAGGAACATTTTACTTCCAAATACATATTTTTTAATTATTTCATTATAATTCTAATTATCTAAACACCACCTAAAATTTAGGTAATTGGATATATGAAGTATAAACTTGGAGTTATAAAGCCCTTGGAGTTTACATAAAACCAATCTGATGAAAATTGATTAAAGCTGACAAATTACGACCAGAAGAAATAAACTTAATTTACTCAACAAACGAGGAATAAAGATGAAAGAAAAATCAACAAAATTATATTTTTATGATATTGCTGTATAGAGTCATTTTAAACCTATCACTAGATATGAAATGAACACATTGTGGCCCATAAAAATAATATACTACTTACTTTTAGAGTCAAAGTCTTCACATTTCTTCTGGTAGTAGCCTCAAACCTAGAAAAAGCAGAGAAAATACATAATAGAGATAATTTGATAGGCACCTTGCCATGTGTGAATTAAATTCATATGATGAAAGAGATAATTGGATCTCTCTCCTTTTCTTTCTCTTTCTGTCTCTCTCCCCCTTCTTCTCTCTCTCTTTCTTTCATCAATAGTTAATTTGTAGGAATTTAATTTGTACATGGCAAGGTGCCTATCAACTTAGCTTTTCTGTATACTTTCTCTACTTTTTCTACGTTTGAGGCTACTATCAGAAGAAATGTGAAGACTTTGACTCTAAAAGTAATAGCATTAGCATGTTATTTTTATAGGTCACAGTAATTTATATCCAGACATAGGTTTAAAATGACTCTATACAGCAATGTAATAAAAATATAATTTTGTTGATTTTTCTTTCATCTTTATTCTTAGTTTGTTGAGAAAATTAAGTTTATTTCATCTGGTTGTAATTTGCCAGATTTTCATCAATTTTTTTTTTACGGTTGATTTTATGTAAACTCCCAGGGCTTTATAATTTTTTGGAGGGGAAGATTAAAAAGGGTATTTTCAACTGTACCCCCTCAACACTTCAAAAATCCTACTAATAAAAATAAGAAGTTAAAATTTCATTATTTCTTTTTTCAACAAATAATCTCAACTTGCAATGTGGTTATGTCCCAATAAATGCATAATAAGTCAAAAATACCATGTCAAAAATGCATTTAATATCTCCATAAACTCATCATAAAGTAGAAAACGTAACGTCAAACCATCTTTTGCTATCAACAATTTCACAGCATCTTAACCAGGAGTAGATTCTATCTCAATAAACCACTTTTTTCTCATCCAAAAGAAGCAACTCCTCATTCTTTAAAGTTTGATCACGAGATTGCAGCAATTCAGTCACATCTACAGGCTCCAGTTTCCATTCTAGGTCTCTTGCTTTTGCTGCCACATGTGCAGTTATTTCTTCCATTAAGCCCTGAACCTCTCAAAACCTTACAAATTGTAATTTTTAAATAATAAGACTTGAAAACAGAAATAACTCCTTGATCCTTGGGCTGCTGAAAGGATGTTGTGTTAGCAGGAATGAAAACGACATTAAGTTTCTTATACATTTCCCTCAGACCTCTTGGGTGACTGAGTACATTGCCAATAAGAAGTAATATTTGGAAAGGAATCTGTTTTTCTGAGAGTAGGTCTCAACAGCGAAATTAAAATATTTAGTAAATCATGCCGTAAAAGATGTGCTGTCATCAGGCTTTGTTGTTCCATTTATATAGCACAGGTGGAGCACATTTGGCATGATTCTCAAAGGTCCTCGGATTTTCAGAATGGAAAATGAGCATTGGCTTCAACTGAAAGTCACCAACTGCATTAGCCCCTAACAAAACAGTCGCCCTGTCCTTTGAACCTTTAAATCCAGGCATTGACTTCTCCTCTCTAGCTGTGAAAGTCCTAGATGGTGTCTTCATTAAATGGAAGGCTGTTTTGTCTCTATTGAAAATCTATTGTCTATTGTAGCTACGTTTCATAAATTGTCTTAGGTAGATCTGGCTAACTTCTGCGGCCTCTACATTAGCTCTTGCTGCTTGCTTCACCTTTTACTTTTATGTTATGGTGATGGCTTCTTTTCTTCAACCTTATGAACCAACCTCTGCTAGCCTTCAACTTTTCTTCTACAGCTTCCTCGCCTCTCTCAAGCTTCACAGAATTGAAGAGAGTTGGGGCCTTACTCTGGATTAGGCTTTGGTTTAAGGGACCATTTTGACTGGCTTGATCTTCCATCCAAACCATGAAAACTTTCTTCATGTCAGCAATAAAGCTATTCACTTTCTTATTATTTGTGTGTTGACTAAAGTAGCACTTTCAATTTTCTTAAAAAATGTTTTCTTCGCATTGAAAACCTGGCAAACTGTTTGGTGTGATAGGCATAGCTTTCAGCCTATATTGGCTTTCAACATGCCTTCCTCAATAGGCTTAATCATTTTTAGTGTTTTATTTAAAGTGAGAGATGTGCGACTCTTTCTTTCACTTAAACACTAGATGAAATAAACAAATAGTTGAACACACAGAGGCTATTGCAGGATTATTAATTGGCCTATTTTCAATATTGTTTTGTCTCATGTAAAAGGGAGGCCCCAGAAGAGGAAGAGTGATGGAGGAATGACCAGTGGGTGGAGCAATCAGAATACAAACAATCTTTAGAGATTGTTTGATTTTTTTTTTATATGGTCACGGATCGGGGGGCTCCATAACAACTCTAACACTATGTAAAATAAGAATGAAAAAGTTAAAAATATTGCAAGAATTACCAAAATGTGACAAAGACACAACGTGAGCTCCTGCTATTGGAAAAATTGTGCTGATAGACTTGCTCACTGCAGGGTTGCCATGAACCCCCAGTTTATAAAAGAGGCAACATTTGCAAATCACGGTAAAGCAAAGCCCCAAAAAACAAGGTGTGCCTGGACATCACCAGCAGAAGTGATTTCAAGGAATGTGACAAAAGTCCTTAAAGAAGAAAAAAAATGACCATTATATAAATATATAGATCTACATAAAAGAATGAGAGCCAGGAATGATGAGAAATCATTTTTAAGGTCAATGTACAAGAAATTTTGTTAGCATTCAAATATATTTAAAAAGTAATTGGTTGCTAAAATAAAGATGAAAACAATGTAATACAGGATTTATAACATATACAGTAATAAAATATATGATAACAATTGTATGAATGTCTGAAAGGAAAAAATGGAGGTATACCACTTGAAAGCTTATTTATCTTATATGATTTGTGAAATGGTATAATACAAATTGATAGTAGACTGTAACGAGTTAAGTATGTACACTGTAAACCCTAAAGCAAACCCTAAAAGAAAAAAAAATAAAGTTACACCTAGTTAGCTTAAAAGATAAAATAGAATAATTAAAAATTGCTTAAGCCAAAGAAGTCAGAAAGCAAAGAAAGATGAACCAAGAAAAGGTGCACATTGAATTGTACAGTTTAAGTGGATGAATTATATGGTATGTGAATTGCCTCTCACTCTATAAAGTTGTTACAGAAAAAGAAAGACAAAAAATATTAATAGGACATATGATCCACCCTTGCTTTGTGAAAATGGCTTCTGTGCAAGTAGCTTTGACTGAACACAAATATCCAACCAACCTTTTGTGGATCTTTTCAATCATATTCACACACCTGGCTCCTGGGTATCATTGGATGCACCATAGGATTATGAAAAATAAAAAATATAATAGAAATCAAAGAATTTGTTGTAGCTTAAATTGTGTCTGCCAAAAATTAACATGTTGAATATTGAGGGTTAGTACTTCAACATATAAATTTGACTATATTTGAACATAGGGTCTTTAGCATATAATTAAGTTAAAACGAGGTCATTAGATTGATTTCTAAATCAATATTACTGTTGTCTCTATAAGAAGAGGAGATTAGGAAATAGATTCACACAGAGGGAAGACCATATGAAAACACTGGGAGAAGGCAACAGCCATCTGTAAGCCAAGGAGAGAGGTCAGGAACAGATCCTTCCCTCCCAACCCTCAGGAGACAAAACCCTGTCAAGACCTTCATCTTACAATTCAAGCCTCCAGAACTGAGACAAATTTCATGTGTTTAAGCCACCCATCCTGTCATACTTTGTTAATGCAGCCTTAAAAAGCTAACATTGAGTCCTGGAAGTTAAAAGAGAAAGCAGTGTTTGAAAAGCACCAGAGTTGCTTGTTGTCTATGCCAATGGCTTCTGCGTTGTATAGAAAAGAATTGTGCACATTGTGCACATGTACCCTAGAACTTAAATTATAATAAAAAAACAAAATAAAATCTTTTTCTTAAAAAAAAAGAAAGAAATCCATGATCAAAAATGTTTCAGGTGCAGGACTTAAAAGAGGGCCTACAGTATGAGAACATTTTGGAAAACATTGATTATGTCAGTTACTAGTAATAAAACCTTGAGCAAGCTCCTTAAAAAAAAGAAAAGAATTGTGTCTGCTATTGTTGGTACAACCTGGAATGGAAGTAATAAATCTGGAATGAGTACTAAAAAACAAAACAATAACAACAGAACTAGGAAAAATAGGAAACAAGAACAAAATGATTAAAAACATCTATATCAAGGATCACATTAAATATAAATGTTCTAAATGTATTATAAAAGTATTATTAATCATAATGGCAAAACTGCAATTACTTTTGCACCAACCTAATAAAATGCAAAGCTGGCTGGGCGCAGTGGCTCACACCTGTAGTCCCCGCACTTTGAGAGGATGAGGCAGGTGGATCACCTGAGGTCAGGAGTTCGAGACCAGCCTGGCTAACATAGTGAAACCCTGTCTCTACTAAAAATATAAAAATTAGTCGGGTGTGGTAGTGGGTATCTGTAACCCCAGCTACTCAGGAGACTGAGGCAGGAGAATCACTTGAACCCAAGAGGCGGAGGTTACAGTGAGCCGAGATCACGCCACTGCACTCCAGCCTGGTAACAAGAGTGAAACTCCATCTCAAACAAAACAAAAAACAAAAACAACAACAAAAATTTACCCCCTCCCCCCAAAAAATTAGCTGGACGTGGTGCACTCCAGCCTGGGTGAAAGAGTGAGACTGTGTCTCCAAAACAAACACTAAAATCCTAAACAACAACAACAACAAGCTTGTAACATGAGAGAAGTTCAAGGCTCAACTGTATGCTATGAGATATGCATTCAAACATTAAGAAGCACATAACATAGAAGAAAATGATGAAAAACAATATGAGATGCTACCACTAATTCAAAAACCTAGAGGGGCTATAGTAGCATCAATTAACAGAGATATCAGAGCAAAGAATATTAGTATTAAAGAAAGTCATTTCATAATGATAAAATGTCAATTCATCAGAGACCCACCAATCTTAAAAGCCTATGCATCAAATGGTAAAGCTTCAAAAATATATGAAGCAAAAACAGATACAGTTAAATGGAGAAATGTACAATTTCACAATTTATAGTTGACGATTTCAATACCTGTCTCTCAATAATTGGTAGAATAAGAGAACAGAAAGTAAGTAAAATTATAGAAGATTTGAATATCGTTGCCAAGCAATGTGATCTTATTGACATTATAGAAACTACAGCCAGCAATATGAAAATACACATTCTTTTTTGTGCATACAGACCTTACACAATGATAGACAAATTCAGGGCCATAAAGCAGTCTCAATCCATTTGAAAATATTTACTCCAGATAAAGTATGTTCACTGCTGATAAGATAATTAAATTAGAAATCAATAACAAAAAGAACTGTGGGGAATCACCAAATATTTAGTATTTGTGTGTTAGGATTAACACACTTCTGAATAACATGGTTTTAAGAAGAAAACAAAAAATTAGAAAGTATTTTAAACTGACAGGAATTGAAATTAAAGTCTCATAAATGTTGTGGGATGCTGACGAAACAGAGTTTTATCGAGGGAGTTCTAGCATTAAACAACTACATTAGAAAAGAAGAAAAGCCTCAGATCATTGACTTCAACTTCTGGCTAATGTAAGTAGGATAGAAATAGTAAAATAAACCCAAGATAATTAAAAGAAAGAAATAATAAATATTAAAGTAAGTGAATTGAAGTAAAAAGAAATAGATAAAAATCAGTGAAATCAATAGCTGGTTGTTTGAGAACAATCAATAAAATTAATAAACCTAAATTTTCTTCTTTTAGGAAAAAAAGTAAGATACAATTTACTTTATAAGGAATTACATAAATGATGTTTCTATAGATGATACAAATATTAAAATAATACAGGAATTTATTAATGACTTTATAAGTTACATGAAATAGACAAATTTCTTGAAAAATATACCCTCTACCAACTTTGAATTAAGAATAAATAGATAACCCAAATAGCCCCACGTTTAATGGACTTACATATGCAGTTACAAATCATCCCTCAACACAATGCCTTAATTATGAATTTTACCTCAAACTTACTAGAAAGTAGTAACTTACCTGAAAGTGGTAATACCAATTATACACAATCTCTTCCAGAAAAATTAAAAGGAATAAATTCTTTCAAACTCATTTTGTTAGACCAATATTACCAAAACAAGACAAAGACATTACAAGAAAACCACAAATATTCATCATGAATGTAAGTGCAACTCTTCATAAAAGCCAATTAAGCATCATAAAATAGTTTCCTTTACAAATGGAACTGTTGTGAAAGCAAAAGGCTAAGGCACACATGAAGAAAAAGGTATTTGCAAATATTTATCTAAAGAAAGACTGTTTCTGTTCCATGATTAGAGGACATCCAACCTAAATTTTAAAAGTGCTCTTAAAAATGCTTGTCGTCGGCCGGGCGCGGTGGCTCACGCCTCTAATCCCAGCACTTTGGGAGGCCGAGGCGGGTGGATCATGAGGTCAGGAGATCGAGACCATCCTGGCTAACACAGTGAAACCCTGTCTCTACTGAAAATACAAAAATTAGCCAGGCGTGGTGGCGGGCACCTGTAGTCCCAGCTACTCAGGAGGCTGAGGCAAGAGAAAGGAGTGAACCCGGGAGGTGGAGCTTGCAGGGAGCAGAGATCACGCCACTGCACTCCAGCCTGGGCAACAGAGCCAGACTCCATCTCAAAAAACAAAAAAGCTTGTCATCATTAGGCATTAGAGAAATGTTAATTAAAATCACAGTGAGATACCAATTCATACTCATTAGAGGGCAATAATAAAAAGCAAAAGAAAAAATGTTGACAACAATGTAGATAAATGAGAACCCTCATATGTCACTGGTAGAAGTAGAAAATGGTGTAGCCCCTTTGGAAATCGGTTTGAAATTTTCTTTAAAAGTTGGACATATATTTGCCATACAACTCAGCAATTCTGCTACTAGGTATGTCACTGAGAGAAATGAAAACATATGATTACACAAAGAGTTGTATGCATGAGTAGCCATTATTCATAGAACCAGATAGCCCATCTGAAATGGAAATAACTCACATGCCCATCAGTTGGCAACTGGATAAACCAAATATAATATATCCATGCAATGGAATCACATTCAGCAACAAAAATGAATTATTGATATATGCTAGAATATAAATGGACCTCAAAAACATTATGCTAATCAAGGATAGAAATACTTTGACTGTCAAAGACCAGCTGCTAAATAGTTTAGGCTTTGCAAGCCATATACAATCTTTATCCATATTTTTTCTCTTCTTTTCTTCAATATTTAAGAATGTGAAAATTATTCTTAGCTTACTAGCCATGAGCTGTATTTGGCCCACAGCCTGTAGTCTATTATTCCTTGTGCTAAGTGAAAAAAGTCAGATTTTAAAAATACACAAAGTTCAAAGGAATATCTATAGTGTATGCTATCATCTGAATGTTTGTGTCCTTCCAAAAGTTTTATGTTGAAATTGAATCCCCAATGCAATAGTATTAAGAAGTGGGGCCTTTACGAGCCAATCATAAATGGAATTAGTGCCCTTATAAAAGAGGCCCAAGAAAGCCTCTTTACCCTTTCCACCATGGGAGGAACTCTAAGCAATATGTTTCTGATGCATATAAGCCACCTAATTTACAGTATTTTTTGTTGTAAGCACGAGGAGACTAAGCGTGCTCTCTTTTTTTTGTAAGAAAAAGCTGATATAAGAAATACACAGGTAGATGCTCATTTGTACAAAAGGACACGGAGGAAGGGTGAGTCAGAACCCAATGAGATTAAGTTTCCTATAAGAAGTTTATGGAAATGGGTGAAAAGGGATGGAGGAGGGACACTTATTTGAGTAGATCTTTTTATAAATTTCCACTCTGTATAAAATGGCAATACTTATTGCGCACACACACACACACACACACACACAAATAAAATCAACAGTGAAGATGAGGGAAAAAAAGGGTGGCAAACAAACACAAACAGATAAATCCTACTGTATTCAAAATGAATAATGAATAACATAAACACACTGAGAGGAAGAAATAAGGCAGCTACCTTCTGAAAACAGTGTATTGACTGCAAACCCTCAGGCGAAAGACAAAATAAACTATAAACAAATATGCAACATTCCGTAAATCTAAAGTGAGTTCCAAAAAGAAGTGTAAAATAATGGAGTACTTACAAATGTTTTAAATAGTATTTTTAAGTTAATTGTCATCATTTCTCTCAAAAATTAAAAAGGAAGTAGAAATGTCATAACGGGGTAATCAGCAGATTACATTATTTGTACCCCAAACAATTTCTTTGGGGAATAAATAATGAGGTACGAATAATGGGGTACAGATTGAGTACAGGCAGCTCTTGGTTTTCTGTGATGGTGTGAGAAAGGTATAATTATTGATATGTTAAATAATACAAAGTTCTCATTTAAAATTATAATTTCTTTTCTTTTCTTTCTACTAAATAGCTCCGTGTCAAGTATTTTGGAGCCAAACCAGGTTGCAGAATGGTTATAAATTGCAGATTTGTGGTAAGTCAAACCTGGAAGTGAAACTTGCTGTTCTACTGATTAGGACTTGAACCCTAGATAATTTACATTAAATTTAAGATCCTCATGTTCCCTTCTATAAATTAATATGAATAATCTTCTAGGAAAGAAGCTGTAAACATTAAGTTACACAATTAATTTTAAGCACCAAGAATAAATCACAGTACGTGACAGTCCTTTGGGAAGTGAAATCTATTTTCATTGTTTGTATTAGTAAACAGGTGAGCAGTCTGCCTTGTTTCCTTTTGTAGCTACTAATCTATGTTAGTAAAATACAAAAACAGTAAATGGCAAAACCAAAAAATTACATTAATTTTAAGGTTTAGAAGAAGGAATAAAGATTCTATCTCCCTGTCTTTTTATAAGTTCCCTCTTGTGTCTGCCTCAAGGGAAAACAAAAAACCAAAAACAAACAAAACAAAAACAACATTTAGAATTAAAAAAAAAAATCTCTGGGTAGTATGGATACTAAAATGTGAGATGACAAGTGTCTTTTAGTGAAAAATCTGTTCTGCAACTTGCAAAGAAAGCAATGTCATGGGATGAAGTGATGAACTTTTTTTAAAGCCAACAAATGATAAATTGCCATAAGAGCTATTTAGTTACAGCATTGGGTTTCATCATGTTGGGAACCAAACAATCCCAAATGCATACAATTTTCCTTAACTAAAATGAAACTGCACCATCCAGTGTGAATGCTCGGTACACAAAAATGTGCAAACTGGAATATTTATGAGACTCCATTTGCAAATGACACTTACAATGTGATTGCTGGCAAATTGACTAAATACGGAATTAAAACAGAAGCCGAGTAGCCATTTTACTGTAATGGGAACTTGCGAAGGTTTTGAGAAATGTGTGCTCTTTTACAGCCTAGGGAAATGCCATTTTGGAATAAGAGGGAAATTTTAGTCCAGAATCTATCTGACTCATTTTTTCACCTTTGAAATTGTGAGTTTGTAATTGAGATCTCAATTCCTTCCTTTCTGATCGTCTATTCTATATAAAGATAAGAAAATAACTTAAAATTATATAACACAATGCATGAAATAAATCAAACTGCTTTAAATAATGTTGAAATTAAAATTGCCAGAAATGGTAGATAACCAATGAGTGTCATTATAAATGCCGCTGTTCACCAGATCATTCTCAATAGCACATAATGTGATCACATTGAAATACAGAAAAGGATTTTGAAAAGATATATTCTTAGATGAGAGCACTTGTCTCCATGAAGTAGAATTATTCGTGATATTTTATCTTTTTCTTATTTTGATTATCTGTGTTTTCTTACTTTTATCATACAATGAGATACACAGATTTATCCTTCACAAAAATATCTATAACTTGTGGAATATATGACATTTATGACAATGACACTTTTAAGGTGTTTTAACAATCACTTAAGCAATTTATGTGGAAAAGCTACTGTAGTTCAGCATTAAGTACAGGTATGTAATATTATCAGTTTCTCTTCTCCTCCTTGAGGCTAATTCTACTTCGAGTTCCCTCAAGGCTTGCAATTTAGTGTTATAATATTATCAGTTTCCATAAATTTACCCTTACAAAATCCTGTCTGAGTTACAAAATGTGCATTCTCTAGGATTCTCCAATCCAGTGTCTTGGTGTTCTTTGTAAGCTGGAATCTAGGTCTGTATTTGCCCTTATAAAATAAGCTATGCTCTTGTGCATTATACCACTTTTAACAAGTACCGGGCTGGGTGAGGTGGCTCACGCCTGTAATTCCCGCACTTTGGGAGGTTGAGGCAGGCGGATCACGAGGTCAGGAGATCGAGACCATCCTGGCTAACATGGAGAAACCCCGTCTCTACTAAAAATACAAGAAATTAGCCGGGAGTGGTGGCGGGCGCCTGTAGTCCCAGCTACTCCGGAGGCTGAGGCCAGAGAACGGCGTGAACCCGGGAGGCGGAGCTTGCAGTGAGCCGAGATCCCGTCGCTGCACTCCAGCCTGAGTGATAGAGCGAGACTCTGTCTCAAAAAAAAAAAAAAAAAAAAAAAGAAGAAGAAGAAGAAGAAGTGCCAGAGTCACAAGAAAATGACCTGTTTTAATTCTTCTTTATTGTTTCATAGTGTGCAGAATGTTAAACTAATAATTTAACCCCAGAAATAACTTACACACAAATTAAAAGCTGGAGGAAAAAAAGAAAAAAAGAGTCCACGTACTATTTGTAAGTATGCACTTAGCTAATGTCACCAAAGTATTAGCTTAAGGAGTTGATGTCTATTCCTGTGGGTACAGCAATATAAATACCCCAAATCCCTGCAGTGGCTCTGTGGTGACTCCTGACATCCCTTTAGAATTACTGGAAAGTCTATTCCTGGGACCAAGGAAGGTAGAGAAGTGTTTTCCTATCTTTCATTTACCTGCCACCTTCGCCACTCTCTAGTAATTTTTATAAAATTATAATAAGCTTATTTATAGAATAAAACTACCTTTTTGCAGTTTAAAAATTTGCTTTAAAAAATAATTGTTCTCTTCATTAACCTCACACCTTTGGGACCAAGTCACATTGTAGGTTATCTATTTTGTATCTTGCTGAGTATTGTCTGTAGTAGATCCCCATGAGTTGTCCAAAAAATCTGTATTTGTTTTAGATAGCACCTTGCTGTCAACATTCATGATTCCCTTGCAAAGACTGCCCATGTGACTGAGATCTGTGCAATGAAAGGGCAGAAGGGGTGGTGCACTTGCAAGCCTGTCCTTCACCTCTTACTTAACTCTTCTGTGCAGTCTTCCCTGGTACATTTGTCACCAGAGGCCAAAGGATGCAGCGAAGGACTGGGAGCCCCACGGAGGAAGCTGAGCCTAGGGAGCGGAGGGCCTTCCCTGGTTGCTGCCCACCTACGTCCCACTGGGATGCATGTGAGAAACTCTGCTGTGTAATCCACTGAGATTTGAGAGCTGTTTGTTACGGCAGTTAGCCTATTCTACAAATATGTCTTTTGCCAGTTGCAGTATAAAAGCAAACAGGGCTGTTACTGCCTTAACTAATGTGCTTATGACATGCAGTACCATAAACTAGAAGCTCATGTGTCAACTTGCACTTTTAATGATACCACGGGCAACAAGCCGCTATAATCAAATTTGAGCAATTACATTTCTGACTCCATTTACATAATATGAACCACATGGGGTGGAGAGGTTATATCTGGAGCAGGAGAAGATGATTAGATTTTTTAAACAAATTGCACATAGAAAGTATAATCAAGATTGGATTGGCTCACAGAACAAGAAAGTCTTTTCTGTTATGTTTTGTCCTTAGAGATCTGAAGAAACCAGAAGTTCACTCTCTGTGTTTCTTTCAGTCCCCTGTGCCAGTGAATTCTTTCTGTTTCCTAATATGCTCATAAGAGTTCATAATATATTATGATTTTTCATTTAAAATGCATGCCTATTTCAGAAAATACGTTACTTATGGTAATTTCCACTGTACTCTAAAAAGCAATAGAAGAAATATACTATTTTAAATGAATATGTAATCTGGAATGTATCTCATTTTCAAAGCTACCTGGTATTTGCTTGTTTTGTATCTAGATAGTGAGTGTTGTCTAAAGGCATTTTGTCCTATACACAAGGTGTGTTCACACATGTTCACATACGCGTATGCATGAATAATCATCAAATAGCAATCCTGATTCTCATGTTGCTGACTTAGTACTGAGGAGGTGTTTCTCTGGAAACTTTTGTACCACTTTCTCTTATTCTAATGAAAACCACTAACATCAACAAGAGTAAGAAATCCAAAAGTAGCCCCTTGGGGCAGAGTATAACTTGTGAAATGTGCCCCCATTCCTCACAAATGCTCTGTGTATCACCTTTCACAAAAAGGAAGAGTTAAATTTTGTAGGATAAATCTCCAGTTTGCCTTTTATGTCTTTACTTTCCAACATTTCACTATTTATCATTCTCAACTATAGCCAATAAGGAAGCATTTTTATTAACCTCTGCTGGATTGATTCCTTTTGTTGTTTTCAGGATTTAAAATCTATCAAACCATATGTACCATACGTTTTGGAGCAGTGACCATTTCGGAAAGAGGACTGTCCTGTGGGGGTGCCAATCGGGGCAAGCTGGCTCTGAATTGAGGATGGGGTATCAGAAATATTTCTGCCCGTTTTCAAGCCCCAAGGTTTTTTAGTTCTGCTTATACTTAGGAAGTAGAAACTACAAGAGAAGATCACTGCCACTCTAAAAGGGGGAAAAATTGTTGTTTTGTATAAAACGGAAGAGAGTTAAATTCACGTGGTAAGCAATTACTAATGGTGATAAGCCACTCCAAAGAAAGACGCGTTGTGTAAAATTGTTTCACTTTTGGCAATTTGTTGGTGGGAGAGTTGGCAACCATAAAACCAACTTGGAAAAAATTAAAAGAAGTTTTAATTAATTCTTAAAGGCCAAGTGCAGGTGAGCATAAAATATTATGATCCCTGGGAGCTTGTGACTAGAGGAGAGGCTGCACTCTGCTCAGCACTGCTGTCTGTGGGCTTCTACCAGGGGATCATTGGAAAGATGGGGTAAGGTCAAGGTCGGATATCCAAGAGACAAAAATGAGTAATAATATAACTTGAGCAACTGGATGACATCCTTGAGCAACTAGACCTGATTAAGATTTTTAGAGCACTCCACACGACCGCTGCAGAATACACGTGATTTTCAAGTGCACATGAAGATTTCACCATGATTAATGAAATTTGGGGGCAGAAAGCAAATCTCAAATACATTTTAAATAGTCAAAAATATTACAAAGGGTGTTATTTGACCACAATACATGAAACTATAAATTGATGGTAGAATAATATTTTGAAGCTTCCCAAATATTAAGGAAGACATTTCTGAATCCATGATTCATGAAAAATGAACAAAAATTGAGAAAATAGTTTGCACTGAATATGAATGAAACCATAGTGTATTTAAATATGTTAACTGTAGCTCAAGTGATGCTTAGATGTCTACAGCTTTAAAGGCCTCTATTAGAAGGGAAATAAATTCTCAATCAATGATGTAAACTTAAACATCAAGAAGTTAATAAAAATCAAATTAAATCTAAAATGATCACAAGTGTGGTAGATACAATATTAAAACTAACCCTGGTGGTGTATGTCAGTATATAACCCACTTCCCCTTGTGTGTAAACTGGACATGTAACTTGTTTCTAACTCATAGATTATAGCAAAGGTGATGGAATACAACTCCTGTGGTTATATTACCTTATATGGCAACAGTGAAATATTTTGCAGATATAATTAAGACCCAGGACTCAGCTGGGCTGCACTGATTGTCCTGAAACATAGAAACAGTGACAAAATAATAAACATACATTGTTTTCTGCTGCTACATTTATTAGAAGACATCATAACAATGGAGGAAATAAATGAAACCAAATATTTAAAGATAAAATAATGATAATTCTATAAAAACCATCCACAAAATTGAGGATAAAATGCTTCCTAACTTACTTTGCAGAGTTACCCTGATTACATAATATTACAAAGATCTTGCAAAAAAGAAAACACACACAATTTATCCATGAAACTAAATACAAATATTTAAAAAATATATTTGTAGAGTGAATTTGTGTGTATGTGTGTGTATGTGTATGTGTGTGTATGTGTATGTGTGTGACTTCATGAACAATAGTAGTTTATCAGAGAAATATATGTTTGAAATGTAAAATTAATCAATGTAATTTTTCATATCAATAAACCAAAAAATAAAAAAAACTCCATTATGTTCTCAACACATGCAGAAAAAGCACCTGAAAAAATTCAACACACTTTTATGATAATTCTCAGCAACTAAGAATAAAGGGCCCTGGCACTGGGGCTTTTCAGGAGGTTGGAGGGAGGTAGAGCATCAGGATAAATAGCTAATGCATGTGGGGCTTAATACCTAAGTGATAGATTGACAGATGCAGCAAACCACCATGGCACACATTTACCTGTGTAACAAACCTGCATGTCCTGCACATGTATCCTGGAACTTAAAATAAAAGTAAATTAAAAAACAATAGAGGAAATATTAACTCTACATAATAAAGACCATATACGAACAGCACAGAATTAACATTATACTGAACGGTGAAAAAGTGAAAGCATTTTCACCATGATCAGGGTCAGCATAGTGTGGATGTTCTAGTCAGAGCAAGTACGCAGATAAGCCAGATAAAAGGAATAAAAGACATCCAAATCAAAAAAGAGGTAGTAAAATTGTTCCTGTTTACAAATGACCTGATATTTTATATAGAAAACCCTAATGACTACACACACACACACACACACACACACTTGTTAGAACTAGTAAACATATTTAGGAAAGTGCCGGAATATAAGATCAACATACAACATATATGCCGGAATATGAGATCAACTATTGCATTTCTGTACATTAGTAACAAACTATCTGAAGAAAAAAGAAATATAAATCTTATTTACACTATCATCAAAAACAGTAAAATACTTAGGAATAAACTTAACTAAAGATGTGACAGACTTGTACACTGAAAACTACGAAACATTAATGAAATAAGTTAAGGAAGACACAAACAAAGGCAAAGAAATTTTGTATTCAAAATTGGAAGACTTAGTTTTGTTAAAATCCTCATGACACCCAAAACAATCTACAGATTTAATACAACGCCTTTTAAAATATTTTTGTCCTTTTTTTACAAAATGGATTTTTTTTACAAAAATGGAAAATAAATTCTAAAATGTATATAGAACCACAACAGATTTCGAATACCTAAAACAATCTTCAAAATGAAGAACAAAGCTGGAGGCATCATATTCTCTGATCTTAAAATAAATTTAAAAGCTACATTAATTAAACAATATGGTACTGAATAAAGGTAGACCGATAGCCCAGTGGAACAGAATAGAAAGCCTAGAAATAAAGCCTCACATACATAGTCAAATTATCTTTGTTGAGCAAGACAAAAATACACAATGGACAAAGGATTTTTTTTTAACAAATAGTATCTGGAAAATCAGATATCTACATGCAAAGGAATGAAACTGAACCCTATACTATAGAGAAAAAATCAACTCAAAATTGATTAATGGCCTAAGTGTAAGACCTGCAACTGTAAAACTTCTAGAAGAAAACACAGGAAATACCATGATATTGGTCTGGGCAATGTCATGAAAATGATACCAAAAGTATAGGTGACAAAAGCAAAAACAGAAAAATACTACTAGTCTCCTTAAAAGTATATCAAAAGGCTTCTACACAGAGAAGGATATAATCAACAGAGTAAGAAGTACCTTACAGAATAGAAAAAAAAATTTTTTTTGCAAAACATATGCTGATAAGGGGTTAACTTCCAAACTATATTAGGAATACCTACAACCAAAGAGCAAAAAAAAAAAACACCCCAGTAACTCAACTTAAAAGTGGGCTAAAGACTTGAATAGATATTTCTCCAAATAAGTCATATAAATAAATAGCCAACAGGTATACTGAAAAATGCTCAATGATATTAATCATCAGGGAAATGCAAATTAAACCACAATGAAATATCATCACCTCGCACCTGCCAAAATGGCTATTATCCAAAACAAAACAAAAGTTCACAAGTATTTTCAAGGGTGTAGAGAAATTGGAATCCTTGCCTTTTGTTGGTGGGAATGCAATAGGTGCAGCTACTCTGCAAAACACTATGACGCTTTCTTAAAATAAAAACAGAACTACCATATGATCTAGCAATGCAAATCTGGATACTTATCTAAAAATAATTTAAATCTGGACTTTAAAAGATATAGTAGCATTCTTATATTCATCACAACATCCTTCACAATAGCTAAGATTTGAAAATTTTGTAAATTTTCATGGACAGATGAACGGATAAAGAAAATGTGATACACACCTATGCATACAATGTGATATTGTTCAGACTTAAAATACAAGGAAGTTCTAGAATATGTAGCAACATGGATGCTAAGTAAACATTATGCTAAGTAAAATAAGCCAGTCACAGGAGTTTAAACAGTGCATTATTCCACATATATGAGGTTTTTAAAATAGTCAAACTCATAGAAGAAAAGAACAAGATGGTGGTTTCTAGAGGCTAGGGAAGGGACAAAGGAGGGGCTGCCAATCATTGGGTATAAAATTTCAGTTATGCAAGATATATAAGTCTAGAGATCAGCTGTATAATACTGTATATATAGATAAAAATACTGCAGTGTATTCTTAAGAAGATAGTGCTCACGTTAATTATTCTTACTACAATGAAATAAAATAACAATAAAGGAAGAAATACAAGTGACATATAACTCTATAACCAAAGGAATAAATACATAAATGCAGAAAACAAATAAACAAAACCCCAAAACATACACGAAGCACTAGTGAGTGTCATATTCCCATGGTAGATTGGAAAGGATGGAGAAATGGAGGAGGAGATATTTCCATTTTAGCAACATACGAAACTTCAAACTTCGAATTTGGTACCCCTGTTGTGGCCCTCTTAAGCTCAGCTTCTACCTCTTTAGCAGTACTGCGATATGTTCGCCCTCAAAGTTCACTTATTCCCCAAGAGAAGTTTGGTGTCTGCGACTGAAATAATATATCTTGGGCCAGGTGCAGTATCTCACACTTGTAATCCCAGCACTTTGGGAGGCCGAGAAGGGCAGATCACCAGAAGTCAGGCATTTGTAACCAGCCTGGCTAACATGGTGAAACCCCATCTCTACTAAAAATACAAAAATTAGCCGGGCATGGTGGTGGGCGCCTGCAACCCCAGCTACTCAGGAGGCTGAGGCTGGAGAATCACTTGAAACCAGGAGGCGGAGGTTGCAGTGAGCGGAGATTGCGCCATTGCGGGGTGACAAGAGTGAAACTGTCTAAAAAAAGAAACAAAGGAAATAATATATCTTGGAGTCTCTTGGAGAGGGACTACTAACGAAAAAACATTAACGTTTTGGGTTCTTACCAGGCCAAATATTGTCTTACATTTATTCACATTGATAGCATGCTGTGTCTTTGTGGGATCTCAGAAAAATTAGTTAACTTTGCTTTAGGGAATGTCTGAGTTGGGACAAATCTATCAGGGAGGGCTTCCAAAGAAATGATTAACTAGGTCCATTTAGTATAATTTCAACAGGCAAGAGAAAGGATTGAAAGGCATTTCTGCAGCAAAGAGCGTAGTTAAAAGCTCTTGAAATGTGAACTCTCATGGCCTGTGAATGTTGGTGGAATATTGAATGTGTCTGAGAAGAACCTGGGTGGTAATGGGAGATGAGGATGAAAATTTTGAAGCAGATCATGGAGGGCCCAGATTTATAGGAAAACCCAGAGTATTGAGTCTTTCCCTGAAAAGAAGAGAAGCCATTTAAGATATTTTAGGTTGGTAGGTGATTTGGCCACTTCAGTTTTTCAAAGTAAAATCATTTCACAGTGCTAGTGCTAAATTCTGGTTTTAGATGTGAAATACCCACAGCAGTGTTCAAATTCATTTGCAACTGCGGTTCTCTTGGGCCACAAAGTGCATTTCTAACCTGATAATTCATGTTCATCTCCAGCCTTGCCAGTAGTATAAGTGCACTGTGTTTTAACACATGCTGAAAAGATACAGGCAATGTAAGTAATGACATGATTCCAAATAGTGCCCATAAAAGCATTGTGTGAATCTGTGGGGAAGTGTGCAGTTTAGTAGTGTTTTGTATATTCTCATATTTATGAAACAGATTTCCAGAACTTTACCATCTTATAAAACTGAGTCTATATCCCCTAAACAGCTCCCATGTTCCTCCTCCCTATATCCCCTAGTAATAACCATTCTACTTTGCGTTTCTGTGAATTTGAGTACTTTAGGCAACTCCTATAAGTGGAATCACATAGTGTTTATCTTTTTGTGACTGGCTTATTTCTCTAAATAATTTTTAATATTCTACTAATTTGTTCTACTAATTTTTAGTAATATCAGAAAGCTTGTTCTACTTGATTTTAGGCATTCCAACAAAAGAGATTGGTTTGACCCCAGATTAAAAAAAGATTTACCCTCAATATTTGATAATAATGTGTTTATCCAGAATAGTTTAAATAGTTATAACTTTTTGAGTAACAAGCTTTAAAAATAAAGATAATATGAAATATTTCAATGATATTTTTTCTCATAGATTTAATAGCTTAACAATTAATTCAACAAATATTTAATGAGTTTTGCTATATTAAAGGCACTGCTCTGTGCTCCGGGGATACAGCACTGAACTTTAGAAATAAATATTTGCTTTTATTGAGTTTGAATTACAGAGGAGTGAGATAGTAAGACAATAGAGAGTTGATAGATAAAAAAAATCTTCAGGCAATAATAGGTGGTATGAAGTACTATGACGATACGGTGGTAAATTTGAGATATACATTAAATGCAGGGGCTATCCCAGAAAAAGAAAGGGAGGAGCTTCAATTTTCCTGGCAGAGTGAAGCACTAACATACAACCTATGTGGCCCAGGAGTACCAAACATGAATTTATCTGAGAACACCAGTAATAATATATTCATGTCAACTTTAAAAGTCACAAGATGCCAGGCGCAGTGTCTCACGCCTCTAATCCCAGCACTGTGGGGGGCTGAGGCGGATGGATCACGAAGTCAGCAGATCGGACCATCCTGGCTAAACAATGAAATCCTGTCTCTACTAAAAATACAAAAAATGAGCCGGGCGTGGTGGCGGGCGCCTGTAGTCCCAGCTACTCGGGAGGCTGAGGCGGGAGAACGGCCTGAACCCGGGAGGCGGAGCTTGCCAGTGAGCTGAGATCCCGCCACTGCACTCCAGCCTGGGCGACAGAGCGAGACTCCTTCTAAAAAAAAAAAAAAAAAAAAAAGTCATAAGATCTGTAAGTTTAGAAAACAGACTTTATTTCTTATAAAGCGTTACAGCCTGCAAGACGGTCAGCCTGACAGGCTGGGAAGCAGAGCCTCCAGCAAAGACCAGAGACAGGCACTTTGATGGAGGGGATTGTGGTAGGAGCTTTATGCTGAATGGGTTGGCTGTACATATACATATTCACGTTCATCAATATACATATTCAGGAGGTTGCTGAAAGAGCTATGAATATTAATGAAGAAGGGCCGGACACATGTGTACTGAACAAACATGCATGTAACATGGCCCATGTTCACTTTGGGGTGGAGTCTTAACATTTAAGTGTTTCACAATTAGGCCCTTTAAAACACCTTTGACCATTCTTATAATGGGTTACAGCCGGCAAAGTGGCCATTATGACCACCTTGCCGGCTGTAACCCATTATAAGACATAAAGTCTATTTTCTAAACGTATAGATCTTCTGACTTTAAAATGTAATACATGTAAATGAAGGCGCTTAAGTCACTCAGCCAGAACCAGTCCACGGTTGCTGGTTTTCTAACCAGGAGAAAGTTACTGAAAGTAGTCTTGTCCCATCAAAGCTGTAGTTACGGAATATGGAATTGGTACTGGGGATCAGTTACTCAGTGTCTGGTGGAGCTGCAATTGCCTCATTGGGTCTTATCTCAAGGCTAGTGCTTGTTTAAAGAAAAAGAAAAATCTTGTGGCTGTCAGAACATGGTGTATTCTTTAAATGTTAGGGGTGCATGACTAGACCATTGCCTGGAATGGCCTTGGGTCTTGTTTATAATTTGGTATCTTATTGCCACAAAGAGTCCATTCTGTTAGTGCACAATCTCCATTTTAACATTAATGCTGGTCAATTGTTGTCTCCAAACTGCAAAACGGTGAGGTATAATGAGGCATGTCTGACCATCCATCCTGTCATGGCTGGAAACTCAGATTTTAAGGTTTATCTGGGGTCCCCTTGACCAAGAGAGGGATCTGTTCACTCAGTAGGAAGCTTACAATTTTATTTTTATTTTAAAACTTCATTGAAAAATATTTTTCTATAGAGACCAACTGTTCTTTTCTTCATTCTCATGGTTAATAATTTTCCCTTGTACTGTTTTTATAGAAATGTCTCCCAAATGCCCATTGATGATAGACTGGATAAAGAAAATCATGGTCATGATAAAGACCATGAAATACTATGCAGCCATAAAAAAGAATGAGCTCATGTCCTTTGCAGGGACATGGATGAAGCTGGAAGGCATCATTCTCAGCAAACTACCACAGGAACAGAAAACCAAACTCTGCATATTCTCACTCATAAGTGGGAGGTGAACAGTGAGAATACATGGACACAGGGAGGGGAACATCACACACTGAGGCCTGTTGGGAAGTGGCGGCAAGGGGAGGGAGAGCATTAAGACCAATACCTAATGCATAAGGGGCTAAAAACCTAGATGATGGGTTGATGATGGGTGCAGCAAACCACTATGGCACATGTATATCTATGTAACTAACCTGCACGTTCTGCACATCTATCCCAGAACTTAAAGTAAATTTTTTTTAAAAAAGGAAACATCTCTTTATTGTTTTATGCAAGTAAAGTTCAAACGCATTTCATCAGTTCATCCCATTTGGCCTTAGACTCACCAACCTATTAGCTTTGCTGAAATGCAGCACTGTTGAAAAAATAAAATAGATTATATTGATGAAACTAATGTGTACAGACAAGATTACATTACTATTATTTCTAGTTGTAGTGGCAATAATAGCAGTAGCATGTATTCATTATTATTTATAGATTGAGGTCCAATTAAAAACACATTTCTGTCTAGCAACACAGGCTTTCAAAGCTGAAAGAAATCCCTCATTTAATCTAATCACACTTCTTACAAATAAAACCAGATCAGGAAGATAAGTGAATGATTAAATTAACATACATAAAATGTTACAAGTGATATTGTCTTCAGGAGATCAGGCATGAAGTCGAGTACACAATCCCTGTGAATGAAGGAGTGGCTGTCCATCCAGTTCTTTTATCTGGACAAGAAAACCATGATACAAATTGAAATACAGTCTCCTGTTCTTCTTACCTTACATATACATCGCTGGGGGGTGGGGGGTGGGAATAGAATCTGATTCTCCACAGCCAAGAGTTTCCTGGGAATAGCTGGCCGATTTGCTATGCAACTCACAATAGATACCAACCCCTGGGGAATGTGGCAAGCAGATGAACTTGGATGCTGCACTAATTAAATCCTTGGGGGATCCTAATTACTAGGAGGAGCCACTGCTCACTTCTTTTGGGTATTTGCATTTGTAGTCAGGATCAAAAGCATTTGTAGATGTAAATATCTGTACAACAAACATTATTTGTCTTGAGTTCTCATAATTTCCCAGAGAGTATCCCAAGAATGAAGTTGGGAAAAGTACATGCAATTACTATTTACAACTGGGATCTTGTCTCCCAGTTCATCTTGAATGTGATTCTGTGGCAATGAGGCTAAATATCAGTTTTATGGACATTGAGTTACTTGGTGATGTCAATCAGAAGATAAAGGAGAAAACTCTATTCCAGGCACTATTATTAACTAGCTACGCCAGTTTTGGAAAGATTATTTACTTCTTTGAACCTCAACTGTTATTTATTTTAAATTATTATTTGTAAAATGGAAATAATTATACCAACTTTCAAAGTCATAATTTGAAATTTTACTGCCTTCACATATTGTGTTTTTAAATATAAATCAAATTTCTTTTACTTTTTGGAATCAAGCTAGAATAATGTAAGACTCTACGTAAATTTTTAGGCTTGTTTGTCCTGAGATTCTTTCCTTGACCTTACTCCGCTCTGCTCTCTAAGGTAGTAATGGCGACCAGTTGAAAAACTAGAGACCAACTGCTGTGCCTGCTGGCTGCTGGATGGGTTAGGGCAACAGATGGCATAGTTAGGAGAAGGGAGAAGGGAAGAATTGAGACTTTATTTTCTGTCCCTTTCTGCTTTGTGCAGTGTTGCTGGCAACAGCTGGCATCTCAGTCTCTCTAACATCTGCTATGCAGGACCACTGATTTTCACGTCCATTAGTTGACTTTGGCTCCTTGGCATCAGTAACACCATTCTCTCCCTTTCTTCTCTCAGAATTTGGGTAGAAGTGGCTTTTGGATGTAGCTACAGTTTGGTTATGAAAAGCTATATACAATGATAGATAGATAGATAGATAGATAGATAGATAGATAGATAGATAGATAGATACATAGATACATAGATACATAGATAAGCTGTTGGGATCATTACAGATTCTGTTGAAGCCAGAAGACTTGTTTCAATGCAAAGAAATAATAAAGCACTGTTTGTTTTTGTTATTGGCATATCTGCTAATACCTGGTATGTTTGAGAGTGCATTTTTTTTTTTTTTGAGACAAAGACTTGCTCTGTTGCCAGGGTGGAGTGCAGTTGCGCGATCTCCGCTCACTGAAACCTCTCCCTTCTGGTTTCAATTCATTCTCCTGCCTCAGCCTCCTGAGTAGCTGGGACTACAAGTGTGTGCCACTACGACCAGCTAATTTTTGTATTTTTAGTAGAGATGGGGTTTCACCATGTTGGCCAGGATGGTCTTGTGATCTGCGTGCCTTGGCCTCCCAAAGTGCTGGGATTACAGGTGTGAGCCACCACAGCATGCATTTTAATGCACTTATTAAACCGGGTTCAGAAACAAAGCCAGTGGCCTGAGCAGGTCCATAGGTCAAAAATGATGGCCTGCATTAAGCTAGGATCCCCAAAGAACAGCACCCTCAGTGAGTAAATTAGGAATAACAAAAGAAGAAATAATGAGACTATGTCTCTCTTATCCTTGAATCTTGGTAACATGAAGAAAACAGAAAAAAAAATCTACTCTTAAATTCTAAACATTCAAATCCTGAATTCACATTACATTTGTGGCCCAAACAAATGCCAAGATGAAAAAAAAATCAACCTCAGAGAAGCGCTCTCCCATAAAATAAGATCAAGAACCAATGGTTCACAATAAACAGAAATCAGTGAGCACAAGTAAAGAAGCCACCATGAGTAGGTGACAGCATATATAACTCTGGTGGCTTTAAATGTGCCAGCTTGATTGAAACAAAATAGGGTCCCATAATTTCCTTCTCTAAACTTTCCATTACTGTTGGACACAGATTTTTATTTCCATGACATTTGGAAGCAGAGCAGGAGATCCATCCACTTAAGAGCTTAATGTAAATAGTCATATTCATATTTTGGAGGATGTTTGGACTCACTTTGTTGCATAGGCAGCAACTATTTGAAAGCTCCTGCCTCCCACACCCCTGCTCTATCCCACCAAATTCTGGCAAGGTGTCAGTGTGGCTCTATGGCAGAGTGACAGTTCCTCCTGGCACAAGTCATCTGTGACATCAAGGTTAGAAACTAGGAGATGTGGAGTGCCAGTGACTATTTCAATTTTCCCTGTTCTCCCTCACTTCCTGTTCATATGTTTTTCCCCTACTGCCTGTTCCACAACATCAGGCTCAGTATCAGATGCAGAAGAAACACCTGATCTATGTGTAATTCACCAGTACCCGCAATTTTAAAAGGTTGAATTTCTATCATCAAACTCTTTTTCTAAATAAGTTCATAATTCTGCTTCTAGGAGTAAAATCTCACAGATGAAATAATAAATAGTATAGTTACATCTAAAAGACTTAAAATTGAATTATCTAAGGTCGTAATATAATTGTGAATTTAATCAGTGAAAAGCAATAAAAGAAGGCATTGAAATTATGAAAAAAAAATGGATAAGTTGGATCCACTGATCCCTGGAAAAGCTAAATAAGATTTCTAGAAATAAAAGCTGTAAAACCTAAAATATTCACAGATGAAGAGAATGTATAAACAAAAAAATGCAATACAGCACTTAGAATAAAAAAGATAAATAATAAAGTGAAAATTAACAGAAAAGAAATTGAAGTGGGAATGTTAATTTCAATCACATAAAAATTATTTCAGAAAACAGAAAAATAGAGCATACACTCAAAAACCAGACATGGACTACAGAAAAGTGAAAGATAGGTATATGTCATCATAATCATATATTTTTAGTATAAAGTATATACTAAATAACATAATATATACTAAATAATATAATAAATTTTTAATGTAAAGTATTTCAGTATAAAATATTTTAGTATAAAATTTATACCATTAAATATCTTCATTGGACATCCAACTTGAGAATCTGTGAAAAGAAAAATTAAGGAAATGAAAAGGAAGTATATGGAAGGGGTTAAGATAAATAAAAGTAGAAATTAATAACATAAAACAGGAAAAAATCATACGAATAATTTTTATATAGAAATCATATTTTCGGAAATATCTACCAAAAATGTAATAAAAAGAATAAGGGAGATTCAACTCTCAAAAAAAAGTATGTATATTTGGGAGATACATACATATGTATAATTGGTAGATATCCTGGAGACCAGCTACCTTATTGACATGGGAAAAATAATAAAATCAGCCTAAAAATTAAAAAGTCGCCTTGAAGGAATACAGACAAGTTTATATTCTAGGATAGGAAGGCTTAACATAGTCAAGCTGCTTATTCTTGATTTTTTGTTTGTTTGTTTGTTTGTTTTTTGAGAGGGAGTCTGGCTCTGTCGCCAGGCTGGAGTGCAATGGCTCGATCTAGGCTCTCTGTAACCTCCGCCCCCTGAATTCAAGCGATTCCCCTAACTCAGCCTCCCGAGTAGCTGGGACTACAGGTGCCCGCCACCACGCCCGGATAATTTTTTTGTATTTTTAGTAGAGACGGGGTTTCACCGTGTTAGCCAGGATTGTCTGGATCTCCTGACCTCATGATCCGCCCGCCTCGACCTCCCAAAGTGCTGGGGTTATAGGCATAAGCCACCATGCCCAGCTGCTTATTCTTCTTAAGTAATATTTTAATTTAACACAATCCCAGATAAGCCAACATTAAGTTTTCTACTTGAGCTGGTCAAGTTGATTTTAAAGTTTATTTTATAGAACAAACAAAATTGGCCAGGAAATTTAAGAAGGAGAAAAAAGGTGAACTAGCCTAATCAGTTATTAAAACATCGTATAAATCTTTTAAAACTAAAACTACTTCATATTGGTTTATGGGTAAAAAGTCTGAACAATGAAATTGAGTAGGACAGTCATAAATGTATCGTGACATAGGTTCATTTATTACAATAAGGCAGATTCTAAAATTAATTAGGAAAAGATGCCCTTTTTAATAAGTAGTGTTGGGACCTATTAAAAATATCTATAATGGGGAATATAATATTAAGCTATCTTTTATGCTGCAAACTGAAATGAATTACACGAGGATAAATTTCTAGAGGAAAATTCAGGTGAATTTCTCTTAAGTGTAGGATTGTGGCAAACTTAAATATGTTTCAAATCCAAAAGAAACAGGGAAAGAGTAGACAAACTTGAACACATGCACACAAAATAGTAAATCTAATAGCAACCTAGATGTTTGGGGTACAAATTATCCCCTCACCCCAGTAGTGAGCTAGTACTCAATAGGTAGGTTTTCAAACTTTGCCCCACTCTTCCCCCTCTGATAGTCCCCAGTGTCCATTGTTGCCATCTTTCTGCCCATGAGGACTAAAGTTCAGCTCCCACTTACAAGTGACAATATGCGGCTTTTGGTTTTCTGTTCCTATATTAATTTGTTTAGGATAGAAGCTTCCAGCTGCATCTGTGTTGCTGCAAAAGACATGGTGTATATGCACCACATTTTCTTTATCCAGTTCTTAGTTTATAGGCCCCTAGGTTGATTAAATGTTTTTGCTATTGTGAATTTTGCTGAGATGAACATACAAGTGTGTGTGTCTTTTTGACGGAACCATTTATTTTCTTTTGGCTACATACCCAGTAGATTCCTGGATAGAATGATAGTTCCATTTTAAGCTCTTTGAAAAGCCTCCAAACTGTTTTCCACGGTGGCTGAACTAATTTACATTCCTACCAACAGTGAAATGGCTCTTAAATGTGTTAAAAATATTTTCAATCTTTCATCTACTCATAAAACTAAAAATGAAAACTACATCTTGGTTCAGTTTCTTTCTTACAGGGTAAAAATCAACAGTTTGACAGTAAACACTGTTGCAAAACTCTGATGAAACGGGACTCTCATAAGATAGTATTAGGAAAAAAAACAATACAGCCCCATTGAAACTATAGAACATTGATGAAAGGAATTGCCAAAGACACAAAAGGAAAGATTTCCATTGTTCATGGTTTAGAATAATTGATATTGTTAAAATGTGCATACTACTCAAAGATGTCTATGGAGTCAATGCAATCCGTATCAAAATTCCAATGACATTTTTCACAGATAAGGCTCCAATATCCAAAGCAGTCTTGACCAAAAAGAACAGAGGCATTATGCTACCTGATTTCAAAATCTACTAAAAAGCTATAGTGTTCAAAAGAACATGTCACTGGCATAAAAAAGACACATAGACAGTGGAATGAAATAGAGAACCCAAAAATAAATCCATGTATTTATAGTCAATTAATCTTTGATATAAGGGCCAAGAACACACAATGGGGGAAAGAACAGTGTATAAAATAATGGTGCTGGAAAACTGGATATTCACATGCAGAGGAATGAAATTAGATCCTCACCTCACACCATATACAAAAATCAACTCAACAGGATTAAAGACAAATACATTACTTGAAATAGTAATTCTACTGTAAGAAAACATAGAGAAAAATCACCATGATGTTACTCTGGACAAAGATTTTTTGAATATGAACCCAAAGCACAGGCAACAAAAATTAAAATAGACAAATGAAATTCATCAAACTAAAAACCTTCTGCCCAGCAAAGGAATAATCAAGAGTAAAGAAACAAGAATGAGAGAATATATTTACACACCATAAATCTGATGAGGTGTTAATATCCACAATATATAAGGAATTCAACGAATTAAATAGTAAGGAAACAAACTAATTTAAAAATGGACAAAGTATCTGAATAGACTTTCTTAAAAGAACACACAAAAATGGCAACAGGTATAGAAAAAATATGCTTAATATCAAACATCAGGAAAATGCAAATCAAAACCAAAATGAGATGTCACCTTACATCTATTAGAATGAATTTTGAATGTTACTGAAAAAAAAATAAGCGTTGGTGAGGATGTGGAGAAAAGTGAACCCTGGCACACTTGGTGGGCATGTAATTAGTATAGCCATTATAAAAAATAGTATGGAGATTCCCCCCTACCATATAATCCAGCAATCTCACTACTGGGTATATATTAATAACTGTAATGATATGAAATTAGTATGTGAAAGAGATATTTGCACTTCCCTATTTATTGCAGTACTATTCACAATAGCCAAAATATGGAATCAACCTAAGTGTCCCTCAAGAGATAAATAGATAAAGAACATGTGTCATATACACACAAGGAAACACTACTTCACTTTAAAGAAAAAAAGGAAATTCTGCCATTTGTGAAAATGTGAATGAATCTGGAGAACATTATGTTAAGTGAAATAATCCAGACATGGAAAGACCAATACCACGTTATCTCACTTACAAGTGGTGTGAAAAATCAGTTGAATTTCATAGAAACAGAAAGTAAAATGATAGTTGGCAGAGGCTGGGGGTTGGGAGGATTGGGGAAATGTAGGCAAAAGGACACCAAATTTCAGTTATATAGGAAGAATAAGCTCAAGTGATCCATTATTATGATGACTACAGTTAATAAAAATATATCATATATTGAAAATGGCTGCAAGTAGATTTTAAGATTTCTTCCCACACAAAAAATAAATATTTGAGGTAATGGATATTTTAAACAACTCGATTTAGCCATTCCACAATGTACACATGTATGAAATATCATATTGTGCACCATAAATATACATAATCTTTACTTGTCAAGTAAAAAAATAAAACAATACAAAGATATGGTACAGCTCACATGGAAGATAATCTGTCAGCATTGAATGAAATTACATATGCATTTCCTTCTGACTCAGAAATCCCACATTTAGTACTATATTCCAGAGATATACCAGAAGAAATGCATAACAAAATAGGCAAAATATGACTATTCATTGCAGGGTTATTTTTAACAACAAAAAGCTCAAAAACATATAACTGCCCATTAAAAAGCACTGCTGGATAAAACTATGTATATTCACACTATGAAGTGTAACATAACTATAAAAATGAATGAAGACAGTCATATGCTCGTTTACCATTTGTATGGCTTCTTTTGAGCAATGTCATTCAAATCTTTTGCCCATTTTTAAATCAGATTATTAGATTTTTTTTCTATTGAGTTGATTGAGCTCCTTATATATACTGGTTGTTAATCCTTTGTCAGAGGGGTAGTTTGCAAATATTTTCTCCCATTCTGTGAATTGAGCGGGTGTTTTTAAACTCTCAGCTCCATGTGAAGAAATGGATTTCTTTTTTGCATAAATCTAATTTTTAGAAAATACTTCCTTATGATGAACTAAAATGGGCTTTCCTACAGTTTCGTTCTGTAGTTCTAAACTTTCATTTGGAGAGTCATCAACAAATTCAATGTCTCTTCTACTTATATCTCATTTCAATATGTGGGGAAAGCTATCATGTACACTAGAAGACACTAAGTGTCTTATACCTAAATCCTCTTAAACAAGCACTTATATCTCTAATTTTGTTGCTGACTTCTTTTCCAGTCCTTCATTCTGACTCTTTAAAGTAAGTCAACTTCCCTGGATATTCCAATTCAATAGCCTTCTGAACTTTGTGACGTCATTAAATTTATGACTATCATCTTATTAATAACATTTTCATTTACATATTTCATCCTTTTATTTCATTTAGAAATAACATTTGTTTAGGTGATTATTTCAAAATACTTTCCTCATTTAATTCTTACAAAAATTTTCTGAAGTTAGCATTGTTACCCTTAATTTACAAATAAGAAAATAAACCCTCAGACTAGGTGGGTGATTTTCTCAAAAAACAATACTTTGTAGCATTTTGCTCCCACTGCTTGGCCTCTCTTCACTCTGGCACCCACTCCAATTTCAAAGCAAAGTTGTGGCTGAGCCCTGGCACTTTCATGACCTGGCCGGGTGTGTGCACACTCAGGGCAGCACTGGCACGCCAGCACCCTACAGCCTCAGACCCCTTCAGACTTTGGGCACCAACGAGCATTAGAGGGATGCCAAGTGGGATATGAAGGGTGGTTTGGCATGGGCTTGCATGTGCCCCTCAGCACAAACAGCTTGAGTGCCATGGGCACCATGGAAAGCAGGTTAATGGAGGCTGGAGGCAAACAGGCTCCTGGTGGGAAAGGTGAGGGTCCCCAGTGAAGCCCCACCTTCAAGCCAGGGAGGTCTGAAGCCCTGGTGCTGGGCTGTCAGTTCTGAGAACTTGTGGTTTTTCTGGTGACCATGACCACCCATGGACCAATCGGCACACACTTCCTCCCCTCTGAAGCCCATAAAAACCCCTGGACTCAGCCAGACTCGGGTAGATAACTGGACTACCTGCCTGTAGAGAGGAGCTACCCATTGCGAGTCTCCTCTGAGCTGTTCTGTCGCTGAATAAAGCGCCTCTTCGCCTTGTTTACCTTCCACTTGTCTGCATACCTCATGCTTCCTGGACGAGAACTTGAGACTCACCGAATGGTGGGGCTGAAACAGATGTAACACAAACAGGGCTGAAACACACCTTTTGCTTGCCACGTTGCAGACAATGAGGACAAAAAAGAGGAGAGAAGCATTACTGCCGTTTGGGGGGCCCAGTCCCAGGAGCCCCGCCCTGAGCCAGGGCTGTGACACCCTCTTTGGGGCTCTGCGGTTCCTGCTGTCTCCAATATTCCAGGCTCCACCGAGTTCCCTGGTGCCAGCCATGGAAGTTGCTTGTGGTAAACCTGCTCCAGCCACAGCCTCGCAGGGAGCCGGCGCCCATGCTGGCACCTGGAGCTGCCTTCTCTGCCACAGCCAGTGTGTTTGGCTGTGTGCAATGGCAAGACCCCACATTCACTTGCTCACACACCCCTTGTCTCTCTGCACCCGGCTTGCCCTTGGCAGGCATGTGATGTAGGCCAGTAGCACGAACCTTGAGTGTAGCCTGCTGGGCCGAGTGAGTGGAACGAGTTCAGTGGGCCCGAGCAAAACTCCACCAAAGGCACCACTGACCACAGAGGTGTTAGGGCAGAAAAGCAACACCCCAAGGATCCTGTGACACGTGTCAGTTACTAAGCACTGTCTTTTAAAATCTTCAAGAACTTTAAAGATTCAGTACTGTTAATGCCCTCATGCTATAGTTTGACAGAGTGAGTCACAGAGTGGTTAAGAAACTTCTCCAATGTCACAGACTTAGTAATCAGTAGAGTGACAGTCACCTAAATAAAAGTTGTGGAATTCTCATAAAGCATCTCAGAAGTGCTCCCCTTTATCTATGTCAAGTACTATATTAGATGCTATAGGTATAAAAATTTTAAAAAAAGACATGGCTTCTGTAATCAAGATATTTAAAGAGGTATATACATGCATAAGTGCAATAAGATTTTGCAAGGGCCATAATAAACTAATGCAAATCTTAGGGATGTGAGGCTTATGGGCTTTATAGAAGATGAGACAAAGCTTTACAAAAATTTGAGTCCCTAGCTTTGAAGAGTAAGTTAGTATTATCCTCATAGGCAAGCAATTCAGAAGGCAGTGTGGCATTTTCTGCACAAAACAGAGGAAATGTGAAACAGGATATGATGGTGAAAATACAAATACTTCTATGTATCTTTTTACTGAAACCAATGTAGAGGAAGCAAGGGAGCTGTACTACACTCAGGAATAAGGCAAGAGGTAGGAACACATCACAAAGTGTCTTCTCTCCTAGGGCCAGGGCTTAGAGATTAGCTAGGAATAATTTGAAAGATTTGAGCAGCAACAACAACAACAACAATAAAACCAAAAAGATTCATTCAATTTCATGTATTCGAATTTTTTGCCCAATTTATTGAGTGCATGCTTTATACCAAGTGGTATGGAATCAGTAAAGACAAAAAAAGCAGATAAAACCCTACACTCATGGAGATTATTTCTGGTCAGTGTTTTACTAAGGTGGCTTTGAAAATAATGTGGAAAAGATGAGGTAAGAGAGAAGACTAGAGGCAGAGATGTTCATTTGAAGCTATTGAAATTGTTCAAAGAACAAATATGGGCCTGAATTTACACGTTGTTAGTGGGTATGAAGAAAGGTGATGTGAAGTTAGACTTTGCGGGATTGGTGACTGAAGGACTTGAGGCTATGAGAGAGTGAAATATCTTTAAGTTAGATCTGAGTCTAAATATGGGCTTATCTGTACTCCTTTTATATTTCTAATTTGATTTACAAAACATATTGAACTGGATGAGTAGAGACACAAAATGTCTTGACAATTTACTAGAAATATTTCTCCACAGAAATGTTGATACATTAATCTACAACATATGATACATTTGTTTCAACAGCTACAAAAAACCGTAATTCAAGAATAGAGTAGCCCCTCCTACTAAGTTAAACTGGGATTCTAATCCCAATTCAGCATTCATTTATTTTGCAAACCTGGGAATTCTGCTAAAGTTGTGAGAGCCTTAGTTAGCATTTTTATAATTGGAGTAACCATAAGAAATTTATAGACTCACTGACTTAACGGGACATCTAAGGAGCCTCATGAGGGTTCTGAAATTACCAAATGTGACTAGGGTCAATGAGTAGAGAAAGGGGAGGTGAAAGTATCTACAAAATGCATTGTCTTTTTAAAAATTTAAAGGTTCTTTGATTTTGTTACCAAAACATCAGGGGTTTGGTTTAGACCCTGCTGCTTACTGCACAGAAAACCAATTACGGAGATCGTGAGTACTGCCAGGGAAGAAGGCTTTAAGCAGATGCTACAGCTGAAGAGATGGGAGATCAGTCTCAACTCCATCTCTCATACTGACTAAAATATAGCAGTTGATATAGCAGGGAAGAAATGTAATTGTGTGGGAAAAAAAGGAACTAGATAGGCATAAGGAATAGGAGTCGATCACAAAGAAGGAGGTGGTTGATTAGGAAAACAGAAATTAGAAAGGGGTCAGGAAGCAATTATGATGAATGAGAGGTCTGGTATCTCATTGGATGTGGTAATCTGGTGAGTTTCAGTTCTTCGATAATTTTTTGAGAGGCCTGTGGTTCCTTTAATGAGAATGGAATTGAGATAAAACAAATGTAAGTTTCAAGCTTTAAGACCAGAAGGTCAACTTCTCTGTGTATCAAAACAAGCAAACAAACAAAATTATCTATGGGACTATTGGGTAGGTTTCAATTTGAGTCTCCTCTTTTACTTATTTATCAAACACTTCTTTCTGCTCTTTGTCTCAGAGGGTTAAAAAAAAAGTCTGGTCGTCTCTTCTTTAGAAGTTTTAACTGTTCTTTTTCTTTGTGGTCTTTGATCTTTTAATTTTTTGCCTACTCTGAAATACTGCTTTCCTTTTCATTCTCAATGTCTCATTTTCCTCAGAAATATGTTCCCTCAGACCACAAAAATTAATGTGAAATCAGCATTCCAATTTTTTAAAGAATCTTTAATTTTTTATTCCAACTTTGGCGACTTTATCTCCTACCCTTCATTACTCTATATGTCTAAAATATAAAGCACACCCATTTTTTCTTTTGTACCACTCAGTGGCTTGTACTCATTTTTTCTCTGTGGATATTTTCTCTTTTTCTCTCTGCAAGACATAGTCCTTCTCCTTATTAGTTTCTACATTTTTATTGTATAAGACTAATATTTTAAAATTATTTTTAAACTATATTCGTGATATTAAGACTTTAAACAATTTAACAGCGACATAATTTAGAGTATCATCCCTTCAAAAAAAATCCTCTTGGCCAGCCATTATTTATATATTTTTTGCAGTAGTTTACCTAAAATTTACTTATATCATTATTCTTATCTGTCTATATATTATCTACATACATACCTGTATCTATCTAAATGTATCCATATATACATATATACATATCTAGCTATCAATGTATACTAATGAAAAACAATTATACTATATATTTTGATCTACAGTCTACATTTACTCTCAACTATTTGTTTATTCATTTTACTCTTTATTTATCATGGATAGCTTCCCAGGTACACAGAGAACATTTATTCTGTTTTTTCTTTTTCCTGAACAATTCAAAAGCAAACTCCAAAGATCATGTTATTATGACTATACATATTTCAAAGTGCATCACTAAAAACGAAGAGTATTTCTACATAATCATTGCCATTATTGCATCAAAAAACTAATACTCTTTCCTACATATCACCTAATATCCAACCCATAATCAAACATGCTGAAAAGTCTCAAAAATTGTAACATGACAGTGAGGATTCAAACAAGATCCACACTTTGAATTTAGTTATAATATTTCTTTGTATCTTAACTCCATATTAACTTAGATAAAGCTCATTCTCTGTCTCTCTCCCTCTCTTTCTATGCAATTAACATTTTTTAAAAACCAAGTCAATTATCTGTAGAATATTCTACATTTAAGCTTAGTCTTCCAAGCTCACGTAGTTGCTGGCAGAACTCAGTTTGTTACATTGCAAGGCTCACGACCCCGTTTCTTCACTGGTTGTTGTCTGGAGGTTGTCCTCGGATTCTAGAAGCAGCCTTCAGTCCCTTGTCACCTGGGATTCTCCAACATGGCCATTATGTCTGCAATACCAGCAAAGTCGCACTGCGATCTTAGGATAACCATGTAGACATCATCACATGCATCCTGACACCTTTGCTGTATGCTGTTGATCAAAAGGAAGTCACAAGTCCTGCCCACACTAAGAGGTGACATCACACAAGGGCAAGGACATGAATGAGTGTCATGGATCCACCATGAGAATGTCTTTCACAGTGACATTTCACATCAGGGAGGGCACAGTGGAGCTCATGAGACAACTCTGAATATATAATTTACTTTTATACTTCCATAGACTTGCTTTCCTCTTATTTATTGTTATTTTTTAAGACAGAGTCTCACTCTGTCACCCAGGCTACAGTGCAGTGGCGTGATCATGGCTCACTGTAGTCTTGACCTCCTGGGCTCAAGTGATTCTCCCACTTCAGCCTTCTGAGTAGCTGGGAATACAGGTGCATGCCACCACACTCGGCTAATTTATTTAATTTTTTTTTTTTTTTTTTTTTAGAGATGGGGTTTTGCCATGTTGTCCAGGCTGGTCTTGAACTCTTGGGCCTAGGTGATCCCTATGCCTCAGCCTCCCAAAGTGCTGGGATTACAGGTTTGTGCCACTGTGCTGGGCCCATACACTTACTTTTATTAATTTCATCCCCTTGTGTAAATTCAACTATTGCTTTATTCAAATGATTTAATGTATTCCAACCCCAAATCTCTCCTAAAATTCAGGCTAGCTTTTAGCATTGCCTGCTGTTCATCACGATTTGGATGTTTTACCAGGGCCTTAACTGTAACATGCCAAATTACTTTTGACCATTCTTCTATATCTGCTTCTGCTTCTCTTGAAATTTCCACTCTGTTGATTCTGCCATCATGCTTAATGATCTAGGATAATTATTCCTTCTTTCTTACTGTATGGTGACACTTAGATTTTAGGTTCTGCATATTCTTCTACCATAATTTCTCTCTTTTCCCCTCTTTATGCTTTCAACTTCTTTGCTGGGTCACACCCTCATTCTGTCTAAAACCAAATGGAAATATTTGTACTAGATCTTCTTGCCTCTTCTTTATTATTACCTTCTTTAAATTCATTTTACACAGCAGTCTGGCTTAATATTCCTAAAGCGCTGATAAAGTTGTATTATGCCGCTCAACACTAGTTAATAGATTCCTATTGCCTGCAGAGTATTGTTCATATCTTTAGTCTCACAAAATAGGCCTTTTATAAGCTGTTCCCATCCTGCCTTTTCAGGTTTATCTCTTGCTATTTCTTTCACACACTCAGAGTAAAGTTACATAATGGATTACTTTTTATTCTGCAAAGGTATCACATGTTCTCCCATTTTCAGACCTTTGCTCCTGCAACATTATAATATCCTCAGCCAGAAGGAACCTTTCTGGTTTCTGAAATTTGATTTTATTTGTACTGCTCTTACACAGAACTACTTTCCTTTGATTATATTTTGTGTATTTTTTTTTGAATTCTCTTTTGTGAGAGGAAGTGATGTTCATATAGTATGTTTGGCATCACCCATAACTCCTCGTTCAATGCCTGGCATATCATAGCCTCTGTATATCTATTTATTGAATTAATAATATGTTAATTAAATTAATGTGTTTCTCGTAATAAGGCCAGGAACGCACTTGTTACAAATGTATTAAATATTTGTTACATTCAACAATATATGAAAAACAACTCTAAATAATACATTATATTTATTATGTGTCTTTATTCATTCATATTCACATATTCTGAATGTACTAACAAACCACAAACAGCCAAAGCTTTGATCACAGCAGTGTCTTCAGAGTTTCTTCTTCAGTTTTCACTGGAATAGCTTTCAGAATACAAGAAAATTTACTCTTCTCAGATCCTAAAGAACAGTGGAGGTCAAGTTGGCATACAAATGTAAACTGAGATTACGAGCTATTTTGTAAGACAGTATTTTGGTCACCTGCCATTTTAACATCTGTTTCAGAATATCAGTTCTTAATAATAAAATGAAACATTAAAATTTACTTTATCCAACGGTTAGCAGTTCAAACTGTGTCACGAGGAAGGACAAACACAAACAAAGAAAACAAACGAAAATGTTCCCTTATTGCCCCAGAGCTCTGAGAGGAAACACCAAGCAGATACACCTTTAATAATGTAACATGCAATGAAATATCCACATACGGAAACTTTATGTCATTTACTGCCTTATAAAACTGTAAGTACCCTCTTAAAGTCAGTATATTCTGACACTTTGCTACCCACAGATATCATGCTGAAATCCACAGGAGTTAGGCATTAAAAATTGAAAGCAGAATGCAGTTCCCTGAAACTGGGTAATTGGAAGCTAGTGAAATATCTCAAATATGGGTGTAATAACAAGTCGACTGCTGGCAAAACATGAGTAATCTGGGTGCTGTATTTAAATTTTTAACTGACCCTTTGGCATACTGAATCATGGAATGTAACCTTCAAAGAAATAAGAGCTTTGTTTTGGCAATTTTGTGCAGGTGCCAGACAACCAACATCCTACTCTACAAACATTATCTAAAAAAAATAAAATAAATTTTTTTAAAAAGGCTTTGTGTGTACTCTATAGAAAGTGGTCTTTTTAGTGTGCTTACACAGAGACAGCAAGCATCATTTTCTTTTTTCTTTTTTGAACTTATTAATGAGAAATATTTAGGTCTTTCATAAATGTCTATGTTAGTTTTGACGAAGATTTACTCTGTTTCTTGTTAATATTGTTCCTTTGGGTGAACAGCTTTCTATAGCATTTGTAAATGGATTAAAAAAAAAAAACTAATACAGGAACAGAAAACCAAATGCGGCACGTTCTCACTTATAAGTGGGAGCTAAATGATGAGAACACATGGACACATAGAGGGGAACAACAAACTGGGGTCTTTCAGAAGGTTGAGGGAGGGAGAAGGGAGAGGATCAGGAAAAATAACTAATGGGTGCTAGGCTTAATACTCGAGTGAGGAAATAATCTGCACAACAAACTGTATAAGACACAAGTTTACCTATGTAGCAAACCTGCACTTGTATCCCTGAACTTACAAAGAATAATGTCATTTTGAAAACTTTCTGTAAGTGACAGTAAAACAGCATGCCATGGTTTGCATACATCACTGGAACTTGTGATGCTTCTACAAATTAGACAGTCCCATTAAGGGTCTAATTATAGAACTCACTTTCCAAACAAAGGAGGTCTATAGACAGCTGTGTTTCAAAATCAGAGACGGCTCTACTGTGCTTTCTGCATAACTCTCTTGTTTCACAGCTGATGCCTAAGTGTTCTTTATTAGAGCATTATTCCCTTAGTTGTTTGTGTGTATATGTCAACAGCCCTGGGAGAACAGTGCTTAGCCAGTAGGGAAGGATGCTTAGCATCAAACACAAGGATACTAGATAAGCTCAATGACAGAACAAGGAGGATGCTCATATATTTATTTCAATACATAATTTTACTAAGGTATATGCTGAACAATATAAACTGAATCTCAAATGACTTCTATTGGTTAAGTCTTCAAAAGTCTATATAGTGATTTGATTTGAGCAAGCATGGTTACAGAAAAATAAATCATTGTAGATATGTGTGAACTACTCAACCTTAAGACCACACTGCCGCATCACACAACGTTAAAATAATTGCATTATGTGACAATGAGGGAGAAACTACAATAATCAAAGCAAATATGATAGTAAGCCTTAGGTTTGTGTGCAAATAGGTTTTTCATGAATTTGGGATTTCCTTTTGAATGTTTTTAAAAACAGAAAAGCTTTACATCCAGAACGTTTTAATTATGTTTCTATCCAGAATTATATTCCTAGGTTCCTTCCAGTGAGAAGATTATTTGTTCATTTAAGAAAATTGTAGATTCAGAAATGTATATTTGAAATATCAGTAGATAATACATTAGCACATGTAACTATATAAATAAAAATAAAATAGCATGTGTAGACCTAAGAAACACTAAAATGCAATAGACTCTGGGAAAAATGGAATATGGTGACACTTTCAGTTGATATTTACAAATTGTTTAATGTTTATTTTTGGTTTACTATTTTTCAAGGCTTTCAAAAACAGAATGGCATTAAATATTTTCAATAAATAATTATCATTTCTTACTCATAGATCAGATTTATGTTGCTCAGTATGTTGAGAAGAGATACTAGGAATATTTGTGAAAGACCTAGAAACTCTAAAAGTCTGAAATTTTGTTTCATGTGTATGACCCAAGGGTTAACTGAAATATCTGTGGACAGCTTTTATTATCATCTGTCTGGGGAACAAAATCCCCTCCAGTCTCCACTCTGCTCCAGCTACCATCATGCTGTCTTTTCCTTTATAGTGGTACTTTCCTAGAAAAATATGACCTAATTTACTCAACTCACCTTCTCCCTACAACTCACTCCCCTTCGACCTCCATCCCTGGGGCCCTAGTGAAGCTATTCTAATGTGGTTTCCCATCTGCTTCTCTTGGCAAAACTCAGGGGTCACCGGTTTGTCTTTGCCATAGCTGAACCCTCAGCAGCAATCTGCATAGTTAGTGCCCTCTTACTGCCTCTTTAAAACAACGTCCTGTTTCATTCCATGATGCTATTATCTGGGAGGGTTTTCTCCTCTTCATTTCCTCTACCTTTCAGTCTCTTTTGATGACTTCTTGCTTTTTATTTGACAACCAATGGTTTTAATATGATTTTTGTGACATTTGTTTCTCAGATACTTACCTAAGCATGACTTCCCTAAACAACTGCCCAGTTGACATCACCTTTTCAGAGTCTATTAGTCTTTTAACATCTTCAATGTGCACATCAGAATGCTTGAGTTTACCCTGAACTCTTTGAAAATTTTAATTATTGTATTCTTGCTCACTTTACTCCAAAACTTTAATTCTTCTATTCTTGCTCACTTTCCTCCAAACCTTTCTCTGCTCACGAGCTAGAGTGAACATCTCAAAAGGCAATTCAGATATTTTTCCACCTACTTGTTACCCACTTCAATCAGTCACTTGCTTCCCATCACATCAAAATCAAGTCTAAACTCATTGACCTACTCTACACAGCACTTTGTGATTTAGCCCCTGTATCTTCACTTCTGTCTTTTGGAGATCGCTTGTATCTTCCCAGTATGCCTGATCCAGTCCCCCTTCTTTCTTTCTTGATCATACCAAGATTATTCAGACCTCAGTGCCCATACACTAAGTACGTCTTCTGCATAACACATACTTCCTCCAGATTTTTTGAAAATGGCTTCTTTATTAAATCATTAAAATAACACCTAAAGTAGCAGCTCTTCAAAAAAGACTATTCTCATCACCAACTTTGGTAGATCCTCACCATAATTATTTTCAATCACATTTTCAGACTTTTAAAAACATTACTTGAAATTATGTTTCTGTTTATTTTGCCTTTAAAAAATTCCTGTCTCCCCAGACTATGATATAAGCATTATGAAAGCAAAGGCCTTGTTCAGTCTAGTTTACCATATAAACTACAGTTCCGTTAGCGGTATCTTTTAACAGCAGACATTTAAATAAATATTTTCTGAATGAATAAATGGATGAATGCTGTTGAAACAGCAAAATCTGCTTTTAACCTGGTTATATTTTAATTAAGAGAAGTTATGAGAATACTGAAGCCAAATTGCACTTCTTGAGACATTTATGTTCTTTTTATCTTCGTTAAACTCTAAAATTTGGCATAAGCAAAAAGAGCAGAATAGCCCAAATTGGCCAGGAGATAGTTTTTGTTCTTGATTTTCTGCCTTATTTTACCTGTATCACATTACACAGAATAAAAGTTATTTTACTAGTGGACCTGTTTCATATATCCTCATTTATTCTGCCATTATCCGATTATGTAATTCAATAAGCTAGTTTAAAATTGATGTTTTTGTATTTGTCCTCTCAGAAATGTGCTCAGCCCATGCACACAAGCTGTAATATTCATCATTTCCTAGCTGAAATTTTTATGTGTATATATTTATTAGAACTACTGCATGGGTCACTCTAAGCAGTAGTGATAAAAATGTATCACTTTACAATCGATGTGCAGAAAGTACTTCTTATAAATAACAAGGGTTTGTTTTGAATGGGCATAAACAATTCTTATCCTCTCCCAAAGAAGAAAATAGACTACATAGGATAATGGGGAATTGACTCTTCTCATTCAACGTTTGATTTTTGTAAAGTTTTGACATCAGTACATTTTATACAGTTGCTGGAAAAGAAAGTGCTATTCATAAACTTGCTGTTATCCTCAATTTCCTCTACATAGTCAAAGTCTCTTTCATTGCTGTATTCCACAGCTTATATTTACATGCATTGCAATTTCTGCAATTGATTTCTTTCCTTCTTATCTCAATAACCTGGCAATGCACCCACAACACTTTATTTACTGGTATTTTTAACTTGAAATTTGTCTTGTTATTCAACATATATGACTGAGCTTCCAATATTTCCTCAGAATCTACCCTCCAAACCTCCAGAGTGATCAATGACCTTCTTACTTAAGATCAATGGCATCAGCAGCATTCTGTTAACTTGGACAGCACAGGAGGGGGGAGGTTTAAAAACACAGAGTCCCAGATCTATCTCTAGAGCTCCTGAATCATAATGTAGGTTTTAATAAACTCCTCCAATGATTTGTGTGTGCACTGAAGTTTGAGAAGTACTGCTCTATGACACCCATGCACAGCTCCACCACTGGCTCCTCCTGAATTCAAATATTAGATGAGCTAGCTCATTTTTTCTCCTTAAACTTCTTTAGATTTCCTTAGCCAACTTCTCTACCAACAGTGAACTGTTTGCAGTTCCCCACCCCTTAAAAGCAGTTCTATGTTTTCACATTGTTGCTTATAGACAACTTAGAGTTATGTAATGGTTAAGAGTGTAGGTGTTGGCATTAAAAATAACTGAGTTGGCCCTGTGCAGTGGCTCAAGCCTGTAATCCCAGCACTTTGGGAGGCTGAGGTGGGCGGATCACAAGGTCAAGAGATTGAGACCAGCCTGGCCAACATGGTGAAACCCCGTCTCTACTAAAAATAAAAAAAAAAAAAACAATTAGCTGGATGCTGTGGCACGCTCCTGTAGTCCCAGCTACTCAGGAGGCTGAGGCAGGAGAATGACTTGAACCTGGGAGATGGAGGTTGTAGTGAGCAGAGATTGCACCACTGCACTCCAGCCTGGTGAGAGAGCGAGACTCCATCTAAAAAATAAATAAATAAAAAATAAAAAGAACTGAGTTAAAAGTTCAGCAAAACATATTAATAGCTGAGGCTTCTTAAAAAAATTACTTGACTCCTCTGTATAGCTCTTTCTTCATCTTAAAATAAAAATTATTGTAATTTGTAACATTATGAGGGCTAAATAAGGAAGTATAAAGAAGGCATTCAGTTGCAATGACTGGCACATATAAGCACACCACAAATAAGGGCAACATTACAATGGCCTCCAGGAGACCTCGTCTCTTTATTCCTGGTGACCAAAACCTACTTGAGTGAAATATCCTCTAATTAACACTCTCCCACATCTGCCTTAAGTATAATTCCTCCATACACCTGCCATACTTTCATGCCTAAATTATTCTCCTGTTATTATCAATTTATGAAATTACTTCATTAAGTTTTTCAAGTCAATAAGAGGAGTAACTAATCTAGGGGGGATAAAGCTCATTCTAAAGCAGGTACCTAAAAAGTGACTTCATAAAATGGTAGAACAAAGTATTAATTATTACGGAAACTGCTAATTGCCTTGGATATCCATTCTTATTTTCATCTTCATTAGCAGAATCATACTGTTGTTTGGGACAGCAATGCACTGCCTAACAATAATATATTCTCTAGCCTTGGGCTCATCCTAATAACAGTGTTCTGACCACTGAGTTTGCTTTTCACAGAAGCTGATCACCTTCATTTTCCTCATGCCCTTCTTCCTGCCTTCAGTGCAGACCAAAGACTGCCCCATGTCGTTACTATAAGACAGGCATGAAGATGTGAGTCTCCTGTCCAAGATTCTTAAGCAGAAAGAAAGATTTGAGACACTGTTGACATTGTAGAGCCACTTGACCACTTCTGGACTGCCAACATGTGGACTTCCTGGAAGAAGAGGAAGAAAACAATATTTTCATTAAACTAACATATTTTGGATCTTGTTACATGCACTCAAAAACATGGTAACAAAGTAGGATTAATTAATGGACTCTTCAGAGTATATTTCAATTACTTAAGCTACTCTATAGCAAATAATAAGGTTATATTAAAGATAACATTTACATGATAACATACATATATTATCAAATTTGTATACCTAAGCATAGGCAATGTCTTAAACACTTTAAAGTTGATATAAATTGTTTGCTAAATTTTTCTGTACTTATACCTAGTGGAATGAAAATTTGAATATACGACAAGCAGTTAATGAGGCACAAGGAAAAAGTCCTATTCTCTAAGAATGTTTTATTGACTATAATAAGCTGACAAGATAGCATTTCAATCATATTTACCCTTAGTTTTTTTAAGTAAATCTTTCTTTTTGTTTACTTTATGTTTTTAGGTTTGGAAAGATATTTAACCGAAAACAAATATTAAATAGATCTAGGGAATCCATAAAGCCTTAAAATTCTGTGCGACTTTTTCTGTGCATGTTAATTTTTCTGGGGAGAGTTTCTACAGTGTTCATTTGTTTCCCATAGTCACGTAAGAATAGCTCTACTATCCTTACATTCCACTATTCTAAAAGAAGAGATTATTACTTTAGTATCACTTCTATTTCCCAATATCACTTTTACATCTCACACATAAAATGGCTATATAAACTGTATCAGGGGAACAAAACATAATTTATATATTTTTATAACTTACTCTTTAAACGCCATCTTCTAGAATATTCATATTAAGTAAGAAAAAAGGCAGAAAACTGGCAAACAGATTCTGATGCAAACTCTTAATTTATACATATATAACATCAAAAACGTATTTTGCTGATTCTGCTCTCATTCATCTAAATTTAGACAGCAGTAATGAAAGCTGCAATTTTCCTTTGAAAATTACAAATCTGCAGCAATAATTGTATCTGCACCTACTCTCTGCCTATTTTTGCCATGTTCAAAAATACTCGTATGGCTAGAGAGCAGGTGTTTGCTATGGCATGTGCTTCATGACTGCCTTCCTGTGCAAAACAAGAACTCAGCAGCATATTAAACCTACACCCAGGTGCACGTGGAGAAGAGCGTCTCCAAATGCCCAGCCTGTGAATTCTTAGCTCTGCCAGGAGAGGCTCTAACTCTGTGTTTTTGATAGACGGGAAAGGCTACAGTTTCTCTTGTTCCTTTGCAGAGCGTAAAATTTACAATAAATATACTTTGTATATTTTAAGTTTTTTTTTTTTCATTTTGGTTATGAAAGAGTTTTGTTTCTGTGGTGTCCTGGGGAAAAGTAAATGGCATGTCATCCAACAATGCCATAAAGACGTGCAAAAGTTATAGCAACATCTTCTGCTAGACTGCAAGCTCTAGGAAGGCAAGACTTGTAACTCATTGAGATTGTCTACTCATTTAGTCTGTTGCGCTAAACCCATCAATACAATATACTGTGCTGAGAAAAATATTGTGACATTAAATATTAAATCAATGGAATATGATAAATCTAGAGATGATGAATTCTAGGATGCTCTGCTGCAGAGAAAAATAACATGGCCAAAAAGCTGTTGGTTCCTCGGCATGATCAGTAAAAGGAAAACACACACTGAGATAAACTTCATCATGGAGGGTGGAGGGAAAAAAGCAAGCTGGATTATTTAAAATACAGTCTTGTAATTGAAATACTAGGTATGATATTGTACCTATTTAAATATCAAATATTTAATGTATACTGCAATATAAGGTAAATATGAGCATGTACGGATCAGATAATATGCTCTTGGAGCAAGTAAAAGACTCAGATTCAGCCCAGCTTTAAAAATAAGAAAATTAATTAATTTGAATAACAGAATATATAGCATGAATTAGGACTTTAGGTTTCATTGATTAGGTGGCTTAATGAAGCTATCAAAGATTCAGATTGGTTGTGTCATTTTGCTTTGCATCCACATTGTTGCTTGCATCTTTACCTATTCCCCATAATTCCTGTTGGATGACAAACAGAAGCTGCCAGGAAGGCAAGCACTCTTGTTTATGAACACAAGGAGAGAAAAAGAGGTCCTCTTCCGCAAATGAAGAAAACCTTTTCCAAACTATTCAGGAAATTTCCAGATGACCAAACTGGGTCATAGGTCTTGCCTTAACAAAATCTAAATAAGGGAAATTAGGCTTTTTTTGTTTTTTGTTTTGTTCTGGGTTTGGGTTTTTCCCCAGTGACACCCACTACTGGAATAAATTACAGAGATTATGGTCATTTCCTTGAAGTACATGAGCTGCTGCTGAGGTGAGGAGGTAGGGTAGGTCAGTGGATACACGAATACAAGCATGATTTTGGAAAAAGAGTATTCAAAATAGTAGAGAAAAATAAAGGAAATGCAGAGTGAAAAGATAATTTCTTCCAATGCAGTATTTAATTAAAGAATGAAAAAATGATCTGAGTTTGAAAGATAAAAATCTCACAAGTAGTAGAGGACCAAGCCAAGGCAAAACTAAAGTTTTATAATTATCTTGGCCAGAAGAGATTCTTTAAAAATGACAAAAGTGTTTTAAAAATCAATAAAAACATATTTCTAAATGTAAAGCCCTAGGGGAAAAAAGCTGTTGCTGAATGACCTATGAAGCTGCAGTTATCCTAGCCACATAGAGGAGATAAAACCGCATTAATTCACCAAAACAATCCTACCTTTATTTTGTCTTGTGCTCCAATAACACAGAGACAGTATCTCAAGGCAATGTAAATTCTAGCCAGAATCAGGATGCTGGGAAGGGATCCTAGTAGATCACGATCCAGCTGAAAACCTGGGATTTGAGACATAACATTGGCCAAGCAGAGCTAATTCTGCCTAATCTGTCATATGGCTCCCTGAGTTTGCAGATGCTCTTTAGTCACAGTCATTCCATTTCTGTTTATGCCAATCCAGTTGAATATTTGGTAAACTCATTTTTTCCATTCTTTTGTTTTTGTGTTTTCATTCAATCACAGCTCTCACTCTCCTACATATCCATAGAGCATACTATATTTTGTAATTTCAACTCGTTATGTTTTGATGATAAAACGTAATTTTTAGAGCTCCATCTTAAGGAAACAGGATTTTTAAACATCAGGTCTTTAACATTCATTTGTTCCACAAAACATGCCCCAATCTTCCCTCCCCCAAAGCACACACTTGTTTATAACCTAGCTATATTTAAGCAACACTTTCTTGCGTTCTCACCCACTATCAAATAGATAGGTACTATAAATTTTATAGTAGTGCTCCTAAACCTGACATTGCAATATGTGAAGCACCCTCATAGTTCTCTACTTTATATATTATTTTTATGGTGGGAATTAAAGCTTTTATGAGGCTGTAATTTTTGACATTACCATTGCTTCCTGGGAATTCAATGTTATCCTATTCTACAAAGAGCTACACAGGAGAAAGAACACATTTCCAAGGTCAGGTGAATGTTCCGAACCTGAAAGTGAGAGGCTCTAAGCAAAAAACATCAATGTATTTGGCTGAAAGTGTGTATACTACAATGAAAAAAATATATGTATAAGTTTTGATAATACAAGTTAATATTATTTACAAAATTTTTTGAAAATTAAAATGTTAATGCTTAAAATTTCATAATATGTTTGATTACTGTAAATAAAACCAAAATGTTTTAAAATCATATTAATTATATAAAACCTATACAGGCAAATTATTTAAGAGAACTATTAAATCCTTAAAATAATATATCAATAAAAAGTTACATTATTTCATACAAGAAATATGTAGTGTGCCTTGAGTATGCATTTGGCGCGATTTAAAGGGCATACATCAGATGCCTCTCAACAGGAACTTGAAATAGAATAACACAAAATATGTTGAAACACAACATGGAGAAAATCTTTGATGATCTCAAATCAATTTGGATTATAAAAATATAGATAAAAAGTATAGTAATAAAATCTTGAAAAGTACTCTTATTATGTAATATTGGTCCTAATCCAATTTACCAGGAAATTGCTTAATATTCATTTCATAAAGTACTATGGTAGAAACAGAGCAAAATGGTTTGGAATCAGCTTTTTCATTTCTTGGCAAAGTGTTCAAGAACAAACTACTTAATTTATCTGATGTTAGATTTTTGTTTGTTTGTTTTAAAGTAGTTATGGTTAAAATGCATTACAATAATTATTGAATTAGATCATTTTTTTTTTTTCGAAATGCAGTCTTTGCTCTGTTGTCCAGGCTAGCATGCAGTGGCATGATCTCGGCTCATTGCAACACCTGCCTCCCAGGTTCAAGCAATTTTCCTGCCTCAGCCTCCCCAGTAGCTGGGATTACAGTCACGCGCCACCATGCCTAGCCAATTTTTCTATTTTTAGTAGAGATGAGATTTCGCCATGTTGGCCAGGCTGGTCTCAAACTTCTGACCTCAGGTGGTCTGCCCACCTCAGACTCCCAAAGTGCTGGAATTACAGGCATAAGCCACTGCCCCTGGCCTCTGGTACTATTTTTTTTGAGATACAATTCACAAAACCTAACGTCACCATCTTAACCATTTTTAAATTATACAATCAGTGTGTTTTAGTATACTCACAATTTTGTGTAATCATCACTACTTTTTAATTCCAGAATATTTCTATTACTCCAAAAAATAAACAAACAAACAAACGGCAAACATACTTTCCAATTCTCCCATCCTCCCATCACTACACAATCTACTTTATGTTCCTATAGATTTGCCTATCTTGGATAATTTAAATGAATAAAATCTCACAATATGTGGCCTTTGGTCAAAGGTCCTCCACGTTTTTGTATATATACAAACTTTGTTCCTTTTCACAGATGAATAATATCTCATTGTATGGATAATGTGTTTTGTTCATTTGTCCATAGATGGACATTTGTCTTTTTGATACTGTTTAGTTATTATGAATAATGCTAATATGAACATTCATGGGCACAGTTTCGTGTGAATATATGTGGATTAGATAATATTTTAAAATTTATAAAGCCTAACAGTACCTAATAAAACCTAATAGTACTAATGAAATCACCTAAGGATGCAGTTGTGAGAATGTAGCCCTGCCATTACATGCCACATACCTACCTGTATTTAGCATATTCATCACCTCATATATTTATCATTTCTTTGTGATGGGAAGCATTGTATTATTTATCATTGCATTCCTATCATCTAGCACTTTCCATCTAAGAATGAATGAGAGTATTTAAATATATATATATATATTGCTAGGTCAAAATGTATTCTTGTCAGTATATTTGATGTTATGACCTAGGTATCTTAGGAGGCCAAAGTTCCAATACATACATAATGACATTCCCATTTTAATCACCTTGGAATATATTCATCCTGCAGTAATCAGACAATAGTAGCATTGTCAACATATCTTTTTCACAGTTACTATCAGTAACTTTTAAAAACTTTTAACTATTCCTTCCTTAAAATTGAGGAAACATATTTTTTTTGGATCCACTATTACTCATGTTGTAGCTTGGAATCTCTTTACTGAAAATTCTTTGCAAAAGTATTCTACTGTCACTAAAAACATACTTTCCTTTGTTTGCTTCATTTTACATAAATGGTATAATAATTTACCAAAGAGATAAACAATCTCATGATTTCATTTTTATAACACATTATTGATGACATATGTGTCATCAATAGTTGTATTCTTTTTGTATGTGGAACCCTAATGAATGAAAATAATCATAACATCTACAGAAATACAAACAAAATCACAATACAATGGTAAAGTGAAAACATTGCACTTGTTTTTACTCATGACTTGAAGAAAAAATAGTAATTTTAAAATAATTTTCAATGGTAACTATTAATTAATATGATAAAATGATATATGTGTTATTGAGTGTAGTTTTAGAATGTGCTTTTCTTGAGATCTTAAAAAAAACCCATACATTTTCATTTGTTCAAATGTGTTTATGTATCTGTATTAGAAAACAGCAAAATGGATAAAATTACATGAATATTAAAGAGTTCTTCTATTTACTCTTGGTGTCAGTATGAAGTTTTCCACTTTATTGAAGTAAAATATAGACGAATTTTGCTGCTCACGGAAGCTAGGATTTCGTTAACTATGGCCACAGTTTGTGAGGTCCATCCATGCATAATCTACACTTATAATATTAATCCAACATAATGTATATTGTGAGTTTGTGGCTTATTGCTTTCATTATTAAAAACCCTTCACGTATTGATTTAATTATGTATTATGGTAAGCTTTTATCTAGATATTTTGCTAGCATTTTGTTTTGCATAGAATTACAGAGCTAATATTGGGTACATATTTTGTAGAGCATCATATACTTTTAATGTTAAAACATTGTAAAAAGAAAAAATCCTATTCCATTGCTTTTTCATCTTGATTTACTTCTTGGATAATTTTGCATTGACTATTATATAAACATACACAGAATTTATCCAAAGCATTTTAATTCATCTGTTCATAAATGCTATAACAATACATTTGAAGGAAATAAAGTGACAGATAATGCGGTTTAATGGAAACAACACAGGAATATAAAACAAAGGCTGTTTGTGACAAATATGGCAGCTCTCACTTTCAAAGAAAAACAAAAGTAGAGACTTTGTCCTTGAACACTGACATTACAGCCTTTTACTTTATAACCGTTTACTTCATGTTTAATGAAAATATGGCATATTTTCTTCTCAGGTTAGTGGAAAATAATAGATTTAGACATTATCTTTGACCTTCAAACTATAGAGGGGATATGAATAATGATGAGCTAAGGGGTAGAGAGCAGTTTAAAATAGCCCACTATGTATCAAATAGGGGCAGTTGACTGTTGTGCTAAGAATATCTTCTTATAACTTTGAAACATTGAACATAAGTCATTTAAAAAAATGGACTATTTTGTACTCTCAGAAGACTTTTTAAACCTCATCTAAAATCTTAGAGCTAAAAGACACATTTGCAACATGTTAGTCTAAGTCTAGATTTTGCAAAAGAGAAACAGAGGCCTAAAAATATGAAGTGATTTCTCCCAGCTGCATTAATACAAAGTGTGATCTTCTATCCTAGTTGCCTGTCTCATTGTGTCACCCACCTTTCCGCTTTACCAAGTTTCCTGTACATCTCTCTCTTGAAGAATCCAACTGGATAGGATACTTAGCCAGAGATCTGCTCATTTGTCTACACAGCGGCGTAAATAGGACAACGTCTCACAACTAAGGAGCTGTAGTCCTCAAGTCATTTTGATAAAGGTCATCCAATCAATAAGGAGTCAGATTCTCAGCAGGTTGAATGAGAGCTACCCCACTAAATTACAGCCGCGGCTCTATCACCCATGGCAAATGTTTAGCCTTGAAAGCATCCTCAGATTTAGGTGAATAAACCAATCCTTCAAGAGAATCTTAGGTTAAACTACAGACAGCACTTTGAAGCTTCTAGTGACATTACTTCTGAACCTCAGCCTTTTCTATTAATGAAACTTATGATAGCAGGTTATCTAATATTTTCAAGCAATATGGATATAAATTATTATTAACTATTTTAAAGGCAAAATAATTTTCCAAGACTCAATGAAATTATGAGCACACATACAATTTTATGTTTTTAAAAAAGTGCAAAAAGATCACCTAAAATACATATATTAAAAAATAAGTCTTAGGTTTGACACTGTTATGAATATAACTGTGAATTATCATGTTGATTATTTTTATTTGTTCAATCAGTTAATCTTGCTTCTCTAGCAATACTACTTTGGATCAAATGGTAATTTTACAAAATTCAGTTACACATTTCTGCTTGCATGCGCACACGCGTGCACACACACACACACACACACGTTTTTGTTGTATAAGAAAAGCTCATCTGCATTATTCCAATTCTAATAGCACCTTTGTGGAACTAGTCAAGTAGTTATTACTTCCATTTGGTATATGAAGCGTCCAACACATGTAAAGTAAATCACTCTCCTACAAATTTCACAAGGGAATTTTTAAACCAGAGTCTTTCCTTGCATTCTCTTTTGATTGAAAGCTCCTTCCACGGCTGAAATTCTAAGAACACGTTGTCTAATGACCTGTTTTTAGTAAGCATTCCAAGTTGAAATGTAATTCCATTATGATATATATACACTTTCATTTGTAATAACACCTCGAAATAGATTAAGTGCCATATTATAATTCTACCAAAAATAAGTGCGAGACAGTAAGAATCAAAAACTTATTTACAAACATAGAGCCTGAAAAATTAAAGAAAATCAATAACAAATTTATTTATATTGCCATACTCAAGACTTAATATTCGAATGCTCTACTTTATTTAAAATTATCTTTCTTTCAAGTTTTTGCCAATCATTTATAGGATGAAGAAAGCTAAGTGTAAATACAAATTGAATAACAAAATATTTACTTTAGTGGTAGACAATACAATTTTTAAAACTGTGACAAAAATTATTTTCATAAATAAATTATAACGGGAATTAATGTCTATCCCTCACTTTGAACATTTTATTAACGCGAAGTCATTGAGAGTTTAGTCTTGTTGTATTATCGTCCCTTTTATTTCCATGATTCAATTTAAATATTATTTAAAGATGAAAACTTTATCTGCTTTAGAAGTCAAGTTTCTGTTCATATGTGGGCTGAGTTTTGCATATATTGTTCAGAGTATTTAATAACCTATTCACCTGTACTTATAATGTAGACAATAAAAACATACAGGCAAGCAAAATGCAAAGTGTGTTTGTTCATTATTTTTTATTCTATTAGCTTTCTCTCTTCATGCTTCCCCAGGTTAGGAAACTGAGAATATACTTAGCTTTCTAAAATGAAAATAGTTTATTCCAAATGAATGGTTACTGATAGAATTTCTAACAAAATGAAAGATTCTGATTAATCTTACTGATAATGGCTGATAACTAAAATATTATTAGATGATAAAGTTTATAGGAAAAGTGGGCCTTCCAAATCATTAACTCTTAAAAATGCAGATGGCACAGTCATTGCGTCTTTCATGAGACTGATAATTCACAAAACAAATTCATATTACATTACCATATCTATATATATTTCTAGGCAATAAAAGACAAGTTTATACCGCTAATAAAATTAGCAATAATTATAATGAAATCTGTACTGTAACACATGAAACACACATAAGTTAAGGAGAATAAATGGCATCCATGTTAAATGTGAAGTTCAGGGAACCACTTAATTCATGCTTCCAAAAGAGGCAAGTGGTTCTATGAAATAAATCTATACTGTTCCTTTTACTGAGTGACTTTAAGGAAAAATTGTATACTGGAACAGCATTCTGATACACTATGTGGTCTTCATTTGGTTAGAGAGGGAAGGAATAGAAATACATATACATGTTGCCAATTCTCTAAAAATGTCTCATTAAGTATTTAGCTCTAATTGGTTTATGTGTGTGTGTGTGTGTGTGTGTGTGTGTGTATTCATACACATGCAAACATAAATAAGATAAAGACACATCTGTATTTTCATTTTCTCATGTTTACTACATTTGATTTTATTCCACTAAATAACCAAATTCTATTCCAAACCCACCATTTTGTTTAAAACTTCTGAAGCTATGCAATACTATTTCTTCCAAAATGTTCTTGATAAATAACTTTCACAAATTGATAGATTTTTTGGTTGTGTTTTCACTGTAGTTTTTAAAATAATCATCTAAGTTATCTAATGAAAGTTAAGTAAAATTTTAAAAAATGTAATACTTTGCCTTGTAAATTTAAATACCCAATTTCTTTTAAGGTTGGCTAATTGACCCATAATTGACCAGTTATAAATATAGTTATATGCAGTTGCTACTTTGTGTTCACAAATAATCGTAGACAAAAACAATGTACACACTAAAGACTTAATAATTTTTTACATATAAAACTCTTTATATTTTGTGTCTTCCAATGGCATGTGGATATATGAAATTCTAATTGGCAGGCACAAAGTATTTTACACATTTTGAAGAAATTTAATCACCTGAGAAAATGCTTTCTATATCACACCATGGAAAGAATAAGAAGCGATTGCAATAAAAAAATTTATGTTTCTAAATATCTTGTCATATGAAAACCAATGTAACTGAAAAGTGGCTGTTACCTTTGACATCATGTCAGTTTCTTGTTTGATTGATGTTCTACCTAGTTGAACTCTTGACCGTTTTGCTATCATGGGATGTTAACAGAAAACACCGACACAGTGAGAAGAGCTACCACCAGTACTGGTCAGTACGTGACCTAGAGCTATCACAGAGCAAACCTAAAATGAACTCTAACCGACAAAGGAAAAGGGAAATACAGAATGTTATTTAAACTTTTTATACTTTATAGGCAATGGCCTTCAGGACATCAGAGAAACATTCTAGGATTAGCATTTCTTTGACATAACATAAATCAACCCAAAGTAACAGTAACCTTTGTTATCACACAGTTTACTAAAATATGAAACACCTCAATACCACACTGATTAGCAGATAAATACCTTCTGTTTCCACAGATGCTAAGTACTTATTGATTTAGCTTTACCTGCTAGTAGTCATTAAGGCCTGAAAAAAATGACCACAACACCATAAATCATTCTCATACTGAAGCATTGATTAAGCACCTGTATGTACATGAAGGCATTTGGTGAAACAGACAAGGTGAATAATGTAAAAATCTGAACATTCAGAGGATGTCAAGATGAAAGACATAATGTGATGCACATGTAGATTACAGCCTAATGTGTGGCTGTACAGCCTCTCTGTAGAATCATTCAAGTCTCGTGGGAGAAGTGCAAGCACACCCAGTATCTCAAATGTGCTACTCCATGGCATAAAATTTATCCAGGCATATTGTCAAATATGATGTTACATCAAAACTAGATCTTTCTTCAATATTTTGTGCATCAGCATAGAAAATATTAGAAGTATATTTGCATTGTGTTTTTGGTCTTTTTTGTGTTTTGGGGTATTTTTATTCTGAAAAATAGACTAGAAGGCTTAAAATCTGAATGCGATGTATGTGTTGGTTTTGTTTCAGTTTCATTTCACCTTTTAATCCTTAAGAAAACACGGGTTTCTCTAGAATGCTTTGGCTTCCGTCTAATCACAGGCAGGGATGGGGGTTTTATGAAAATAACAATAATTGATCAGTAAGAATGAAAATGGAAATTCATCCCAGTTTTGAGAATGTTAACATAACTTTCAAAACCATGAAAATTTGCAAAATGTCCTTCCTTTGCTGTCACCTGAATGATATTTTACCCTAACAACTTGGGCACTCAAAAGGAGCTATCTGATTTCAAAGAAATGGAAGCTTTGTCCTGTTTGTCAAAACGCCAGAGAGCCCTCACAAGGGCAAGTGCTTTTTCTTTCCACTCTACACCCTCATTGGCAAGCACAAGGCCACACACCTTTGAGCTGATTGAAACATAACAAAACTAAGTACTTGCTCCAAGAGTTAGACTCTGACTTCAGGCTACAGCTCAGAACAGAAGGGATCTTTGCTGAACAGAAAGAAAGTTAAACAGATGCAATCCTCAGTGACAAGCAAGAGAGACAACACCGATGCCAGGGAACAACAACAACAACAAAATCTAAGGGCAAGCCGACATTCAAGCAACTGCACAGACACTGAACTCATGAACTAAATGAAGCATTAACAGGTTATATAATTTCAATTGGAGTTTGTGTATAAGAGAAACTTTTTGTACTGAGACAAGAAAATATGCAGACCAAACTGAAAATGAAAATCAACCCTTTGCAAACCATTGTGCTCACTCTGTTCGGAAATGATTAAGAATTTGACCTTCAATGCTCAACAGTCGTATCACTGAAATAAAATAGTAAGGTTGAAGGTTTCACATATTTCAAAAATGAATGTCTTGAATCAGAATTAAAGCAAATTAGTGGCCCAGATTGGAGTGAAGCGGTGTGATTGTAGCTCACTGAAGCCTTGAACTCCTGGGCTCGGGCGATCCTCTCGTTTTCAGGCCTTTTGAACATATTTTTGGTTCAAAAACTGTCTTCAATACTTCTTCAGTTTATATATTAATTCATTAACACACCTATTAAATGCCCATGATATGTCAGGTATTGATGTAGGCACGTGGTACACAAAGGTGATAAGGACCCTGTATCTGTAGTAAAGAGGTATAATAGAGAAGTATTTAACATAAGAGAACATCACCAAACAATAATTAAGGTGACAAGCAAGTTTTCCTTATAATTTTTACTTTATTTACCAAAGGTTTTAAAAATTACTATATCTGTGTATTATGCCATAGGCAAAACAAGAGTAATTTTTAAAGTCTTCCATTGAAAGTTCCATATATTTTAAACACAAAAAGAAATAGCCTAGCATACAAACATTCTAGGGATTCCCAAATAATTTCTCTAATAGCAGAGATCTCTGATGTGCAAGTGGCCAGCGTGTTCCCAAAATATAAGCACTTCTAATCTTGGCAAACTTGTCCTTGAGATGCCAATGTTGACTGGTGACTATCCACAGGCAGGGCTAGAAAAGGGAGTGGAACATTTTACTTAGGCAGGAAGCACTGAAGAGAAGAATCTTTTTTTCAGTAGACATTTGTGGGAAATAAAAATTTGTTTAGAAGAATTTAGGCCAAGAGATAAAATGGTCTTCTTTTGACTGAGGAGAGATAAGATAGATTTTAAGCAGACATCTGAAGTTAAAGGTAAGAGAATTTTGTTTATAATTATATCACATACCTATTATAAGTGTATAAGTAAACTTATAGATAACTAAACTAAAGTTGTATAACTTATAGATACGTTTACTTATACAAGTTGTTATACAAGTTGTATAATTTATACAACTTTATACATGTTGGAACATAAAAAGTACACCAAAATTATGAGCAGACTCATAGTATCTACCAAAATTGATGATTGTTTTCACCATAAAACATAACCACATACAAAATCAACTTAATTAAAATTAATTATCAATGAAACTAGATATTCAAACTGAATAAACCTTCTTTTGGCATTCTTTGTTATACCTATACTATATTAGTTCCCTATAGAAATCCCTTTGTAAACATCTAATGCAGAGTAAGGTGCTTTCAGTCCAATGTCCTCTCCGCGCAAGTGTGATATCAACATTTATTGTATCAGCCTCAAAATGGAAAACTATAACATTGAGCAGAACCTTGGAGGAAGAGAGATTCTGAATTATTTTGCTATATTTTTGTTCTTTTTATGTCAATGGATATTGCTCCAGTGTCTCCTTTATGCTTTTATAACCCCAATTACCTGTCAACTCAAACCAAAGTGACTATCGAGTCATGCATCTCTTAACAACAAGGATAAGTTCTGAGAAATGTGTGGTTAAGCAATTTCAGTTATGTGAACAATATACACAATTTATACAAACCTATGTGGCATAGCCAGCCTCATATTTAGGCTATATGGTTAAGCTATTGCTCTCAGGCTGCAAACCCATACAGCATGTTACTGTACTTAATACTGTAGGCAATTACAACATAATGGTATTTGTTTAAACATATCTAAGCATAAAAAGGTTCATACGGTTTGGCTGTGTCCCCAATCAAAATCTCATCTTGAATTGTAATTCCCATAATCCTCATGTGTCAATGGAGAGACCAGGTGGAGATAATTGAATCATGGGGGCAGTTTCCCCCATGCTGTTCTCCTGATAGTGAGTGAATTCTCATGAGATCTGATGGTTTTATAAGGGTTATGCATTTCCCCTGCTTGCACTCACTCCCTCCTGCCACCCTGTGAAGAAGGTGTCTGCTTCTCCTTTGCCTCCCACCGTGATTCTAAGTTTCCTGAGGCCTCCCCAGCAATGAGGAACCGTGAGTCAATTCAACCTCTTTCTTTAATAAGTTACCCAGTCTCGGTTATTTCTTCACAGTAGTATGAGAACACGCTAATACAAAAGTACAGTAAAAATATGGCATAAACAAAAAAATAATGGTGCACCGGTATAGGGAACTTACAATGAGCGGAGCTTGCAGGACTGTTACTTTGGGTGAGTCACTGAGTGAGTGGTGCATGAATGTGAAGCCTAGGGTATTGCTGTGCACTAATAGACTTTATAACAGTGCACTAGGTTACATTAAAATTATAAAATATTTTTTCTGTCTTCAATAATAAGTTAAACTAATCTTACTATAACATTTTTACTTTACAAACATTTAAGTTTTTAATCTTTTGACTCTTTTGTAATAACATTTAACTGAAAATAAAAACACATTGTAGAGGTCAGTGAGCTGCGATCACTCATCTGTACTCCAGCTTGGGTGACAGAGACACTGTCTGTAAAAAACTTTTAAAAACACATTGTACAGCCATACAAAAGTATTATTTTTCTTTATAACCTTATTTTATAAGCTCATTTCATATTTTTAAACATTGGATATTAGCTTTTTTTAACTTTTAAACTTTTCATTTAAAACTAAGACACAAACACACCCATTATCCTAGGCCTTCACAAGATTAGCTTCATTAAAATTGCTGTCTTCTGCCACTGTGTCTTGTCCCACTGGAAGGTCTTTGGGGGAAATCACATGCATGGAGCTGTCATCACCTATGACAATAATGCTTTCTTCCAGAATGCCTCCTGAAGGACCTCCTTGAGGCTGCTTTACAGTTACTTTTTTTTAATAAGTAGAAGAAGTTCACTGCAAAATAATGATTAAATGTTTAGTATAGTAAATACATTAACCAGTAGCATAGTCATTCCATTATCATTTTAAAGTAGTATGTACTGTACATAATTGTACGTGCTATATTTGTATGTGATTGGCAACACAGTGGGTTTGTTTACACCAGTATCACCACAAACATGTGAGTAATGCATTGCACTATGACATTAGGACAGCTATGACATCATTAGGCTACAGCAATTTTTCAGCCCCATTAGAATCTTATGGGACCATCGTCATATATGTGGTCCAACATTGACTAAAATGTTATTATTTGATGCATGACTGAATCCCGATTTAATTTTCACAGAGTATGTACATGTATCAAAGCATCACTCCATACTCCACAAATATGTATAATAATTGTCTTAATTTAAAAATACAAAAATTAAATAAATTTAAAAAATATTCTAAAGGGAGGCTCAGGCTTTTAAACACTCTTATTCTGTAAGAGTGCATGTCAAAGTGTAGAGGAAACTATAGGACTCCTTGAGGAAACAAGCAGGCAGGCAGTCAAGAGTAGGTGACACCAAATGCTGTGGTTAAAAAATAAAAAAACAGTTAATGAGGGGATACCAATACTTTCATAAAAAACAACTAGAAAATTTGAACAAAAATAGAAGTCATGTCCAAGATGTCAAAGAAGTACTGAAACCAGGATAATTAAAGACAGCAAGATTCCAGAGAGAGGAGAACCTCTGACATTTGTAGAGGCTTTTTACCTGAGGAAATCTGCTGTCTCTGCCTTTGTGGAGGAGGCTGAGAAGGTAGGTGATGGCCCAGAAGAAGACTGCTGTTAGGTAGAGAAAAATTAGCAGACATTTTGTTGGTCTCCTGGGGCTAGAAATAGAAAACAGAGATGTGATGGCCTCTCAATACATGACTGTTTTCCCCTCTATGGTTACATAAAGGATGAGGAGATAAAAAAAAAGACTAAACAGGAAGCCTCTAAGAAGGAAAACAGAGAAAGTGTAGCCTTCCTGAGGAGACAACGGCTAACATTCGCTCAACTGTCCATGGTCAGAGTCATGAAAAACACACCAAGCTCTCAGAGAGTGCAGATATTAAATTAGCAGATCAGGACGTTAAGATAACTATGATTATTCAACTGTAAAAGAACATAAAGGAAAATATTTAAAAAGGTAAAGCAATAGTGATTATACCAAAAAATTGAAAGACTTAAAATAATATAATGAACACCTAGAATTGAAGAAATGTGACTTTTGAAATTAAGAGCTTAATCACTGAATTTAATGATGGATTAGAAACAGAAAAACACAGGATTATTTGTCTGAAATACATGCCAATAAATATAAACCAAAAAAGAGAGAGAGAGAGAAAAAGAAAACACAGAAAAGAGTTTCAGAGAAATTGAACACAGAAAAATTTGTGTAGCCTACCTGTAATTTCTGTTCCAGAGGAAATTAACAAGAGAAAAGGGAAGACATTGAATTTTAGTACATAATGTCAGAAAAAGTATTAAAACCAAAGAAAGGATTTATGGCAGCTGGTTGCAAATCTCCCCCCCAGAAAACTATGGGTTAATATTCCTGCCATGATGTAATGTCCTCTGTTATTGAATGTGGGCCAGCACTGTGCCTTGCTTTATGCAAAAGGCTGTGACAGGGGACACTGTACCATATTAGGCCCAAGCCTTAAAATTGACTGACATCTTCTTCTGAGTCTTCTGGAGCCTGGAGTCACCATGTAAAATTCCAGCTGCCCTTCTGGAGAGAGGCCCTGGAAGACAAGATACAATAGGCAAAGAATTATATCATAAAGAAGAAACAACAAGCAGCCAGGCACAGTGGCTTACGCCTGTACTCCCAGCACTTTGGGAGGCTGATGCAGGCAGATCTCCTGAGATCAGAAGTTTGCAACCAGCCTGGCCAACTTGGTGAAACCCCAGCTCTACAAAAATTAGCTGAGCATGGTGGAGCGCACCTGTAATCCCAGCTACTTGGGTGTCAGAAGTGGAAGAATCGCTTGAGTCCTGGAGGCGGAGGTTGCAGTGAGACTAGATGGCCCCACTGAACTTCAGCCAAGGTGACAGAAAGAGACTCTGGCAAAAAAAAAAAAAAAAAAAGGAAGAAGAAGAGGAGGAAGAAATAAGCATCTTGTACATGAGTGGATGAGCTATCAAAGTTTCCATCTGGAATAAAATATTCTAGCATCCAAATGACTGCATATCCAACCATGAAATAAATGGAGAACCCCAGGTGAGGCTGGCTAAATAAATCTTGAGCCACACTCAGTCAACCCATTGAAACATGAGCTCATAAAATGGTTATTTTAAGCCAATGAATGTTAAAGTGCTTATAATGCAGGAACAGACAGAACAAGTATCAACCTATTGATCAAAAAACTCATTGAACCCAAAGCAGTTTCAGTAAGAGAAATCCACACTTAGGGACGTCTCAATGAAATGCTTAGAAACAGAGAAAAAGAATTTGAATCATCCTGGGTTGTAGTAATAGGGGGCAGGGGGCGGGGGGCGGGCAGTGGAAGTACAAATTATGTTCAAAGTTGCAACAATAGTATTTGTCAAAACAAATAACAAAACAAAACCTGAATGAATGTCAGAAGATAATGGAATGGCATTTTTAAGGAGCTGAAGAAAGTCATTCCCAAACAAAAATTATATACTCAGTAAATATATCCTTCAAAAATAAAGATAAAAAAACAGATTTTAGACAAATTCAAAGAGAATTTGTTGCCAGCAGACCTACATTACAATAGAAATAATATTGTTTGTATAAAGCAATGATAATGCTACCTAATGGCAACTAAAATACATGTAGATAAAAAATGCCTAAAACAGCACAAATGGAAAGAATAAAGTAAATGTATTTCAAATGTTCTATGTTTTTTTTATTAAGGAAATGATAAAAGTAACATTGTTCAAAGGTAACAAAGCAAGTATTGATAAAGAAGCTTTTAATCCGCCACTTAAAAATTAGTGAAATAATATGTAATTAGTAATAGAGAAAATATAGAATATAAATAACTAATACAGAAGAAACAAGAAAAAACAGAAGAAGTAAAATAACATAGGTGGTCAAAGAGAAGATGAATAAGAATGAGAAGATGAATAACATATATCTGAATACATCAATAATTATATTAAAAAATTAATACGGTATTTCATATTAATAGGCTAAAAACACTTCTTTTAAGACTAAAATTGTCAAATTAATTTAAATAGCAGCAAAAACAAAATCCATATAATGCTTAGAAGAAGCACAGGAAAGTTAAAAATAAACAGAACAGGAAAGTTAAAAATAAACAACACAGGAAAGTTAAAAATAAACAGCATGATGGGCTGGGCATGGTCAGGCCTGTAATCCCAGTGCTTTGGGAGGCCAAGGCTGGAAGATCACTTTAACCCAGGAGTTCACGACTGGCCTGAGCAATATGGCAAGACCTTGTCTCCACAAAATGTAAAAAATTAGCTGGGCATAGTGGCACACATCTGTAATTCCAGGTACTGGGAAGGCTGCTGCTGGAGGATCACCTGATCCCACGTGTTCAAGGCTGCAGTGAGCCATGATGAAGTCATTGCATTTCAGCTTGGGTGACCGAGAAACAAAACAAAACAAAAACCTTTAACAAACAAAAAGCATGAAAGAAGTTCTATTATGAGCAGACTCTGTTATAGCTATATTATTAGTATTAGAATCAGCCAACTTAGCTCAAAAGAACTGAGAGAAATAGCAGGTACATGCAGAGAATAAGGGCACAGAAGCTGAAAACAACACCATCAGCACATATGCACTATGGCATGGGTAGGAGATTGCACCAAACAAAGACAGCATATAGTTTATTTTTAAGTGTACTTGTAACATTTTTTAAAAAGTGACCTCTTGCTAAGCCAATGGAGCAACAGTCAACAAATCTTGAAACATTGATATAGTTCAGGGTATTTTTTTGTGTATCAATTTAAAAACATAAGAAAGAAATCCCCAGTTGTTCAGAAAGCACATCAAATACTATTGCATAAAAGAAGAAATCATCACAGAAATTAGAATTGTGAACAAGTATGTGACTGTGACATATAAAAGTTTTTGAAATTCAAAATTGGTGTTTAGAAAAAAATTAAAAACATATAACACACAGACACACAAATGTATGAAAGACTGAAAATGCCAGACTATTTTTGAGGCTTGTATCATCATTTATGATTAAGGCTTTTATCTTAAAGCTGGAGTTTTTAAGCATATGAAATTCACAGAAACTAGAAGGGATTAATAAATAAAAATAAGAGCAGATGCAGGTAAAATAGAAAACATGCATACAGTAGAGAGCATTGTTGTAGACAAAAATAGATTGTTCAAAAGAATTAATAAAATTGATAAGCTTCTAGCAAGACTAATCACTGATAGAAGGAAGAAAACATAAAGATCAATAACTAGAATAACTTGATTCCTATAGTGGATGTCCCAGTGGAATAAGGCAATAAGCTAACAAATAAACAAAATAGATAAATAAGCAAACAGCAGACAGAAATGCAAGTAAACTAACTGCAACTTCAACAAGGAAAAAAATGAATTTCACAGAAATAAATGTGCAATTAATGAAAACAGACACAAACACATACTGTATGATTCATTTATATCAAGTATAAAAACAGTAAAATGTATTAATGTTATTAGAAGCAGATAGCCTTTGATTTTCCTGAGTTAGTTAATAGGCGGCAGCTTTAGTTGGAAGGAAGAAAGAGTTTCCGTGGGGACTGGTATGTTGTATGCTTTGATCTGGGTACTTGTTGCATGAATGTGCTCAGGATGTAAAAATTATTTGATATGCATATTTGTGATTTGTGTATGTTTCTGTATGCATGCTAAACTTAAAGAAAATGTTAGAATTCAATAACAACAAAAAGTCTTGGGAAGACACATATCCTTTAGGTAGATTAGATACTTAAAAACACATCAATGCAAGTAACTTCAGAATTCTTAAATATTGAATATTTTCTTCTTGAACAAAAGTACACAGAGATATTTGCTGGTAAGATTTCATACCGTATTTGAGAGATTAACCATTTTGTCTTTTTTTTTTTTTTTTTTTTGAGACAAAGTCTCACTCTGTCACCCAGGCTGGAGTGCAGTGGCGCGATCTCAGCTCACTGCAAGCTCTGCCTCCCAGGTTCATGCCATTCTCCTGCCTCAGCCTCCCGAGTAGCTGGGACTGCAGGTGCCCACCACCACACCCGGCTAATTTTTTATTTTATTTTATTTTATTTTATTTTTTGTATTTTTAGTAGAGACAGGGTTTTACCATGTTAGCCAGGATGGTCTCGATCTCCTGACCTCGTGATCTGCCCCTCTTCGCCTCCCAAAATGGTGGGATTACAGGCATGAGCCACTGCACCTGGCCACCAGTTTTGTCTTCTAAGAGATGAATGTCTTTCTTTTCCCATTTCTGGGTGTTTATTCACCCAGAATCTGTGTGTCTGTGTGTGGGGTTGGGGAATAAGTGCAGTTTTTCAGGTTATTGGTACCCCAAACATGAATTCATAATTGAGATTATGCTAGGACCCAAAGAGACACAATTCTCTCAATAATTAATGTAAATAAATAAATAGATAAATAAACAAATGGACAAACCAATAAATAGCTAGGGCTTCTCCCAAAATAGATGACAGTGATATAGTTTAACAGTAAGGTCAGACATGAAGGGTTCACAATAGAAAGAGTGGGGGTCCTCCCACTGCATCAATGAAACTGTCACTGTTAGGCAGGCTGGCTCTTCTTTTTCTGAGAACCATGATAGGATTTCAGCAATAGAGTTTTATATTGGGTTTAATATCATATCAGTAAAACTGTGCTTGTTATCATACAGATTCTCTAGTACTTATGGGAAAAGAACAGAAGCAAATTTGGTAATGTCATGCCTTTGGGTCAAATTAAGATCAAATGATCTCACAGCATATTATGTAGAGGCACCAAAAAAGAAAGGCAGTGGTAGAAGGGTGGTATACCCTTAGCATAGGCATAGTTAGCATAGGCAGCCAGATTTAGAAAAATTATTGTCTTGCCATGCTCTTCACTCCTAGAATCATATTGTAAATGACAGTTGGATTGCAGTGTTAAAAAAAATCTGTCAGATTTTTAAAGGATGTTTGGAGTGTTGGTTTTTCTGGCCGGGAAACCTCTGTGGCTGGTGGCACCTTTGCCCGAGTTCTTGTCCTGTGTCCAGGAAGAATGAGGTATGCAGACAAGTGAAGGGTGAGCAAGACACAGAGGGGCTTTACTGAGTGTTAGAACAGCTCAGAAAAGACCCCCGGTGGGTAGCTTCTGTCTGTAAGCAGGCTGTCCCATTGAATATTCAGCTCTTAGCAGCAAGGAGGCCATGGAGTGGGTAGCTCCTCCCTGCAGGCAGGTCATTTCCACATCTGAAACGCTCAGCAGAGAAGATGTACCAGGGTGGGTAGCTCCTCTCTGCAGCTGGTTGTCCTATCACCTGTCCATCTGCTTTCCTGTTCTAGATGAGTCCAGGACTATTTTATGGACCCAGAGAGGAGGAAGTGTCTGGCGACTGGTCCATGGGCAGCCATGGGTGGGCTAGAAAAGGCACCACAAGTCCCCACTCTGGTCCAGGGGACTGGCAGCCTGGCCCGGAGCCTTCAGGCCCTCCCTGAGCTGAAGGTCGGGACTTATCGGGACCTATCTCCTTAGCCCAGGAGCCTGTCTGCCTCCAGCAGCCCTACATCGTCCCTGAGATCACCAGACTTGCTCCCAGATCAGAGGCCCTGCTGACAGCAGGGAGAAGTCAGACAGTGGGGCAGGCACTTACGAGCCTGCAAGGGGACGGGGTCTTCCTGGGCTCTCCCCTAGCAGGGATGCCTGAGTCTGCAGCCACGGTTTGGGCAGCTGCAGCTGCGCCCAGGAGGGCAGCCCCCTAAGAGCACAGGGAGGCTTGGATCCACAGCTGCAGTTGGGGTGGCTGCCTGAATGGGGCTCCTGCCTGCTCTGTGGATCAGGAGCAGAATCTGGGGTCTGCAGCCGAGGTTTGGGCGGCTGCAGCGGCACCTTGGGAGCTCCCACCCCAACTTGGAAGAGGTAGGGCTCCCACCAGCTTCATGGAGGGTGCAGCCCCAGCTGCACCTCTCTGCTGCATCCAGCTCGATGGCAGCAGCAATCCTTCTGGAGCAGCAGCTCCCATCAACATCACATTGATATTGCAAACTTTAATTTGATTATATTTGTATTTCTATTTTTCTTATATCTAATATACATATTGTTTGGATTTTAAAGTTTCATATACACTATAAGCACAGAAACTTCATAATAGTTTTATATATGAACATATTTAGAATTTTACTTTAAACTTCACTTTATTTAAAGCAAAATCTTCCTTAAACCTTTTACTGGATAACCATCTTTGAGTGAAGTTAGAACACTAAACATTCTTTTCCTAAATTGTGTGTTTGCTTTTTATATTCCATGTCAAAGCAAAAAATATAAATAAATAAAATAAAAATCCCTGTATAAAGTTAAACAGCTAAGAAAGATTTTATTGAATGCTATCTCAACAGAACAGAGAGGTCAGAACTCAGTCTGAGCTCAATTAAATGGAACAAAGCCTGGGGAGCTTGTAAGACCAAGAGGTGGGGAATCTTAGGCTACCTATGTTTGCCAATTGGCCTTAACCAAAGGAAACAAACTTGCTCACATTTTCCTAATAAGAAGTAGTTTTACAGCTTACAGCCAGGTGCCTGCTGGAGTTAGGCTGCTGGCCTGGGAGCCGACTCTGGGAGATAGAGCCCTATCTTCCTGGATAATGGTTACACTTTAAATGGACTGCTTCCAGGTTTTTGAGAATGATGTTTCTGGGTTGTAAATCTTGTGGGAAGCTTTGACAAGATTTGTATCTCAAAAACACAGAGAAAGAATTTACATGTGTAAGTTTTCTACAGTGAATGCTCTAAGAGAAGGGAGATGAAAGGTCTGAAGTCAGGAAGAAGCCTGTCTGAAGTTTATTCCAGCTGAGGCCTGAGTGAAAGCTGTCTTGTTCAGTGAAACTGTGTCAACACACATTGGCCAGTTCTTCCTTATGCTGTAATACACTAGAGTGATCTACGTAGCTGATTGTGCTGGTTTGTTTTCATGCCAATATCTCATGTTTGGAACTTAAAAGTCCTGCTTTATCTTTTAATAAATAATCCTTCCTTTGTCTCTGTGAATACAAAATGTCAAAACTACTTATTACATTTGTTACTGTTACAAAATTTTAATGATAGAAACCAATCTTAATTTTACAATTCAAGATAAAAATTGTAACTTTTGAAAAATGTTAAAGACCCAAATTTATTAAAAGACAATCTTTTTTACCTAATTGTCTAAAACTAATGGTTGACCCCAAATTTGTGTACCTGCTAAGTACACAATATGCATTTATTTAATATACTTAAGTAAGCAATCACATTGCATAAATTTTGCATCCTTTTTCTTTTGGAACAGGTTCTCACTCTGTTACATGTGCGATGGTGTGATCACAGTTCACTGCAGTCTCAACAACCCCAGGCTTAAGTAATCCTCCCACTTCAGCCTTCTGAGTAGCTAGGAACACAGGCACATGCTACCACGCCCTGGCTAATCTTTTATTTTTTGTAAATAAGATAGGTTCTCAATATGTTGCCCAAGCTGTTATTGAAATCCTGAACTTAAGATATCCTCCTGCCTTGGCCTCCCAAAGTTCTGGTAAACCCAGTATGAGCCACCATGCCCAACCATTTTTGATATATTAAATAGAAATGTTTCAGGTCAGACAGGATATTGTGTATTATGTCACTACAATATCGTATGGCTATGTCCTCTAGGAGACTTTGAAGATACAATCTTGGAAAAAAGTACTCCACGATTTATTCTGTGTGTGTGTGTGTGTGTGTGTGTGTGTGTGTGTGTGTGTAAAAGAGAAAGAGAGAAAGAGACAGAGAGTTTTAATTGTTGACCTTGAGCCCAAAATTCATACAGATAAATGTGGTTGATGAATTGCAGTTAGTAGTTGAAGGCAAGTTGCTGAGTCTGTATGGGTGAAAACAAGGAGGCCCTAAAAGGTTATATTTCATAGCCTCAAACTAGATTTAAGTAAGAAGCAAATGTTCAAGGACAATGTTAAAATTTGCCATTCTAGAGTTAGCATCTAATTTGTAGAAGCTTAATAAGATAATGGTGCATGCTTCAGCAGTATATATCAATAGGTTAAACAAATTTGCATTAACAATTAATTTCTAGTCCACAAACATTTCATGATAACCTGCTATGTGCCAGAGATATATAGAATTAATTAGGTCATAGCTGCTTCCCTCAAAAGGTTAACTTCTAGTAGAGAGATACACACATAAATAAATAATTTTGATTGAATACACTGCAACTAAACTTTCTTCCCTTTATTCCAAAATAGGGTATGTAAGCACCTAGTAGGTCAATTTAAGATTACTAAGAAAATACAATTCAGGCTTTTCCAATGTCTTTATGTTGGTCCCAGGTTCAACTTCATTAACTAGCAAACTGAGGCAGAATTCAGAATATGTAAAATGTAATATTATGCTGACGCTCACTACTTAGCATATGAATCATATGTAAAATGATATTTATTAAAATTGTAACTTTGATTATCATTATTCACTGAACAGCATATCTTTTACCTGTAAATATTATTTTCAAAACGTCACTGTCATCGTTGTCTACAAAAATGCATAAATGATACATATTGATTTAAAAGTTTTAAGTTAATTCTGGACAGGAAAGAGAAGAAATACTTAACATTTCAAGGAGGGCATAGCTGATCTTACAATGGTTGTGGCATATGTAGTCTAAAACATACACTCAAAATATTATTTTCATTTGCAGAAATTAGAAGCTCTTTATTTTTATTATATATACTACATAAGCAAGCATTCATGACTGATAGAGAGATAGAGAAGACAAACCGAGTAACTTTTATACTCTAGTGTGATGGTAAAGTAGATGTTTCTAAAAATAGTGCTTTGTAAAAAAGAAAGAAATTGTATGTAATATAAAAATAGACTACCACTGTAAAAGTAAAAAATAAAATAAAATTATCTTGAGGTCATGTTCAATTACGCTACACCAGTTAGCTGATGAAGGACAAACCACCATAATGGTGGCATTGAGTTCTAAAGGTTTCTGTTTTTAGATTTTTTCTTATGCTGTTATGTTGTACCCTAGCTTATATGTTCATAATTTTTATTTACTTTTCAAATAAATTTTCCCAATTTATTTCCTAACATATTTTATATTATGTGCTTTGAAATTTTCCTAAATTTGATTTTGATCTCAAAAAGAACAATTTTCTTTGCTCCACTAAACATCATCCAAAAAATAAAGAAATTAAGATAATGAGAAATCTTCACTCTTCTTAATATTAAAGAAAATGGAAACAAAGTTACCACATGTAGGCATTTTACAACAGAGACATGGAATATTATCAACACAGTTCCCTCTCTTGCAGGAGAGAAAAATCTTCACAGTGTTCCCAAATCTTGATATGAGTACATTGTGTTGATATTTACATTCAAATGAAGTTAGGATCATAAAGGGTTTAGCTGGAGCTATTTGCTCATCAGGACTATAGGCCCATCAGGACCCATCCTTTTTAAGTATTCCATTTCTTTAGAACAGAATCTAATTGTTTCTTGAATGATCCTTGTGTTTTGCTTCAGCAATTGCGCCTGATAGGCTATTCCACATGTTTATTACGTTCTAAGTAGGAGGGAAAAATCTTGCTAACATCTGTTATGGGTTGGTTTCTTTTTAATTCTCATTTACATCCCTTGCAATTCTTACTTTTCTGGAAATGGGAACTCAATTGCCACAACATATTAATAAAATAGTATGTGGCTTAACCGTTGAAATGTTTATAGTTTGATGTGTTATTTTATGGCATTAAATCCTAATTATTAGAAATTAGAATGATTTTGATTTTATCCTCAACTAAAAATAATAAAATAATAAAATAAAGCCTACAAAGTAAATGCCCTTCACCAACAAAAGGGAAAAAAACTGAAACAAATAAAGCTACTACATAATCCATGAAGGACTGGTTATTACACAGTTCTAGGAATATATAAAATATAGCAGTAGTTAAGTAAAGCAAATAAAATGCTTTATAAATTGAAAAACTCAAATTATATCCATTTATTTTGTTCATGGGTATATTAATAGTAGTAATACATCCATCTTGGCCTTAACCATATGACTTTTATTATTTTTTGTTTAGAATGTAAATAACATTTACATTTCTATGTTTTATTAGTATATTTTCCTAAGCTACTTCAAACGTAACTAGAGAAATGCAAAATATAAAGAAAGCCAATATTAATAATAAGGAAAGCCTAAAATAAGTATAAAATTTTTAGAATATTTGTTTAGATAGTCTCACATAACCCTCACAATAACCTGCCAAAGAAAATGTTATTACTTTTTTTCCATGTCACCTTGAAAAGAAAAGTAAAACTCAAATAAATAAAATGGTCTACCCAAAATGGCAAAATTGGAATAGGATCTAGGCCTTTGGGGCTACAGTATTATTTCAATGAATAGGTTTTCCATGTAACTAATGTCTAAATTTACATATTTTTATTTTGTCAAGTATGGACTCAGGACTAGCTTCAAGTCTGATGGGTAGTGAATTATTCACATTTTAAATGAATTGTGTGAGTGTGTGTGTGTGTGCATGCACATGTGTGTTTGTGAGCTCATGCCAAGGTGTAAACATTAGGATTATAGAACTCATAAGAACTTCCGGGAACTATAAATGACACACCAAAGATGGAAGACATTTAGAGATGAAGGAAAGAAATGTTGACATTTAGCCCATATATAATATCTAATTGGCACCCTGCATTTGCTGAAGTCATCCAGGGATCTATAAATGATTAAAAATAGGTTTATGACAACTCACCTTACAATATTCTTGCATTGCTTAGAAAGGTGAGCTGCAAATCTAGGTTACATTGATTCTCATAGTTGTGCTCATTCAAATGCCTGAGTCTGATTTAGTAATTTAGGGAACAGATTGTCTAAATCCATGAGCAATTCTCATGGCTTCAGTTATCATACAGTATCTAAAGAACATGTTTTGTAGGAACACCACTGCGAGATTAGCAGCTGCCCTTCCTGCAAGTTAGCCAGGATGGTCTACCCTTCTCAGAAATGTGTTGTCAGGCTCTACAGAGAAATATATGTTTGCATTATGAATCTTTCAGACTTCCTGAGCATACCATCAGAAAATCTAATGAGAAATTGTTTCCAGCTTTACACTTGCCTTACTTTTATCAGATTTCAATATTACGAGAGAAAAAATTTGTGCCTTGGAGAACTCAAGATGCTAATGGTGTATCTGGCTCTGGACTGTCTTCCTGGGTTTATACAAATATCAAGGGATACCAGAAGCCAAAATACAAGGCAGAAAAAAAAAAGGAATCTAAGGATTATGGCAAATCAATGTTCCTTTGATATCAAGAAACAACATTAAATCTCGTATCCTCCATGTTGTTTTCTGTAACAGTCTATTTATGAAAAACTACGCATTGTTTCCTCAGGTCACAGCAACTAGTAATTTGGTTTCAGAAACACTGGTAGGATTTAGATATATACCCTCACAGATGGAGAAGGCAATAAAATAATGATTCTTCAAAGTAGACAATAGTACTTTCTTGGGGTATGGGGTGAGGAGGAAAATGTTATAGGATCACAATGAAGCACATTACAATATTATTTGTGAAGTGTCTCCTACTCATAGTGATATGTAAGATCTAATCAATAATTTGGATTTAGAATTATGATAACAATTATTAATGGTGCCATATTGCATAGTATATCTTGAAAAGCTATAATTTTTATCTGCATGCATTGCAATTTTCTAACTGTGAATCCATCCCTATACTTAAAACTTCAAGGCAAGATTTATCATTGTCTTATCAAAATAGGTGCTTCCTACTATTACATCTTCTACTTTGTTTAGATTTGCCACCCACCATTCTTTCAAAGAAATTTGAAATTTTTTACCTACTTTGCATTTCCCAACAATGTGTGGCATGGGGTACATGCGGTGGAATAAACATCTCAAATTTTGAAGCAAAATTTTGAAGATCAGCATTAGATGCCTATTTGTGCCTCTTATATGTTGTGTGATCTAAGCTCATTACTTTATGTTTTTTTTGAGATTCTGCTTTCTCAACTGTAAAATGGGAATAAAATGAACCTTATAAATATAACATAACCATCTGGTGAGATGTAAATGTGTAAGTCTAAAATTTATTGAATGACTTTTCTGTTTGAAAATGCTAGCTATGTTGTATTGAAATAGTAAAGGCATTCAATGAATTTTAACCGTTTCTATATTTTTCATTCATTATCCTTCTTTCCATGTGTACATATTTTCATTCATTCGCTTTTTGTAATATTCACTGCCACTTATAGATGTAAATACCTCTTACTTCAGGTAATGCCATGGTAAATGAACTGATTACTGTGCCACCTCCCCCTGCCCAACCTACCCAATCATGTTATGTATTGCTTCTGTAACTGTCCTGAAGCACATAACTCATCATGCTTCACCTCTCAAAAAATAGTTAAATATTTCTCCAGGTTGCATATAAAATAAAGTGAACGCTTTTAAGGTTGGCATTTAAGAGCCTCCATTATCTGGCTCAACAGCATTTTCAACTTTAATTTAGCTTCCTATCTTTAATGTCCTCTTACGTATTCTCTACTCACTGGTCAGGCCAATCTATTTCCTGTATTTCTTAAATCCTTCATTTTATCATGCCAGGTGTTACTTTTTAATGCAACTGTAAGGAAGTAAAATTTGTTGTTGTTTACTTATTTCAAAAACTAAAAACCACTATTTTATATACATTATCCCATTTAATCTTCACAAAAACTCTCCACATTAGGCGTTATATAATTGTAAACAGAATAAACATCGAAGCTATGCTGCCTCAGTTGGGAACTGAGCTCTACCACTTCCTAGCAATGTGACTTTGGATAAATTACTTAATCTTTCATTCTATATAAATTTAGAGGGCATTTACTCTCAGGGATACATTTAACCACCATAAGGTTTTCCAGAATCTAATTCCAGTATACATATTTAAACCAAGCTAGGCAGGCATTTTTTTTCACTCACTAATCGCAAATACTTAAGTCTTTAGTTGTTAACACTAACAATAAAAATAGAAAATTAAATAATTGCATATCCTAATGAATATTAATTTTTTCTCAAACACTTTAAGGAATACACCACACACGATTTTCTACATATGCACACAAGGAAATCTTCTGGGCTCTGTTGAATTTCCAGTGTATAAGAGTGATTCAGCAAAAGCAGTGGCAGGATATTTGACCTCGATATAACAAGAGAGAGTAATAAGCCTATGGAAAAGAATGAAAAATAATACTACAATGCACCCACAGAAGTTTACAGCTGCAGATGATATTTCATGATATATAACCTTGTGTTTTGAGGCGTAACATTTTAAATCATTTCATGATAAATCTTACACTCATCATTAAATGACCTACAGAGCAAAAACCGTCTTAAAATATACATTTGCCACGCGCAGTAGCTAGAGCCTGTAATCCCAGCCCTTTGGGAGGCCGAGGCGGCAGATCACAAGGTCAGGACATTGAGACCACTCTGGCCAACATGGTGAAATCCCATCTCTACTAAAATACAAAAAATTAGCCAGGCATGGTGGCACACACCTGTAGTCCCAGCTACTTGGGAGGCTGAGGCAGGAGAATCACTTGAACCCAGGAGGCAGTGGTTGCAGTGAGCCAAGATTGTGCCACTGCACTCCAGCCTGGTGACAGAGCAAGACTCCATCTCAAAAAAAAAATGTGTGTATATATATATATATATATGTGTGTGTGTGTGTATATATACACATTTGCCAACATTTTCATTATTACACTAAACTCTTTTTGTAAAGATTAAGAACTATGACTGAGTGTGTTTCTCCCATAATGAGGTAGTTTCCTTCCTACTTTTCTTCATCTCCTTTTTTTTTCATATGTCTGTTAGAAAGTGGTAAAGTCTTCTCCATTCTATGCTTCCAGTATGGAATGGTAATGAGGAGATTTCAGCTCTAAACATAGCTAGTTTAATAGTTTGGGTTGGGTTTGAAATTCTACCGGGGAAATGTGCATAATCCCTTCAGTGACCACCACCCTAAGTCATCACTTCTCTGGGAAAAGTAACTTTAAAAGAAAGTTTATTATCTCTATATAAAAATAGTAGAAGCTCTGAGATAAACATGTGACAAACAGAAAAAAAGCCAAATAGAAAGCCAAATCTATCTACTCATATACATTCAATGCAGAACGTAATCATTCATTCTTGAGCTACACATTCATCACTTTAGCAAATATACAAGAATACTCCTTATGCTGGTAAGTTCTGTGCTACAGAATGACCAGTGTGGTCTCCTAGGACACTAGGATGTAGACTTAATTGCAATATAAATATAAATGTATGTAGATAAAGTGAAATGCATCTCTTAAATAGCTAAGTGCATCCTATGTATTTTAGACTGTGACATATAATCAAATACACAACAGTGAATGGAAATTTTTCCCAGTTTCTTTTCTGAGTTGATTGTTGTAGAAAGCCTGATAAGCATTAATGACACAGGGCAGGCGAGCCCCCAAATTCGGGCTTAGCTTGAGAAGTTTCTTGGCTTTGCTCAGGAAGGAATTCAAGAGCTATGCTCAGGAAGGAATTCAAGAGCTAGCCAGTGAGTAGAAGAGAACAGCTTTATTGAGCGGCCAGTGTTATAGCTTTGTGACTGCTCCAGCAGAGCTGGCTACCCGCTAGGCAGTGTGGGGAGAGTAGCAACTTAGGGCCATTTAGTTCTGCAGTTATAGCTATATCCACTTTTAATTACATGCAAATTAAGGGAAGGGTTATTCAGAAAGTTCTGGAAAAGGGGTACTAACTTCCTGGATGTTGCCACTGAAAGCGGCAGTAACATCCAGGTGTTACCATGGCAACAGTAAACCAACAGGGCACTGGCAGGCATGTCTTATGGAGATGTGTGTACACGTCTTCCCTGTTTCAGCATGTTCAATCTGGCCCACATAAGTCCCAGCTCTTATTTCATTAATATATGTGTCACAACTACCGATGATATCAACCGGTTTGTTTTTTCATTCATTTTCTGAAAAACTTAACTAGATCTCAAATTTTGTTTTGAAATCTAACCCATATCCCACATTATACATAAAATTTGAAGATCAACATATTGAAAGACTGGTAATAAAGTCAGTGAAACCAGGATTTTTAGTGCATTTATATTATTAGGAAAATACAAATTAAATTATGTTAGTAGCTAACATATTTGATCAACCACAACTGCAACAGAAGCAGATCTGTGGTAACAAGGTTTGCATGTGCATGTTTGTAGAATCAAATCTAGGCATTTAAAAAGGTACATATTTTAATAAGATGGCAAACATGAAAAAGTTAGTTATACAGTTCTCTGGTGTTTTGTTCAGTAACATTGAAAGCTACTCTACAGACTATCATAAGCATACTGAGAATGAACCATGGTTATCACAAGCCCAAATTCTACGTTCCACTCCTGGCTGTGTTTGGTCAAGTTTCTTAACCTGTAATTTCTCTTGTGTAAAGTGCACTTAGTATCTTTGCTCAAAAAGTTGTCATACTAAGTGGATGTCTAGATTGCATAGTCTAGTGCCTACAACTCAGTGAGAACATCGTGTCAGCTGTGAATAATCTTTCCTTGTCCTGTTTTTTCTATTCACACAGCAACACTAATATCATGAGTGTCCTTGATAACGCCAACATATCACATTATAAAATCCTTCATAGAATATGAAAAGTTCTAATTATGCCCTAGGATCTCATTAAGAACAAGAAAAACACCAGCACCGCAAATTGGCCTATGTTGAAAGTGTGTTTTTACTATTCATTTTTGCATGTACAAACAGTCTTTTGTAATGGAAAGAAACATACTATCATTTTTTAAAATGCCTATGGAGTTTAAATGTGTTTGCTCAGAAAGAATTACTCTTGAAGAAAAGCCTATTGTCTTTCTTTCCTTTTTAAAATTTCTCTTCTCTGTTTTATTTTTGTTTGTGATAAGGCTTTATGAGAACTATTTGGTATTAGAAATCAAGATTATCAGAAAAATGTTGAAAAGAAAACTATTATACAAAGAGGAGTAGGGTAAGGATAAAACAAGTCATATGGAAACTTGAGCTACTTTATGGGGCTATCAAAATAAAGAGTGACCTTAGACTTACTGAGCATGTGGGGCCATCAGAGTTATATATATTTAAGGACGCCAAATTTTAAATATTTACGCCTCAAGTCTAGTTAACTGACATCCTGGAGGGCAAGCTACATGTTTGCATATCATTCCTGTATGAGAGCAAGATGTGAAAGTTACTGACTCCACTTATTTAAGGCAGTTTTTATGTATATTTAAGCTTCATATAATTATTATGCCTGATATTAACACTAGTGATGGTTAATATCTACTGAGCTTTTATTACTACTAAATACTGCCCTAGTGCTTTACATATGTCATCTCATCAACAATCAAAAAACTCTCTTAGCTTAATATGATTTTACTTTCCATTTTATAGAAGAAGAAATGGTAGCATGACTTATTAAGAAACTTGTCCAGTAAACCCCAGCTAGTAAATGGAAGAGATAAATTTCAAATCCAGGGTGCCTGTTAGATGAATCAGCTATACTAAAAGATTCAAACAGCAGCAGGAAGTGTAAATGCCTAAGTAGATCAGGATAAGCCTTTCCCAGATCTCAGCCAGAAGTCTGTGATTTAGGAGAAGGCTGCAGAACCCCTAAGTAGCCAACAGGCTTTCAGTGTGCTCGAAAGCCAGTCTCCCACATTTAATGCATCTTGTCTTTCATTTTTCAGTGGATGATTTTGGGTAGCTATCAAGCAGGGGTGGAAAGGCATGCTCAGTGACTCATGCTTAAATTAGATTTGCTCTTATTGCTTTATTTACAGTGTCATGATAAATCATAACATTTCCATCCTCTGGTTAACTGCATATTAAAATGACACGGGACAGCAACACTTTAGTGGGCAGAAAATTAAAAGAATGTTTCTGTATTTCATGAGAAATATTTAATTTTCAACTCTATTTCTTTTAAATCCATGTGAGTGACATTTTTAAAACCTCATACTTTAGCCTTAATAGCAATTGTCAGGTAAAGAAATCAATAATAGTTATGACAGTCCAGTAAAACAAAATAGCAACCAAATCAGGGAAAATAATACGTTAAACTGTTAACTGGTTACATTTACTTTATCATGAAAGGCCTTCAACTCTACTAAGAGTTATTTTAATTGTCACAAACTCAGGTCTTTCTACATTTCCTAAGGTGCCATGACTTATAAACATTCCTCTGTCGGTTAATGATACCTAAATGTTACATCCCTGGGGACCTTTCTCAAGTCCAGAATAATTCTACATTTTTATTCCTTCTCTCCAGAGCCTCCAGAGATTTTGTCAACTTCCATGTTACCCCCACTAAAGGTACACTGGAGATACACGAAAGATACACAAGATACACTACATTTTTAAAACAGACAGTGAAGTCACCATTTGATTTTCAAACAAATGCTGAATATTTTGTTATCAGTAATTAAAAGGGTGCAATATCAAGCAAGAGCACAATTAGAGACTTTTGAAGGTATTTTAGAAATATTACCAGCAGTTTCGTTCAGCATTTACTGAAATCAAAATAAGGTTAATCCTATGTAAAGACAGTGCAATACATTCTCTTAGACCTAAAACATGTTATCGTACATGACCTCCAAGATTTTAAAGAAATAATCAGTCATTTTGTAGTTCACAATACCCTCTACAAATCCATGCCCCACCATGGAGAATCCTATCACTGTAATATATTTTGCCAAAATATCTTAGGATGAAAACAAGATCTGTAATTGCCACTAATAACAGGAAACGGTTATTTGCTGATCTAAACTAAGCACATTTCATTTCTTTTAAAATTTGAACTTTTTAATGTTTTTTGATGGTATCGTCTTATTTTATTTTTTAACTACCTGTAACATAAAGCTTTTCATTCAGGAAATAAAAAGGCATCTTGTATTGAATCCAATTGATGCATATGTGACAATTCAGGGATCTATTTTAGGAAAAAAAAAATCAGACTGCCTATCTTTTATTTGACTTGGTAACATATAGAATATTACAAAAATCTCCCTTTTTACCTTTCATTATATTTTCAGGGAAATATTTTATATCCTGTATCAAATCAGGGATTCACTGGTTAATTCACGTATCCATTCATGAAATCAGCATTACACATTCACATACATTAATTTCTTCTTATAAATTACTGTGATAGGAGCAAAATACCATGAGAAAGAAAAGGTTTTGGATATCTACTTATTCTTAATAGCCTAGTAACAAGGACATGTCACATAAATATATAACAATAATCTTTCAAGATAAATTTGTATGTGTGATATGACACTGTACAGACAGAAGTAATGAAAGTCTATGTTAAGTAAAAAATATTTGGTGTCGTATGGCCTGAGTATATAAAGCTATGTTGGAGAACAATTCATTTCTCAGGTTTCTGTGTTCTCAGGCAGACTTATCATTTCTTTATATCATTTAACCACCTTTACTACTTTTCATAAATTTGATATTTAGAAACAGAACACTGTATATTATAGTACCTCTTCTGTTTACAATTTTCTTTCTTTTTTTTATTTATTTTTTATTATTATACTTTAAGTTTTAGGGTACATGTGAACATTGTGCAGGTTAGTTACATACGTATACATGTGCCATGCTGGTGTGCTGCACCCACTAACTCGTCATCTATCATTAGGTATATCTCCCGGTGCTATCCCTCCCCCCTCCCCCCACCCCACAACAGTCCCCAGAGTGTGATGTTCCCCTTCCTCTGTCCATGTGATCTCATTGTTCAATTCCCACCTATGAGTGAGAATATGGTCATCTTAATTGCTCACATGGATAATTTGAGATATTTTTACATCACATTTTGTTAAGATTTTCAAGTAGTTTTCTTTTTCAAACTTTTCGAATAATACATTTACACCTTATGCAATAAGGATTTCTCTGAAAGATTTTTCAGTCATTCCTTTCTTTTAAAATGTTGAATTTATTTTCATTTTTGAAAAATGGTAAACTAGATGTTAAATCAAACTCCACCCTGGATAATATATTAATAAAAGTTTAAAATGCATATCAAAACATTGAGAAACTAAATTAATATTTTTTAAATGTTTTGGCATGCATTTAAAACTCCGATTTATATATTTATATATTATATATTACATTTATATATTTAAATATACATTTATATATTTATATATTATATATATTATATATAAATACATATATAATATATAATATATTATATATGTATTACATATAATATATATTATATATGTTATATAATATATAATGTATTTTAAAATATAATTACATTATATATTATAATATATATTATATATGTAATATATGTAATATAATATATTATATATTGCATATAAATATATGTTTATATATAAATATATGTTATATTACATATATGTATAAATATATGTTATACATTACATACATAAATATGTATTATATAATTATGTATATACATATATATTATATATCTATATAGAGAGAGAGCGGGAGAAAGAAAGAGCGGGTGTAGGGAATAAGAAATAACCAACCAAAGAATAAGTTGCAAGGGTAAACTACAAGGGAGTCAGTGTCTGACTGTGTTTATTTGTCTGTATCTAGGATTCTAGAAATTGGATCTTAATCAACCAGGAAGAAAGTATTAAGTGTCAGAGATAATGATAAAGTAAAAAGCAAACACAGCCCATATGCAAACACATGTATGAACAACACATATAAAAAATCAAGATAGAATCTAGGGGTTTTGGTTAAGGAAATCAAGCTAGTAAAAAAAAATTAAAGTTCAGGATTAAGATAAGTTCATTGGGGAGGGAAATCAGAGTTTAATAATTTTCTAATCCCTGTACTGTCTAAGAAAATATTGAAAATAACATTTATGCTTAAGTATTTTGAGATAACATAAACATTTAAATTCCTAGGGCAATCATAAGATAATAAAAATATTACATAAAGCTTTCATTACAGTTAAAGAAAAATAAGGAAACGTTGAAGGAAAACACTATTAAACCAAAAGCCTAAAATGAGGCAAACAAACAGAGAAAAAAATTAGAAAAATAGAAAATAATATTATGGCAAAAATTAAATAATGTATAAGAGCTTTTATATTTGCAATTTAAGTGAGTTGAAATTTTAAATATACATACGAACAACTAAAGTGCTTTCAGTAATTTAAATATAAAAGACGAAACATAAATATTCTAGGGTCAGATATAGGAGGATATTTTTGTAACAAAGGATTGGAAATGAAGTTTTAAGAGCAAAATATGAAAAAGGGGACATGTTAATAAATTTAATTATCTTACATTTAAGAATTTCTATTTATTAATACTATAAAGAATAAAAAACCACAATCTATGAACCAAATAAAACATTTGCAAACCATTTTGCCTACAAATGATTCATACCCAGAATATATGAAAACGTTCTACCCACCAAAAAAAGATAAAACCAATTGAAAAGTAGATAAAGGTGCAAATGTAATTTCATAGAAATGGATTATAAATGACCAATAAACGTGAGTACACTGTCAAGTTCATCACTAATCAAGAAAATGCAAAACAAAATTTATGTTCACTACATGGGCAGAAACTTTAACATCTCATAACAGGAAGTGTTTTAAAGGATGAGTACCCATGGATCCTTTGTTCACATTTGATGAACGTGTAAAACGATACAAGCACTTTAAAGATCAATTAGGCATTACCTTGCAAAGTTGAATATGCATATGCACTGCAACCCAACAATCACATATGTATGTATACATGTAAATATGTGTATATAAACAAAAGTATGTATACGTAAGTATGCATACACACATGCTATAGGAGATGCGTATGTTTATCAGACAATATGTAAAATAGTGTTCTTGGGAAGTGTTGTTATTCATCAAATACACACTTTCAGTAGAATGAATTAATACATTTTTGTTCATTGATACAATGAAATATTTACTAACAAAATTTATAAAATAATGTAATAGCTATTGAATTTACAAAATGTTTTGTTGGTCACAACTATTTTAAATTTTACACTGTATAAATATTAGGAGAGGAATTAATATTCCACCAAATTCATCACGAGTAACAAACATAAGAGGTGATTGGATATATGTATACATAGCAAGCGTTATATTTTAAAGCTGCTATTTGAATCAAGAGTAAAAGTCACTGATTGGCCACGAAACCGCAGGTTAAGGTCGAATAATTGTTGACATTTCAAGTAGAGCACTGAAGAATGAAAACAGTTTTCAATGTCCACTGAGTCACAAGGTAGATATTCTTGCATTGCTGGGGACCGGAAAGAGTAGTACAATATAGTGGCTTATTTCTATTCAGAGTCAAATATAGTCTTCCATTTTACTTCATGAACAATGTTATAATTGTAAAATTTATGAAAACATTTATGAAATTAAACCAATATACTAGATATTAATAATCAGGAAACTCAATGTTTCTACAAAAACCAACAATAGCAAACTTTTTGACTTTTTCACAAGCAAATATCAGTGTTGGGTGAATGACATGGTTTGGCTGTGTCCCAAACCAAATCTCATCTCAAATTCAAATCCCCACATGTCAAGGGAGGAATCTGGTGAGTGGAGATTGGATCATGAGGGCAGTTTTCCCCATGCTTTCTTCATGAAAGTGAGTGAGTTATCCTGAGATCCAATGTTTTTATAAGTGTTGGTTTCCCCTGCTCTTCTCTCTCCAGCAACCTAGTGATGAAGGTGCCTGCTTCCCCTTCCACTATAACTCTAAGTTTCTTGAGGTCTCCACAGCCATGTAGAACTGTGAGTCAATTATACCTCTTTCCTCTATAAATTACCCAATCTCAGGGTAGTTCTTTATAGCAGTACTATAGCAGGACTAACAGTGAATTATTTATATTATTATAATAAATATATTTGGTTACTTAGAAGGGATTATTTAAACAACTTTTAAGTATTGCTCAGCAAGAGTGTTTGCTTTATTATAGGTAGAACAGAGGCAAGTGGGCATAAAAGTTTTATTTGTGTAAAAACTTATGAACTTTCAGTAGTTGCATTGTATTTTTCCCCTACAAATATTGTCTAGGGATTTTACAAGCATTTTATCTTCTTCAGCTTGTCTGAAGCTAGGGTCATTTGAAATATCTCATAATTTAAACTCTTGTTTTGCCATTCACTCAAGACCAAATGCTACTTATGATTTTGTGTAATATACTGTCAAGAAAAAAACAATAGAATGGTATCATATTATGATAATTTTGGATTGTATTGCATCTAATATCATCTTTCTAGGTTTTTTCTATTAATACTATCCTTCTAGGAGCAGAATAATTCACATGAAAAGGCATTTGAATATACATTTTGGTATCATTGATTGATTAAAAAGCAAAAAGCTTAGGTTCTTAGATGACTTTCTTTTGCAGCAATATCAGAGTGAATCTATATTTCCTGTAGGGGAAGTAAAAAAGACACCCAATGTTCAGATGCATAAAATGCCTTCAAAGCCTGACAGTGATGACAGAGAGTTTCACTAAGTGCTTTACTGGCTCTTGGCCATGTTGGCAGCAGGAGGGGGCAGTGTATCACTGGGTACTCTGCTGCTTGCAGCTTAGGCTCTGCTATACATTACAGAGTGAGTATCAGAGAGGAGCTATTGATCAGAGATAATTTTCTCTCATTGAGAAATAGGCTTTCACTACCTTTTGGCCTTGTTAGTAAAACTAGTCACTAAGAAAAATGTACACTTAGTTTCAGGGTTACTGGAGAGAAGGAAAATACTTCTCAAATGACATCATTAGATTCTAGCCGGATGTGCTCGAAACTACCATTTGAATGTAATTAATGGGTCAGTTTGTTAAATGTAATTACTGGTTTAATTTCTCTCCCCTCTACCACCATATATAGAAGATCTATAATCCATTTTCAAATAAAGACACTATGTTCAGTTTCCAATATAATTTTTCTACCTAATAATCTGACTGACAATTAAATTTGTGGTTAGGCTAAGGTTAGAGTTGCAGTATCAAAGTAGTGTAGATTGAAGAGTCTCTTACTCTTCACATTCACAACCGAATCTTGCCTGTTTTGTCATAACCACCTTGAAATGGTGAGAAAAATCGCCCAGAAAAGTGAACTCAGCTGTGTGAAGAATCATGCACACAAATCTTCCCCAGTGCCTAAGGCTCCTTGCAGACCCAGGTTTCATGCTCTTGCCAACTAGGACAGATTTCTAAAGCTAGATTTGCTTCTCTGGCTGACTGACTTCAAAACCTATAAGGATGAGAGCCTTGGAATGGAATCAAAGTGTACACTGCACACTGCAGATGGAAGGCAGCCTTTAGAAAATTATTTGTGGCTTTGATTTGCACTTCTCTGATGATTACTGATGTCGAACATTTTTTTCTTATGTGTGTTGGCCACTCGTATGTCCTTTTATTGGGAAGTGTCTGCTCATGTCTTATGTCAGACTGTCTATCATTAAAAAGTCAAAAAACAACAGATGCTGGACAGGCTGCAGAGAAAAGGGAACGATTATACACTTTTGATAGGAATGTAAATTAGTTCAGTCACAGTGGAAAGCAGTTTGGAGATTTCTCAAAGAACTTAGAACTACCATTTGATCCAGCAATTCCATTATTGGGTGTATATCCAAAGGAAGTAAATTGTCCTACCGAAAAGACACATGCAATTGTATGTTTATCACAGCAATGTTTACAATAGCAAAGGCATGGAATTGACCTACGTACCCATCAATGGTGGATGTGGAAAACAAAATGTTGTTTAACAGCATGGAATACTAGACAGCCATAAAAAAGAATGAAACCATGTCCTTTATCGCAACATGGATGCATTTGGAGGCCATTATCCTAAGCAGATTAGTACAGGAATAGAAAACTAAATACCTCATATTCACACTTATAAGTGAGAGCTAAGAATTGGGTACTCATGGACATGAAAATGGCAACAGTAGACACTGGTGACTACTAGAGTGAGGAAGTAGAGAGAGAGAAAGGATTGAAAAGTAATTACTGGGTACTATGCTCACTACCTGGGTGATGAGATCAATTATACACCAACGTCAGCATTAGGCAATATACCCATGTCACAAACCTGCATATATACCCCTGAATCTAAAATAAAAGTTGAAAAAAAGAAAAATATTTCCATGCATCAGTTAAATCTACCCTATAGAACTCCGGCCATATGAAACACTCAACCTTTTCTTGGAGAAAGGAAGCAAGGAAGAACATGAAACTCTATTAGGAGACAAACATATTGTTATTTCTGTGGGATAATATCTTCTAAATGCAAAACAAAAAACAACAAAAATGACTTATTTTAGGGTTTACCATTCCACCTTACACAAAATACACATGTAATATACAGACAATATTTTAATTAGGTTAGCATTTAAATTAAAATTTATTTAACTACAGCAGAACAAATGGAATGCAATTTGAAAAGTATGTCTTCAATATTAATAACAAAAACAATTTATTGGACACCTATTTTTTTGGATGTCCATGGACTACACATTTCACAGATTCCTACCCTCAGTAAATGATTTATTAAAGTTTCCAATATAGAAGCAATTGAAACAAGTTAAGATGGTTAGAAATTACTTAATGACCTTCCTCTACTTATGTTTATTTTCTTGTTTGAGTCCTCCAAATTTGCTGAAATTATTTGTCTTTAACATTGTCAGAAATGCTGTTAAGGCTGCTATTTTTGGAACAGTGGGAGCACTGATTTCTGTTCTGCCTATGCTGCTAACCTAATCATTTCAGAAAAAACAATTTTCCTTATTAACCTCTTCTCATAAGGTCTTATGAAGGAATGACAACAGGGAGATATCAAGGAATTAATTTTAAGTTTTGTAGAAGTAAAAGAAATTTGAAGTCACGTAAACCAATAAAACAATCTGAGTCACTTCAGTGCCCCTGTTCTTATCCCATCAATCTTCCATCCTACACTATGGAATCATTTCCACTGGTCTGCAAGGTTAAGAAGAGTAAGTCTTGAACTAGATACACAAACAGAACGCTATTCTGAGGTGCAAACATTGTCAAACCTTCCCTATGCTTAAGGAAACACTCGTAAATTGGGTGCTTCTCTTTTCTTATAAAATGCCACATCTTTATAGAATATAATCAATTATGAGCTTGTCATTATGATTTGTTCACTAGAACACAGCATGACTCTAAGAGTTTACAGGCAATTAGCATGTTTTTAAATATTTATATATGCCAAGTGTTAACATTCATTAAGTTAACAGGAACAATTTTCAATAAGTCCATTAATGGACAATATAACCATTTTACCAGTTTACTCATATCAGAGACAAATCTTTTAAGTTTTTATTGTGGAAGTTGAAGCAAGTAATATAAAATTAAGTAATACAAAGCAAAAATGTATGCCTCAAAATAAGAGTAATATGAATTAAGTTTGTAGCTTTTGGTTCAGTTTGGTCTCAGGAATCTGTTATGTAGTTTGTTATATAAAAGTGGTTCTTGTTATGTTCAACACAGTCCTACATTTGGAATTAAGACACCTGTCTCCTTGTATAATAGTCTTTGTGAAATAAATGATATTAACTTCCAACTCGAAAAAGCATTAATAAAATAGAGCAAATCTAAGGGGAAAATAAAGATGCTTACAGGGAATGAGACACACATGTCTCTTTACACATGCACGCACACTTACAACTGCAATGTAGTTAAGTTTCAGTTGTTCCACATTATTGTCAACACTTGATATTATCTATAATTTTAATTTTAGTCATTCTAGTTGTTGCGTGCCAGTGTAATTTTTGTATTTCCTCTGTTATAACTTCCCTTAGGGAGGTGTGTGTGTGTGTGTGTGTGTGTGTGTGTGTGTGTGTGTGTGTGTTGTTAAAAGGATCCATAAGGATGCCTTGATTCTACCATGGCAAAAAAATGAAGACACATGACGTATTTGAAAAACTTCATTGCACTTTGGGGATTGATTCATATTTGAATGTGGTTAAGAATGAATTTATAGATACCAAAAGGAATAGTTATAGTAAAATACATTCTAAATTTGGTTTTGTTAAGCAATTAATATGAATAAAATACAAAAAAATTAAGTATCTACAAATTCCGAGTAGAATAGAATTAGAGTAGAAGGGGAGAATTTATAAAAACCATCCTAGAAGAGGTTAATCAAAAGTACACTTTTACTACCTTTTAATTTTGAAAAATCTCAACACCATGGAAAAGTTGAAAGAATAAGGAAATATATGTTCATATTCCTTCTACATGAATTTACCTAAGTATTTTGCCAAATTTGCTTCCTCTTGTGTGTGTGTGTGTGTGTGTGTGTGTGTGTGTTACATTTGACGAAACGCTTAGGAGTATATTAAATACATCAAGGCACTTCATCCTTAAATAATTCAGCATGCATTGTCTAAGAATATAATCCACATTCTATGCAAGTACAGTACCATTATCATGCTTAAAATGAATGAAGATTTATCTTTAATCATTTTAAATCAAGTAGGGTTTACTCCTTGTTTAAACACAAAACATTTAATTTGGAGACATCCCAGGCAGTTTTCCTCAGGAATTCTTTCTCTGTTTTTTTAATTGTTTCTACATTATACTGGTGAACTTGTGTCTATATGCTCTGTTTTCTGTAAATTGGAAGTTAATCTAGAGCTCTGATTATATTTGAATTAAATATTTTATAACAGTGCTTTATAAAATAAATTATGTCTTTATGTTGTATCACATCAGAAACACAGTGACTGGTTTTTCTGTTACATTTCTATGACTATTTAGATAATGAGGCTATAATGAGTCAGGAACTGTCCTATGTGTAAAGAATGGAATCTAATAAGATAGGTAGGATTCTCATAAAACTCTCAATCTATCAGAGAAAACAGAAAATACAACAAACAAGATAACTTCTAATGTGCATAAATAACTTAAAATAGGTTACTGTGATGATACATGAATGGGTAGCTATATCAAATTTGGTGGTTAAGGAAGCCATTTCTGTGGAACAAAATTTAACCCATTTTTTTTGTGATAAGCATCAGGTACCCACAGGTCGAGGAAATTGGAAGACAATCAGGATTAGGGATGAAAAAGCATTGAACTTTATGTAATATATGCATATATATATATGTGTGTGTGTATATATATATGTTTGTGTATATATATGTGTATATATATGCATGTATGTGTGTGTGTATATATACACATATATGCATGTATGTAATAGTCTAAGCTATGAATTTTGGTCTTTTAAAATGTGAAATGTGTTTCTGGTGCCTTTTAGGAAATGTCTCTGGACATGCAATTCTGGGGTTTATTTGGGTACAATCAGGCCCAGATATACACCTTCAGGAGTTATCAGCATGCACATAAAATGTAAAAGAGACAGTTTAAGGCCAACCAGAGAGAGAGTATAAATGCAGAAGATAAGTGGTCTTCCGATGGTTATTTCGAATACTTTGTAATTTCCAGGATAGTTAGTACAGAAATAGTCAGCCAAGGAGACCAGAAAATAGCCAGTGGTGTATAAATAAAACAATATTCATGAAAGCCAAGAAAAAAATATGTTTTAAAATCGTTTTTTACTACGCAGAATGCTGCTGCGAAGAACAAATACAACTCCACTATGTAAGGTTAGATAGAGATCCTTAGTGATATTTGAAAAAAAAAATTTAGATAAAGTACCTTCCCAGTTACCTATTTTGACATTTCCACATCTTTCTTATTCTCCACGTTTCTTTGATTATCGTAATATTATATAATTAATAACATGAACTAGACTGGGCACAGTGGCTCATGCCTGTAATCTCAGCATTTTGGGAGGCCAAGGAGGATGAATCACTTGAGGTCAGGAGTTCGAGACCAGCCTGGTCAACATGGTGAAACACTGTCTCTACTAAAAATAAAAAAATTAGCCAGGTGTGGTGGTGCACTCCTGCAATGACAGCTACTCTACTTGGGAGACTGAGGCAGGAGAATCGCTTGAACCTGAGAGGCAGAGGCTGCAGTGAGCAGAGATCACCCCACTGCACTCCAGCCTGGGTGACAGAATGAGACTCCATTTCAAAAAAAACAAAAAAACAAAACAAAACAAAACCATGAACTCTGTAACCAGCTTACTTGGGTTCTTTGTGATATTGTATATGATACTCATCCTGTCTTTGTCCAGTCTCTTCATTTATGAAATGAAAATAGTATTTGTATTATCTCAATTTTGTATCTTCATAAAATACAAATTTGGGGCATTGAATATGTACAAAATCATTAGAATAGTGTCAGACAAATTGCAGATGCTATATAATTAATTATTATTTCTACTACTATGATTGTTCTTGTTAGGTTATTGTGATTACTATTTATGCCATTATGATTTATGTGTTTCTAACCATGCTATGAAATTCCTGTTTGTAATGTTTTTCAGATCACTTCCTTGTCATTTCTAAAAGATTCTTTCCTAATTTTAAATCTTTTATGTTACACTTATTTGCTTGTGTTTATCATGTCACCTCTGCCATTTGCCCTTGCAAACATCAGCCAAAGGAACATTCAGAATGTTAAAGAATTTTGCCAAATGTCGTTTATCTCACTTGTTTCACCAAATGATCAAGATGCTCAACTCCAAAGCTATGATTTCTCCTATAAAATCGTGTCCCTTCATCCATTATCAAGTCCCTGGCAGTGATCCACAGACTGTTTTCTCTCTTAATCTTCCTATGCTTTTTGATGAAATCTGCAAAAATATCCATTATCCACGAATCCTCTTTTGGCACAATCTTACCTGACTTTTTATTTCTGCTAGTCTTTCATCTCTTCTAACCACACCAACCCCTCTTCTCCTTCTCGCACAACCAGAGTTACCTACAGGTAGTGATTTCATGCTTTTATGTTTCATCATGGACTCAATCTGAGAACCTGAGAACAAACTCCTTATTTATTCTTACTTTAGAATTTTCCTGTTTCTGCTATAATTTCTCCTGTCTCTCACTATCTCTTTCTTCCCTTTCTCTCTCTCTCTCTCTCTCCACACACACATATATACACATATAACATTATTCTTATTGATATCTGCAGAAAAGTATACTATATTTTAGTCTTTCACTTATTTCTTACTGTGAAATAATTAATTATAAATGTTTTAACCTAACACTAATTTTGGTAGCCTAGAACACAACTTTTTCTTTCTAAATATCAGTATTGCTAAAACATGCTTTCTTCCTATTATATGTTGAATTTAATCACTTTTCTCATGTAATAAGCCAAATTATAAGTGTTATCTTGTTTAAAAGCAAACTTAGAACATATATTGTCCTAATAAATGATGTACTTTCCCTTTAGAAATATATTATTTCATACAAAAGTGCTGACAATTATACTGCAGTACATCTTTTTGCAAGAATATTTAAATCTAATATATATTTATCATCAATTGTCTTTCCATCTTAACATCTGACATGTTGATTTCAAATATTTGTTATAAATATTACTTTTTGGTCACTGTCAAATTTGTTTTCTTCTATGGGTTTTAACTACAGAACCCCAGTAAAGCCCAGAATAATATGTTTTTTACGAACTAATGTCATCTGTTCTACTCCAATATTTAATTAAATAAATTTAAAACCAAGAGAAAAGTTGCACATCCATATACCTGTAACCTACGTATGCTGATTGTTATTTTGCCACATCTGAGCACTAGCTCTTTTCACTCTTTCTATCTCTCCCCAGACATCACACATATTTGATGAGCTGCAGATATAATTCTCCCTAATGGGCAATGTGCACATTTTTGCCTAATAAAAAGTACACTCCCCTTTACAACCCACAACATACAGTGATTAAACATTAGAAATTGCACTTTAATACTGCCGGTTATCATGTCATGCTAACTTAAAATGCATGATCAAATATCCCAAATTATCCTAGAAGTATTCTTTATAGCTATTTTTTAAATCCATGATCCAATCAAGGTTAAAATCATCCTGTCCTTTATCTCTTATGACCAAAATTTTAAGCAATATTTTTTGTTTTGTTTGTAATTTCATTGGCATTTATAAAAAACCCAAAACAGATTTTTTTTACAATACTCTTAATTTGGATTTTTCTGAAAGCACTTATTAAAATATAGTCATGTTAAATAATTTTTTTGCCCCAAATACTATATTTTTTATTTTTTTTTAGACTGCAAAATGGGGCCACGTGGTATCCATTTATTTTGAGTCATGGTGATCAGATTTATCTATTGTAAACATAACTTATTCTGTTTATTATTGGTATGTAATCTGTGTGATAATATTTTAAATTTGGTGACTTTGTTTCTCAATTAAATTTTATTAATTGGTCAGTTTAATTAATTGGCTTGGTTTTAGCAATTGTTGATAATTTTTTGATAAATCAACTATTGTTGAATGACTGTAAAAAGAGAATTTTTATTCCATCATTCTTTCTAAACTTATTAATAAGTATATCTTGAGTGACTTTCTGTTCTCTTCATTCCTAAGTTAAAATATATTTATATAGAACCACTGATTTATTTTATTCAATGGGTTATATCTCAGGCTATCATTTAAAAGTCAATGTTTAATTTTTTTTTTCCTAATTTGGTCACTGCACACCTCTTCAAATTGGCTCCCGTGTCCTTTTAAAAGTCCCATCAATGTTTTTAAATGTTTGGCTGTCTCACACAAGAGGTTTAAGGCTCACCTTGTATTTCTCCTGAACTAGACATATAATCAGTCATATGCTCAGCAATTTACTGCTCCTTTAACTGGAGAATGAAATAAGATTGCAAAATACCTCATGGAACAAATACATTTACCATTCCATTCAGCAATACAGCTTCTGGGAATGTACCCAGTGACATAGCTCCAACGATACAAAAGCATACATGTTAGTATGTTTATGCATGTTTTTTGAAATAAGTAAATATGAGAAATAACCTACTTATATATAGATGTTTGTCAAATATTGCTGTTACAGCTGCAAAATCGAACAGTATTTGTGAAAGATTTGATTTTGTAAATAATATATCATTTTGTTTACTTATGCTTCGATGACTATTTCCTTTTTGCCGCTTTTTAAATTCTGAATATTTGTGCTTTTCCCCTTTTATCCTTACTTAATTTACTCAGTGGTTTTTCCAGTTTTAATTTTTTGAAGAACAAACATTTAGCATATTAATTCTACATTTAGGGGATTTTCTGTGCCATTGATTCTACTTAATTATTCCTTTTTAATTTTTATTTTCTGTTTAAATTTAGTTTTTTGTTCCTCTTCTAGGCTTTTGAGTGAAAAAAATAATTACTTTATTTTTATTATTTTATTTTTATACTTACACTTTTTTGTAATCAGTGGTTAAATATATTCCAAAATTCTGATATGAAGTAGTTTTCATTATCAATGTTATATAAATTCTTCTGCTTCAGTGTAAATTTTCCTTGTGCTCAAAAATTGTTATCAGAGAGTTCTTGTCATTATTATTATTTTTAAACATTCCTAGGCAGAGGAGACTTTTTCTTTAATATGCAATTTCATTGCATTGTAATCAAAGAATATAATTTTATTACTTATGGTCTGTGGAACATATTGATACTTTCTTTGCTACTTAATATATGTCCACTCTATTTGAATTACTTTTCTGACTTGCTGTAACTTTTTTATGTTCACAATGCTAATTAATTGGGAAAAAAATTGTTTTCTGTGTCCTGTATGGCCTCTGTTTACCCAAAAGGAGGTGAGGAAGACTTAGCATTAGCAACTGTATTCGCTAAAGTTTGGATAGTGGGTATAATCATAGGGAAGTCACATAATTATCATATCATAATTAATCAAACACTGTTTAGACTTCTTTGGGGGTAGGTTTCATTTTGCATGAGACAATGAAAGAATACAATTCTCTTGTTTGTTGTAGATTCATTTAACTGTGGCTTTTATCCACTCTAACAGGGGCAAAGCCACTACATTCTGAGAATGAATTGAACACCAAAAATCATATCTAATAGGAATCTAGTAATATTTCATATAATCCCTGCTATTCTGAGGTATCTAATATCAATTATAAAGTTATGACTCTGATATTTCAATTTGAGAGCTTATGACAATAAAGATTCCATGGGTAAGGGCTGGTATTTCTCTCCAAAGTAACTCTACGTTTATATGTAACAGCTTGTATTTTTTTAGTTTTATTAATGAGTTGTTTATTCTTACCTGGAGCTTGGGCTGTATTTCCAAATTAAAAATCTCAGTGGTATGACACAGCAGTTATGTATGCTGTTATACCAAATACCCTAAAGAACATTAGATGGCAAATTAATGGGTTCTGATTTTAAACACCAGCCTTAAACCAATCTGCTCTGTCTTCCTCTCCCATGATAATGGCTTTACTTTCAATAATCATCTTCAAAGTAACCATGGAGAGCAGATGTGTGTGTGTGTGTGTGTGTGTGTGTGCCATTTCCCTTCAGTTTTGCCACTTTTAATTTTTCCACCCATTGCCAATTCCACAGAATTATATTTTTTACTCTGCGTTGACAAGTTAAGTTCTATGTAAAAAATTAAAGTTGGATTGACATGCTTTCACACAATAAAAATTTAACACTACCTCACCAAACCTTGTTACCCCCAACTATTTTACCATATAGAGTCTAGAATGTCTTGTAACATACTAGGTACAGGCTCCAGGCCACTTTACCCAGGCTGTGGGCTAAGTTGCTGGAAATGAAACTGAAGCACCTACACACTGCAGCAAATCCAGACAACATCGCTGTCCATTACTCAAACCTCTGTCTGCTGTGGTTATTGCATAGCCCTTTGGGAGTAAGATATTGATCACAACTCTCGGGATGATTCTCATTAATCATGGATCTCACAACAATTTTAATAGAGTACAATCTGCCTTAGTACAACATGACACAAATCAACATTTCATTTTTCTTAAACTACCGCATTCCAGAGAACACCATTAGAGGAAAATAAATCCAGAGCCAGCATCTCAAGTGTAATGGCTCTGGGGTAAATAGCTGAGATAGTTGTTAAATTTTTACCCAGAGAAGCAATATCGATAACGGCAAACAGTAAAAATTTTGGCAAAGAAGTTAATAAATAAATGTTTATCACGTATTGGAATATCTTGCAATGGTTAAAATATTAAAATGTTAAAATGAATTAATCAATGTGTCCTAATGGTTGATGACTTTATAAAGCATAAATATGAATGAATATAAATTAGGTGAGGCTCTTGAAAATAACTGAAATGTGACTTTTGAAAGACAATCCAAAATAATTGCATATATTGTTTGTGGGGACAATGTTATCATAAAATTCACAAACACTCCAACTAGTGGTTCTCTATTCAGATGAAGAGAAACACTAGACAGCAAAGTATTTTGCTGAATCAGTAACACATTGTTTATTTTCCAAAAGACATACCTAAACAAATATAGAAGATGTTAACATACGCCTAATTTTTGTGTTGGTTACAAGAAAGTATACCACCTTGTTTTATATTATATTTTCTACACATTAATAATATTCCAAGCCCAAAATAAAACAAACACCAGAGGTGAATGGTATAGACTGAATTGTGTCCCTCCAATTTTGTGTGTTGTAGCCTACGAAATTGTGACTGTTTTTGAAGACAGCACTTCTAAGAAGGAAATTAAGGTTAAACGAGGTTATAAGGTGGGAGCTTTAATCCAACAGGACTGGTGCCCTTATGTAAAAAACAAGAAGACACAAGGAGTTTGAGTGCACAGGGAGGTCATAGGAGGACACAGCAAGAACGTGACCTCTACAAGCCAAAAAAAGGGGCCTCAGCAAAATCCCACCTTGCCAGCACGTTCATCTTGGACTTCTCCACCTCCAGAACTGTGAAAAATAAATTTCTGCTGTTTAAACCACACAGTCAGTGGTATTTTATTAGGGTAGCCCTAGCAGACATTCTTTATTTAGTTCATTCCATGATTTTGACCAAAATTTGTCTTGCTAGTGTTTTCTCAAGTGATCTTTCGAGCCTTTCCAAGTGCCATGCCATCTCATTTCTTTAAAAACTATACTTCTGCCACGTTTTTCTCACTCTACCTTGAATGCAAATATGACTGCTTTTCCCCACCTCTTCAGAAAACCCCTTTGTAGCTTTTCTCCCCGTGAAAGAATTGTCCTCATTCATTTGAGCACATGTTTCCTTTCTTCTTTTTTATTTTGACTTGCCTTTTGGCATTTTGCACAGTAAATGTTTACACACTTCTCTTTTAAAAAATGTATTTTATAATTTAAGTTAATCATGCATACATTTTCTGGTTAAAAATATAGGCATTATAGGTAAGATTAAATTATCATTTTACCATGTAAGATCAGAAACCCCTCCTCACACCTCACATCTGGAATGCTTTCCAGGCATGTCCTTTATATATTTAATTATGTTCTCTTTATATGTGTATGTGTGTGTATATCTATATCTATATCTATATCTATATATAATATAGATATATATAAAACAAAATATCACACTTCTATTTTGGAACTTCTTTTTATGACTTAATAGTATATTGGGAAAATCTATGCACATTTGTAAACCAGGTCTACCTTTTCTTTCTTTGCTGACCGCATAGCTTGGCGTTATATGAATAAACAACAGTGGACTTAGTGACTCTTTTGTAAATTATTATTCAGGTTTTAGCCAAAGTTTTTCTGTTATCACAAAGTTGTTTAATGAGCTGATAATTATTTGAACATATAAGTATCCCTAAAAATCTATTTGCAGGTGAAAGGGTATTAACTTTTTTTTAATTTAATTTTATTATTATTATACTTTAAGTTTTAGGGTGCATATGCGCAATGTGCAGGTTAGTTACATATGTATTCACTAAATAAATGGTTCTTAATGCACCTGTTTCCATGTGATTGGTCACCAACGTCTGCTCAATGTTACTTGTTTAAATTCTGCAGCAAATACATTAATCATCTCTTTCCAACACTCACAATCTCATAGGGAAAGCTCATTTTATTCTCACAATATCCCTGCCAAATATAGGTATGTATACATATATATTACTTCATTTTATATATGGGAAATAAGCTACATGGCTTGATCTGGGACTAACGTCACCTAACTACTAGTCTATTTAGCCTTAAATATGTGTATAAATTCCCTCAAGTGAACAACATTTTTTTAAAAAAATCAGAAGGAATAGTTTTATAACAAATATGTTTCCATGAAAGTTACATTTTAATTAAGTATATAAGCAATATATATACTATGTAATTAATATCATAAATATTATATACGCCATGTAATAGCATGTTCTATTCTCATAATGTAAAAAATAAGCATTTAACGTAAAATTTCTTGAGTTTTCAAGTATCAGGAAAGCATTTAAAAGTAATTAGTGGTTATTGTTATGCTTATATTTGTGTTATATTTATATTTATTTTTGAAGTAAAGCTGTCTCATAAATGTGATTTATATAAAACATATTTGCTCTGAAATACAGATAAGAAATGCATAAGACACAGTCATCTATATGACACAATTATTTTCATCTGTTATTCTAAGTTTTAATTGTATTTCTCCTTCATTCAAGTGAAGATAATAGCTTATTTTAATTTGGGGAATAATTGCTACAGCTCATAAATTACTTGCCTCTCTTCATTTTTAAGAGATGAACTTTTATACTGTTTCTGTGTACTGCAACCTTTTAAAAGTTATGAGTAACTGAGCGTCTCTTGATTAAATGTGAACAATGAGGCAGGAGGGGTCGAGATTGCATTAGAAATCCAGTGTGTCTCCTTCTTCCGAAGCATAGATGTCAGAAAAGTAAAAAAAAAGTATGAGATTAGCATTATAAACAAAATGAGTTTCTTTCTCTCTTTCTTAAGTCTTATGACCTCTCGTCTGCTTTATTATAACCTCAACCTAGACCAAGTTTTTCTATGAGGGTCAGGTAAAACAAATTTAGTACATTATTGGAGTTTTCTGTACTGGCTGCTTTAATACCTACCTCTTCTTCTCTTGCTGCAACCTAGTGAAATAAAAATACACTTTGTCAACTTGTTAACCTGTAGAGCTTCCCTTGTGGGTGGGAGGGGTATAGAAAAATTTGAAGTAATCTTGAGAAACTGATCATTTTACAAATGAATGATACTGGAGATGAAATAATTAATAATGGAGTGACAGCCTCGTGACACAAAATCATTTTGGACAGTGATACAGGGAGAGGAAGGAGGATTGATTTTAGCTATGGACATGGGGAGTGTTGCTTTTGGGAGAGAGTGTGGAAATGAGGTTATTAGTAAGTCTATAAATTTTTTATACAGTGAAAACCTTTTTTTGTCAGGTTTCTGCCTAAAACTGGTATTAAAGCGTTGCACTGCTTTTCAATGCTTTGGAGACTGGATTTGTAATTTTTAATTTTAGCGTGACACTCTGCTGACTTAAGTCCCAATTTTGTCTTGTTTTATCCAGGTAATATTTATTTCCTGCTGCAAATGAACCAAAAACAAAACAAAAAAAAAAGCAAAAAAAGAAAGAAAGAAAGAAAGGCTATATCTTCCCATAGTTTAATTGCCCAAAATAAAACAACAAAAGTCCTTTTTTGTAGTCTGCATTCCTAAGACAGAACACTGTTCGGCCCATTTTTCCCAGTTGATTTATCCTACCATAATTGCCTATTATTGGTGGGAGAATAGGATACAGAGGTAGAAAGATTGCTTCACATAAATATTATTAAAGGGATTTAACTGGGTGTGTGAGAGCCCAGTTCTTAAAGAAGATTCCTTAAAGTAGATTCTTATACAACTCATGATTTTCTAAAGGGCCTGGTGCTCTTTGATTAGATAATATTCCTCATCACTTACTCAAAATTGTTTATTATCTGCCCAAGAAATGCACTAAATCATTAGATATCAAGTTTATGAAGGCTTTTACATATAAAATGCAATGACCTTACTATTCTTTGTGTATCTAGTTGCTTCTCATTTAATTATACCACACTGCTGAAAGAGTAAACTGTCCTTTTCTTTGTCTCTTTTTTTTTTGTGTGTATATACATTTCAAAACCCTTAATTATTATCTTGCCCTTATAGTAAAATCATGAGATTTGTCACTGAAGTCCTTGCCTCATTGGATCAGACTCAACCCCCTACTCCATCTGGTTTAATGTCCTGCTCCCAATACATTGTATTTTGTGTTTTATAGTTTCCAGCTTAATGTCACAGAGCTCCACATGCCAGAAATGCAACTGGGGTGTGTGTGTGTGTGTGTGTGTGTGTGTGTGTGTGTGTGTGTGTGTGTGTGTGTGTGTGTGTTTTAAACTAGAAGGGACCTCCAAATAATCTAAGCAGGCTCTATTATTTTTTCCTATAAAGAAATATTAGGCCAGAGTGTTTAATTGACTACTTTAAGATCCCAGTTAGCCAATTGAAGAGGTAGGAAGAATATGTATGTTTTCTAGTTTCCAGGAAGCCACATCACAAAGACTACTACACCAATAGCACCAGTCTCCTCTTTTCTTTTTTTTTTTTTCCCCAGTTCACAGTAAGCAACGTGTGTATTTATTAGCTATGGGAAAAAAGACAAAATAAAGTTAACTCAGAACAACAACAAAACTTCTTGATTTTGTATTTCTGTGTTGAGATGGCAGATACCAATAAAAACTGGCCAAGTTTCAAATCTCATCTGCCCCCTTGTCAAGGACGAAGACCTCACAGAAAAGTTCAAATTTTTATGTCATAGAAGAACAAAATTTGAAAAGAATAAACTGAAAGATGTTATGGAATAATAAACACAATCCCTGGGACAGAAAAGAAAAGAAACAGAATGATACAAACCACACAAATATTAAAGGATGACAATAATTAACAAATCAACTTACCTAACTAAAATCTTTCAAAGGCTCAACAAAATGACAGTAAGCCTGGAAAAAATAGAAACAGCAATTGGAACTTATCTCAGTGACATCAATACTCTGCTTATTAAAAGTAATGTAAATAGCTCCAAGAACGGAATGATGTAGCCTGTATCATGGATATTTCAAAGAAAAAAGCTCTGGCTATGTTATTTAAATCAGAGTATTTAATACTAGGTATTAAGTACTCATTAGTTGTCATGTAAACTCAGCTACTCATGAAAGAAAGGAAGTCTGAGTAAAGACTATAAATGACCTGTTTATCAGATTAATCCAACTGAATGATTACTTGCACTTGGGTAATACACATAATTCCTTAAGGCCCCAGTGTCTGTCTTATATGATACAGAAAATCAGACTTTTTTAGAGTTTTAAGCATAAGCTTAGGTATAATATGTATAATAATTGGTTCATGTTACGTGACATAAATAACTGTTATTTAAAAAATAATATAGAAACATTGATTTTAGTAGTATATTTAGCATTTCTAAAAACTCTGGTTTTTAAAAAATGTGGTCTATTTTCTCTAAAAGCACTTCCTGGTAGTTCTCTTACAATTGCCAAACAAAACTTCAGCAAAAAATTCAACTTATTGGGAAGGAAAAGTATAGATTATTACAATCCCAACCAAATGTATATCAAGAGTAACAGATAAACACAATGCAATTCTGGCCCAATTGGAAGAAATTCCTGGAAAGCAAAACAATTCTCTACAAATCTGTCAAAACATGCAAATTAAGTAGAGAATTTTATCTGACCAGATTAATGGTTTTTTACCATTAAGCTGCTAGGAAACTGGCAGGACTTACTTCCTAATTCTGATAAAATGTAGTGAAAAATGTCACCCAAACAGCAGCTGGTGATGAAAGCAATCCCTAGCTGCCCTAATTGCTCATTAGCATAAGACACTCCCCCCGCCCCCCTGCCCCGCCAGTGCCATGACAATGTGCGTGTCACACCAATGACCTGGAAGTTACCTCTTCTTTCCATGTCAATGACCTGAAAGTTACTGCCACTTTCCTAGAAAGTTCTGAAAAATCTGCCCCTTAATTGGCATTAACCTACACTTAATTTGCATGTAAGTAATAGCGGGTAAAAATGGGTATACATAGAACTAGCCAACAGCCCACAAGTGTGGCTCTGGGCACACTGGCTATGAGTTGGCTCTGCTGGGCAAGGAGGAGATCTGGTTCAATAAGTGATTGCTGTTTAACGCCGCCACCTTGCTCTTGAATTATTTCCTCGGTAAAGCCAAAAATTCTCCTGGGCTAGTTACTAATTATGAGGATCACTTGCCCAGCTACATCATTGTGGCAACCCTGAAGGGACAAATATAGTGAGAAATGGGGCAAGATGACAAGATGGTGAGACAGCCATCAGTGAGTCGGCAAGACAGTGATCGGCACAGTGAGATGACAGTCAGCTTGATGGCAAGAAACGGAGATGGAAATCTGACAGGTAGATGTCAAGAGATAGTGACTTTAACAATAAAGATCTTCTAACCCTGCAGAGCTGAAACAGTAACCAAGGCTCTTTTAAGAGCTGTCATACTTGCTGACATGCAGTGGAGCAGGGAGAATGGTGAGCAGCCACAGTACAATCTCATGTGAGACACAGCACTCTGGCCAGGTAGTTGCAAGAGTATACACGAGTTCCCTTGTGGCAGCCAAACTCATCCAAGCCAGGGGCCTAGTTACAAACCAGTCATCTCCATTTGGCTCCAGCAGATGGGTGAGTGTCCCCACTGACCCTCCTCGCATCAACATTGGGTGAGCCAGAAAATAAGGCGTTTGGCCAGGTAATCAATTCAAAGTCCCCTTTAGCATATCTGACCAACTATAATATATACTTTTTCCTCTTCTCTCAGTCTTTTTTAAAATGCCATTTCATTTTTTCCATCAGTCATTTTATTTTATTTCATTTTTTGCTCTGAAATGTATGTTTTGTTTGCATCATGTTTTGTTTTGTTTTGTTTTGTTGTTTTGTTTTGCTTTAGCTCCTAGCTAACTGTATTTGGGTAATTATTTAAAGCAGGACATTTGGTTGTGAGGTCGCTGTTGTGTTGACTCTGGGATGTCAGAATCACATTGTTCTGTCACCCCAACCAGGCCTTTAGGGTATGCTATTGCCTGCCCCTCGGGGTTGAAAATGCTGAAACCCACAGGGTTTTCAACATTGGTTGCCCCTGGATACTCCAGGGTTTCGGCATGTGGTGTGGGAACTCTAGTTGTCCAGCACTTGGGTAATCCAGGCTTTTTGGCACTTGGCATCATTGGCAGTCCCCTGGATGCTCCGGGGTTTTCAACCTTAGCATTCCTTCTAGGATTGTAGGTTCCAGGCCCACTCCAGGGAAATTTTGCTCTTGCCTTTTTCTGTTTGCTGCCCTAGGGTCCTGTCACTCTATTTTCACTTTTCCTTTTATACTTCGCTAGGTAAAAATATTCCTTTTGTTGCATTTTGCTCACCAGCGAGCACTGTACTCTACTGCCTGCTTGTATCTCACACTCCGTTTGTCTAACACTTCGCTACCTGTACTTATACCTTCTCTACAGGAGGTAAACATCTAAACAGAAAAAAATAACAAGAGCCCAGTTGCTTTTCCTTTTGTTAGACCTTAAAAAATTCAATTCCTGGTAAAGATTCCTGTTAGACATGGAGACAATGGCGAGCATTCCAGAGGACTTGCCACTAGAGTGTCTTTTAGGCAATTGGAGCAAATTCAAATCCGCTCAAAGAAAAAGAAACTCATTTTCTATACCAACACCTTTTCAGTGTAATACAAATTGGGAGATCAAAAATTAGGCCTAAGAATGGTTCTTTACATCATAATAGTGTTTTGCAATTGAACTTAATCTGTAATAAAGAGGGGAAATGAGTAGAGGTCCCATATGTAAACCTTGTATTGCCCTTTACTGCCTCATGTTACTTTTAGGCACTGAGAAGCTGTTTCTAAGGGATCCTCCCATGATGCTGTTCCTAGAAGGCTCATATCCTCCTCAGAGACTCCTCAGTCACCCAGTTCTAAGGGGAGTACTCCCAGTTATCTAATCCAAGATTCCACCCCAGGGTCATTAGGCACACTTCCCTTTTAACCAAATAGCCACAGACTATACCCCTGTTGCCCAAGGAAGTAAGCCCAGACTGTACCATCATGAATGGGGCTCCATATCAGCACCTAAAATCAAACCTTGTACGTTGTGGGAGGTAGCTGATGGAGATGAAAACTTAGAGTACATGTGCCATTTTCTAAATCTGATTTGGTGTTTCTCACGGACAAATTTGGCAGGTTTTCAGATAATCCAGGGAAGTTTATAGAGGAGTTTGTTAAGTTGTCATGTTCTTAGATTTAACTTGGCATGACTTGCTGTCTGTGGAGGAGAAGAGGAGAATTCTGAGTGCCACCCATGAATCTGCAGATGGAGTGGCTGCACATAACAATGGCCATGCCAGTTATCACCTTGGGGGAGATGCGGTTCCAAGTATGGACCCTCAATGGGATAACCAATGGGGTTTCGGAAGATTTGAGTGCAGAAACCACATAGCAACTTTTTAAATAGAAAATATTTTTTAAAGTGTGAGATTAAGCTAATTATAAAAATAGTAGAGAAGTAACTCAGGGGAGAGCCAAAAATCCCACTGTTTTTCAAGGCCCAAACAACCTCCTGGGCATGCATTTTATTACTCAATCTGCCCCTGACATTAGCAGGAAGCTAAAAAACACAGCAATGGGTCCTCAAACCCCTATCAGCCCACCCTGAAACATAGCGTTTGGAGTTTAGAACAATAGAAACAGAGTTGAGGAAGCGAGAAATAGCCAAAAGTGCAGTTGTTAGCAGCTGCTTTAAGCCCCTTCCCCATCTCTGGGTTACCTGTACTGAGGAAGTTTCTTGAGACCTATGTCCGGGTTGCTCAGTTGAAAGCCTCAAACTCACTGCCCCCTGGACCAGAATCAGTGTGCCTACTGTGAGTCAGAGGGCCACTGGCAATGAGAATGTCCTAACCGTTCTTAGTAAGAGAAAAAAAAGCTCTGCCCGACAATACTACAGCTAACCTTCTTTCACTTGCCATTCAATGAGCTGCATTTACTGGGGTCCTGAACTCCACTCCTGACCTGAAGGACACCTTCCTGAAGCAGCAGGCAAGTGGCCCAAACACTTTTTCTGAGTGTCTCTGCCATTGGATAGATTCTTTGATGGCTCAGGGCCATCACGGTCTCCCCTTAAGCAATGTGGTTTTACCCTTCCCCTCTTTATTTGGTAGTATGGGATCCCCTTCTCTGCTTTTCCCTGTCTCTCACACCTATTGGGGAAAACAAAGTTTAGCCAAGTTGACACATACCAATTTTGTGAATAATTTGAATCCAATTATCTTGTATGGTTCACTTTATTGGGTAATGTGTATAGATATTATGTGAATATGTATAGATACATATATTGTGTATACTGTCAAATTGGCTTACATCTAAAAGGCACTGATAAACTAAACAAATAAGCAATTGTATATGACTTGGTAATATATGGGTAAAGGGACTAGTCTGAACTTGTTAGTGTGAATGTTTAAAACACCTTTGAATGGTAACTAGCTTTGCATAGTATCTGGGTTCTCAGAGGTGGTCTAAATAAAACTTTTGAAAGAGAAAGAGTTAAATGCATGTGAATGGAATGGATCCTTAAAGGTGACCATTTTGTTTGATTTGAAATCATAAATCTGTGTAATGAGTCTCATGAAATGTGAAGGAACCTGTGAGTAAAAAAGAGAGATGTGAAGAAAATTATAGATATAAATATATATTTTTAGTAACAAAAGATGTGAAGAACAATTTTATGTGAGAAATAATCTTTTCTGATAAATTCTTATCCTAGAATAAAATGACTAGTTTCTTTAAAAAGAGCTGGTAGAGGGCAAGTAAAAAAGTCCAAGTATGTCATAGATAGCCTGTGTAGATGATAGTAAGGTCTATGAAGGGGATCTTATGAAAGAAATCAGTGTAATTAAAAGAAAATTGTTTATAATATTCTTTCTAAAGAATAGTTTTTGGGCCAGGCATGGTGGCTGATGCTTGTAATCCCAGCACTTTGGGAGGCCGAGACAGACAGATCACCTGAGGTCAGGAGTTCGAGACTAGCCTGGCCAAAGTGGTGAATCCCCATCTCTACTAAAAATACAAAAAATTAGTTGGGCATGGTGATGGGTGCCTGTAATCCCAGCTACTTGGGAGGCTGAGGAAAGAGCATTGCTTGAACCCGGGAGGCAGAGGTTTCAGTGAGCCAAAATTGCACCATTGTACTCCAGCCTGGGTGAAAAAAGTGAAACTCCAACTCAAAAAAAAAAAAAAAAAAAAAAAGAATAGTCTTCATATTAAAACGAGTTTTTTAAGGTATCATTCAGTTTTCAATTCTATAATCTGTTTCTTTTAACATTTCTCTGATTCATATCTAAAAGTTCAATTGTTGTGTCTTGTTGCTTTCAGAACTTTTTCCCTCTGTAGAAGGTCTGAGATAATAACTCTCTCCTTCAGCATTATCGTCAGCTTCTATATCTTTTTTCTCCTTCAGCTATAACTGTTGCTGTGGTCTGATGCTGAAATATTTTATCTTAGAGGTATATAAAAGCAATTTTTTTCAGTATTACTTGATTCTATACTCTTGGTTTCTCTTGATATGTAACCTTATTTTTGACTTTTGGTTTTGATACTTATGTTGCTTTTAAAGGTTTTAACGGCTAATGAATGCCTGCTTTCCCCCCATATTCATCTGCTCTAGTGATATGGTTTTGCTATATCTTTACCCAAATCTCATCTTGAATTATAGTTCCCATAATCCCCATGTGTCCTTGGAGGGACCTGGTTAAGACAACTGAATCATGGGGCTGTTTCCTCCATGTTGTTCTTGTGATAGTGAGTGAGTTCTCATGAGATCTGATTGTTTTATAAGGGGCTTCCCCATTCGCTGGGCACTCATTCTCTGTCCTGCCACCCTGTGAAAACGTGCATTCCACCATGATCATAAGTCTTCTGAGGCCTCCCCAGCCATGCAGAACTGTGAGTTAATTAAACCTCTTTCTTTTACATATTCCCAGTCTTGGGTATGTCTTTATTAGCAGCACGAGAAAGGACTAATACACCTATAACATTTAATTAGCTATGAAATCCTGAAAAACTAATTCAGATCTTGATAGAAATAGTCATTCTGACATGCCTCACTCTGACGACTTTTAAAATTTAGGCCAGACTCCAAAGGCCCTTCAATACTATGGAAATAAAGTGTTGGCTCCTTCCACAAGAATTTGCCTTAATAAAACATGGAAGGAAAAATCCCCTGAGGATCATTTACAACCAAATTGGAAAGCCTCCTGTAAGCTATGTGATATTATTTGGCTGTGTCCCCACACAAATCTCATCCATGGTTCCCATAATCCCCATGGGTAGTGGGATGGGCCTGATGGGAGGTAATTGAATCAGGGGCAGTTGCCTCCATGCTGTTCTTGTGAGAGTAAGTGAGTTCTCACAAGATCTGATGGTTTCATAAAGGGGCTTTTCCCCCTTTAGGTCAGCACTTCATCACTTATCCATGATGCCGCAATGTGAAGAAGGACATAAATGCTTCCCCTTCTTACATAATTGTAATTTTCCCGAGGCCTCCCCATCCATGCTTAATGGTGAGTCAATTAAACCTCATTGCTTTATAAATTACCCAGTCTCAGGTATGTCTTTATTAGCAGCATGAGAATGGACTAATAAAGTATTGTTAGAGATCCCCACTTCTGTTAGATTTTAGGGAATCACTAGGTGGGTACACCTGTCTGGGGTAAAACAGTTTTTTATGAGTCCCCACAGGCATGACAGGATGATATCAGGACCTACACATGTGAATCCCAAGAAGACTTAAAGCTGTTTTTTTCTCAGGTGTACAATAAGTAGCATGATGTTGTGTGTGGGCACAGGAGCATTAATTTTTCTCTTCTCCTTTTCTACTGTTCTGGCAAACTGCCTCCTCCAGGGAAACACCTCTTTTGTCCTCTTTGAGAATAGAAGCCACTCTAAGGACCAACTAGACACCATGCTGCCTCTACTAATCCTCTTGCTCTCCAATTAACCTAATACAGTGTAGGAGGGGGAAAAGACTTCATAATAAATGTTTCAGAATTTATAGCATTCATAAAGGGAATCATCTTCAGGGATGTTGGATCTATTATCAACCTTCTTCCACATTTGGCATATCTCTATCCCCAAAATAGAGTTCCACTTCCTGGCACATCTGGAAAATCTCATGACCTTCTCTCCAGACCTTCTCATTAATCATGGTGATCCCAAATTACCCAGAACCCTATTTGTTAAGAGGAAGTCTCTCCCACTGAAAGGATTCCACCTTATCCACAACACCACTATTATCTGGACCTGGGAAGTCGGGTATCTATATCTTCAGTGCAGTAATGATACTATCTTTTGTATTCATTGTTGTGTGAATACACAAAAGAGAAAGCTTCCTTGCCCTAGTGGATAAATTCCCAAGACCACAAGGAGATAAATAAAATCCTACTTATACGCAAGGAAAATGTACATCATGCCTCCTCCTGGATCAAAACATGCACCAGAGAACAACCGCCTGATATGGGAAGGTGGGAGTACTGCCCTCTTCTAGAAAACAAAGATTGCTCAACTACCACCATTGCCCTCTTCTAGAAAACAAAGATTGTTCAACTACCACCATTGGACAAGGGAAAAATATCTATAGAGAGCCAATTTGGCTCAGCAGAGAGACATCACATTCAATAGGGCCTAATTTGTGTGCCAACTGGGCTCATTTTTGTTTGTGGCCATGAGTGGGAAGAAATTCCACTCTGTACCCACTCTTGACTCCCTCAAGAGCCACCTATTTCTTTAAGAGTTGTCATCCCTTGCATATTAAAAACTCGAAACAGGGGTAAATATACATTGGCCACCATTGCCTCTCTGGGGGTCACCATCTATAAACCCATAATACCCAGAAATAAAAATAAATGATTAATAAGATTAATTCTGGCAGGAATTAGGGCATCAATAGGACCAGCATCCCCTTGGAGTGACTTTACTTACCATGAGTCACCCCTAAGAAATTTGACAAAAGCTCTAATATTATTGGCCACCAGCACAGGTCAAGCATGAAAGGAACTTCAAGGATCCCTAGATTATTTGGTAAATGTAGTCCTTGACAACAGACTGACATTGGATTATTGACTAGCTGAACTGGGTGGAGTCTGTGAAGTTATTAATAAGACCTGCTGCATTTATATGAATCACTATAGACAAATTAAGGTTAACATCCAAAAGATCTATAAGCAAGCCACCTGGTTACATAGATATAACCAGGGCACTCGCCCCCACTACATCTCGTCCACTATCAAAAGTGCTTTCACTAATGTCACCTGGTTTTTACCCTTCCTAGGACCTTCAAGAGCTATCTTTTTACTACTAAAATTTGGCTCTTGCTTAACTCCTTGTAATGTTTGGGTCTTCTAGACTCCAACAATTTCATATAAAGACAAGGCTAGCAGAAGGCTTCCAATCCTTCCCTTCTTCTGACCTAGAGAATGAAAACATCCTGCTACTGGGTCCCTTAAATCAGGTATCCAGAGATTTTTACTCCTTCATTCCTAAGCAGGGCCTATGCTTATAAACCCGGAAGAAAAAAATTAGAGAAGATAGGCCTCTGCTATTCTGCAGCCCCCTTAACTTCATGGAGGAGTATCTGATCTCTGAAGGGGGAATGAGGTGGGAGACTGGCAGAACTTATTTCCTGATCCTGACAGGATGAAGTGAAAAAAACAGTCAAAACAAACAGATGGCAACAAAAATGATCCCTAGCTGCACTCATTGTTCATTAGTATAAGATACTTCCACCAGCATCTTGATAGTTTACAAACCCAGAAGTTACTGCCCCCTTCCTAGAAAATTCTGAATATCCTGCTCTTTAATTTGCATTAACCCACTCTTTAATTTGCATGTAAATAACAGTGGATATAAGTGGGTGTAAATACAGTTGCCAACAGTCCACAAGTGCACAATTGCTGCTCTGTATGCACCACCTATGAGTTAGCCCTGCTCTGCAAGGAGTAGCTCTGGTTCAATAAAAGATTGCTGTTTAACATCAGCTCACCCTTGAACTCTTTCCTGGGCAAAGCCAAGCACCCTCCTGGGCTAAGCCCCAACTATGGGGCTGGCCTGCCTACCTGCATCAATGGGAATTTAACTAAAATCTGTTACATGCCAAAGAGTGGCAGGCAAAATAAAATTGAAAAAGGTGAGTAGTCACACACTCTTTATAGGGTACAGGCTAGAGAAATTCTTAGAGAATAAGAGAAAGAGACAGATAACTTTAGATAGGTAGAAACTGAGCAAGTTTAGCTTTAAAAAAATCATCATCATCATCATCATCATTTACTGCAAGAAAAAAATCACTAAACACAAGATTTCTCTATGAACCATATTTACCTTAATGTACCCCCTCTGTGGGAAGGAGGGGCACATCTGGTACAAGAGGAGAAAAGTCCCCAGGGAAGAGATTCAAATGGTTTTAATGAGAAGTGTTCTGAGACCATATAGGTGAAGCTGCTACTGCTTCAATGAATGCTCCTCCACTCTTACTAAAAGTCTTCATCTTTGAAACAAAGACTGATGCAGGTGGCTCTAAGGCAGTGGAATCTAAATTGCCTACATTTACTCTAGCGATAAGAGAGAAAAAAATTGTGTGATTTCTGAATGTTTCCTTGGAATAGTAGACTTTAAAAGATAGAAATGATCTAAATATAAATAGCATGTTGAAATTACATGAATATATATACATAAATGACATCTTTAAAAGTTTACTGTAGGTCTAATTTTAACATATGCCCATCTTTCCTAACTACACACTTTCTCCTCCTGCACAAAAATTGGGTTCTCTGCCTGACATATCCAAGTTTCCCACCTGCAAATGAAAATGAGCTCATCATTTCTCCAAAATTAATCTTATCATCATTCCATGCACGTAAGAATAGTTCAAAATTTAAAATTCACTGATGTGTTTTTCCTTGTCAAAAGGTCAGAATAAAATAGTACAGAAAGTTCTGAAATGCATGTATTATTTCTCAAACAACCTTTTAAGAAGTTTAGCAACCTCATTATAAAATATAGAAATTAATAAATATTTCCTCAATAAGTTATAAAATACATAACAGCAAAGAAGATAATTATAAATAATGGAATATAAAGTCAGGAGTAAGACATTAATGTCCATTGATTTAACTTTTCTTGAAATGCTATCTAAAATATAATTACAAATATAAAATGTGAAATAAGTGCTTCAAATATTGCAAATAGGAAACTAAAACTGTACGTATGTATATTATTTTTGTAGAACTCCAGTCATCTCTAAAAATCTTTCAGAAAAGAAATACAGTGGAAAATTCAGAATGGTTGCTGGTTATGAAGTTAGGAAATGCACAATTGAATAATTTTACAAACAAACAATAACCAGTTTGATAATGAACCTGGCAACAACACTAATGAGCCTAAAATATACACACTTAACTTTAACAGAAAATGTGTGTTACTTATGAAATAAATGGCAACGTCTCACAGAGGGGAATGAAAGCACACCTGAATGAAAGAAATGACCCATCTTAGGGAGATTTAATAGTGTAACAAAACTAACTGTTTTCGCATTTTATTTTTGTATAAGTGATAAGTAGAAACAACAGAATGGTTATTTTTACCTGATGTCAAAATAACTGGTTCAAAGTTACAACAATTATCCAAAGATTCCATGGTTTGGAGATACATTGATTCTGAACGTATATTGCGTGTCTAAAAGGTGACCCAAAGGTCATCTAAAATGCAAATCCCTTCCCTAATTCTTAGCATTTAACAATGCACAATTCCATAGAGTTACAATTTTATGTACCAATAAAGACTACTAACTGGCTAGCCTCTAAACAAGTATTTTATAGTAGAAATTGGTATATTACCAGATACTTTTCAACTTCAATATTCTGTTAAGAAAGGTGCATTTTTCTTCCTATAAATGTAGGCTCAGGATAGTGGCAATTTTAGTATTTGAGTGTCATCAGTGTGCTTTGAGTATGCCACAATTTTTAATTACTCTTATCTTTGATTTCTAATAATAAATTACTATTAGTATATTTTATAGTTATCAGTTTAGTTGTGGGTTGTTTATTTAAACCTGCAACTACATGATGTATTTACATCAACTATATTTATGAACAAAGACTTTCCCCATTATTCAAACTTTGACACATAAGTTCAATGCAGTTTACGAATCTCTTCACAGGAAGATTTTTTTTTTACAAACAGGTGAGAGAAGGAAGATAAACTGGGTGATTTTGCTCACCTAAGAAGGTACACAGATCCAAAGAAAAAGAGATTCGTAAGTATAGACTATATAACCTATATCCAATGGGGAACTGATAAATTTGTGATCACTTATATAATCAATTCTTTTTTCTCCATTTTACCATTTTTAAAAAATTTAGCCACCATACAAATATATGGTTAGTATATTTAGTCACCCTACAAATATATGGTTAGTACAAGATACAAGATATCAAACAGGAACCTTTTAAAGTCAAACTACAAAAAATAGAACATAAAAAACTTGAATTTACAGGCCGTTTATTCACACAAAAAGATTCCCTTAATGGATACCTGTAAAACGCAGGATGGTAGTGGTGAGTTGCCTTATATTTTATAAAGATGGTGCATGGTCCAGGCCCCTGCTGACTCCATTTTCTGTTAAACTCCTTTATCAACAACATATTTATGTGGGAATGTTACCTATATCTTTTCTTCTGCTCTCTCAACTTCAATTTTATTTTTTTTTTCACCACACAATGAACTTGAATAAATCTTTGCACTCTTTCAGAGTAAAGCAAGGCATTAGAAAATATTACAAGGTATAGTTGAAGCAGTATTTCCAATGAATTACCTTATCACTAAAGCAGGGGGAAAAAGAGGTAAATGGAGTGCTGCCCAGCCTCATTCGTGTTTAAAGAATAGGAACCTCTAACCCACATCCCAATGAAGGGGGAGGAGAGGAAAATGCATATTGAAATAATATATTCCATAAAGACACTTATTTAGAAGTGCTCGTATCTCAGGTCTATTTATCGTTATGTGGAAATAATTCCTGTTGTAGGTATAAATGTCCACACATAGCCTGTAATGTGCAGTCTATGAATTCAAATCAGGTATTGCCAGGAAGATGGAGAGATTTTAAACTGAGTGAAGTGTAGGGTTGTTTTCTTTCACATTTTTCATGGTAAAATTGCTTGAGATAGTGCAAAAGCAGCATTGAATTTTCTAATTACATTTCAGGAGAGGTGTCTCCAGCTTCTGATTTTGATGACATCTCCCAGAGAGGACCGTGTTGCCATCACCATCCCAGAGTCTGAAAGTGTCCAGGTCAGAGACGCTTTCACTAAGGTGTCTACATCCTGCAACTATAGATGAATCTCTAACAAGCTGCCTGCTTTGAGACCTATTACTTCCATAATGGGACTCATTGCTTTCCTAAGCAGCCCTTGTAATTTTCAGCAAGGTCCTTTAACTCAGTTAATGTGAAACATTTGTTCATGCCTAATTTGTCGGAGCCCGGCCATAGTTGTGTTCTCCTTGAGTTGCAGAAGGTTGATTGTGGGGGTAAAACGGTCAGCCTCAAGTGACTACATATCTCCGCTGAATTATAGTAATTACTGTGGATTGCATTTGGTTGGTGGATTGCATTTGGTTGTCGTGGAGAGAGGCCCTCCACGACAAGGTTAACAAGCAGAAGGTAACCAGACATCAGAATATAAGTGCCTCATCACATACAGACAATTGTTGACAGTGCATTTTTTTCGTCTCATAATTATGATAAGGTTCGGTAATGGATGCAGCTGTACAATGCCCTGGAAATTAAATTCTAGAATCCATAATGTAAGGAAAATTAGAATACAGTAGCAGTATTTTTCTTCAAATTCTGATATTAAGACAGTCCTTTGCAAATGCTTTAAAATGTTAGATAACCCCATTTTTATGGAACTTTGGTAATTCTCACCTCTAATTCTCACCATTTCAGACTCACATCACACTCTTCTTTGTTTGGTAGTTTTTTTTTTTTCAAAGTGAGAAGAGAACATTATTTGGCTATAATTCAAAATGACAGCTGCATTCTTTTTGATTTTTTTTCTCATAACTTGGTATATCAAAACTGATTTTGTTGCTTGTATACCATCCCCAAAACCATTTATTTTATTTTAACGTGTGTTTATATAAGATTTAAATTAGCTTTTTCCTTTCTCTTTCCTTTGCATCTGTCAAGAGTGGAAGACTTTTTTTTCAACTCTACCATTACGATGACCTTAAAGTCCTAGCTGTGGAATTATATTAGAAAACTAACCTTCAAATAAAATTTGGATAGGAGACAACTGCGTAATAAGCATGCAGACATTTGAGTTTTAGCATAATCTTCCTTTGAAGTGTAATTTATAAAATGTACATATACTTTATCATTACCCATAATTTAATGAAGCATGATGTAGAATATATAAAATATTCTTCTAGGGGAGAAAATTAACATTTTCTAATATGCACACATGTGGAGCATACATATGGAACATTTATCACACACTTTATTTATATTACTAACTGTATACAGTAAAATTACATGATGTTACTTTTATTTTAGAAACTAAATCTCAAGCTGTGTAGTTTGAGTAAAGGCTAACAGTAAAAAGTTTCCATAACTATTCCTCAACTTTAAAAATCAACCTATTAAATATTTTAAAAGAAACTGTGACTTTGAAATATAATTGGATTATGGGCGGTCATTCATCCCAGAGGAATGACATTTTATAGAAAAGATAACTTGAGCACTGATAGTATGGAACCATGCTAATAGAGAAATTATGTTTCACTTTCTAGTTTACTAATCAGTAACTCGTCTCGATTTTGCTCTTGCGAGATTGTGTGTGCATGTGCGTGTGTGTGTGTGTGTGTGTGTGTGTGTGCATATTTGTGTGAGGGAGATCTTCCTTAAGGGAAGACCATAATAAAATCATATACAATGGTATAAAATGAGATATTTTCTTTCTCATGAGCTTCTGACAAATTTCAGATAAAACTTATTTCAAAAAAAATTGTCATGTGAAAGACATAGAACAGCTAAAATTTCTACAAATATAAGGGTCATCAACTAATAAATGAATTAAAATAGATGCAATGATTAGAAAAAAGAAACAATATAAATAAAATTTAACAAAGGAAGCATCCAACAAAAACAAAATCATGAGAGAAATCATGAGAACTAATACCTGGACATGGGGGGTTGGGGGGAGTAGGGAGAGAGAGAGAGAAAGAGACTTATTTACAATTTCCAAAAAGCAGTTGCTGAATTTTTTTTTTAACTCTCATTTTGCTTTATTTGGTGACAAGCTCCATTTGATAAGAACAGATAATTAAGTTGTTTGTTCTTCACTATCACAGTCTATATTTAAAGTCTTTACTTCTGGAATATGGTGAATAACATTGAGGCTGAGACTTGAGCACATTCATATTCAAGAGCAAAGATCAGGTCTGCACTTAATAAAAGTAAAACCCTGCTCTCCTTTGTGTAATAAGCCTATAAAGTAGACTTTTTCTTTAGCTTGGCTAAAAGCGGCTCTATTGTGTGTGTAATTTTGAATAATTATCTCTATGTAAATCAGAAACTGCCTTGTGACCCAACATAGCTTTACTTTGTTAAAATTTCTGTCCTTAGAAAACAATGTTTCCCAAGGAAGAACTTTATCACTATTTACATAAATCTTATGAATCAGAATGAACAAAATTATTACAATTCACACAAAGTGGACTGCAAACCAAACATAGATATGTGATTTTTTAAAGGGGAATTTTCATTAATCTAACATTTTACTAAAATTTAAGAAGTAAAAATGTAAGTGTATCTTCATAGATAAGAAATCAAAATAATAATAAAATTGACAAATGAAAAAAGTGATATTTATTGTTTACTTACTTATATAGGAAATAACAAAATCGATAAATGAAAATAGTGATATCTATTGTTTACTTATTTACATAGAAATAGGTATTGACACAAATATTTTTCAGGAAATATCAATGAAATCATGGAATTTTGAAGAAGATACAACAATTTTATTTCTGCTACAACAGACGTTCTGCTAATGGAACAGAAGTCAGCGAAGGACCTATTAGGTTTTAGGTCACTTATTACTCAAAGTTTATACATTCTACACTAAGTTATTTATTGCTCAAATTTATCTCATATTTATTCCTAGATTGTGTGTATTAATACAAGGCCCAGAAAAGTTGAATAATGTACAGTATATTTCAAGTATTATAATTAAAAACTTAGAGATTTAGCCCAGGTTTATCTGAACCAATATCTTCTGTTTTTTTCACTCAAATATTTTGAGGATGAGCATTATTTAGCAGTGAATAGGTGTGTTCTTAGGCAGAAAATCCTCCAATGCATTCTTCTTAGTGAAAGAAGCCAGACACAAACAGGATGCAAATTGTAAGATTCTATATGAAATATAAATCCATGGAGACATAACTCAGATTGGGGGGTTGTTAGAGTATAGAGAGGAAGGATGGGGAGAAACTTCTAAATGAATAAGTTTTACTAAGCTTTGTGGAAATATTTTGCAACTCGAGAGAGATGGTCATTGCACAATATTGTGAAAATGCTGAATGACACTTAATCGTTCATTTTAAAATGGGTAATTTTATGTTGTGTGAATTTCACCCTAGCAAATTATTTTTAAAATAGAAAATACAACTGTGATGACAAAGAACATTAGACTCCAGTTCTAACATTATGACAGTTAATGCATGGAAATAGATATGACTCTTTTCTTCCCCCACACATTACATTACAAAAGTTGATACCCAACATTAAATCCTTTCGTAATAGAGAAAATATTGCTAGACAATGACAGTGGTTCCAAGGCAGCTTTAAGAACAGAAGTGCCACATGTAACTCACTGTGATTCATATCTGTGTTTTGCTTAGTACCTAACACCATACCTGGCAAAATACCCTATAAAAGTGAAGAGGATTAAATTTTGAAATCCAGGATCAATATAAATAAATAGGTACAAGTTTTCTGAAAGCTACTGCCTGTATGTTTCATAGTTTTGCCTTTATAATCAGTCATGGTTCAACATCTTATTTCTAAGTTTAACTAAAGATATATTCTTCATACTTTAAGGGTAGGAGAAGAAAGTATAAATTGGATTAAAATTAAAATATAGCTTTTTGATGAAAGTTGAATTCTTTGGCACCAGCCATCACGTTATAAGCAACTTTATTGACACACAAGTAATTGCTTATACACAGTGTAAACATACACTATAGTTTATCTCAGTCAGTGGTGGCTTTTTATTTTAAAGAGCTCTATAAACATGAAACCATTTTGTTATATGTAATCAACTACACTTTGCTGCCTGATTAAAAAAAGAGATTTTATCTCTTTCATTGGATGACACTTTAATAAAGAAAAAGGTAATGCTGTTGAATATTAGAAAACACGGGTAATAAACAGCATCTTGCAGTTGCCAAGGCTTTGGTAAAAAGTTAGCAGTCAGGAAAATTTCCAAATGGAAACAAGTGTTATTTGACGATTTTATAAAATTCAGCAGAACACAAAGCAATTAGTCCTGTTTGTGGCTTTTATTGTCCACTGAAGTAAAGTAATTATAGTATTTCTGATCTCATGTCAAACAGCTTTGACTCTTTGAGCTATAATGTGAGTTCTGACATTAGGACTCAAAGTCTGAATCAAACATCAAACATAAAACAGTGAGGGACTGCATCTTTAAAACTTGAAGATCCCTCAGATTTTAACCTGTAACAAAGTTGAACTGTTTTATGAAATTAACTAAATGAAAATAGAATTATTCATTCAAGGTGGAATGGATAATATTTAATGGACATGGGAAAATAAAATGTCCCTTCACCAAATATATCCAGACGTGTTCAGAAATCACTTTCCATCAAAGAGAATTTATTTACACCCAGTATGTTGCCTGGTCCTCACTGTCAGTAATGATTTACAAATTAAATAGTCATGGTGAATATTCAAACAGCCTTCTGCCTCCTGACATCTCTCCCTTCCTTTCTTCATTCTCACCACTCCCTTCCAGTTTTTCTTTGCTTTCAGCATTTGGCTGGCCAATCTGTTTTGAACTTTTGGGGTAGCCTGATGTTTCAGCAGGGTAGTTTTTTAAACAGAACTTTCAAATCTTAGCTATATCCCAACTTTAAAGGTCAATGTAAAAATAATTTAAAGTATGGAGTTTTTAAAAGGGATTTAAAAAAAGTCCCCAATTCTGCTCAGTCATCTCTGCAATAGCGCAAAACTACCTAATAAATAGCAAAACTTGGGAAAGGTCAAAATGGAAATTATTAATAAATGCTAAATAACCCAGAGCCAGTACCGGTAATATATAAAATGATGAAATGCCAATTTAAAACCACCATGTGAAGCAAAAATATCTTTATATTTAATTGAAAATGTCCATAACAGGAAGAAATAAAACAAATTTCCAAGCTAAAGCCTTCCAAGGCTTGATTACTAGATTGCTGTCACGAGGAATATCATTTCTGCTTAGGATGTCATGGTGCATAATGGGGTTTTATCTTTCGCAGATTATTGTACTGACCTCATTAAAATAAATTAACTAATTCATCAGTTGACTTGTAGTTTTTGCAAAAGATAGCTAATAAATAAGAAAAGGAAGAATAATTTATTTTTTAAAACTTGAAAGTATTTGTCTTTAATGACAAACTTGTGGACGTTGGTTGCTCTCCCACTCAAGGTCATTAACCCTATAATACTACATATGCTGGATAGATTCTGAACTTTTTTTTTTTTTTTTTTTTTTTTTGGAGACGGAGTCTCGTTCTGTCACCCAGGTTGGAGTGCAGTGGTGCGATGTCGGCTCACTGCAAGCTCCGCCTCCCAGGTTCACGCCATTCTCCTGACTCAGCCTCCCGAGTAGCTGGGACTGCAGGCGCTCGCCACCAGGCCCGGCTAATTTTTTGTATTTTTAGTAGAAACGGGGTTTCACCGTGGTCTCGATCTCCTGACATCGTGATTCACCCGCCTCCACCTCCCAAAGTGCTGGGATTACAAGCGTGAGCCACTGCGCCCGGCCACGATTTTTCCATAGTCAAGAAAAATCTTAAAATTTAATATTTAATGCAGTTATAGCCTATGAAAGCCTAAGGATGGCTTTCAGAAACTTTAATAATCTTAGAAAATGACCACTTTTTTAAGGCACACATCTGCCCGTTGTGAGCATATTTGTCATTAGCATTTAGTAAAATAGGTACAATCCATTACTGCTTATTTCTAATACTATTTCCGCTTGTGTTTGCATTTCAAAGTAGCCTTATGAGAAAAAAATAGAGCTTTACCATGAGTTATTATTGTTATTTAAAAAGATAGATGGCTCATGATAATATTGTTAGAGTTGCTTTGCCCAAACTATACTTTTATTTTCTGAATTTTCAGACTTCCTTTATTTCTCTATTTCATTCTTCATTCCCCCTGAATTGTTTTTAATTTCTGGGGCAAATCATAGGAAAAATCTCCAAGATATTTAAGGCTCATATAGTTAGAGAATAAATGAACTTTCCTATATTATAAACTATAAATTAGGTAACTGTAAAATCATAAAAAATGCCCTTGGCTTGCAGAAACAATGGTAAGTGACAGACTATGAAAGTGTCTTCATAACTTTTATCTAAATTTTTGGGGGGCTCAGTTTATTATTGTTCTCTTCATGCATGACTTTTCTAAAATGAGATTTGGAAGGAACAGTATTTCAGGAAAACCCTAAGTTTTAATGATGAATGTTTTAAGTAATAAGGATAAGAAGATTTATTGTGATTATATTTAAAACATTTTCCACAGTGGGTGCCCTTGGGAAAATCTGCATTCTGTGTGGTAATTAAAATTCTGCACAAGCTATATTGAATAGAACAATGTAGAAATAATTCTTGGCTGTATAGATTTAGCATCTATTTAGTGGAATGAAAATCTCCTGTGAAAAAGTAGGGTGACATCAATTAACTGCCAATTTTTAATTTATAATAGTGACATAAAGATGAGAAGTAAAGCAAAAGTAAAATTAATCAATGCAATAATGACATCGGACACTACTTTTCTAATGCCTAGGAACTATGAGAATACTGTAAGAATATTTTACATTATAAAAGTAATATATCAACATTGCTACAGTCTGGAAAATACTTTTAAATAAATATAAAATCAGTACCTAGAATAATGCCTGCTAGGCAGTCAATACATATTTTTGTTGTTATTGACCTATATAAATGATCTGAACACAAGAGTATTTTAGACTTAAAAAGTTTACAATATTGAAATCAGAAAATCATATAAAATTTATCAGAAAATAATACAACTATTTATGCGATGGAAAAGACAATGTTATTGAAACAAAAGCAATTTTTAGAAACCAGATGCACTGATGCTACATATAAATGCAGTTGATAGAACTGCTAGTAGACCAAAATACTTTTATGAGTAAACATATAAAGAATGATTGAAAGTTCATTTATCTTAGGAGTTATTTAAGTATGTATAACTGTCCATGAATTTTATTGTGGAACATTTAAAGGAAGATGTTAATAAACCAATTTTGAATGTTGCTATTCCTAGACACCTCATTAAAAATCAGAAATTAGCCTATCTTATTTCATAATATAAGGCAGCAGAGTTGTGCCTCCCCGAAGTAAGAATGTGAAGATAAAGGTATATAGGTACTTTAAAATATCTTCTAAATTATATGTAATGTTAAAAGTAAATAAAAATGGATGAAATAGGAATGCATTTATGCCAATTCATGATTGATGAGAATATATTTGGAGGCTTTGGCAAGAGATAGAAATTGTCAAGACCAGTGACTGAGGAACAGAACTTGTTTATGGAAAAGCTTTCCTTTCTCTTGACCTCATGTGTACACATGAAGTGATGAAGGGAGGAGACAGCCACCTTTACACTTGATCAGCCAGCCAAATCAATCACGAAAATCAGTGGACTGTTTGCCATATTGCTTTCAGTCCAAAGTTAGGAAGGTGTTGAAGAAATGCTGCATTTTGATGGAGGGCAGGTAGTCTTTCAATTAGTATGTGACACCATGCAAGTTTAGTGAGGAAGGTGAGAATTCAGCTTCCTTACAGTCAGGTTTACTTTCTGGAAAAGGCACTATACATAGAATGACACTATATACATGGGAAAAACTAAGAATATACTAAATATGATAAAGCTACCTGAAGTAGAAGGGAATACTGTGAGAAGTCTAATGGGGATATTAATGAAGAAGAATAAGTCCATCTTGAAATACTGAGAAAATTAAAAGCTCCCTGTATTTTTCCTGGTGTATTCCATGAAGAGAATTAAGCTAATACAGACAGAGAAAATTGCAGAAGACAGAGGCAGTATATGAAAAAATCTACATATATTAAAGGTAAAGGAATATTTGAGAAAAATTATTAATACACCATATTTCAAAGAAGAGCTAATTTATTAACTTTTGAACTGAGTCAACGAGGTAACTACATATTTTTTTTCTTTTGCTCTAACTCCTGTAATTTGAGACACAATTATTTGATGGAATCTTTATTCTATTATATATGTATTATATTCCAATTTCTGATATTGACTATAATATGCTGTGATTTTCTCTGTGTATAGGTCTGTACTGGAATAATACTCATCAGTTTGCTTATAAAGGCTATCATTAAAAATAATAATGTAAAAATTAACTGCAATACAGCAAGCTTTTGGAAGAATATAAACATTCCCTCAATGACCCAGAAAACTACACCAGGATCCCTTCAGCATCCCTCTGAGTGCTGAGTTGCAGGAGGGATGGCTGTGGCTCTCTGATTTGAATTGAAACTACAGACATCCATCCTCTCATTCTCCATCCTATGGACATAAGAGGCAGTTGTCCCCATGTTTCTGCTGCTTCTTATCGTCTACTTCAGTGGCAGCCTCGGGCCGTGGTTTCTCTGGTGTGCCAGGTCAATGTGTCCACGGAAGAGCTTGCTCCTGCAAACCCTTCCTGATGATTTCTTTAGACAACTCCCTGTGTTCATTTCTGCCCTGCGTAAGATACCTGGAATAATTTTTATTCTCTAATGAATGATTGAAATAAAAGTCTTTCATGAAATATCTGGATTATGGAATGAATAAAGTAGGAGTAAATTCTATAAAAATGTTTGACATCCTGTAGGTTGTAAGAAAACATTTCAAGTTTAATTTTTATAAATTTCTTTATATTAAATAATGTATACTTGTAAAAAATTTGAAACTATAAAATATAAATGTAGTGAAAATGTCGTTGTTTCCTCAGATCAAAGTAACAAGTAAGCAAGTTAACATTTTGAAATATTTCCCATCATATGTTTTTTCTATTTATATTTTTTAGTACTTTGGATCATTCTGGATTTATAATTTTATAGAATTACTTATAATCACTGCTATAATTATAGATTAATACTCTTTAAAATTTATAACAAACTTAATCACTGGGTGTTTCTCATCTACAAAGGTGTCATAACAAACTTTTTATCTTACTGGATATTAGTTAAGATTATTTTCCCTTAATATATCTTTTATCCTTGGACAAGTAAAGAAAGAATCTATTTGTTTAAAAGTAAATATTTATATGAATTCCATTGAATTTAATATTTTTACATGTACTTAAATTAAGTTTGTAGGGTTTTTTCTGTTTTTGTTTGAGTCATGCAAATAAAATTGTGGCATGGGACATTCGTATTTTAATCAATATGCAACAGTGTACAGTACAAATTGGAGCTGTGCTAATAATAACAAAAGCTAACAATTTTTTCATAATTTATGAGTACCAGGCACCATTCAATGTGGTTTACACATATTTCCCATCTCATATAATGTTCATAGAAACTCTATCCCTATTTCAATTTTAGAATAAGAAATTTTGAGGCAGAGAATGTAATTAATTGCCCCAAGATCACTTAGATTGGAAGCACTTAAACCAAGGCTAGGAGCAAGTTAATCTGACTCTAGATTTTATACTTAAAAACACGAAGTTAAATAAATGCTCACATATTGCTCCTATTATTTTCCCTGCCCAGCATTTCTCTGTAGTCTTAGAAACAGAATATTTGGCCCAGGATCCTGCCCATATGTTAAACATATGGTTCTAGAGGGTACTGTCAACCCGTCATCTTTCTGGAAGCCACACTTAACTAGTTGTGATGAGCAACTGTGACTCACACGGGGCCATTGTAGTGGTAATCTTTGTTAAGTACCAAGGGAAGGGATAATTTCTCTGGTGTTGAAATTGTGAACAGTGCCACTACAAAGATATCAGTAGTCATGCTGCCCATTATGTGGAAGAAAACGAGCCTAAGACCGTGAAGCCAACACAGGGAGGTAGAACCCAGGGCCCCATTTTGTAAACCCTGGCAGCTGTTAATCTGTTCTCCAGAAATATAATCTTGTCATTTCAGAAATGGTACATAAATTAAATCATAAGAATATCCTTATGAAATTGGCTTTTTTCATTCAGCATAATTCCTTTGAAATACACTGTCCCTGCAGTGCTGGGTGACATGCCATTCTGAATGTTTTAATGTTCAGAATGCTCCTGTGGTTGCCTCTTGTGTGAGTTCAAAAGCAAGCGATGTAAAAAAGTTAACACAGATATTTCTAAAATCTCAGAGGAGTTAAACTCTAATTCTTACTGTTAATAATGAAAAATTACACAAAAATTCATCATGAATATTCTATTATAGCATTTTTTCAATATTGAGAGTATGTCAGGGCTAAGACTCACAGAAAATTATTAGTTTTGTTTTATCAATTTTATATGCAATCTACTCAATTTTACAGATAACTTATGGCTACTCTATATGCTTGCACCTTTTTTAAAAATGGGAGAAGTCATCATCAGAGTACAGATGTCACCTCTTCTATTACTAATCAACATATTTCATGTGTATTTTTCCTTATGTTTCAGCAATTGACTATTCAGACAGGAATGTGATACATAGAATCTCTTCTTGAATGTAATAGAGTCATTTCCAACATACTATGTCTTATAGTTAGCTCAAAATTTCGTACCCAAACCTAGTTTTTATAATTTCACCCACTCCAACTGCTTGAAATTGGATGCCTCCATGTTCTCAGACAAAAAATTTTGGTGTCCTCACTGACTGCATTTTTTTCACACTCCTTATCTCTACGATTTTTTTAAACCCTGTTGCAGCCCTCTCAAATAAATACCCAGAATCTGACAATATCTCATGACCTCCACAGTTATGCTAAGTGACTCCAGCTTCCCAACTAACGTAGTTGAACCTTTGATCCTTCAATCCACTCCCCCATCTATTCTCAGCCCAACAGTAGAAGAAGCGTTTATATGTCAGATTAAGTCACGCCTCTGATGGAAAGACTCTGATGGCTCCCTGCATCCTTGAGCATCCTGGAAGGAAACAGGTGGCATCCTCAGCTTAGGTCATTTGAAGAGTGACTGATAAAGGGACTTCTTCCAATGTTGCAGGCAGGGTGCAGTCCGGGCAAACCACAGTGCAGGACCTGGTGGCTAGTAACTGTAGGTCTGTTACCCCCTCTAAACTAACAGTACAAGGGGAGCAGGTAGAAGGTTCAAATCAAACAATAAACATGAAACTATAAAGAGGCCATGATCAATAAAACGCAAACTATGGAACAATGACATTGTTAGCTTATAAATAAGTACCCTTTCAAAATAAAGGTAATCCCAAGTAACAAAGCATATGTTCCTTTTTTCTCTAAATATAAAGATAGATAAACAGAGAGATGTGTGGATAAATAGATAATATGTGAATCTGTTGGTATCTTCTCTAGTCCCATGCTTCGAGTTTTATTGTTTACAAGATGTAACCAATCTTATTTCACCAACCTCAACCTTTTTATCTACCTCTACACTAAGGACCCATTTATATTCTCTTTGGAAGAGACAATAACACACTTATAAAATAGGTGACTAGCATATCTCCATTGAGCAAATGTACGAAATTACATAGATATTTCTTTTTGATTATGGTGACATTTTTATTAACTCAATATTTATATCATGTAAAACATTTACTTAATACTTATTAAATTTTTAATAAAGTAAATCAAAATTTAGAGAGTGCAGAAAAAAAAAGATACACGTTTTCCAGATTTTCCTCCCAGTGTTCCACTGGCATTATTTTATAAATGAATGACAGCTGTAATATTCAATGCTTCATGCTTCAGTTAAAACATCTGGTGAACAGAGAAGATACGCATTTCTACTTGCCAGATAACCTAATATATCATGAAACATGCCTAATACACAACTGAAAAATATCAGCATACTAGTAATAAATAGATTTTGGGAAGCTTGAGCAATTAGCAGAAACTGTAATAATTTTATATATTTATGTAGCTTTTTAAGGAGGAAGGCACACAGAGCACTTGTGAGAGTTGTCGTCATAACACAGCGTGATACTGCTCGAGTTGAACTGGTGCTATCACCTACTTAAGGAATTGGCCTAGAAACAATCTGTTACTTTCATGAAAGTAGGTTAATATTCAAGCTGATATATTTTGATATATTTTTCCTTCATTCCTCAGGCTTCAATTCTAGCCCTGTAAATTTTAAAAATAATTGGCATACATAACTCATTGACATAATTACATAGAAATATCAAGCTGGCTCTTCACTGTGCCCATAGTGTGCTGGTGTTGACTATGGGTTTGCAAATCCATAACACTGTCTGTCCTACTAAAATGTGCAAACTATTTTGAAATATAATTAAATGTAATTTAATTTTTTACCTCTTATGAAGTCCCAGGCTCTGATTTGTGTTGTGACTATTTAATATATGGTACCATGCATGGATAAAATGACTATTACATTTGCCAACTGAAACAACATTAATCTTGCCTCTTTTTTCATTTAAATGATATAACTTTTTGTTCTAAAACAAAATATTATAAAATTTCTGGTTGTTTTTGTGTAAATGAAAACCCAGTTTCTACTTTTGTTGTTTTTTTGTTTTTTGCAACGGAGTCTCTGTCTCCCAGGCTGGAGTGCAGTGACAGGATCTCAGCTCACTGCAACCTCCGTCTCCCAGATTCAAGCAATTCTCCTACCTCAGCCTCCTGAGTAGCTGGGATTACAGGCATGTGCAACCACACTCAGCCAATTTTTATATTTTTAGTAGAGATGGGGTTTCACCATGTTGGCCAAGCTGGTCTTGAACTCCTGACTTCAAATGATCTACCCGCCTCGGCCTTCCAAAGTGCTGGGATTACAGGCATGAGCCACCTTGCCCAGCCATCTTTTTTTGTCCTATCTATAATAATTCCCTCAATGCTGGAGTGCCCTATTTGAGTTATCTGATTTAGTATTTGTCTGAAACTCTGCTGCCCAGAATCTCACAAGGAAAAATTTACATACCAGAATTGTTTTTGGCGTCTCGACTTCTATTCTTCTTCCTCTTTGTCACTAGGTCTTCATCAAATATACAGTTTAATTTTAAAAACAACTTAATTTTTCATTATGTTAAATCTGTATAATTTTCCCAGGAATTTCTGGCTTGACTTATAGTCTATAAATTTTAGGCTATAGGTTCTAGACTGAAAATGTTGATATGGTATCACTTTATCTGTCCTCAGATTTCTAAGCCATATGTCAGTTTATTTGGAATATTCTACATAGCAAATAAGATATGGGATATTTTCTCTTTAAAATTATCTAAATCTGATAATAAACACATATTTTTTTCTTAACTTTTATGTTTGAGGGTGCATGTTCAGGTTTGTTACATAGGTAAACTTGTGTCATGGGGGTTTGTTGTACAGATTATTTCATCACCCAGGTATTAAGCCTAGCATCCATTAGTTATTTTTCCTTTCCCTCCTTCTACCTCCTCTCTTACCCCTCAGCCTCCTAAAGGCCCCAGTGTGTGGTGTTCCCCTCCCTGTGTCCATGTGTTCTCATCATTTAGCTCCAATTTATAAGTGAGAACATGTGGTATTTGGTTTTCTGCTCCTGCATTAGTTTGCTGAGGATGATGACCTCTGGCTCCATCCCTATCCCTGCAAAGATGCGATCTTGTTTCTTTCTATGGCCACATAGTGTCCCATGATGTATATGTACCACATTTTCTTTATCCAGTCTATCATTGATGGGCATTTAGGTTGATTCCATGTCTTTGCTGTTGTGAATAGCACTGCATGTGTCTTTATAATAGAATGATTTACAGTCTTTTGGGTATCTTCCCAGAAATGGGATACTGGGTCAAATCATATTGCTTCTTTTAGGTCTTTGAGGAATTGCCACACTGTCTTCCACAATGGCTGAACTAATTTACACTCCAACCACAGTGTGTAAGTGTTCCTTGCTCTCCACAACCTTGCTAGCATCTGTTATTTTTTGACTTATTAAGAGTCTTATGTTCATCTCATAGTTTATCTGCTATTAAATGATTCCGCATATTAAGTAAAGATATTTGATGTACACTTGTGTGTACTGATGTAGAAAATGATTAATAAATATTTATCAAAAAGTTTTCAAAATGCCTTAAAAACTGTAAGTGTTTTAATCCTATTTTGATTTATTACAACCAACAGTTCTTGACAACATATGAAGCTGAAGCACTGGGTTAGAAATGTGTTAAATAAGAAATCACCCATTAAGGGCTGAAGGACAGTTAGAAAATATTCTAAACATGATAAATATCATTAAGGGAAACACCCAATACAATGGTATGACTTTAAAAGATGGAGAAATCACTTCTGGATGTGGCTGTAATTTCAGTGGATCGGGAAAGAATTCCCCATAGAGATGGATTTTGATCTGTTGCTTAACATGTTGGTGAGCTTTTGAAAAGAAAGTTGCAGGACTAAGAGGGATTGTCTGTCTCCTGGAGGAAAAACAGAGGGGTGCATGAGTTGCAAAACACTGAGAAGAGCAAGCAACCTTAAAAGCAACTAATTCATGCAGGGCGAATTTAAAGTAACTCTAAGAATGCACGGTAAAGAATGCACTCATATTTGATTCCAATGCATAGTAAAGAATGCACCCATATATGGTTCCAAAATACTAATATCAAGGGAAAAATCAAAACTCCTTGTGGATTATCAAAATTTCCCACATAAAATTAAATGCTTTTTTTTTTTTTTTTTTTTTTGAGACAGAGTCTTGCTGTCTCCTAGACTGGAGTTCAGTGACGCAATCTCGGCTCACTGCAAGCTCCGCCTCCTGGGTTCATGCCATTCTCTTGCCTCAGCCTCCTGAGTAGCTGGGACTACAGACGTGAGCCACCATGCCCAGCCAATTAAATGCATTTTTAAGCACTATCAGAGATTGTTTGATATTTCTTGGCATTAAACTCAACCAGTGCTCAATCATTAATTTTAAATTACAGTTTTAAATAAATGACAGTGAATGTATAGAAAAGCCTGCATTATAAAATATCACTTTGGTTTTATACAAAGAAAGTGTTTTCACTTTGGGAGGCTGAGGCGGGCGGATCACGAGGTCAGGAAATCGAGTCCATCCTGGCTAACATGGTGAAACCCCGTCTCTACTAAAAATACAAAAAATTAGCCGGGCGTGCTGGTGGGCGTCTGTAGTCCCAGCTACTCAGGAGGCTGAGGCAGGAGAATGGCGTGAACCCGGGAGGCGGAGGTTGCAGTGAGCTGAGATCGCGCCACAGCAACTCCAGCCTGGGCGACAGAGCGAGACTCTGTCTCAAAAAAAAAAAAAAAAAAGAAAATGTTCTGTATGACTTTAGAGCACTTTACTTATTTTCTTTCACCAAAATAGGAATATTTTGCAATAATTTTAATATTTCTCCTAAAATATAAGTTTATTTGGAACTTATAACTACTGAAAAAATTAAATATGTATTTTAAATAATATGAGCTAGTTAGACATATTATTAAGGATAGGTACAGAATTCTGAAGGTAGAGCTATGCTCATCATATTTTTTTGTTGTTGTTAGCAGAAGGAAAAGATTAAAAGTAGGAACTATACTGAAATGCAATATAGAGACTGAATTTGGGTAGGCAAAGAAATAGTGTACCCTTAAAACACAAAATGTTAAGTAGCCAACTATATTATTTTAAATTGGGTAGGAAATTTTAAGAGGAAATAATTTTTTAAAGGCAAAAGCAAGTTGTCCTGTATCAAAAACACAAACTCTTAAACAAATATATATTCAATTAAAAAGTATACAAATAGGCACATAAATGCCTACAATACACTATTAGAAATGATGAGTTTGATTATTTAGAGGTGGCAATTGTAGAGGCATAGAAGTCAGAAGGATGGAAAAGAAGGAAAGCAATGTATTATTCTGTAGGCACTCCCACATTGCAAGGAGAGCAGTGAGATTTCCCCAATCCAACACCTCCTTGCTCCCGAGCAAGCTCTCAAAAAGGAAGCTCCTGCCCTCTATTGCCCACAAACCACTTCAAATGCAAGAAAAACAAGCAGTCTCTTTTATCAGATGATTGTATATTGAATCAAAATAAAGCAAAGAAAAAAGGACCACAACTTCAGCTCCCAGTGATCAGAAGCACAGTACCCAGAAGGCCGGGATAAATTGTCAGCTATTTGGGTATCTGGTAGTCAAATTTACATAATCCCATGTAATTCTAAGATTAATACTCTTAAGTAGGCAATGTGAGACATATTTCTAAATATAGAAAAGCCAAAAATCAAACCCAGATCTGTTTGATTAAAAAATTGATTATGTCCGTCTCTTTATGTTACATTTCTGTTCAGCAAACAAAAAAAATGTCAAAGTGATTTTTTTCTTACTTTTTATTTAGATATGTTGATATTGGGAAGCCATCACCACCAATAACTTTTAAGTGTCTGTGTGTGTGTGTGTGTGTGTGTGTGTGTGTGTGTATACACCTCATTTTCCTTCTCTAGACTTGGGCTCTGGTATAAAATATCACAAATATTTAGAAACTTTGAAATCAGGACAGATGCCAAGTTTTGTTTTTGTTTTTGTTTCAGTTGTTCCTGAAACTGTTATTCTCTGATTTTTAAAAATATTGTTGAGCTTGAATTGTAGACAGCTTAGAAGTATTTGAATAATATTTTTTAAGTGTGCCAAGTGCTTTTGAGCAGAAAATGATGGCATCTTTTCTCTAAATCAATTGTGGAGAGACTAGAGAAATTTAGCCAAAGATGATTCAGTTGTGTAGAAGGAGACTCACAAAGGCTGTTAGGCACTGAAGTGGGAGAAATCCTTGACTGGAGAAATTTAAAAGTAAAAGATACTATTTGGCCTTTTATGAACGATTTTTAAGGTATGGTCTTAAGAAAAACGGCTTACAAAAATGAACTTCTTAAATATCCTCTTGTGTCTGAAGTTATTTCTTTTTTTACACAATATCTACTATATTATCTAGAAGAGGAAAAGGCACTCACATATGTGGAGTGGGTACTTTTAGACAGAAGCTTTACATTATCACCTCATTAGAATGTTCAAGTCCACATGATGTTTGTTTAAACATATTTTTTTTTCAGATAAAGAAGTGAAAAAGTAATAACTAAACCATTTTTCAAACACATGAGATGGTATTTGATCACTGGTATATCTTTTTTTTCTGAAATAATTTTCTTTCCATAAATCCATTTTTGTTGTGGCTAATTTGCTTGTATTAATTTAATGGCTAAGATGATTAGAAAAGGATGAACATTAAATTCGATTGAGCCCATAATGGAATTTTCAGGTGCTTTTAAAAACAATTAGAGCTTACTCTTTCTCAATAACCTATTCTGCTTATACTTAACTGTTATAAGATCACGATTTCGTTCTGCTATTTTAAAACATCGCTAAAATATAATGTCTAATATGATTAAAAACAGAAGAAGATAAGATAGCCTCATAAGGTAAGAATTGGTGTGTTTATAGGCCTTAATTTCATGTATTACCCCTTTCTTGTCACTCTTTGGAAGTGAAGAAAGAGAATTAGGGGGCTTAGAAAAAGTAATGGCTACCATGTCAGATCCTCAGGACTTATGGCTTCTGAAAGCAAAGTCATTGCTTGCCTACCTCCAAGCATGGTGACACAAAGAACAAAGCAAAAAAGGAAGGGCACAGTTTTAAGTTCCTTGCCTTTGTGATAATGCCAATGAAATGTCACAATTCTACACTAGTTAACTGTACCAAGAATGATGACCTCATTCAGTTCAACAATTATCTTACTCAAATTCAAAGCTAAAACATCTTACTTTTACAATACATGCGAAGTATTATAAGTGAAAAACACTTATGAATTAAAAATGTTGAACATTTTTACACAAAATCAGTCTAAAATATTCTTCTATCCTAAAATATAAATTAATCTTATAATTAGAGTTTTTACCCAAGAAAATCTGTTGCTTTTGTTTTACATGCATCAAACTCATGAAGTTTAGTGTTCTGCTTTGCAAAATATTTTACAAAATGCCTCAGGAATTTCAGTTGTGGCAAATGAAACTTACACAATTTCTTCATTGAAACTCTATTTTATAGATAAACATGCCGTCCTCCCGAGAGTTAAACTGCTTTTTTTTTTAGCTTTCTTATTTATTTCTTTATTTCTTATCTCGATTACTTAAAAATTTTGTACAGTCTTTCTGGAGTATGTGTTTATAAGCTGAATTTATTGTACCATGGCTTAGAATCAACTGAATATTGAAACCTGAACAAACACAAATATAATCTTCTAAGTAACTTGTGAGTTTTAATTCATAGATTTTAAAATCGTGTCAATATTCTGTAATTTTGAACCAAGTGCATACTTAAATAGTATTTTACTGCTTTTAAAATATTTTGAATTTACAACCTATTTTAAAATGTTGAATTACAGTCTGATGCTCACAGAGTGAAAACAAATGCCAACAATGTTTGCCTGGTTATAATCATAGAACATGTCTCCAAAGTAAATCTATATTAACACAATTCAATGTGGTAATTAAGATAGAAAAAAGCAGCACTAAGCTGTGTGTCCTATCAGTTTCCTTGGGGAGAAAAAAAAAACCACTGACGTGACTTGAAATGTGTCCAAGGGGTTTAGTTAGCCTCCAATTAGCTGCAAAGTCCTGCAATTAAAATGCACAACAAATACCAGCCTCCATGTCCCTGAACCCTTTATTATTTAAGTCCTAATTTCAGATGGTTCCTTCATTAGAGCATATATCCCAAAAGCTACCTTTGACTTACAATTACACTGTACAATCAGTGCTGTCAGGTGATAAGTTGGAAGGACAACAGACTCCAGGGCATATCTTGGTGAACCTCAAAGGCCCAGGTCTTAACCAGAGGCAAACAACAGAACAAAGGCAAACATTCTAGGAACAATCTACCATGAAAATAGGCCAAATTGTTGCCCCTGTTTAACCTTGCAGTTTATACCTGTCATGAAATCCATATAGTAAATTCAAGAGGCCATGCAGAAATATGAACACAGCGGATGTGTAAAGAGCGGGAAATTGGAATCTGTCTTTTCTCAGGTTCAGAAAGCATATGCCATGTTTTCATATCATTTTCACCTTCTGCATCATTACTTCCTTTCATAATCATTTGGACTCATAAGAAATGCTTTTTTGCAATTTAAATACTACCTTGACACTTAATATCCAGGTTGGATGACAAAAAAGTCGGCTTACTAACTGTTTAATGAATACTTCTGAGACCATAGTTAGTTTATTTTTGGACAGATATATTTCTATTATAAATAGTCTACTTTTAATTTACTTTTTTGGAAATTATGGCCCATTTTTCTTTATAAAACATGTCTCAAAATGTTATTCAATTCCCAGACAGGACAGGTCAGAAAGTAGTCTAACCCATAATATAACTTTAATGGCCTTCAGAATTAAATTTTACCCATTTGTAACACACTGAATATGTAAGAGTTGTCTCAACTTCCAGTTAACGTCCAAATAATATTCTGTGCCTCTGAGCAAGGATATTTTTAAAAAGAGCCAATTATTTGGTCATAATTACTTCCCTGACAATATCAGCACATAAAAGAGAGTGGGCGAAGGGAAAACTTTTTATATGAAAACAACTTTCAAAATTAATATGATTTTATAAATAAAGGGATCTTTCAAAATTTTGTTAAGGGAAAAATATTACCAAGAGTCAATCATCCCTCAGTTGATCTAAATGAGAGAAAAATTGTATGTGAATGCATTTTTGAAAGTGTGAGTTGACGTGTGTGAGCATGTGTGCATAATCTATGAGCATGTGTATCAGCATGCGTGTGTGCTTGAATTTGTGTGGATGTGAGCATGTGTTTGAGTGTACAAACATGCATAAATCAATATGTGTGTGTGATGTGTGGAAGAGAAATGTGGTATTCATAGGCTGAGACTGGCAAGCAATGCACGTGGATACAAGTGGAATAGTTATCACCTAAGAGAAACTCACAGCAATTCAACACCATATGGAGGAATTGCTGGAAAAAGCTGGTGGAGGAATATGTTAAACTTGATTGTTGAAATAATATTCATCTAAGGCATGTAATTTCCATATGATCTTTTTGCATTGAAGGTAAATCAAAAGCAAGCTCTCAATAACCATATGAAAAGAAATACAATTTCATAAGTAAAAGGATCTTTCAAAATTTTGTTGAGAAAAACACTAGTGAGAGCTGATAATCCCTCAGTTGCTCCAAATTGCGTTAAATTGGATTGCCTTAAAATGGCACCATTAAGAGGATAAAAAGAAGTCACAGAGTGGAAAAAGGTATTTTTAATAACCAACAAAGGGCTTATATCCAGAATATATTAAAAACTTGCATAATTTCATTAAAAATCAGGCCTTCCCTTAGGAAAAAAAGTGCAAAAACTTGAATAGCTGCTTCTCAAAGGAGAATATCAAAAAGACCAATGAATCTGGAAAAGGTCTCAACCTCTTCTGTGGAATGTCATACAAACCCATGGTGTGGTATCACTTTCCTCTCAAAGAATGGCTAAAATAGCCCAGATGAAAGTAGAACCCCACTTGCACCATGTTTTAATGGACGTCATATTGGGGTGCTTTGTGTGGCTCTGCACCTGTCACAGGGCAAAGCATCCGTAGGCTAAAGGCAAATGCCCCCTAAGGATCTGCCATAAACCCACTACCAGACCATGCTTGAGCTACCAGCACCCCACATTCCCTGTCCAGACAGCCTAGAACCTGTTCCCACAAAGTGCTCTGGGCTTTCTCCTGGGTTTTTCATCTGAAGGGAGATGATACCACCTATGTGTGTAGCTCTACATCCAAGGAATGGTTCACACCCAGGAAGTAGTAGACAGAGCCTTAGTGTATAGATCGGCTTTTCTCAAGTGTGTTTCTCTTTGTAAGTTCACCATTTTTTTCACTCATTTAAACCTATCAACTTTATTTTTAAATATTTCTGGTATCTTTCAACTTCTGACTCTATCTGAAATATCCTTTCAGTTATCATTGATTCCTCATTTTCCTGCCTAAAATAATCCAATGCTCAGCACTGCTATGGAGATAAAGAAAAAAGAAATCTGTAACATTACAAGAGCCTACATTTCCTCTGCCTGAAAAGTCAACAATCCCTTCTTGTAAACTCTAGACTTCACTCTGATTCTCAACTACAATACCTTGAAACTCTTCAATCTTTTCATTTTTCTACCTCAAGTCCATCTTTTCCCTCTGCCTAGAACTTCCCCTTTCAAGACACTCACATTTCACCTCGTCGATTCCTATGAATTATTCATAGCTCAATTCATAAACATTGTTCTCAAAAAGCCTATCTATACTCCCCAAATTGTCAGATCTTCTATTATAAAATTCTAATAGCATTCTGCATTACTTTCTTAGCATTTACCTAGCTCTAATAAAATAATTTTATTGGCTGTTCAATATCTGCCTCCCAATTTATATAAAAATTTTTAGAACGAAACTCTTCATGTATGAATGCTCTATATGTAGTTGTTTAATAACAAAATATAAACATTTAGCTATGTAAATTGGGAAAATCTGCCATATTTAGATTATACGAATGAAGGTTGAATAATGTTTAAAGAATACTTTAAAATCTCAATGATCTGTCCAAGAATTATTTTTAAAATGGTGATATTCTACATAATACATTATTTTAAATAACCCTAAGATTATGCTTCTAGGAAGGATAACAGAATAAGCAAAATAAATAAAGATACAAATCTATAAACTTAATTATAATAAGGATTATTAGTTAAACAAAATATACATAGATATAAATTCACAAACCATAAGTTTTCATATTCAAACAATTTTAGAACTTATGTGTACATTCTCATATAACATATTATTTATGATGCATATTAACAGCTATTAATGCTGCATATTAACATCATATTAATAGCTATCACTTTTGAGAATTGAGCAAGTATAAGATAATTCAATTATCCCTAATCTCACAAAAAGTCCACAAAGCAGACATTATTCCTGATTCACTGGTGAGGAAATGAGGAATAAGTAGCTATAAAACTTGCCAAGATTCCTGAGCCAGAGCTTGAGTGTGTCTGTCTGACCTCAAGGCCTGGCCCTTCCCCTTTCCCCTCAACAACAAAAAAATCATTTTTCTTTTGACAGAATTAAGTTTTTCAATCTCTAAGTTCAGTTTTTGGATCAGAGCTTAACTTTTCCAAAGAAAAATTGCTTAATCAAATCTCTTAAATAGGTTAGCATTTAGCATACATCGTGAATAGTGCACTAAGCAGAAGAAAAATAAGGCAACAGCAAACTAAGCAACCTATCGACCAACCCCCAGATTAGTTTGTTAAGCCATTTGAGGGCAATTTCAAACAAATCTTTTCTTTGTAAAGTGGGAACTTCTAATAGGCTACTTTGCATTTACTAAAGGAGAGTACAAACAAAATCAAAATATAAACCAGGAAGGTACTCATGATGCAATACTAATGTACAAGAAAATAAGCAAATAATGCTATGAAATGACTGTAATCTGCTAAGTATAGAAGTATATTATTTTAATTTGAATACACATATTTTCTTTCCCTGATAAGCTAATTGTCAATGATTGAGGCTCAAATCCAAAGTAAAAATCAATTATTGAACACTATGGCTCATTTTAAGCTAGAATCTCAGTGTGCAATTTATTTTAATCCTTGTCCTTTATCTATGGAGAAAGGATACACATGTGCATCATAAAATGCCAGATTGTTTCTTACATTTTCTTAGGAACATAGCCATATTGAAGACACAATTAACCACATGATGTTAATTACTGAAGAAATTATCATTGCTAAAATAAAGTGAGAATTGTCATATATATATATATCTACAGAATTTTGAAATGGCATGTAATGTGTTCATATATATTCTTACAGTGTATGTATATATTTTAGCTATATATAAATTAACTAAATATATGTATAATATATACATACATACCACGTGCACATGTACACACACATACATATAAAGTATGTCAGTGATCTAACTTGGATATATCTAAACTGTAAATTTGAAAATCAAAGAAACTACCATATTGCAATCTATATGCAACTGTATATTTTACATGAATTTGTGGTTATCATATAGCTTAAATTGGAAAGTGAGTCCCTAAAAGCATCATTAATTCAGACAAAGTAAATGCCAGAAAATAAATTAGGTGCATATAAAATGAGGAACTGCAAATATATTACTTACTTTTATATTAGTGGAGGCAAGAAGACAAAATGTAACTGAAGAAATGTTTTTCACAGATAACTTACTTCCTGAAAAAAAAGTATTTTCCGTTAACGCTATAGATTTTCTTTATAATTCTCAACAACACTACCTAAGCAGTGTTTTGCAAAGGTGTGGAGGCATCTCTGCTTTTCTCCATAATTGGAGATATAGTCATGGAAAACAGAAATGCTGGACATGTTGGAAAATGTGTCCTCTGCCATTTTCTCATATTCTTGCCAGCATTATGTTGACATATCTGTGTATAATCACATGATAATAAAACATATTTTTACAGCTGTGCATGGTGGCTCACGCCTGTAATCCCAGCACTTTGGGAGGCCAAGGTGGGAGAATCACGAGGTCAGGAGTTCAAGACCAGACTGACCAACATGGTGAAACTTCGTTTCTACTAAAAATACAAAAATTAGCTGGGCAGAGCGGTGGGCACCTGTAATCCAAACAGCTCGGGAGGCTGAGGCAGGAAAATCGCTTGAACCGGGGAGGCGGAGTTTGCAGTGAGCTGAGATCACACCACTGCACTCCAGCCTGGGCGACAAAGTGAGATTGTTGAAAAAAAAAGCATATTTTTACATGTAAACATAGAGACTTTATTGAAGAGTTTTAACATGCAGATGTGTATTGTCAAATAAATCAAGGGAAGATTTCTAAAAAATATATTTGAGATGTTCATCATTTTAGATAAATATATCATTGATACAGCAAACTTATTTCATTAGGGTCATCAATAAACCCTAAACTGTACGAGTTGTTTTTGTGGCTCTCACGTTCAAGTAAATTCCACGTATATTTTAGCAGTGGGCTCAACGTTGGCTGGACATCACAATCATCTGGAAAGCTGTAAAATTCCAATTTCTAGACCACACCACAAATGATTAAAGCAGATCTATGAAACTGTGAAGCCAGTGAAGTGCCACTGCCATCCACATTCACTCCGATGACAAATGTTTACATATGAGTATATATTATTGCAATATATATTGCATTCTTTTTCTTCCTCATTACATAAAACTGAAGACATATACCTTTTTGAACTTACGTGCAAAAGAACATTACCAAATGTTTGCTATAAAATGGTAGCCCAGAATGTAATAGTGAGGAAAACCTTTGATCTGTGGTTTCTCACCACCCCAACATGTGAAATGCTCCAATACAGCCTCATATGGAAGGTTAACTTTAGCATCTTTGGCAAAAACTTTTTAGCAAAACACTAAGTTCATAGGCATATTTTATTTACATTGTTCTGCCACTTTCTGAATATCAGAAGTAAATCTCAATCTCTTTGTATGAAGCATATATCAAGAACTCTCTTTTTTAATAAATGCCTGTCCCTTGTTAAGAAGTTAACAAGATATTCTTTTAGAAATATAAAATGACAGTAAAATTACAAAATACTGTAAGAACTACTTTCCTGGAAAATCTTGGACTTTTTTCTGGAAGAATGGTTTTTTTTTTAATAAAACATAAGAATATGATTAGAAGTATATGTGGAAAAGTAACTTTACAAAATCTAGTCTTAGAGAAAATAATATTTTTCTCTTCATTAAATCTTGTTAAGCCCAATTCTACATAACTTCTTAACTCAAACATTCAGAAAGCTACACTTTGGGAACAACTAGAGTAGTGATAGTTGTTTTTTGTTAGTTAATATTTTAAAAAGTGAGAGAGAAAAGAAGGGGGGAAGAGGAAGCAGAGAGAAAAGAAAACACAAAGAAGGAGGAGAGGAAGGAGGGAGAGAGATTTTAAGGATTATATAATGCAATGTTTATAACAAGCAGACACCATTTTAACTGGAGAAGACATTGGGTAAATCTTTGTTATTGAAATGCTTTCTGAGTCGACTTTTTTTTTTTTTTTTTTTTGAGACAGAGTCTCGCCCCGTCGCTCAGGCTGGAGTGCAGTGGCGCGATCTCGGCTCACTGCAAGCTCCGCCTCCCGGGTTCGCGCCATTCTCCTGCCTCAGCCTCCCGAGTAGCTGGGACTACAGGCGCCCGCCACCACGCCCGGCTAATTTTTTTTGTATTTTTAGTAGAGACGGGGTTTCACCGTGTTAGCCAGGATGGTCTCAATCTCCTGACCTTGTGATCCGCCCACCTCGGCCTCCCAAAGTGCTGGGATTACAGGCTTGAGCCACCGCGCCCGGCCCTGAGTCGACTTTTAAGCATAATATTTCATCCTGTGTGAAGGTGAAGTATTTAACTTTGCTGAGTAGATGACAATACTTCAAGGGAACATGTGTTTACTAACCTGTTTGGAGGAGAGTTAAATAATATCTAGAATGGTGTAAACTGTGATACTCACTGTGGAAAAATATGTAAAAAAATTTTCTTAAAAATTTCCGTTTTATTTACACCATCACTATAATGCATCTCTTTTATAAAGAAATGATTTACACAGACTTGCAATATTTCTACATAATTTAAAGCAAATACTTTTACAGCAGTCCTTTGAAAACTTTAATAGGCCTAAAATTCTGCTGAATGTGGACACATGTTTCAAATGCTTTTGGCCATCTGGGAATGTGGCGTTCTTCATAGGAGCTCTACTCCCGAAACTGCCAGTGCCTTTGCTGCACCAGGCTCCAAAAACCTATTGATAACTATATCATGTTGTGCAGGTGGAAATTGACCTTGATCATATTAGACAAATACATAAAAGGAAGACTGAAGAATACAGGCTACTTAAGACAAAAATATCCATTCCTGAAGATGGGTGGGAAAAGTAGATATTTTAATAGAATGCTCTAGATATTTTCTTCCGCTTTCTGGCACCAAAGTAAAACTTAGGTGCCAAAGTGGCACTTATCTTCAAAGAACCACCTTTTTTTCTCTTATTACCATTGTATGAGAGAAAGTCATTGGCATTTTCATCATGTCTCAAGATTTGTAACATCTACCTAGAGGTATGAATTTGCTTTTCATGCATTTAAATGACTATAAACAGCATTCTTTTGAAATCACCTAATGAGTTCTATGATATGAAAACAGATATGTATCCCCAGAAATAATATATATAATTCTGATTCTATAAGAGAACTATTGGGGCTTTTTTGTGAACATTATTATAGCTCAATATTATCTTTTTGTTTTTCATGGTATTCCAAAGATCATTTAAAGGATGAGGATATGTAAGGTTTTCTTCAGTGCACTTGTCTTTGGTGATAATGCCCTAGTTCACTAGTTCAGTTGCCTATTATGCGACATCCTTTTAGGGATTATTCTGATGTACATAAACATACCCTTGCTAAGTACATACACATATATACCATATGCACACATGCACACCCACCTGCATACAAACACACACAGACACACACACACACAGACACACACACACACATACATTTCTTATCCTGGATTGGAGTTACATGGTACTGGAGGGGGGGTTATGTTTCTAAAAATCCAATAGTAATTAATGGAATAAAAAGTATTCCTTTCTTTATATTGTTTGGCTATTTTAAAATGAATTTTAATACTTTGGATTATAGTTTAATAAAGATGATATGGAAAAGAAATTATTTACTTAAAAAAATCAAAATAATGCAGAAAAAAGTTATTTGTGAGTATTTATGTGAATGTGTGCTGCACTAAATAATGAAGGGTTTTCTATGTCCTTTCTTCCACCTATCTTGAAAATCCACACTCAAAACTTCCTTTCTTATTAAAATGCCCTTGGTAAAAATCCATATAACTCCACTCACTTATTATTTTCTATATATGTAAAGAAATTTTTACATGGTATATAGATAGCAAATACATATTAATGTTTTATGTTTTTAATCTCTTACAATGGACTTTGTGCAATGTCCATAATGATGACCACTTTTGGTATGCAACAGGATGATAAAATGTTTAACTGATGCACCAAAATATAAAAAAAAGGTAGATACTAAAGTAAATTCTGAGAAGAACTATCTAGAACTTGAAAATTATCATAGTGTGATCATAAACAAGTCAGTTAAGACTACAAGAGATAATAATGCTGTACAAAAGCCAGGAGAAATTATTTTCAAGGACAATTTATTTTAGAGGATCTACTAGTGTTTTCAGAGTTACATATCTTCTTCCTGACCCATTTCTTTTAAGTTTTAGATCTGGAAGAATTTTGTTGTTGTTTGGGTGTGCTTTTTTGGAGATGGGGTAAAAGTGCAGACTTTAAAAATAGAACTTATTAAATCCTTTAAATTTTAAAATTTATCTTTAATTGACACATTGTAATTGTGCCTGTTTGTGGAATACATCGTGATGTTTCTAATTTTCATTCAGGAATAATGAAAAAAACCTTGAGACTGACTTATAATTTTATTCTATTTGCTACTTGATCAGAATAAATTATATGTGCATATAGGTAAAGTTACAAGGGTTAAAGAATAGGTACAAAACATCACGAAACCAGCATGCCTCGTTTGATGCAAAATTCCTATAATGACTACAATAGTAATGATAGTGACTATCATTTAAAAATCTCTATGCCCCCAAGAAGTATTCATATTTCATGTCAGTCTTAATAGTAGACATTTATAAATAATAATATTCATCATGAAATGAAGAATAGATTGAAAGAAAGTAAGGATAAACATAAAAGCTTCAAATCATTGTATTCTTATTCCTCTAGATTTTCAACTTATGTCAGTTATGTTCACAGAATATGAAAATTCTATGACCACACATGTTCGGTCAGCCCTGCCCTTTGACAGGTAACTGATAATTTCTCCTCTGTGAGAACACTTTCAGGAATTATTTATTCACAGATTTATTTGTGTCAGATTCAAATGAATGTTTTTTCTATGGTATATTATTTTAGCTTCTAAATTTGTTTTTAGAAGTGATGACATAATCTTGACATACTTTTGTTCATTTATAATTATAGAATTCAGTTTTTCTTTCTTTAGCGTAGCTCTGGTTTATGAATTAAGAGAAAAAATTAGCAAAAATGATATTCATGACTTCTCAGAGTTAAAAGAAATAACTTATAATCTAAAATATTTAATATTTGCAATATTTCACTTACAAAACAATCACACTGCTAATAAAATAAGCTACAATGCCACTTACCATGTATTGGTATAAATTTAATGGCTGTCACAATAAAGATTGAAGCCTCCTGGTAGGATATGGAAAGCAGAGTCTATTCATAGAGAAATTAGAAAATGTCAGCTGTGTGGTTTCCATGGAATAACTTGGCTTTAATTAAACATCTATTCATTAGTAACAAATGCCAAATAACATTAAGCTGTTAGTAGAATATTAATTACATGCTTAAGGACTAATGGTAGCATATTAACAATTAATGGTACTTTAAGAAACTAGATATACTATAGTACATAATTTGTTTAAATTGAAAGCTATTCTACGAGTGTGATTTTTTATTTCCTAATTGAAAAACTCCATAATTATATGCACAATATACATATAATTCTATGTACAATATACATATAATTTTGAAGTTTTTTTCCCCTGAATATCATGGTATATATTTGGGTACTATGTATATGTCCAAATATACCTCTCTTAACTTTAAAAAGCATTCATTACAAATTGTTCTCTTTCTATTCTTGCCTCCCTCTGGAAAAAGGAAACCTCACTTTATGCATAAAATTTCTATTTAAGATGACATGATGGTTGAGTTAATATGAAACCTTAAAAAAGTAAAGTCGAACTATGAAAACACCCATTTTAAAGAACTGTTTCTCCGTCCCAGGGTCTCTCCTTCTGTCTCAATTTTCTCTTCTAACAGAATAGGTATATTTGGTAAAAAATATAGCAGGACAGGACCCAGATTCAACGAAAAGCCAGAGACATCCCACTCTGGAATCTGACACAAAGACTTTCTCATTCAACACAGACAGGCACTGAAATGCCTGCTAGATCTGCTGCCTTGATACTGTGAAAGGACATTTTGAATATTCTTTAATGTGAAGGCAGAGGAAAAGAAAGTAATTATATTTTAGGATTGGGAGCTCTTTTATCGAAAACTCTGTGGACCTGTTTGAACTTTGCCAAAACATTTCTCTTCAAATCAAGTAGAACCTTGTCCATATACTTGGAAACAAATTAACTCTCAAATACAGCCAGATGATGATAGACAGTGTTGTTGACCACACATATGAATCCGTCTTGATCTTTACCTTATAACATTTCAGTTATTCCTACAGATGGAAGGGTGCACTTTCCTGCCCCTTGACTTTGGAATCAGCGAAAGAGATATTAGCAAAAGTGGTATGATGAAACTGACACTCCATATGTGCTTTATGGTAAGGCTTTCTCTCTTGTGCTTGTATCATTGTCATGTACTGCAGAATAAACATGGCCACAAGTGCTCTGACATTCCTTATATAGAGTGGGATATTTATTTCCTTCCTCCTGGTGGGTAAGGGAGAAGCTTAAAAGGGCCCTGGGAGACTGTCACTGAATGGTGGAAGAGCTTCAAGGGGATTATTAACAAGAAATGTAAAAGCAGTGAGGAAAATGTTATTACAAGCAAGAAGGAAGCAACGTGTAATCAGGAACATAGAAAGAGTAACTAATGATCTCTGAGGATTGGCCAAGGATATTTGCAGGCATAATGTTGCAAGTTCCATACTCTTTCTTGACATCTATGATGAATTACAAAAAAATAATGAGATAAAGAAAAAACTGTTCTGTTTTTGGCAGAATTTAGAGTCATTATAAAGGCCCCAAGACATGCTGGGTTTGAAAATAAAATTGTTGCATATTCCTAGTTTCTACCAGAAAAAGACTCTCAAAGTTATAAATGAATACATGCCAGAAATCAAATCAAAGGCTCAACTAGTTATCCATAGCCTGAGAATACAGATATCAAGGATGTGGCTGTAAGATCCTTTCATCAGATCACAAAAAAGATACATGAATTTGCTTAGTAAGGCTTCTAAAAATATAAACTGAATGTCTCCTAGACTCTGCTGCACAAGTGGGTCATTAACCCATTTATGCCAGAGGTTGCAAATTTTTTTGGTGAAAAATGAGACCTTGGAAATTACCTTGAGCAGCAGGATATAAATAACTCCCACAAGCTTAGTGTTCCAATAATGGAAAACTGGGCATAAATGCGTTAAGATTTGTCAAATCATGCTTCCATGTCAATATGAAATGCTTTTACAAAGAAAGATTTTATGGCCCCAAGATATCATATCTTATAAGTAAAGCTAGAGAAGTTACTCTATCAAAACAAGTGGTTTGGTTTCGGCTAATTGAATTAATTTGATACACAGGAAACCAATCAACATTTTAAAGCCATTGTATCAGATTAGATGCAAAATGCAGAGATAGTTTAAAATGAAAAGAGGCCTTTGTAACCTTGGTATTATTTCTACAGGAAGTAAACAGGCTGAGAATAATACTCAGCTGCTGTAAACATAGACCACTTATTAGTAAAATTAAAAATAACTCATAAGGCCGTGGGGAGTAGTACTGTGTCCTAATCAAGAAACTACAATATCAAATGAAGTAGATTTCTGAATTACCACGAATCCATGACTGCTATGTACCTTCATATCACTCCTTTCAGAATTAGAATACCTGTTGTAATTTTCATGTCTCTCTCTTGTCATTATTATGTTGATTTTATGAAGGGAAAAAATTCACCTAATTTGTTTCACATAACAGGAATCATAAACAGGGATCAATTCACCTAATTTCTCCTTACATAAACAGGAATCATATGTGAGGAAGCACCCCTGGATAGTCTAAATCCACTTGATTTAAATAATAAAATCCTGTATTTGAGTTAATTATGTAAGAGAGTGAGGCTTTGGGGGCCTTTGGAGAAGAAAGTACATTTTGTATAAGGGAGGAATTTTAAATACATGGCCACAGTTTGAGCTTCTGTGGATTAAAAGTGGTTAAGTATTCTTATGCACTTCTCTTAGCAAGATCTGCACACTATTTCATCTTGCCATTGATTGTGTGAGGGCTTGGGGTTACTTTTGACCCTGTCACAATAGAATCAAACAGTCATGTCCTATTGGAAGTCCTTACAATCAAAACCATGACATATAGAACATCAGCCTTGTGGTAGTTTGTTACACAGTATTTACATTATTAAATAACTAGAAAATTATAGAAAGGCATTAAGATAGTTTGTGTACGCACACACTCAAAAACACCTCATAGATATTGATTTTGGATTGTTTTAAATCTATAAATCTGTGGTGGGAGAATAGACATTTTCATTATTGAGTCTTATAAAGTATGAATACAGGCCTTCTTTATTTCTTTCAAAAATACTTTATAGTTTCCTTTAGACCTCTTGCGTCTCTGATTTTTGTGTTGTTGATATTATAATTTTTCCTTATTTCTTATTTGTAGAAATAGATTTTTAATAAGTATTGGCCTTGTAGTCAACAGTTTTATTTAATTCACTTAGTAATTCTAAAAGTTATTCTGTAGCTACTATTGAGTATTCTCTATATGTAATCATGTAAGTTGTAAATAATTACTTTATTTCTTTAGGCACAATTCCTTACATATTTAATTGTATTTGCTTTCTCTGGGACTGGTTAGGATTTTCAGCACCCTGGCAAATATAAGCAATAATGCAGAAATCATTGTCTTATTCAAAGTCTTAGAAGGAAGCTTTTAATATTTTAATATTAAATATTATGTATGCCTTTTTATCTCATTAAGGACTGTCCCTCTTAATGTTAGTTTTATAATTTTTTTTTAAAAAGAGAATTGGTGAATTTTAACATTTTTAAACTTTTTTTTCTATGTCTGTGATGATGAGCATTTAGCATTTTTCTGATTTTTGGAACTTAAACCAACCTTGCATTCCTGGAATAATCACCGCTCAGTCTTGCTATATTCTTCTTTTTATATTTATTGTTGGATTTGATTTGCTTTTTCAAAAAACTGTTTCTTTGCTTCATTCTAAATGAAAGAATTGGGCTTTGATTTTTAATGTTAACATCTTCATTAGGATTATTTTCAATATTTGTGATCCTCATAAAACAAGTTAGAAAAACTGCATTTTCCTTAAAATTTTGTTTTTTTTTAAAGTGTTACTTCTTTACTATTTGGAAAACTTTGATTATGGGAAGGTTTTCACTTAAAGATTTGATTTATTTAATAGATATGTAAAGTAAAATGTTCTATTTTTTGTGTTGTTCTTGCTAAGTAACGTTTTTCAGTGAATTTGTTCAAGTGTAATAGCAAAGTGTAATATCCATGTATTATCTTTTTAATACTTGTTGGTCTATAGGATCTATACAAATGTTATTTTTTAAGGTTTTTTAATTATGAATTTTCTTAAAATTTGGAAGCCAGAAGAGGGAGGATTGGTAAAGAAATGTTTATTTCTGGGATGCATTTGAACTGACCTGGTAGACTTTCAATGTGTCAGGTTTGTGGCAGCTTTCTGTGGGTGACAGAAAAACTTTGTAATGGCAAGTCTAAGAAGCTAACTATTTCATCCTCCATAGAGCACAAAATTATGACAATAAGGGAAGGGAAACACATTAAGGAAACACAATAAGGAAAGAGCCACATGGCTTCTTCACAGAGTGTCCCCAGATGGAGTGGACACATTTAAACCATAATTGGAAACACATCTCACTGAATGTTACACTTGTGAAGTGAAGGTGTTAAGAGGTGGGGCCTTTAACAGGTAATTAGGCCATTCATCCATTCCTCGTGAATCGAGTTAGGTCTTTATAAAAGGGGCTTCACACAGAGTTGAGCTCACTTGACTGTTTGTCATTGACCATGCAAATACACAGCCTTCCTCTTCTCTGGAAGATTCAGCCCTCACCAGACAACTGAACCTGCTGGCACCTTGATCTGGGACTTCGCAGTCTCCAGATCTGTGAGAAAATAAATTTCTGTTCTTTACCCAGCTTCAGGCATTTTGTTGTAGCCGCACAATGGACTAAAGCAGGTCCTAAATATTTTAGTAAAATTTCTGTTTAATATTTAATATTTAAATTAATATTTTACTTAAATTTCAGGCTATTTTTAAATGAACATAAGCAACTCAAATTCCCTTAAGTAGCATATATAGTTTAACTTATTTATGCCTAGGAAAATACTATAATGAGAAGTTAGAAATTTTGATTATATAGATATAAACACTCTCACGTAGATTGTTTAAGGCAGTGAAAAAACTGAATGGATGGAACCGGGTGGTTGTCATTCAGAACTATTGAATCCAAAACTCAACAGAGACTTATCTGTCCCTACAACAGGTGCTAAATAATAATTGACATTCCCAAATATGATTCTGTTATAAGACAAGGAAGGAATATACAGCTGATACTTGGGGGAAAATAAATATGTATCAAAAGAGTTTTGAAGCAGGAATAGTAAAATTGAGTAATATGTTCAAATTTAAAAATTTGTATATGTTCCAAACAAAGTCATGTGTCATCTTCAACTTAAACTTTTCCTCACATAAAAGATTAAACAATTGCTCCTAATAGTCTTTAATGTACTTTCTGTATCTTGAGTTCTCAGTTATTCCCATCATTAACTTTGATAACATCAGTACTGTGTCCAAGATAGTATTTTTGACTCTTTAACTGACCATGATAAATATAAGGAGAATGAGACTTAAGTGCACTGACTATATCTCCATTCCTTTGATTAAAATTTTTTTTAAAAATTGAATTGTAATGGAACAATGCAAACCTGCAGAAAACTTTTTGCATGCTATTTTTCATCTGAAAGTAAAATAATACCTGAATACTCTTTGTCTCACCAGCTTTTTACAGAATGAATGGCACTTACAGGGCTATTTTTTCTCTGTAATTATTGAGAAAGATTTTAAGGCAAAGCATTTAGGAGCTAAAGCCTGCATGATTTTGCTTCTGTGTGGGGAGAAAAGAAACCCACATCCTTACTTGGTAAAGAACTTAAGGGACAAAATAATAATAATAGATTCTAGGAAAATATTTAAAAAACCCTCAAAACTAAAATGTATTAACATTATTCAAAATTTATGAATTGTTGGTCCTTTTACAAAATGAAGCAAAAATTAAAACAATCCAAGAAAGAAATACAATCTAGTTCAACAACTTATACACATGCCAGTGGGTTCAATGAAGCACCATGAGGAACAAGGGAACAAGCACTGAGTTCATCTAATTCAGGGATAGCATTCCCTAGAGATTTGGACGAGATACTTACTGCATTATAACTTTTGGTAAAGAAATAAAATAAAATACATTATTATTAATATTATCACTCAAATATCAGGCTTTTTGATATCTTCATAGTTTGTATGACTATAGTTTATACACAGCATTGATTAATAAGAAATAATTTTCTCAACAACCACATAAGTGAAATGCATAATTGAGATTTTGCAATCAGAGATAGGAAAAAGGTTGTCTGAGGAAGGGTACTCCAATATGTGAAAATCAATCTGTATTTATTAAATCTACATGCTGCTACTTTGGAATGTTTACAAAATGTTGTTAAAAATGGTCTCCGTTTAAATATGTTTATTGTTTCTCTAATTTTTAACTAGTCAGCTTAACTGATACTCAAAACTCTCTACAAATTTTATTCAACATTATATTTTTATCTTTACAAGTTTTTCTTGTAAATTAATTGTGGGGTATTTTACTACATCATTAAAATCAAAGTAGACTTTTTTAGTTTTTATCTATGTTTCAACAATCTTAGATCCTATCGATAAAAATCAACTAACTTCTAATACTACATTATTTGTGTGTATGTGTGTGTGCATGTATACTAATAGTATAATACTTAATATAAATTAAATATTTTAAATGTTCATTATTATTACTTGTTTAGTACATAAGTTGTTTAAATATGTATTCTAACATTTATTATTTGCTAAAACACATAACAGAATATGTAGCATCTTAACAATTATTAATTGTACAGTCCAGTGATAAGTTCATAATGTTGTCTAATCATCACCATTATCCATTTCCAGAACTCCTTTAATCTATTTCCTCCTTCTTCTAAATGTTGGGAACCACCAGGCTTTCTGTTTCTATTACTTTGACTCTTCCAGAACATTATGTATGTTGAATCATATAGTATTTGCCTTTTTATGGCTGGCCTATTTCACTTAAGTGTAATGTCCTAGAGGTTAATTCATGTCTTAGCATATGTCAGAGTCAGAATTTCCTTCCTTTTTTTTTTTTTGGAGGAAGTCTGGTTCTACCACCCAAGCTGGAGTTCAGTGGCACGATCTCGGCTCACTGTAACCTCTACCTCCTGGGTTCAAGTGATTCTCCCACCTCAGTCTCCTGGGTAGTTGAGACTATAGGCATGCACCACCACACCAGGCTAATTTTTGTATTTTAGTAGAGATGGGGTTTCCCCATGTTGGCCAGGCTGGTCTTGAACTCCTGACCTCAAGTGATCCACCAGCCTCAGCCTCCCAAAGTGTTGGGATTACAGGCATGAGCCACTGCTCCTGGCCAGAATGTCCTTCTTTTGTATGTATATATCACATTGTTTTTATAAATTCGTCTGTGTATGATAGACAAGGGTTGCTTACACATTTTAGTTATTGGAAATAATTCTGGTGTGAACATTGGTATACAGATATTCTTTTGAAATTCTTTCTAGTCTATATTCAGAAATGGAATTGCTGGATTGTATGGTAATTCTGTTTTTAATTTTTTGAGGAACTGGCATACTGTTTTAATTTTAATTTTTATTTTTGAGGTTCTGTGTTTGTTTTTCAAATTTTATTTCAATAGTTCTGGGGAAACAGGTAATTTTTGGTTACATGGAAAAGTTCTTAAGTGGTGATTTCTGAGATTTTGGTGCACCCATCACCTGAGCACTGTACACTGTACTCAGTGTGTAGTCTTATGTCTCACCCCTCTCTCACCCTTTCCGCCAAGTCCCCAAATTTCAGTATATCTCTCTTATGCCTTTGAGTCCTCATAACTTACTCCCACTTATAAGTGGGAATATACAATATTTGGTTTTCCATTCCTGAATTACTTCACTTAGAATAGTGGTCTCCAACTCCATCCAGGTTGTTGTGAATGCTATTATTTCACTTCTTTTATGGCTGAGTAGTATTTCATCGGATGCATATATATATATATATATATATATATATATATGTCACATTTTCTTTATTCACTTGTTGGTTGATGGGCATTTAGGCTGGTTCTAAATTTTTACAATTGCTAATTGTGCTACTATAAACATTTCTGTGCAAGTGTCTTTTTCATATAATGACTTTTTTTCCTCCAGGTAGATACTCAGAAGTGGGATTGCTGGATGAAATAGTAGTTCCACTTTTAGTTCTTTAAGGAATTTCTCTACTGTTTTCCATAGAGGTTGCACTAGTTTATATTCCCAGCAACAATGTAAAAACTTGCCCTTTTCACCACATTCATGTTGTCTTTTATTTTTTGCTTTTTCAATTATGGCTGTTCTTGCAGGAGTAAAGTAGTATCTCACTGTGGTTTTAATTTGCATTTCCCTGACATTTAATGATGTTGAGAATCTTTTTCATATATTTTTTGGACATTTGTATATCTTCTTTTGAGAATTGTCTATTCATTCTCTTTGCTCACTTTTGGATCAGATTATTTGCTTTTTTCTTGCTGATTTGTCTTAGTTCCTTGTAGATTCTGGATATTAGTTCTTTATTGCATGCATAGTTTATGAATATTTTCTCCTGCTCTGTGGGTTGTTTGTTTACTCTGCTGTTTATTTTGTTGTGCAGAAGCTTTTTAGTTTAATTAGGTCTCATCTATTTATATTTGTTTTTGTTGCATTTGCTTTTGGGTTCATGGTCATAAAACTTTTTGCTTAAGCCAATGTCTACAAGAGTTTTTTAATGTTGTCTTCTAGAATGTTTATGGTGTCAGATCTTACATTTAAGTCTTTGATCCACTTTGAGTTGATTTTTGTATACGGTGAGAAATGAGGATCCAGTTTTGTTTTTCTACACGTGGCTTGACAATTATTCCAGTACCATTTGTTTAATAGGGTGTCCTTTCCCCACTTTATGTTTTTGTTTGCTTTGTCAAAGATCAGTTGACTGTAAGTATGTGTGTTTATTTCTGGGTTCTCTATTCTGTTCCATTGGTCTATGTAGCTATTTTTATACCAGGACCATGTTGTTTTGGTAACTATAGCCTTGTAGTATAGTTTGAAGTTGGGTGACTTGATGCCTCCAGATTTGTTCTTCTTGCCTTGGAGATGTGGGTTATTTTGCTCCATATGAATTTTAGGATTGTTTTTCCTAGTTCTGTGAAGAATGATGATGGTATCTTGATTTCACTAGCTAGTTATTACTAATAATATGGCTATAACTATTAATGTACAAGTCCTTGGGTAAACATATGCTTTCACTTCTCTCAGATATCACTCTAAGAGTTAATTTGATGAATCATATGTAGCTCTATGTATAAAATTTTGAGAAACTGTCAGACTTTCTAAAATAGCAGCACCATTTTACATTCCTACCAGCGACATAGTAAAGTTCCAATTTCTCCACATCCTCACTAATACTTGCTATTGTCTGTCTTTTAAATTTTAGCCATCCTAGCACATATGAAGTGTTATCTTTTGGTCTTTATTAGAATATTATTATAAACTTAAATATAAACATATCATATGACCCAACAATCACATTCCTAGGTATTTATTCAATTTAAAAAAAACTTAAATAAGTATTTACAAAAATATTTATAGCCATCCTAAGCCAAACAATGATTTGAGGAATGAAGCCTGAAATCCTCCAGCTCTGAGGATTACCTACCTCTGAAGGGTTGGTCAGAGAAAATAAAAGTGAACAAACAATCCTTTTTTCTATAAGCCACTGTTAAAACTAATTCTGAACCTAATCATAACTAATACAAGGCTTATCTAAATTAAAATAATTATGCATTTTTTGTTGCTAACTAGCATTGTAATAGTAAAAATTATTTACAGTTTATTATGTACAAGGTGCAGAGTTTGGCACTTTATAGACATTATCTTATTTAATCCTCATAATAATATACAAGGGATATAATATTATTGCTTATCTCTTATATTTGATAAATTTGAGGCTTAAAGAATATAAGTAGGCTGCTGTAAATCATACAGCTAAACCCATGTCTTCTGATGACAAAGTCTGTGCTTCTAAATCTAGCTTGGTGCAAACATAATTGTGGTTTTTGCCATCAATTTTAATGGTAGAAACCGCAACTACTTTTGCACCAACCTAATATACTATGTCACAGAGCCCTACTAAATTGTATCACATATCAAGTTTTGTGCTAAGTAATGAGGATCGTGGGATAAACAAACAAAAAGAGGCACATTTCTTGACATTGAGATTACATGTTTCTCTGTGTAATAAAGAAATATAGTATTTTTAGATAGAAATTGCTTAATTATCAGTCTCTTTGGTACAAAAGCTATAAATATCTCCCTCCATGCTTAATTCAGTTAAACTGAATAATTCCTATGATGATTTGATCACTCATACAAATGGAGGTACAGGGACTGGTTGAGGGAGAATGGGGTGATATTGGTCAAAAGGTACAAACTGTCAGTTATGCAAGATGAATAAGCTCTGAAAATGTAGTGAACAGCCTAGTAATGAGGGTTAATGAAATTCTATTGTATACTCGAAATTTACTAGAGAATAGATCATAAATTAAATATTATCTATATTTAATATTATCAAATACACATTATCAATATTATCAATACACATACATAAATGTACAAAATGCTAACTTTTAGAGGTAATGGATATGGTAATTTGATTGTGGGGATCTTTTCATAGCATATACAGATATTACAAGATCACTTAATACACCTTGAATATATGAAATTTTCTATGTCAAAGATAACTCAGTAAAGCTGTTGAAAAAAAAAAAAGAACATCTGGAAAGACAAAAGAGAAGCCCTGGTTTCAAAATCTAGTAATCTGTAATACAAGTTATATTACATAAAATGCTACATTATGTGCAATGCTGCTTTATTGAAGTTTTAAAAGCTGGGATGGTATATCACAAATCTGTATTTGAAGTACAATTAATTTCTATTAAAACCTGATCAGTAATTTGATAACAGTTTGCTATTACTTGCTTTCTTGTGATAGTGGCATAGTCAGAAATCTGAAATGTGCTGATAATTTAACTCAACATTCTGACCATGTTTGACATTTTTTCTGATCACCTTGACGGATTTTCTCACTTGAATGAAAGAAAGTGAAAAGATGGAAATTATAAGGGCTGTGAGAATTGCAGAAGCAACTGTCCGAAAGGCAAAAATTTTTTAAAAAAAGGACTTAAAAAAACTTATTTTAAGAAAAGACTTTTTATCATAGAACAAGACTCTAACTACATAATTGAGATTGTAGAAAAATGATACATCAAAGAATGATCTCTTTTTCTTATTTGTCATTTTCACATTAATTAAATAGCAGTAAAATAAAAAATATTAAATGACAAGTAACATTTTATAAGAAGTTACATTTTAGAAAATATCTTCATGGACATCAACAATAGTGATGAGGGACGCTTTCATTTTGAAGTTTAAGAAACTAAGGTCCCAGGAGAGATTAAGTGACTTCAAGGTCAAATAAAAAGTAAGAGTACAACTTAGATGTAAGCCTGGTCTTGACATCAAAATCCACACAACAGACTTGTGTTTATGCCACCATTGCAAAGGAGTATCAAAATATGAGTTCATATCTAGAAAGTCTAGCTTGTGCCATTAGCTTTTTCCCCCAGATAATTAACTAACAAGCCTCTATTAGGGTTAGAGTGAATCTGTTAAAATAATTTACATTAAACAATTTCTATTGAAAAGTATAATTTCAATCTCAAGACTAAATATATCAAAATGTAAAAGAGTAGAATTCAGACATATTGACTGATGGTGACAAAGTGAATGTCTTCCAAATCTTTATGTTGATTAGATTGTGGATGTTGATTTACAAATTAGGAGGTTTCACAAATTTCTCAAAACTTGATGTTGATAAAGCATCTTTATATATGTAAACTAATGTATGGAATTATAGCTTTTGCATGGCTTTAATCCTGTATTTTTCAAAATAGTAAACTAAGTATACAGATAACTAAGTTTTACTGTGCACAAGTCTTTTTACATCCATTATTTGAAAAGACTGTATAGAACTGATTTACATAATTTGTAGATGTGTTAATTTTCTATTGTTGCTCAATGAATTATCCCAAATTCAGTAGCTTAACATTTATTATCTAGTTTCTGTGGGACAGGAGTCACAAAACAGCTTGGCTTAGTCATCTAGGATCTTCCGTGGCTTCAACCAAGGTGACAGCCTGCTGTGTTTCTTCCTAGGACCTGAGGTTCTCTTTCTATCTCCACGGTTGGCAGAATTCATTCTTTTGCAGTTCTGAGACTGAGGTCCTATTTTCTTGCTGGCTGTCACGCAGACATTACTGTCAGCTCTAAGAGACATTCCCCACTCTGAGTTCTTTGCCATGTGAAACTCCCAAAGATTCTCACACCATGTGAGACCTAACTTCTTCAAAAATAGCAAGAGACTCTCTTCACTTCTGTAAGGTTGAGTCTTTTGTAAAGTAACATAATCATGAGAGGGCCACCCCATCACTTTTGCTATAGAAGCATACCTCATTTTATTGTGCTTTGTTTTATTGTGCTTCACAGATACTGCATTTTTTACAAAGTGAAAATTTGTGGCAACCCTACATCAAGCAAGTCTTCGGGCATTGTTTGTTCAACATCATGTGCTCACTTCTTATCTCTGTGTCACACTGTGGTATTCTTAGACTATTTTAAACTTTTCATTGTGATTATATCTGTTATAATAATCTGTGATCAGTGATCTTTGGTGTTACCCATTATAATTGTTTTGGAACACCATGAATCATGACCATATAAAATGTCAAACTTAATCAATCAATATTGTATGTTCTTACTGCTCCATCGACAGGATGTTCCTTCCTCTCTCCCCCTCCTCGGGCCCTCCTATTCCCTAAGACACAACGACATTGAAATCAGGCCAGTTAATAACCTTGCAATGGCGTGTAAAAGTCTAAGGGAAAGAAAGAAATATACTTCTCTCACTTTACTTCAAAAGCCAGAAATGATAATATTTAGTGAGAAAGGCAAGTCAAACATGAAGATAGGCTGAAAACTAGGCTTCTTGCATCAAAAAATTAGCAAGTTGTGAACACAAAGAAAAAGTTCTTGACAAAAATTAAAAGTGAGTTACTTACCACATAAACTATAAAGTCTATAATCATCTTTATACAGTCTTTACCAGTTAATACATGCAAAAAGACTTTGCATATTAAAACTTAGTAACTATTAGTCATTTATTTCAGCAAGCATAAGAGTGATAAGAAAGTGAAACAGTCTTATTGTTGACATGGAGAGCGTTTTAGTGGTCTAGATGGATGATCAATTCAGCCACAACATTCCCTTAAGCCAAATTCTAATCCAGACCTAACTCTCTTCAATTCTATGAAGACTGAGAGACGTGAGAAAGATGCAGAAGGAAAGTCAAAAGCTAGCAGAGGTTGGTTCATGAGGTTTAAGAAGCCATATCCATAACATAAAAGTGCAAGGTGAAGCAGAAAGTGCGGATGTAGGAACTGTAGCAAATTATCCAAAAGCTCTTCATAAGATAATTGATAAATGTCAAACTTAATCAGTCAATGTTGTATGTTCTTACTGGCTACACTAAACAAAAGATTTTCATTGAAAAAAAAAAACAGCCTTACATTGGAAGAATATGTCATCTAGGACTTTCATAGCAAGAGAGGAGAAATCAATTTCTGGCTATAAAGTTTCAAATGACAGGCGGCTCTCTTGTTAGGGGCTAGGGTAGGTGGTGCTTTTAAATTGAAGCCAATGCTCATTTACCATTCAAAAAATCCTAGTGTTCTAAAATTCAGGCTAACTCTACTCAGCCTGTGCTCTCTAAATAGAACAACAAAGCCTGGATGATAGCACATCTGTTTATAGCATGATTTACTGAATATTTTAAGATGATTGCTGAGATCTACTGCTCAGGAAAAAAAGAAAAAGATTTCATTCAAAATATTACTGTTCATTGACAATGTACCTGGTCACCCAAAAGCTCCATCAGAGCTATCAAGAAAATTTATGTTGTTTTCATGCCTGCTAACACAACATCTATTATTCAGCTATAGATCAAGGAGTAATTTTTACTTTCAATTTTTATTATTCAAGGAATGCATTTTGTAAGCCTATAGCTGACATAGATAGTGATTATTCTGATGGATCTGGGCCAAGTAAATTAAAAACCTACTGGAATGAATTTATCATTCTAGATGTTATTAAAAACATTAGTGATTCATGGAAGGAGGTCAAAATATCAATATTAACAGGAGTTTGTACAAACTTAATTCCAACCCTACTGGATGACTTTGAGGAGTTCAAGACTTCAGCGGAGGAAGTAACCGTAGATGTGATGTAAACAGCAAGAGAATTGGAAGTGGAGTCTGATTATGTGACTGAATTGTTATAATCTCATGATCCAACTTGAATGAATGGAGTTATTTCCTATACGTGAGCAAAAAAGGTGGTTTATTGAGATGAAACCTACTATACATAACTGTATATAAAGAGACATATACATCATATATATACTTCATATATATCCTATATATACATATCAAGTATTTTTATTAATCTTTGTGCATGTGTGTATATATAGACATATATGTAGAGATATGTCTATAGATATCTGTATATATATACACCTTAATTTAAAAATACTCACATATAGCTTAAAATACTCATATATATGTCTATATATATATACAACTTAATTTAAAAATACTTTATTGTTATATATATGATGTACATAACTCTCTATATACAGGGTATATATATAGAGAGACAGAGACATCATGCTATTGCACACTTAATATACTACAGTATATTGTAAATGTAGTGATAATTTTTATATGCACTGGGAAACCAAAAAAGATTCTGTGACTCTCTTTATTGCAATATTTTCTTTATTGCAGTAGTCTAGAACTATTGCAATTTCTCTGAAGTATGCCAATATTCTGTTGACCCGAAGCATGTCACTGACTCCATCCACCCTCAAGCATGGTTATAATACAATGACTTGACTTGTTGGAGTACAGTTTTGTGTATATCTGCCACAATACATAAATAAGGGAAGTAAAAGACTGGTGAAGCTTGAATTCACTTCCAGATTTTTAGCTTTCAAATTTTATACTTTGCCTAATTAAGTCCATAAAACCTTTCTTTTGATTTAATCTCCTGTTCTTTTTTCAAGGGCTATTTTTGAATGAGTCTATAAAATTAAATGAGCAGGTAACTTCACATTTGTATTCTTGTAAATAGCTTCACCTTTTTTCCAATTCACATTACTGCTCCCTAGAGATTTTCTCATCTTGGGCAGCATTTGACTTTCATCACCAGGTGGAAATGCCATGTAAATAGATAGAAATGATGTTTCAGGGGCAGATGTGAGAGCAAGTGCTTGGGGGATCTCACTTGCTTCATTTTTCTTCTCTTCCAAGCCTGGTAAGACTTTTCATGATAGTGTGGTCTGTTAGGCCCTCATATTATAACCCTAAAAATGTCCATGTGCAAACCTAGTACAATACATAATTTTAAGTTGTGGCTTAATTTTAAATGAGTGCCATAATATATTTTACAGGAAAGCAGGATATAGAGAGAATATTAGGAAGAAAAAAAATAGCTTAAATGAAAGCTATTGAAGTTGGGACTAAATTCTACTTAGAAACAAGAAGCCTAACACAAGCTGGATGACATATTTTTAAGCTTTATTTATAATTAATACACTATAATCATACATATTTATGGGTTACAGTGTGAATTTTCAATACTTATATACCTTGTATAATGATCAGATCAGGGTAAGTAGCACATCCATCACTTTAATATTTATCATATCTTTGTGATGATGACATTTAAAATCCTTTCTTCTAGCTATTTTGCAATATAAAATACATTATTAGTTATAGTTACCTTATTGTGTAACAGAGTCCCACAATTTATTCTTCCCTATTTCTAATGAATTAAATCATAGAAAAACAAGATGGTTTTTAAATGGTTTTGCTGTGTCCCCACTCAAATCTCATTTTGAATTCCCACAGGTTGTGGTAGGGACTTGGCAGGAGGTAATTGAATCATGGGAGCAGGTCTTTCCTATGCTGTTCTTGTAATAGTGGATAAGCCTCATGATCTCTGATGGTTCTATAAGGGGCCATTTCTCTGCACAAGCTCTCTCTTTGCTTGCTGCCAGCCATGTAAGACATGACTTGCTCCTCTTTACCTTCTACCATGATTGTGAGACTTCCCCATCCACATGGAACTGTAAGTCCTTTAAACCTTTTTTCCTGTATAAATTGCCCAGTCTATGGTATGTCTTTATCAGCTACATAAAGACAGACTAATACAGTAAATTGGTACCAGTAGAGTGGGGAACTGCTGAAAAGATACCAAAAATATGGAAGCAACTTTGGAACTGGATAACAGGCAGAGGTTGGGGCAGTTTCAAGGGTTCAGAAAAAGACAGGAAAATGTGACAAAGTTTGGAACTTCCTAGAGACTTGTTGAATGGCTTTGAACAAAATGCTGACAGTGATATGGACAATGAAATCCAGACTAAGGTGGTCTCAGATGGAGAAAAGGAACTTGTTGGGAACTGGAGCAAAGCTGATTCTTGTTATGTTTTAGCAGACACTGGAGGTATCTTGCCCCTGCACTAGAGATTTGTGGAACTTTGAACTTGAGAGAGGATGACTTAGGGTATCTGGCAGAAGAAATTTCTAAGCAGCAAAGCATTCAAAAGGTGACTTGGATGCTGTGAAAGACATTCAGTTTTAAAAAGGAAATAGAGCATAAAGTTTGGAGAATTTACAGCCTGACAATGTGATAAAAAAGAAAATCCCTTTCTCTGGGGAGAAATTCAAACCAGCTGCCGAAATTTGCATAAGTAATGAGGAACCGAATGTTAGTCCCCAAGACAATGGGGGAAATGTCTCCAGGGCATGTCAGAGACCTTTGCAGCAGCCCTTCTCATCACAGGCCTGGAGACTTAGGAGGAAACAATGGTTTCATTTGCTAGGCCCAGGGACCTCCTGCTGTTTGCATTCTAGGGACTTGGCACCTTTTGTGTCAGCCGCTCGAGCCATGGCTGAAAGGGACAAAGGTACAGCTCAGGCTGTTGCTACAGAGGGTGGAAGCCCCAAGGCTTGGCAGCATCCATGTGGTATTGAGCCTGTGGGTACACAGAAGTCAAGAATTGAGATTTGGGAACTTCTGCCTAGATTTCAGAGGATGCGTGGAAATGCCTGGATGTCCAGGCAGATGTTTGCTGCAGGGGCAGGGCCCTCATGGAAAGCCTCTGCTAGGGCAGTGTGGAAGGGAAATGTGGGGTCAGAGCCCCCACACAGAGTCCTAGGCACTGCCTAGTGGATCTATGAGAAGAGGGTCACCATACTCCAGACCCCAGAATGGTAGATCCCCTGACAGCTTGCACCATGTGCCTGAAAAAGTCACAGATACTCAATGCCAGCCCAAGAAAGCAGCCAGGAGTGGGGCTATACCCTGCAAAGCCACAGGTGTGGAGCTACCCAAAGCCATGGGAGGCTACCTCTTGTATCAGCATGACCTGGATATGAGACATGAAGTCAAAGGAGGTCATTTTGGAGTTTTAAGATTTGACTGCCCTGCTGGATTTCCGACTTGCATGGGGCCTGTAGCCCCTTTGTTTTGGCCAGTTTTTCCCGTTTGGAATGGCTGTATATACCCAATGCCTATACTCCTGTCATATCTAGGAAGTAACTAACTTTTTTTGATTTTACAAGTCCATAGGAAGAAGGGACTTGCCTGGGCTCAGTTGAGACTTTGAGCTATGGATTTTTGAGTTAATACTGAAATGAATTAAGACTTTAGGGGACTGTTGGGAAGGTATGATTGGTTTTGAAATGAGAGGACAAGAGATTTGGGAGGGGCCAGAGGTGGAATATGTTTTAGCTGTGTCCCCACTCAGATCTCATCTTGGATTCCCATGTGTTATGGGACGGACCTGGTGAGAGGTAATTGAGTTATGGGGTAGGCCTTTCCTGTGCTGTTTTTGTGATAGTGAGTAAGTCTCATGAGGTCTGTCTGTTCCAGAAGGGGGACTTTCCCAATACAAGCTCTTTCTTTACTTGCTGCCATCCACTTAAGAGGTGACTTGCTCCTCCTTGCCTTCTGCCATAATTGTGAGGTTTCCCCAGCCATGTGGAACCATAAGTCCATTAAACCTTTTTTCTTGTATAAATTACCCAGTCTCGGGTATGTCTTTATCAGCAGCATGAAAACGGACTAATACAATGATCATATTCAGATAATAATCTTTTCAAACACATGTCCTCCTCCAAAGTTCCCATGTAAGGACATTGTTTAATTTTTCTTTTCAAATTAGGTGTCACTAATGTTTGTCTTAATGAATTCATCTATTGCTGTTATATTGGTTTCCTATTGCTAGTGTAACAAATTACCATAAACTTAGCAACTTAAACCAATTAACATTTATTCTTTTGCAGTTGTAGAGGCCAGATGACTGAAAAGGGTCTTACAATGTGAAAATCAAGGTGTCAATAAGGCTGGTTCCTTCTGGAAGCTCTGAACCTCTCTCAACCTCTGGTGGCTGCCAGCATTGCTTGGTTCTTGGCCATATTCCTGCAGTCTCTACTTTTATGGTTGCATTGTTTTCTTCTCTTCCATAGTCAAATTTCCCCCTGCCTTCCTCTTGTAAGGACTCTTATTATTGCATATTGGACCCATCCCTACAACCTAGAGTAATCTCTCCATCTCAAAATTCTTAATCACATCTGCACATTTTCTTTTTCTAAATAAGGTAGCATTCACAAGTTCTAGGGATTAGGATATGAATAACATGTTTTCAAGGGTTGGGTGAAGAGACACTATTCAGTCTACTATAGTTGTGTATCCCTGTATCTGAGCAATTCAGGATACTTTTATATTACAATAAAATTTTAAACAAATGCTGTATTTCCCTACTGGATGGATTTTCATTTAAGTAAAGAATATTTGAAAGCTTGTTGAAATTTGAATATTTGCAGTTACACAAATACTTGTCTTTCATTCTCTTTTTCCTTCCTTTTCAGTATTTTAGAATGTTTATCCCTGAAAATGAGAACTCAAAAGGTTTAATAACAATAATATACACAAGTAATTGTAATTGTGTTTGTTTCTTTGCCTCTATCTATGGAAAAATGTATTATTCTTATTCATGGGTTGAATTTTTTAAAATTAATTTTAATGATTGGGCACATATAGTTGGTGTTCATTTTAGTTTTTATATTTTTCTTCTAATCCTATCATACTACAGCATCAAGCATTATTTGGTTTTGTAACTCCACCTTATGATGATTTTTCTTTTTATGTGTTTTTATCAGCTTTTTAATAAAACAATATCATGAGTGAGTATGTAGAAAAAACAGCACAGAGCAGAGTCACTGTTACTGGCAGGTTTGTAGAATTTCAAGGCTATCTTCTCTAATTCAGAAGGGGAACTTTAGCATTAAAATGTTTTTGAAAGCATCAAATCAGTGTTTCACTCTCCGTTCTGGACCTATCAACGTAAGCAAAGTATGAAAAATAAACTCCCACAATAGTTATATTCTTGTAGATGAATATTATATATTTATAGAGCAATGAGTTAATCTTGTCTGGAAGCATTCGTTTAGAACTATTCCTGAGGAAAAATAGGGAAGTGATAATACAAGTAGGAAATTTCACAGATCTAGAAATTAGGAAACAGGTTCTCATCCCAATTTCAACATTAGTCAGTTTTGTAACCTTGTACAACATTAGGTTTTACTGGTTCTCATTTTTTCTGATATAAAAAGTAAAAAGACATAAACATGTTGTCTCCCACATCTTTGTAATACTAAACTATGTGACTTTACTGACTGCATTACTGCTACAGGTGCCTTTCCTCGTCACATTTTCACACACAGCAGAGCTCTGTATTGTTTAGTGACACTGAATGATTGCATTAAGATGTGGTACATCATTGAGGATTTGGAAGTGTGAAACCACCCAAAACCAAACAATTCATCCTTTCCTTGCTTTTGCTTGGAGTTCACAAGAAGTAAAAAAAAAAAGGAAGTAAACTACTTGCTTTGATTTGTTGTATGCTGAGGAAGGTTGATAGGTTCTTATTTTTCCCAAGCCAAATCATTGTTCCTAATTCTATATCTGCTGGAGAAGAAACATTTGAGTTACTGGATTCATGTTTTTATTTTAGTTCACTCTGGGCCCCAAATTTCAGGTGAACCATGGTATTTAATTCAGGCTTTATGACAATGATACCATGGAAATATTTCTAAAATGCCAAGCAAACATCCAAATACATTGCCTCTGTAACCAGACACTAAGATTATTGTATCTTCTCCTTTTGTACATGTATTCTCTAGCCATACCAACATTGTACACTGTAACAGATGTGCAGATGTGCTCTCTGCTTGGAAGACATAGGTGTAACAATAAGAACAATTTTTTTATTCTGTATAAAGACCTTTCCATCCTCAGAATATCTTGCAGGGAGCATTCACTGGGACTAATTGTCGCAAAAAGCAGAAGCAGATTTTTGACCTCTCTTTTCAGGGACTGAGGTGACAGGCCCTCCTCCTTCCCCTTCCTTAAGTTAGCAGTGATTAAACTCCTTTCAAAGAGCCAGACTCAGACATTATTATATCAAGACTTCCATTCTAGGCAGCGGTGTCTTTTCTTGTTCCTTTTTCTTTTTTTTTTTTTTTTTTCTTTTTCTCCCCAGAGAAAGTGAACAAGAGGCAGTTTTAGCTTGAACTAGACTCTCTGTAGTTCCCTGATCTTTATTCGGGTTTCAGACCTGTACTTGCAGTGCCTTATGCTGTGCTTTGACTTTGCAGACTCTGGGGGAGAAGCTGCTTCAGTTACCACTGAACGCAAAGGTAAAACTGACCTTATAATTTGTGTTAAAAAACAAAAGACACAGTTTCCTTTAAGAAGTACCAGTGGACATGGAATGGAGTTTTATGATAATAGTTTTAAGAAGAATTATGATTTAAAGATTGTTATACATTTTAGAAAGCCATTTCACAGATATTATGAAACCTGATCCTCTCAATGCCTCGGAGAGATAGGCAAGATATTTTTAATCCTTACTTTGCAAATGTGAGAACCAAACTCAAGGAGATTAACTGAATTCCCCAAGGCTTTGCTTCTAGAAAGCATCAGAATTGAGCAAGAAATCCAGAAGATTTTGTCCTCAATTCAATTATTTACCCATTTCACTCATTGCCTTATCCTCCATATGCTGCCTCCACTAGCACGTGTTTCCAGACTGTCTGCTAATTTCATCTGCAGAGGTGGAAAGTATTTTCAGCCGTATTTTAACCACTATTTTACTTTAAGGAGACATTCATCTATTATGATTTACTGCAAGTTTATAAGATTTTATCTGTTAGTTGGGCATTTTGGTCACTAAATAATATGCCGCAATTTATTGATGAGACATAGGAAGTGAATGCAGGATGGATGACCATGGGACTCCACAAACATGTGGTTCATCAGGTAAGTAAACAAAAAGATTGTACGTAACAGAGGCCATCGTGGGTCTTCTCTACTGCCACACAGTTAAGAGGAGTCAGCCATTTTCTGTGTTTGTTTCTTTATATCTTATTAATACATCTTCCTCTGTTTCTTCATGGTGTATGTCCCCACATCATTTCAGATTGACCATCACTGGAAACTAACAACCCCACTTGGGTCCTACTATATCATAACTTTCAGTTTAAATGCCTACTTCTGTCTGGTGATTTTTTTCTGCAATATGTTGGTGAAGATTGTCAAACGAGAATCTGGCAGCACAGATTCTAGTTTTCTTCATTTATTGAAGGCTTTTAACACAGAGAAAATTTAGTATGTTCCAGGGACTGTTTCAGTTATTAGGGACAGAGCATTAAACACACAGAAAAATTATCTTCATTTGTACTCTTGTATTTCAGTAATATAAATTGCTTTTCAGCTCAAGCCTAATGAGAAGGTACAGACAAAGAAAAAAAAAGGAAAGCAAGAGAGTGTCATGATATAGAAGCATAAAAGCTAAGAGAAAAGTCTGTTTCTTTTTTAATCCTCAACACTTTTCAAGCTGCTAGATTTGGTGTTGGCAAGAACATATGGAAGGAAATATACAGAGATCATAGGTGGCATCCTTTTTATTAGAATGAGATATGGGACAAGCTCTGGAATTGAAAGAGCCACTCTTGCTTATGCATACTTCGGTAGTTATGGAGAACTATTTTATTCTTTCTTCTAAAACTTTAAGTTTGGCAGAACTTTAGTCCTTTATCTAATGTACATATGCATGGTGCCCCTTTAGAAAACTGGTGAATATCTAATTATCCTACACAATTTAATTAGTAGAAATAATATTTGAATATGTTAGGTTAATCAGGGGGGTGACAAGAGCAGAATTACATTTCTTAAAAAAAATAACTAGCTAGTTGATAGACGTCAGTGCTTAATTCAAGAATGCACTAAGGAGACAAAAAAAGAATTGATAATAGTTGCCTGGAAATAATAATAATTGCTACTGGAAAAGAGAAGGAAGGGAGGTAGTCAAATTAGGAGATTATTTATGCATCTTTTTGTGCAGATGTGCAGGCATTATGAAGAGAATTATTGAAAAGATGGTCATGATCAACATAAGTAAAGGTCACTGAAAATCTAGTAAGTATGTAATGTGGGCTATCCATTGAATTTATTTAAAGGGGATCATTGTCATTGATTATTTTTGTTAGATCAAGTTTAGTGGTGGGCATAGAGATAACAGTAAATTGTAATGGGGTGAGGTATGAGATGCATGGGTGGAAAACAATTCAAGGAACCAAGATAACTCTCTCATGAAGTTTGGCTATGAGGAGAGGAGATATGTAAGGACAAGATATGCTCTACTTAATAGAGAATATAAGGTAAGTGCCAATACTACTCCTAACAAAGAACTGTTTCTGTCAGTTGTCTATTCCCTTTTTTTACTAATCAAGTTCTTTTTATCAGCTTATTCCTATAAGTATTTAAATATGTTTAATCTCTGCCATTTTAGAAAATTCCTTTCTCAAAAACTAACTCCTTACCCAGGCTTATAAATCACTTTCTTTTGTAAATTGACTTAATTTTCTGCAATCCACAGCTACTCCTTACTTTATGGTCAATAGATTGAACATCTTTTAGTACTTCATGTATGCTAAGCTTTCTGTCTCACCTCTAAGTCTATGCATATGCTAGTTCTTGAAACACTCATTTCTTTTCTCCTGCATAATTTCTATTTATTCTTCAGATTTCTTCCTAAATACTACTTCATCTCAGAAATATTACAAAGCCTAATTAGACTTTTCATAAATAGATGTGTGAGGGGTGGTGGCGGGATTTTCATTGCCTGGATCCAGTGTTCTCAGAACTGGACTGCAATGTGAAGTTCTTCTTACTCATTCTTCCTTCCTTCCTTTTCTCCCCACACAGGTGCCAGACCTATGTCATCTTCCATTGCATTGCAATTATATCATTGTATGAGAATCACAGCATTAAATTATTGTGGCAATTGTCATGTAATGACTCATGGATCACATTTTGAAAACTGTAATATAATAAATGGCTATTCATGGTTTTAAATTCTAAGATAACTCACTGCTATCTTCTACCTCTATCTTTCTGACTTGCTTTTTAACCCATACATAACACATTCACATAAGTGAATTTCATCTGTTATCTTGTGTATTTGTCAGATATAAGGTACCAAAAAAAAGTGACACTTCTGCTCTCCCAATCCAACATCAAGGATTAAATTATTCTGGACTTAATCAGCTTTATTTCCCAGATGTAGGCTTGTAACTTTAGGGTGAATCCTAATAGCACAAATATGTTCATGCTCAACTGTGAGTTTTTAAAATATTGTAGAAATATTGGAGGAATGTTATACTTGACAACTAAGACATATGTTTCTCATATATAGTTGCTGGAGCAGTGCATATGTTGGTATATAAATAAGTATGGATATATAAGTATAGCTACACACACACACACACACACACACACACACACACCCCCTTCATTGCTAAGGTTTAAATGATTTCATATTTAAAAGCTTTATAGATACTAAAATTTACCCCATCAACTAAAATTTATCAATTTTAAACCTTTATTTGTAACCTTGGGTAAATCATGAAACTCTAACTGCTTTAGTTTATCATCCGCAGAATGAGGACTCATTGTCTTAGATAAGGTTTCACATCCTTCCCTGGTTTAATTTTCCATGGTTTCCAAACACTGCATGTTCTCACTCATAAGTGGAAGTTGAACAATGAGAACTCATGGACACAGGGAGGGGAACCACACATCAGGGCCTTTCAGGGGGCCGGTGGGGGGGTGCGGGGAGGGAGAGCATGCAGGGCTTAATACCTTGGCGATGGGTTGATAGGTGCAGCAAACCACCATGGCACACATTTACCTATGTAACAAACCTGCACGTCCTGCACAAGTATCCCAGAACTTAAAATAAAATAAAATTTAGAAATAAATTTTCCATGGTTTTATGACATCATTTAAAAATGGATTATAGGCCTGGTGCAGTGGCTCATGCCTGTAATCCCAGCACTTTTGGAGGCTGAGGAGGGCAGATCACCTGAGGTCAGGAGTTCAAGACCAACATGGCGAAACCCTGTCTCTACTAAAAATACAAAAACTAGCTGGGTGTGGTGGGGGGAGCCTTTAATCCCAGCTACTCGGGAGGCTGAGGCATAAGAGTTGCTGGAACCCAGGAGATGGAGGTTGTGGTGAGCCAAGATCATGCCATTGCACTCCAGCCTGGGAGACAAGAGCGAAACTCTGTCTCAAAAAAATAAAAGATTAGAAACCACTGATTTCTTAGCCAGAGAACATCAAAGATGGTTTCATTCTTTGTTTTTGTTATTGATTCAAGGTCATCAGTAGGAAAGCTCACCATACTACAAAAAAAATTTTATAGTTCTTCTGTCTTATTTTTTGATAGCAGGCTGTCAAATTGTCATTTCTGCTATCACTGAGATGAGCTTTTTCAGCTGTCATAATTCCCAAGTCCTTTTTGCTCAACTCTTTCTTCATTGCTTCAGATTGTAAAAAGAAAAAATAGTGAAAACTGAAAACAATAGTATGCTAAATTACCTATAGTAACAAAAAATTAAAGTAATAAAATTTAAAAATGCCTAGTTTTAGAGACAGGATGGCCAATAGCTGTTTTAGGTGTTTGGTGTTTTTTTCTTAAGTTTGACTTTGCTACAGAAAATTAAATTTCCTGGAAAACAAGCAACTAAATAAGTAGCATAGGACTGGACATTGACTTTCAGATAATATATTCAAATATAAATGAGAGCCTTCACATTTTATACATGTTGTAGCATCTCCTTGAAAAAGGTGGCCAGAACTTAAATTAACTTAGTTTTATACTTCATTTAAGTAATGCACTAGATTTTTAACCTTAGTTAAGTGTGCTTATTGTATTTATATATTTTTATTGATACTATTATTTCTTCCATTTAGGCAGTATTTCTTTCTCCAAATTACCCCTACTAAGAACTATAACATTATGAAGCAGACAAACACTTTATATTTTTGTAAAGTATAAAGTAGAGGCAAAATGAAGAACGTGACTTGCCCAAGATCGAAGAAATGATGAATTTAAAATTAAAACCTGACCATTACATTGGTGCAAAAGTGATTACTTTTAATGGCAAAAACCGCAATTACTTTTGCAACAACCTAAAACTTCTGCTTCTTATAACTACTTTCTGCGCTGATCATTAGTCTCCTATTGTCAGCTGAATTCATGAACTGTAGAAGACTTAAACTATCAATATTCAACATCATTGATGTAGATTCTAAGAGCATTAGAAATATGTACTCTTAAGAAAACCTAATTACATTATTTGAAAATATTAAATAGATATTTTCTCATACTACAATGTTAAAAGATAAGTATCATATTTGACACTGTTAGCTAACAAGTGGTGGAAACTAACCTTTATGTAGCGTTTCAGCCTTAATCTCAATCACCCACTGATCGATACTTACATTTATTAATTCTACTCTGCATCCATTATTATGCACAGTACTTAACTAGATTTTCAAATCTAAATGGAAATCTGTTTTCGTGGAGCCAGGTCATATATTCATCTAAATCTACTTGTAAGCAAAAGGCTGTCATTAGCACATTTACATTGCTATATTATGGCTTCAACTGTTGATATAATGGAATAAAACTTATACAGCTAATCTCAGCAAATATCTACTTATGTTACGGGAAATTAAAACACTGAGAGATAATTGTCACCTTCTGAAACCAATGATTATTTGCTTTGAATTGAGAATGGCAGTCTGAATGTAGATATGAGATAGACATGGAGGCTTTTCAGTAAATAAAGACATACACATGTTGCAGGCACAGAATCATTTGTCTCTTTCAGCTATAGGCTGTGGTCTTGGGCAAGTTAAGTGAGTATTTTTGTAATAATGTACTGTGTTATGGAGGTTTTGCTGTTGTTACTGGTTTCAAAAATATTCATGGAGATCCATAATCAGTAAACAGTTATAACCCTTCATTTTTCTTGGTTTCCTACATATATCACAAAGTATGCAAACTGCTGTATATGAGAAAATCAATAAATGCTATGCTTAGGTGATGAATGTTTACAATTTACTTTTTCATTGCTACTGTGTTCTAATAAAAACAACATCGAAAAAAGAAAAGAGAGGTTACAAACATAGAAAAGATACCTGCCCCCAATCAAATATTTTCCTAGTAGTTAAGTATCATAGCATTTTCATTGCTAGCATTTTACTTCATTGCACATAAATTTCAGACTTCACACAACTCATCCATCCCATTCAAAAAGAAAATGTATAGTTCCATAAAATTGAAATGAATGTCATTACACAGTTGGGTAAATCATTTGTGCATTCAACAAAAGCAAACATTAAATATGAATAAATACAGTTGGGTTATCTGTAAGTCTGTCCCAGAAAACTTTTTTATGCATGAAGTATCTCAAAAGTTAAACTACCCAGTGTCATAATACTTTATATAAAACAGCTGCAGAAAGTTTCACATGTTTTTGAAAGGTAGACCAATATCATATGCATTTGCAATATGGCAAAAATTTTTCATTACATATGAGTGCCTTTTGAAGCCTCTAGAGTAAATTCTTTTCTGCATTGGGAAAACTGTCATACCATTAAAGTAATGAAAGCGATCCCATTTCTCTCCTGCTGAAAATATAGCTCCCTATAGTAACAAGGCAGTAAGAAATCATTTCCTTTGTTAATACTTAAAAAAGAATACTTTTTTTTAACAATCCTAAGGAATAGATAGAATAGAGTAATCCCAATAGATATAATTTTTCTATTTGAAAGCAATGACATGCATAATATTTCTTTTCTTCATGTATTATTGTTGCGGAAAAAAAAAAAGTCTCAATGTGTACTTCCCAATGTAAAGCCTGGTTTCTTTCCTTTGGGGTTGTATTTACACTTACTAAGCCAGACGTAAACGGAAGTGCCTTATAGAGTAGCCAAACAAAGACTAGCAGCTTATAATTCCCTGCTGCTCAAGGTCACACAATGTTGTGAGAGCTTTTTGTAAAGACTAAGGTCCCTGGGCCAAGGCCACTTATTTTGATATAATACCATTACTCCCTTCTCCCTATTTAAATCACAACTTATTTTGAGTGCCATTTAAGATAGATTTTTTTTCCCACTGTCAAGGGAAGACCAAATACATGTTTGGAGAACAAGACCTTTAAAAATAGAAGCTTAGAGGTCAGATGCAGTTGCTCATGCCTGTAATTCCAGCAGTTTGGGAGGCGGCGGCAGGAGGATAGTTTTGAGTCTAGGAGTTCAAGACCAGCCTTGTCAACATAGCAAGACCCTGTCTCTATAAAAAACAATGAATAAATAAATAAAAATGAGAGCTTAGAATTGATACATGTAATAGTGAAGCATGCAGTCCAGAGCTAAGTCAGATGATGTCACATATGGAGCTCATCCATTATTTATTTTTCCTCAGCTTTATTGTGGTATAACTGACAAATATAATCTGTATATATTTAAGGTGTACAATATAATGTTTTGATATATGTATACATTGTGAAATGATTACCACGATCAAGCTAATGAACACATACATAACTTCACATAGGAACCATTGTTTTTGTGTGTGATGAGAACACAAGATGTACTCTCTTAGCAAACATCTAGTACACAATACCGTATTATTAACCATAGCTATCACAGAGTTCATTAGAACTCTATAATTTATTTATGTTATAACATTCTTACACTTTGATTGACATTTTCTCACTCCCCTCATTTCTACCCTCTTTGCCCCTGGTAACCAACATTCTACTCTTTGCTGTAATGAGTATGGCTTTTTCAGTTTCCACATATAAGTGAGGTCATACTTGTCTTTCTGTGTCTGTCTTTAGCATATTGCATTTAGCATAACGTTCTCCATATTCACCCAGTTTGTTGCAAATAGCAGGACTTCCTTATTTTTATGGCTGAAAAATATTCCGTTATAGATAGACAGATAGATAGATAGAAAGATAGATAGATAGATAGAAAGATAGATAGATGATAGACAGACAGATAGATAGATAGATAGATAGATAGATAGATAGATAGATAGATAGATAGATAGATATAGAGAGATAGGGGTGGGATCTCCAGAGGTGGGATTGCTGGATCATATGCTAGTTCTATTTTTATACTGATAAAGATTCATACTGTTTTGCATAATGGTTCTACCAACTTATATTTCAACCAAGAGTGTTCGAACATTCTCTTTTCTCCACACCCCCATAAACACTTGTTATCTCTTGTTTAATATTAGCCATCATAAAAGGTATGAGAAGATAACTCATTGTGGTTTTGATTTGCATTTCCCTGATGATTAGTGATATTGAATACCTTTTATATACCTATTGACCACTTGTATGTTTTCTTTGCAGAAATATCTATTCACGTCTTCACTAAATTTTTAATCAGGTTATTTGTTTTTATGCTGTTTAATTCAGTTTTATAAGTGTATTTTGGATATTAGCTCCTTATCAGATATATGGTTTGAAAACATTTTTCCCATTTTGTAGATCTTTTTCATATTGGTATTATTATTATTTTTTTTTTGAGACAGAGTCTCTCTTTGTCCCCCAGGCTGGAGTTCAGTGGCATGATCTCGGCTCACTGCAATCTCCGCCTCCCTGGGTTCAAGCGATTCTCCTGCCTCAGCCTCCTGCATAGCTGGAAATACAGGCACGTGCCACCACACCTGGCTAATTTTTTGTATTTTTAGTAGAGATGTGGTTTCACCATGTTAGCCAGGATGGTCTTGATCTCCTGACGTTGTGATCTGCCCGCCGCAGCCCCTCAGAGTACTGGGATTACAGGCGTGAGCCACTGCGCCCAGCCAAAGTTCATTTTTTTACCCTATGGATTGTTTCCTTTGCTCTGCAGAAGCTTTTTTTTTTTTTTTTGATTTATTTTTTTTTTATTATACTTTAAGTTTTAGGGTACATGTGCACATTGTGCAGGTTAGTTACATATGTATACATGTGCCATGCTGGTGTGCTGCACCCACTAACTCATCATCTAGCATAAGGTATATCTCCCAATGCTATCCCTCCCCCCCTCCCCCCACCCCACAACAGTCCCCGGAGTGTGATATTCCCCTTCCTGTGTCCATGTGATCTCATTGTTCAATTCCTACCTATGAGTGAGAATATGCAGTGTTTGGTTTTTTGTTCTTGTGATAGTTTACTGAGAATGATGATTTCCAATTTCATCCATGTCCCTACAAAGGACATGAACTCATCATTTTTTATGGCTGCATAGTATTCCATGGTGTATATGTGCCACATTTTCTTAATCCAGTCTATCACTGTTGGACATTTGGGTTGGTTCCAAGTCTTTGCTATTGTGAATAATGCCGCAATAAACATACATGTGCATGTGTCTTTATAGCAGCATGATTTATAGTCCTTTGGGTATATACCCAGTAATGGGATGGCTGGGTCAAATGGTATTTCTAGTTCTAGATCCCTGAGGAATCGCCACACTGACTTCCACAATGGTTGAACTAGTTTACAGTCCCACCAACAGTTTAAAAGTGTTCCTATTTCTCCACATCCTCTCCAGCACCTGTTGTTTCCTGACTTTTGAATGATTGCCATTCTAACTGGTGTGAGATGGTATCTCATTGTGGTTTTGATTTGCATTTCTCTGATGGCCAGTGATGATGAGCATTTTTTCATGTGTTTTTTGGCTGCATAAATGTCTTCTTTTGAGAAGTGTCTGTTCATGTCCTTCGCCCACTTTTTGATGGGGTTGTTTGTTTTCTTCTTGTAAATTTGTTTGAGTTCATTGTAGATTCTGGATATTAGCCCTTTGTCAGATGAGTAGGTTGCAAAAATTTTCTCCCATTTTGTAGGTTGCCTGTTCACTCTGATGGTAGTTTCTTTTGCTGTGCAGAAGCTCTTTAGTTTAATTAGATCCCATTTGTCAATTTTGGCTTTTGTTGCCATTGCTTTTGGTGTTTTAGACATGAAGTCCTTGCCCGCTTTTTACTTAAATCTAATCCCATTTGTCTATTTTTACTTTTGTTGCCTGTGCATTCACTACACGTAATCTTAGCCAAAAGACTGAGACGTGATGCTTTTGCCTGTGTTTTTGGTGTCGTATCTAAAAAAAAGAAAAAAGAAAAAAAAATCATAGCCAAGACAAACATCAAGGAGTTTTTTCCTGTTTGCTTCCTGCAGTTTTACATTTTCTGGTCTTAATGAGTAAATCCTTAATTTGTTTCAAGTTTTATGGTGTAAGCTAAAGAGCCACTTTTATTCTTTTGTATTTAGATGTCTATTTGTCCCAAGACAATTTGTTGAAGAGACTAACATTCCTTATTTTGTATTATAGGCACCCTTTTCAAAGACGAGGTGACCATAAATGTGTGGGTTTATGTCTGGGCTCTCCGCTCTGTTCCATTGGTCTGTTTTTATGTTCCATGTGTCTGATTTTATGCCATTGTCATGCTGTTTTTATTAATATACATTTGTAATGTACTTTAAAATCAGTAAGTGTGATGCCTCCAGCTTTGTTCTTATTCAAGATTGCTTGGGCTATTTGGGGTCTTTTGGAGTCTTTTAAACTTAATGTTTATTTTTTTCTATTTCTGTGAAAATGCCACTGGAATTTTTAAAGGGATTGCACTGATTCTGTGGGTCACATTAGGTGGTATGGACATTTTGATAATACTAATTCTTTCAATCCATGAACACAGAATATCTTTCCACTTGTTTGTGCCTTCTTTAATTTCATTTGTCAATGTCTTATTGTTTTCATTGTTCAAACTTTACCTCCTTAAATTGATTCCTAAGTATTTGATTCTTTTGGATGTTATTTAAATGGGAAAGTTTTCTTAACTTCTTTTTCAAATAGTTCCTACTTAGTGTGTAGAACGGCAACTGACTTTTGTATGCTGACTTTCTATCCAGCAACTTTACCGAATTTCTGTATTACTTCTAACAGTTTCTGTATTACTTCTAACAGTTTGTTGGTAGAGTGTTTAGGGTTTCTGTACATAATATCATGATATTATGATGTTATTGGCAAATAGAGACATTTTACTTCTTCCTTTCCAATACAGATGCCTTTTTTTTCCTTGCCTAATTGCCTTGTCTAGGACTTCTAGTTATTATATTAAACAGAAGTGATGAGAAAGGAGATCCTTGTTTTGCTTCTGATAGTAGAAGAAAATCTTTCAACTGTTCACCATTGAGTATGATAGCTGTGGGCTTGACATGATATTTATTATGTTATGATATATTCCTTTTATACTTAATTTGTTGAGAGTTGCTTTTTAATTATGAAAGGTTATGAACTTGTTTTATTATTAGTTTTGTCAAAGGCTCTTTCTACATCTATTCAACTGATCATATGATTTTATCTTTCATTTTGTTAATGTGCTATATCATTTTTATAAATTTGCATATGTTGAAACAGTCTTGCATATCAGAGATAAATCCCATTTGATCATGGTGTATGATCCTTTTAATGTGCTGTTAAATTCAGCTTGATAATATTTTGTTAACAATTTGCATCTATATTCAACAGAAATATTGGCTTGTGATTTTCTTTTTGGCAGTATTTTATCTGGATTTACTATAGGGTTAATGCTGGCCACATACAATTATTTGTAAATGTTTCCTCCTCTTCAATTTTGTGAAAGAGTTTGAGATGGATTGCCATTAATTCTTCTTTAAATGCTTGTTAAAATACACCAGTGAGGCCGGGCGCGGTGGCTCACGCCTGTAATCCCAGCACTTTGGGAGGCCAAGGAGGGCGGATCACGAGGTCAGGAGATCGAGACCATCCTGGCCAACACGGTGAAACCCAGTCTCTACTAAAAATACAAAAAATTAGCCATGCGTGGTGGCGGGAGCCTATAGTCCTAGCTACTCGGGAGGCTGAGGCAGGACGATGGCGTGAACCCGGGAGGCGGAGCCAAGATCGCGGCCACTGCACTCCAGCCTAGGTGACAGAGTGAAACTCCTTCTCAAAAAAAAAAAAAAAAAAAAAAATACACCGGTGAAGCCATGAAGTCACACGCTTTTCTCTGTTGGGAGGTTGTTGATTTTGTTGATTACTGCTTCATCTCCTATCCCATTATAGTTTTTTTTCAGGTTTTCTGTTTATAATTCATTCTTGGTAGGTTGCATGTTTTTAAACACTTTATCCATTTATTCTAAGTTATCCAATATGTTGGCATATGACTGCTGATGGTAGTCTCTTATGATCTTTTGTATTTCTGCGGTATCACAGAAATGTATTACTGTCTCCTCTTTCATGTGTGATTTCATTTGACTCCTCTCTTTTTTTCACAGTGAATTTAGTGGAAGGTTTTTCCATCATTTTTGTCTTTTCAACAAACTAACTAAATTTTATTGAACTTTTCCATCGTCTTTTTAGTCTCTCTTTTATTCATTTCTTTTTTAGTTTTCGTTATTTCTTTGTTTCTGCTAAGTTTGAGAACAAACTCAACTCTTTTTATGTATACTTTGACTCATTAGTTGTTCAGAAGTGTGTTAATTTTCTGCATATCTGTGATTTTTTAACTTTCCCCCATAGTTGATTTCTGATTAATTGTCATTAATGTCAGAAATGATACTTGATATTATTTAAATCTTCCTAAATTAGTTAAGATTGTTTTGTTTTCTAACGTATGATATATCCTGGAGAATATCCTATGTGTGCTTGAGAAGAATATGTATTTTCTGTTATTGTACGGAATATTATGTATATGTGCATTAGGTCCATTTGTTCCATAGTGCTATTCAACTGTGCTGTTTTCTTATTGATTTTCTGTCCAGATAATACTGTTGAAAGTGGGATGGTGATATGATTGGCTGTGTCCCTACCCAAATCTCATCTTGAACTATAGTTCTCATAATTTCCACATGTCGTTGGAGGGACCTGTGGGGGGTAATTGAATCATGGGGGCAGTTACCTCGATACTGTTCTCATGATAGTGAGTGAGTTCTCACAATATCTGATGGTTTTATAAGGGGTTTTCCCCCACTTCACTGGGAACTTCTTCTTGCTGCAACCACGTGAAGAAGGAAGTGCTTGCTTCCTCATCCACCATGATTCTAAGTTTCCTGAGGCCTCTCCAGCCAGTCTGAACTGTGAGTCAATTAAAACTCTTTCCTTTATAAATGACCCAGTCTCGGGTGTCTTTATTAGCAGAATGAGAATGGACTAATACAGAGGATTAAAGTCATTTACTGTTATTTTATTACTATTTATTCCTTCATTTCTGTGAGTATTGGCTTTATATGTCTAGGTGCTCCAATTTGGTGCACCATATGTAATTAAAATTGTTATATCCTCCTGATGTACTGACCACTTTGTCATTATATATAGACCTTCTTTATCTCTTGTGTCAGATTTTGACTAAAAATCTATTTCATGCTGTACAGTTATAGCCACCCCTGCTATCTTCTGGTTATTAATTAGAGGAATATCTTTTTCTATCTTTTCATTTTCAGCCTGTATGTATTCATAAAGTGAAACTGAGTATTTTATAGGCAGAATAATGTTGAATCTTGGTGGTTGTTTTGTTTGTTTTTTCAGCCTGTCTGTGTCTTTTGATTGGAGAATTTAATTCATTTAATTTTAATATAATTATCGATAGATAAGAAGTTACTATTGCTATTTTGTTAATTATTTACTGTTTTGTAGTTTCTGTCTTCCTTTCCTCTTATCTTGCTGTATTATTTTGTTATTTGTTGATTTTGTGTAATGATATGCTTTGATTACTTTCACTTTATCTTTTGTGTATCTACTACAGATATTTTTTTCTTTGTGCTTACCATGAGGTTTACATAAAATATCTTCGTGTTATAATAATTTATTTTAGTGATAGCAACTTAAATTCAATCACATACACATGCTCTGCATTTTACTTGTTCTCTGACATTTTATGCTATTTATGTCACCCTTGACATCTTTTTATATTGTATATCCATTAATAAAGTATCATAGCTATAGTTATTTTAAATATTTGGTCTTTTAACTTTTTTACTATAGTTAAAAGTGATTTATTCTCCACATTACATTATTAAGGCACTATGAATTTGACTATATATTTACCTTTGGCAGTGAGTTTTGTATTTTCATAAGTTTTCATGTTGTTACTTATCAACCTTTTGTTTCAACTTGAAGAACTCCCTTTAGCATTTCTTATAAGACAAATCTAAGCCCTTGTTATTCTGGGAATATCTTTCCTCTCTGTGTCTGAAGGAAAACTTTGCTGGGGTATAGTATCTTTTATTGGCAGTTTTTCTTCTCCCAAAACTTTTTGGTCTGCGAGGTTTCTGTTGAAAAATCCAATGATATTTTTGCAGGCAGAAGGGGTTGCTGGTATGTGACAAGTTGTTTTTCTCTTGCTTTTTTCAAAATTATATCTTTTTTTTTATTTTTGACAATTTGATTTTAATATGTCTTTGGTTAATCTCTTAGGCTGAATTTTGCTTAGGGGCTTTCAAGCTTTAGAAATCTGGAGGTTCATATACTTTCCAATATTTAAGAAGTTTTCAGCCATTATTTCCTTAAATATGCTCCCTTCTGCATTTGCCTTCTGAATCTCTCATAATACATATATTTGTTCACCAAATGATGTCCCAATTATCCCATATGATTTCTTTATACTTTTTATTCTTTTTCCTTTTTGTTCATCTAACTGGCTAATTTCAAATGACACATTATTGAATTCATTGAATATTCTGCATGATTGAGTTTTCTTTTGAAGCTCAGATCAATTTTTCTGTTCAGTCGTTGTATTCTACTTCAGGATTTCTGTTTAAATCTTTTTATGGTTTCTATTATTTATTAAATTACTTATTTTTTACACATTATTTTTCTGATTTTATTTTGTTATGTCTTCTCTTGCAACTCACTGAAGTTCTTTAAAATGATTATTTTGAATTATGTTTTGGACAATTCATAGATTTTCATTTCTTTCAGGCTTAGTTCCTGAAGATTTATTAATTTCCTTTGATAGGAGTTGTGTTTTCCTGATTCTTCATGGTCCATGTAGATGTGTTGATGTCTGTGCAACTGAAGGAACAATCACCTCTTCCAGTATTTATAGACTGCTTTTTGCAGGTAAATACCTTCTTCTCTCCGGTGCCTGGGCTAATGGGATTGCCTCCAGAATTGCAGTAAAGTAGGGCTGGAGTGGGGTCACACAGATGCTGCTGGGTCCATAGTGTGATACAAGGTTGACAGGCCTGCTACCAGGGACTGGGGAGGCTGTGGATCTTGTCTGGTTTCTGGGTGAAAAGGGCTGCCTCCCTGACTTGATCAGTAGGGCTGGCACGGGGAAAAGGGTCCTCATCAGGGCCTGCAGTTGGCTCTGCAAAAGGTGGAACTGTTACCAAAGGTGTGGATGGGTATTTCTCCTACCAGATCCCTGGATTGGCTCCCAATGGGCTACTGGGCAGGTCTTTAAATTGGCAAAACTGGTTCTAGGCCAAGGCTAAAAATGGCTGAACCTAATTTATAGGGTGTTTTCAGGTCTGCAGGCCTGCCTCTGTGAGTACAGATGGGTTTGTCTCCAGTGTGTGGGTACACCTGCCTGTGGACTGAGCTGATCAGGGTTGAAGCTAGGTCACAGAGATGCTTCAGGAGTTGAAGTTGGAACTGCAGTCAGCCAGCCTGTTACCCAAGAGACAAGCAGGTAAGGCTCCTCCAAAGTCCCTTAGTAGACAATGCTGATAGAGGAGCCAGAACAAATGGGGCTGTGGCCAAGCCTAAATAAAGAGAGTGTTATCTCTATGTGTGTAGCTAGAGCCACTGCAACTTGGGTGCAAGCCTGATGTCTCAAAATGGCCCTACTTGATCTTGGACTCCACTGGTGTTTTGCAGTCTCCTTTCTGTATCTCAAAGTCCCCACAAAGGTGTTTCTATCCACTGATGGTTGACAAATTATTGTTGTTATGGGGGGATATGAGTGGAGGTTCTCCTATTCTGCCATCTTACTGATGTCACTCCTGAATGTATTTTTATGATTTTCACTTACACATGGTTTTTTGAAGATGCTTTATAATATTAAAATAATGTGTTCAATTAATGAATAAATGACACTATATAATTCATTGACTATTAGGTCATATATTAGAGAAGATATAGTAAGAAGTTAGTCTTAAAATATGTATTACATTTTCAGAAAAGTATTCCATTTGGGTTCCTAGAGATTCTAGAAAATTCCATAAGTTGTTCTTAATACTTGATGGGAAGGCATCAATTATTAACCTATTGCATTATGTATGAAAGAATATTTATATACAAATTTATTATTATAGAAATCATCTTATTCATCTCATAAATTTCTTGTACATTTTTATCATTTTTTAATTCTTAGGTTTCTAATAAATAGTAAATGTTTTATCTATTGATCGGTTATTATCTATTTATGCTTAAATGTGTGAACTTGAATCTCTTCATATATTTATCCCTGGCTTGATTATTTTTCTAATTATTTTGGTGAATAAACACATTCCTTCAATTTAAAAATTACATGTGTATCGCATTGTGCAATGCCTGAAAATGATCCTGAACACTCACTGTGCATTGACTGAACAATCAGCTTTTTGGAACCAGGGGTGCATCTTTATCTAGATGTTGGAGCTGTACCCAGTCTCAGTTTTCCACATGAATAGGAGGGGACAATATTCCACAGTTGCCAAGATCTCCAAATACTCAGGAGCTGGATTCCTCAGATAATTCCTGTGACTGTGTGGCACCCCGAGTCTTGCCATTACTACTCATTGAATGTCAGCAGTTTCAGGAAGGTACGACATTGAGTGGGGTTGCCCTCTACAATTTAGATAATCCCCATAGCAGCTGTCAGCTGAAGGCTGATACCACTCCCTGCAAATAGGAGAACAACTTCTTCTTTTAAGAATGATCCCCAGAATGGTGCCTCACCCTGACCACCAGAGAATTATAGCTTTATTGTCCCTGGCCACGTAAGATTTCCTATTACCCCAGCAAAACCTATTCTTTCAAAAATTTCATGTGATATTGTGGAATTTATCTAGAATCATGACATATGACTAACATAGAATACTTGACAGCTTGATTAGGTAGTTTTTTCTAAATTGACTGGTCTACTTTTCAAAATAGCTAAATTAGATATGTTATGGTACAAAGTCTGTCCAGAGTTCAAAGGAACCATAGGAACCTGTGATAATTGCCCTTATGTTGACATGGAAAGACTGTAAAAAACCTTCTCTGTAGCATGAAAATTAGCACTTGTAAGCACTAATTGTTTTTCCATGATTATAAAACCTGCAACTAATACACTAAAAATAGCTAGCTTATGCTATGCTACTCATGTAGCAATTATCATGAAAGCATTTCATTACATTCATTCATATTAATGGTGCATTCTTCATTTATAGGTTTGTAAACATTTCAGACTCTATTACCTACTAACATTATTTCATTCTTTTGACAGAATACATTATCTTTTGTTTTATGCTGAAGTAGAGTGCAGCAAGCAAAAAGCAGCAAAAGACACATAATCAAAGTACTTGGAATGCTGACTGTAAAATTATGCTGAGAACTGGCTGCATGATAAGATGCTTTTCCTTCCTCTTTGTTATTTGTATTATTTTGTAAAGATAGGCCAGTGTGAGTATGTCCAAATAAGCTAATAATCTATTTCCCTTAAAATTTCAGCAAATATTCAAGAGAATAAAAATGTAAGTTATTGTCCACACAGCTAATGTTAATTTTTCATTAACATAATTTAAGTCTCGGTGATAGTTTGAAAATGTTCATAATGTTCATTATCTAATAAAATAGATAATTGTGGAATTATCTAACTCGTAGAAGATTAATTGTGGAAGAGTTGTTTGTATATTTGTAACTGTCTCGTTTTTAGTAAAACCAATTTTTTTTTCTGAGTTAAAATATTAAACAATGAAAAAGTAAACTCAATAAATGTAATTCAGTGCCTTGCATAATAGAAAAATGTTAACAAGGTAAAAGCTGTTAAAATTGGGATGGTTTCAAATTTTAATGTGAAAATTTCTGTGATAATTTAATCTGCTAATATAATGTTTAACTCTAGATCTCTTTCTTGTGACATGGCTCGATGCAATTTAGGTTGCTGTCATTAAAATTCTACAAGCACATCATACAGGCCTATCTGCAGTGTACCCATTTCTGCTCTACCTATGTACATACCTAAACCTGAAAACAGGGTTGGAGCTCACTTCTTATGTTCATCTCCTTGCCCTCCCATGCTCATTTGCAGCATAGTCAGATGAAGTATAGTTAACAAACTTATAGCAAAGACAAAGCCTCGGGCTTCAGTTTGAGCTTTGACTTTACCATTCAGTAGCTTTGATACCTGAGCTAAATTGCTGATTTTGTTTAAGTCTTGCTTTCCCTTCGCGTAAGATGAGCTGAAAGTTATTAGCTTCTTCACAATGTTAAGAATTAAAGGGAAAATATAAAAAGTACTTAGTACAATGCCTGGTGCCTACTAAGTGTTCAAATTCATTATCACCATCAAGATTATCCTCCTCTTTCTCCCCCTCTTCCTTATTATCTCATGTTTTAAAGAAGTCTTGGATGGGGAAGAAATAATGAAGGATGTGTGGGAAGTATTATATGATAGTACATCCAGAGAGCTCTGCTTCAGAAATAAACATGTAGATTTTTCTCTTTGTTTTGGCCAAATATGGCTAACACAAATATATTTACAAAAACTAAAAAGCAAAGAAAATTGGTGTAATTTCAGGGAATTTAGTACATGGTAAGAATTATTATGTCTGAAAGACAAAAGAAAAACAATATAACTATATAAATTATAAATTGAAAATTTATATGAAAAGTAGATATACTTTTATAAAATTAATATATATATTTAAATCTGAGAATTTAAATGTTCTCTTTAATTATTAACATCTTTTTTAATTTGTTTGTTTTGTAGACACCATGTCATTAATAAGTAAGAACCTGGGTATTAGACAGAGATTTTAGGGATTTCCATTTTCTCATGTGCTACGGTTTGATAGTAACTGAGCATTACTTTCCCTCTCTGACACCCAAATTCATCATCTATTGTTTTAAACTAACTCACAGAATTATAAAAATAGAATAAGTAATTATTAGGTGTAATTTTTGAAACTTTTGATGCCTAAAATCCACATTCGTTTTCTAGGATTATTGTAAAAACAGTATCACTAATTGGGTAGATTAAAAACAGCAGTAATTTATCCTCTCACAGTATTGGAGGCTGTGACTCTGAAATCAAGGTGTGGGCAGTGCCTGCTCCTTCTGAAGCTCTGGGTAGAATCCTTCCTTGTCTCTTCCTAGCTCATGGTTTTGGCCATCAATCCTTGGTATTCCGTGGTTTGCAGCTGCATCACTACAATCCTTGCCTCTGTCGTCACGTGCTGTCTCTCTGGGGGTCTCCGTCTTCACGTGGTCTTCTTAAACAGACAACAGTCACGCTAGACGAGGACCCACCTCAGTGACCTCACCTTAATTTTATTACATCTGTAGACCCTGTTTCCAAATAGGGTCACACTCACAGGAACCAAAGATGATAATATTTTTTTTTGGAGGGAGGGAGTTCAACCTATAAAAGTCTTGAGCTTGAATATAAACTTAATTCAATATTTCAAGGCTTTGTACTAAAGCCCTGGATTTATACTTAAACTGTTTCTGAGATGACTGACAGCTTTAGTGACAGGGATCTCCAATCTTCTGGAGCAATCTCATGACCAAGGATCTTTAATTTTTGTGTCTTGAATCTTGCAGTTCTACACACATTAGTGTACATGCTTCATCAGAGAAGAATGGGAAAATGAGCAGGAAATCCTGTTTTTGTGATTTCTAGATTCAACCTATGGTTTGATGCAGTAGAAACATATAAGTGGAGATCCTACTCTGAAAATGCCTAAAAAATGCAGGTTTCATCGAACATATTTTCCACTTATGGTGTAGATTTAAAAACCTCCATTTTTGGCAGTCTCTATAATTCTTTATGTTAATACCTCAAGTGAAAATACATTATGGTCTATTAGTCACACAATATTCACCATCAGAGATAATCATGATAGCCATGACTCTGTTTCCTTTTTCTGAATAAGTAACCCCCAAAATGTGACCCATCAAATTTTCAAGTTATGTAACACCTTACAATTCCTATGTCGAGACAATGTTACCCAACAAGAAAATACACCAATATTCAGACTACGTCATATGCAGCACTTAATATCAGGCCAGAGTTAATACGGAATCAGAGCAAAGCTGGAGGCATCACATTATCTGACCTGAAACTATACTTCAAGGCTATAGTAGCCAAAACATCATGGTATTGATACAAAAACGAACACATAGATCAATGGAGCAGAATACAGAAGACAGAAACAAATTCATATATTGAAAGCCAACTGATTTTTGACAAAAGCATCAAAAACATACATTAGAAAATGGAGAGATTCGTCAATAAATTGTGCTGGAAAAACTGGATATAATATACCAAAGAATGAAACTAGACTTCAACCTCTCACCATATACAAAAATCAGATCAAAATAGATTAAAGACTTGGATATATGACCACAAACTATAAAACTGCTAGAGAAAAACCTAGGGTAAATGCCTCAGGACATTGATCTAGGTGAAGTTTTTATGGCTAAAACTTCAAAAGCAGAGACAAAAAGAAATAGAGAAATGGTACTATAGGAAAATAAAATACTTCTGCACAGCAAAATAAATTATTAATAGAATAAAGACATGACCTGTAGAATGGGACAGAATAGTTGCAAAATATTCAATTGACAAGGGACAAATATCCAGAATATGCAAAGAACTCAATCAACTCAACAAAAACAGAAGGAAAAAAAACACTGAGAAATGGGCAAAGAATTTTAATAGACATTTCTCAAAAGAAGATATCCAAATGGCCAACAGGTATGTGAACAAATCTTCAATGCCAAGAATCATCAGGGAAATGGAAGTTAAAACTACAATGAGATTGCATCTCATCTCAGATAGAATGGCCAATTATTCAAAGACAAAAAGTATCAAATGCTGGTGAGGATGTGGAGAAAAGAGAACTCTCATATACAGCTGGTGGGAATGTAAATTAGTACACCCGTTATGAAAAAGAATATGAGGGTTTCTTAAATAACTAAAAATAAAACTACCATATGATCCAGCTATTCTGCCACTTGGTATCCGAAAGAAAGGAAATCAGTTTATAACCAGGAAAAACTGCATCTCTGTGTTTATTGTAGCACTATTCACAGTAGCCAAGACATGGAATCCATCTAAATGCCCACTAACAGATGAGTGGATAAGGAAAATGTGATACATGCCTATCTCTAATGTTGTCATTGTACATACACATATATACAATAGGATATTAATCAGTCATAAAAATAGAATAAAATCATATCACTTTCAACAGCATGGATGGAACTGGAGATCATTGTTTTAAGTGAAATAAGCCAAGCACAGAAAGACAAATATTTCTTGCTCTCACTCATAGGCGGGAGCTAAAAAGGGTTGACCTCATGGAAGTAGAGGGTGGAATGATGGTTACTTGAGTCCGGCAAGGGTGACCAGCATTAATTAATAATACGTGAGCCTGGTAAGGGTGGGCGGTAAAGAGAGATTGGTTAATGGATACAAACATACAGTTAGAAGAAATAAGCTCTAGGATTTAATAGCACAGTAAGGTAACTATCGTTAACAATAATTTACTGTATATTTCAAAGTAGCTAAAAGAGAAGATATGAAGTGCTCCTAACATAAAGAAATCATAAATGCTCAAGGTAATGAATATCCCAATTACCCTGATTTGATCATCACACATTTTATGCATGTATAAAAACATCACACATTCCTCATAAGTATGTACAATTATTATTCAACTTTTTAAAATATCGATTTAATTGTTAATCATTTCAGAGGCTACTGAAGCCAAAATACAAAATGCCAAATATATTAATTAAAATCACTCTATTGGACACACTCTTTTTCCCCCTGCTAACTCCCTTAAAGAATCTATTTCTGTTCTCATCCTTGAAGGTCCTGTTGTTATATGAATCCCTTCCTTCTTTCACACGTAACTGGTCAAAAGTAGACAACTGAACTAAAGTAAATTCATTAATTTCTTAGAAGTTAAGATTTTTTTCTTAAACATACGAGCTAAGAAAAACTAGTTACATTTGTAGTTGAATTTCATTATTTGATATTGTAGACAAGATCTCTGCACCACTCTCTGTTGATAAGAAATCAACATATATGTACCAACAACATATGATAAAAACCTATTTAGATAAGGTTTTTTGTTCGTTTTTTTTTTTTTTTTTTTAATGACTGAATCTCACTCCATTGCCCAAGCTGGAGTGCAGTGACGCGATCTTGGCTCACTGCAAGCTCCGCCTCCTGGGTTCGCACAATTCTCCTCCCTCAGCCTCCCAAGTAGCTGGGACTACAGGCACCCGCCACCATGCCCGGCTAATTTTTTGTATTTTTAGTAGAGATGGGGTTTCACCATGCGCAGTGGCTCACGCCTATAATCCCAGAACTTTGGGAAGCCGAGGCGGGCGAATCATGAGGTCAGGAGATCGAGACCATCCTGGATACAGTTGTTTTATTACTATGTCTATATCTACAGAATGGTACGCTTAAAGAAGACATAATTACTTCAGTACAAATTTTGTAGTCTGTTTTGACATTTGGATCAGAAGATTGAGGCTCATGGACTACACATTTGTAAGTGTGTGATGTTTATCAGTTGCATAACCAAACTCAAATATTGCTGATCAATATGCATGTGGCAACCCAGAGCATGGTCTCTAGAAAGGTGTGCTCTGCTACCTGACTTCAAACTATACTACAAGGCTACAGTAACCAAAACAGTATGGTACTGGTACCAAAACAGAGATATAGACCAATGGAACAGAACAGAGCCCTCAGAAATAATGCTGCATATCTACAACCATCTGATCTTTGACAAACCTGACAAAAACCAGAAATGGGGAAAGGATTCCCTATTTAATAAATGGTTCTGGGAAAACTGGTTAGCCATATGCAGAAAGCTGAAACTGGATCCCTTCCTTACACCTTATACAAAAATTAATTCAAGATGGATTCAAGACTTAAATGTTAGACCTAAAACCATAAAAACCCTAGAAGAAAACCTAGGCAATACCATTCAGGACATAGGCATGGGCAAGGACTTCATGTCTAAAACACCAAAAGCAATGGCAACAAAAGCCAAAATTGACAAATGGGATCTAATTAAACTAAAGAGCTTCTGCACAGCAAAAGAAACTACCATCAGAGTGAACAGGCAACCTACAGAATGGGAGAAAATTTTTGCAGTTTACTCATCTGACAAAGGGCTAATATCCAGAATCTACAAAGAACTCAAACAAATTTACAAGAAAAAAACATCCCCATGAAAAAGTGGGTGAAGGATATGAACAGACACTTCTCAAAAGAAGACATTTATGCAGCCAAAAGACACATGAAAAAATGCTCATCATCACTGGCCATCAGAGAAATGCAAATCAAAACCACAATGAGATACCATCTCACACCAGTTAGAATGGCGATCATTAAAAAGTCAGGAAACAACAGGTGCTGGAGAGGATATGGAGAAATAGGAACACTTTTAAACTGTTGGTGGGACTGTAAACTAGTTCAATCATTGTGGAAGTCAGTGTGGCTATTCCTCAGGGATCTAAAACTAGAAATACCATTTGACCCAGCCATCCCATTACTGGGTATACACCCAAAGGATTATAAATCATGCTGCTATAAAGACACATGCACACATATGTTTATTATGGCACTATTCACAATAGCAAAGACTTGGAACCAACCCAAATGTCCAACAATGATAGACTGGATTAAGAAAATGTGGCACATATACACCATGGAATACTATACAGCCATAAAAAAGGATGAGTTCATATCCTTTGTAGGGACATGGATGAAGCTGGAAACCATCATTCTCAGCAAACTATTGCAAGGACAAAAACCAAACACCACATGTTCTCACTCATAGGTGGGAATTGAACAATGAGAACACATGGACACAGGAAGGGGAACATCACACACCGGGGCCTGCTGTGGGGTGGAGGGAGGGGGGAGGGATAGCATTAGGAGATACACCTAAAGTTAAATGACGAGTTACTGGGTGCAGCACACCAACATGGCACATGTATACATATGTAACTAACCTGCACGTTGTGCACATGTACCCTAAAACTTAAAGTATAATAAAAAAAGAAGGAAAGAAAGGTGTGCTCAAAGGTCCTGTAAATATGGTTAATAAATGGGGTCGTCACATTTCAACAGTGCTAAAGACAGTGTTTCCAATGTCATCATCACGAAAAGGTAAACATTTGAGGTGATGGATATGTTAACTATCTTGATTTAATCATTCCACATTGTATAAAAAATTAAAACACCATTTTGTACCCAATAAATATACAGAGCAATAATTCGTCAATTACAATAAAAATTTTAAAAGGTCTTGTGCTTTGACCAACTTCTATAAAATGTTATTTACAACTTGAATAAAAAGACAAGAATTGCCGGACACAGTGGTTCACGCCTATAATCCCAGCACTTTGTGGGGGCTGAGACGGGCGGATCATTTGAGGTCAGAAGTTTGAGACCAGCCTGACCAACATGATGAAACTCCGTCTCTACTAAGAATACAAAATAATTAGCCAGGCGCGGTGGTGCATGCCTGTAGTCCCAGCTGCTCAGGAGGCTGAGGCAGGAGAATCACTTGAACCTGGGAAGTGGAGGTTGCAGTGAGCAGAGATCACACCACTGCACTCCAGCCTGGGTGACAAGAGCGAGACTCCATCTCAAACCAACAACAACAAAAAAGAATCACATTTCAAACCATAGAAAAGAATAAAAACAAGAAGAAATAATAACATACAAGATGTAAGACTCAAAATAAAAAAATGTTGGCAAGACTGTAACTTTTTTGAATACGCTCCAAATAAAATATTCTACTCAACCATGGCAGAAAAATTTCAAAGATTCTAAAAATTTAACACCTGTTATGGGATATGAGATTTTCAATTAATGTAAAAATCTTCAAAAGTTGTAGCTACTGTAAGACCAATATTAATTACTATTGCATAATACATTCACTTGGCATTATATTTTGAGAGGCATATTTCACAAAATATGTACTGCGTAATACTAAGTCTGCTTATGTTGACACTCTGAAAGGAGTGACATGCTATGCTACATTTCTCAAGCATAACCAAAATAAATTCTTTTCTATAAAGTTTCATTTTTGAAGTGTTTCAATGACTACACAAAAAATACCAAACTACAGTGTTCACAGGATGGTTTACAGAATAGAAAACAATTAAGAAACTATGTCTCATTAGGTAAAAATAACATACCTGGTTAGTTGACTCAATAATTCAAAGGATTATAGATTTATTCTTTCAAAAAATGTTCTTGTGTATATTTAAAATATACAACATGATGTTATGGGATAAATATAAATAGTAAAACGGTTACCATAGTGATGCAAATAAACACATCCATCATCTCACATAGTTATCCTTTGTGTATGTGTCAATAACAACTACATTTATTCATTTAGCAAAAATCCGAAACAGTATAATTTTATTAACTACAGTCTTCATGTTGTACGTTCGATACATAAACTTGTTCATTTTACACATCTACTACGTTGTATTATGTGACCCACATCTCCCCATTTGCATCCTTCTGATCACCACTCTTTTATTCGCTGTCTGTATATTTGATTCTCTTAGATGCATACGTAAGATCCTGTAATTTTTTTTCTCAGTCTTATTTCATTTAGCATCATGTCTTCCAGGTTCATCCATTTTGTAAGAAATGGCAGGATTTCCTGATTTCACTTACTTTTGGTATACACTCAAAAGAGAGATGCTGGGTCACATAATATTTCTAGTTTTAATTTCTTTTGGAACCTCCATACTGCCTTTCACAATAGTTGCCTCAATCTACATTTCTGCCAACAGCATACAAGAGTTCCCTTTTCTCCATACCCTCAGCAATATTTGTTATATCTTAACTTTTGATAATAGCCATCCTAATGGGTGTGAATTTATATCATTATAGTGGTTTGGTTTGCATTTCCCTGGTGACTAATGAGGTTGGAGCAGCCTTTTTTATACCCACTGGTCAATTTTATCTCTTCTTTGGAGAAACATCTGTTCAGGTCCTTTGCCCATTTATTATTCAGGTTATTTGGCTTTTTACTAGGGACTTGTAGGAGTTCCTTGTGAATCTTGGATATTAACCCTATTAACGCTTTATCAGGTAGATGGCTTGCAAACATTTTTTTCCAATACATGGGTAGCCATTTTATCTTATTGATTGTTCCCTTTGCTGTGCAGAAGCTCTTTACCTTGATTCAATACCATTTACTTATTTTTGGTTTTGTAGCCTGCGATTTTGGTATGATATCCAAAAAGTTATTTCCAAGGCAAATGTCAAAGAATTTTTTTTTCCTACATTATCTTCTAGGAGTTCTGTGGTTTCAGGTTCTAAAATTCATATGGAACCACAAAAGGCCCTGAATAACCAACGAAATTCTGAGAAAGAAAAACAAAGTTGGAGGCATCACACTTCCTGATTTGAAATTATACTACAAAGCTATAGTAATAAAAACACTGTGGTGCAATCAGTCAGAGGTTATTTGGTGCTCCACCTAACAACCTAACACAGAAAATGTGTCCTTATTTCCATCTGGATAACAAATAGCAGGAGATACACTGCAAAATTCCATTTGTAAAATTTACCAATGGAACATGTTAGGATAATCAGTTTTCTAATCCTTGTACTCCAACCAAAGTGTCCTGTACCAGCTTACTTAGGAAATACATTAGAGAAAGGGGAATCCTCAGATATTTAAAGCAGGGTTCAATAAACTTTTTCTTAAAGGGTCAAATGGTAAATATTTTGATTTTGCTGGCCAAGAAGCAAAATTACGAATATTATGTAGTTATTTTTTCTAATAATTTGAAATATTCCCATATGAAAATGGGGAAAAAAATCCTCATGTTATGGGTCATAAAAGACAGGGGGCTGGCTAAATTTGCTCGAAGAGCTATAGTTTGCCAATCTCATTTAGAGGACAAATATTGTTGACAGAGGTTTACTTTTCATACCAGCACCACATTTCAAGAGTTCAAAGAGTGTTTGATGCACCAGCATGGACTTCCATACTATATTGCCTTAGACCAAGACTCCTGATTTACATAAAAAAGTGTGATAATGGGATGCTTTGTGGAATAATGTTCTCATCACATACCATACCACCAATGAGCTGTTGACTTCATAAGTAGATGGTAAAGTCATTTGAACATGAAATAGAAGTCCTGTCTTAAAGGTTATACCCTATTTGGTTGGGGCATCCAATGTTCCTAACTTTGTAAACTATTATTTTATTTCAAATGAAACTCTCCACCAAACAGACTATTGTCTTGTTCTGGTGCTTCCAGAAAGCACATTCATTAAGGGAACCATGCCTGTCATTATCATGACCCCTCAGAAGAAGCTCAGAGGATACGTTTTGCAGCCCTTGCTCCTTTTCTGTTAAAGGGAAAGAGAATTTAACCATAATCTTTTTAACAAAATCCTGCTGAGAATCATGGGCATAAAAAAAGCTTGCTGCTCTAGTTATCTGAAAGTTAGTTTTAAAACACACTTAAGACTATGAATTGTCACCGTCAATGATGGGAATATCTTCCTGCACCTTTATTCCCTAAAAAAATATTTTTAGTTTCGTGTATTAGTGCTTAAAATTCAATCAGAAGATAACAAGAATGAAGATCTTAATGATAAAATCAGAGAATGTAGCCAAGTGTCTGGCACTGTTTGGAAGGCGAGCTCATTACCCTGAGGAATATCACAATGCATTCATTCAAAAATCTTCCTGACAATCTACTGACAAAATTGTACACAGGTATGTACACAGGCCCTGCTATATTTGGATTCTTGTGTGGCTCATGTGAAGCCACATGGAAGTCTATTAGCCACTACAGTTGCCAGTCATCACTCTTAGTAATATCTTTCCCTCTCAGATCAATTAGAGAAGTCAGCTGTCCAGTCTCCCAGTTCTTCCCTCTCTAACAAGTTTTGAGTTCTAAGTACTCCACAGTAGCAAAAAAACAAACAAACATAAAACAAAAACTTTTTATTAAAAATTAGTGTATTGTTTTCATTACTACCTACACACTTTTTCTGATAGTAGTGAGACTATTTTCTAATTGCTGATGGTTTTAACACAAATTCTGATTGGAAACTTCATTATCCACCTAGCAAAAAAGAAATAAGAAATCAGCTCAAGAAGGAAAGTATGTGATTTGTATTTTTTTAATTAATTTCACAAACCTGAACCTAATGAAATTTTTAAATTTTTTTCTTTGAAAATGAAGGAGTCATTATTTGTATCCAACTGAATTATAAGTTATTAGCTGCCGTCTTTCATAAATAGTTTGGCTTGTGGTCTAATTTATCTCAAATAGTGTTTTAGTTACCTTAATAGATGAATGCATTAATTTTAATTGGATAATGACTAAATTAGATAGGTAATGGCCTACAAATTTTTTTATTTACTTGTTGGAAAAATGCTCAAAAGTGATGCTAAACATAACAGAAAAACAACCTAGTTTATTTAAAATATATAAGCTCACATGATCTCATGCATTTTACTTAAGATGTCAAAATTTAAATGACAAAAAGATCACAGTTATCTAAAATAATATTTATGGAAAACTGAAAGGGAGAAAAGTTGTATTAGAAATTACGTACTGCTTTAGGAATAATGAGTGTTTACAAGTTCAGACTCTGGACCCACTTGGGCCTACGTTTGATTCTTGGCTCTGTCCTCTGCTAACTGTGAGACAGTCTGAGAGGCAAGGAACCTTTTCATGCTTTATATCTTCATTTATAAAGTGGAAACTGAATTGTACAAATATCTTGAGATTTTTGCAAGCACGGTCTAAGACTATGTAGATACAAAGCTTAGCAATTTCCTGATAGAAAGGAAGGTTTATTAAAAGCTAGCTGTTATAATTATTACTATCACTATTGTTATCTTTGAGTTTCAAAGTTTCAGCCCAATAAATGAAAGAAGCATGAATATTAGTCTTAGAGTCTCTCTCTTTTTTTTTTTTTTGTTAAACCATATACTACTGGAAATTATTTTTGTGTCTGGTTTATTAATGCTAGTAGAGTACTTAAAATTGTCATAATTCTTAGGTAAGAAAGGACTGAGTCACTAAGACACTAGAAGTTTTATACTATCTTTCTCAAAAGTGCTTTTGGGGATATATTATATTGACATTTGGGCTGCAATTCTCTGGCCTTCTTAAGAACTAGAAAAAAAGAGAAATGGAACAATAGTGAGCATTATTATTTAATTTTAAATCCAGGAAGATTCATATATATTTCTAATGTATTTTTATATACTTAATAATTAAAGTGAGCTGTGAATTTATGAAGGAACTAAACCTATGTTCTAAAGATTCTCCCACATTATTCAATCAGAGCTTGACTCAAATTAGTAATTAATGAAGAACAAGATTTTTTTAAAAAAGTATAAAATAATGTTCACAATGTAATCTAGTGATGTCAAATTTGAAATGTATTTTATATCTTTCTTTGTGTTCATATTTTTATATTAATTTTAAATGATGCTAAATACAGCTAGACATTTCTATATTTTTTCCATTCCACAAGCCTTAAAAAATAAATTGCTTACCAGTTTCACATATCTACAAAACTATTGATACAGAATACTCACATATCACAATTTTTTTAAATTAACCATTTTGCCCCCATTCTCCCTATTAGAAGAAAGTCTATTATGTAACATTGAAGGAGCCTCCAATTTTTTCATGAATTTCAAGGGTTTTGTTAATTCTAAAGATAATGGATTCAAAATGCTAGGCAAAAGCAAATTATAGAATCTAGTGGAGATTACTGTATTAGTCTGTAATACTAATTACTAATACAAACATTTTGTAAGGGTTTCCCCTTATAAAACCATCAGATCTTGTGAGACTTATTCATCACCACGAGAACAGTATGGGGAAAACTCCCTCCGTGATTAAATTATCTCCCACTGGGTCCCCCCAACAACACATGGGAATTATGGGAGCTACAATTCAGAATGAGATTTGGGTGAGGACACAGCCAAGCCATATCAATTATTAATGCTAGTGGAGTACTTAACAATCTAGCTAGTGGAGTACTTACTATTAATGTTAGTGGAGTACTTACAGTTACCTTTGTTTTCCTACAGAACACAGCTGCACCAAGGAAGACTGGTATGGCAAGGAGCAATAACCACTTTCTTACTCCATGTTAATGCTCTTGTCAACAGGACTCTGGCCAGTTGCCTGTGGTTCTCAAGACCATGTTTTTCAAACTTACCTTAGTCAGGTGGCAGCGGCCAGGGTAAATTCTATCACACGTGTTATCATGACTGTGTGATTCTCCCATGCAGGCACACACACCAGACTTGAGTCACAAGCCCAGCCTACCATGTTCTGCAACACACTTTTATTTCTGAGCAATTCTTTCCTTATGATCGCCTTAGGGTTGCCCCAAACTCACACAGCAGGTCACCACAAACCATTGGATTTTCATAGCTTGACTTACAAAAGTCCCTGGGGATACTTATGTAAATTAATCCAGCTTTCTCCTGTGACTAGCTTTGCATAAAGACATTAGAAAAGATGCATGGATTTTTCACTTCAATTTAGTCCTCTAAAGAACTTAGAAAGCATTGCTCCCATTCACACAACAGGAAAAGTCAAGTAAACTGAAAATCAATGGCCTTACTTGGAAACATCAGAGAACCGAAATCACTACTGTAAACGTGGAGAGACAAGCAAATCCAGCGAGCCAACATGAAGACCTATTTGCTTGGGAAATTGCCACTGGAGCCATAAACTAGTAGGATCATTTAAATGGTATTTTTTATAAATTACTAGAGGTCAAGTGAGGACTAGTTTAGGACTGAGAAAAACCCATGACTCCACACTCAAAGGACCCCACAATTTTGTGCACATTATCGCCTGTAGCCAGAACAAGTTTTCGCAAAAAAGAGCCAAGAAAGATCCAGTTCCACTAATGGCTCGGGGAGGGGTAGGGAGAGAGAAATTAAGACGAAATAAGCCCATAGAATTCTCCACGATGACGACCTGTTCTTCAGGGGGTTAAAGACTATGCTGGAACTTCATCCTGCCCAAAGGTTGGACATTCATCTCACTCTAGCCCCCTCTACCTTTCTGTATTAATAAGGATTAACAAAAACAAAACAAAATTGTGCTAATGGAGAAACATTCGTGAAACTGGTGAAGGAAATAGCTCAGGAACACACACCCACTGAAAGTCTATTTAAACATAAGTTTATAGAATGCTTCTCTTCCCCAACACCTTGCCACTGTACCAACAGGCCCCAGTATAACAACACTGGATTATATCTGAAACACCTGCATGATGCAGATCTATCTGAGAAATACTCAGACAAGCCTAAAGCCAAGAGAGGAAAGAGAGAGAGAGAGAGGAAAGAGAGAGAGAGAGGAGAGAGAGAGAGAGAGAGAGAACTCAAGGAATTTGAAGACTCTATCACCTACACGACAGAAAATATTTTTGAACCAATTAAAATAAAAATAAAACAAAAATTTGTGAGGAGGAGCAGAATCAGAATTATTGGAAAATTTATAGCAATAAGTGCAAAAATTAGAAAAAAATATTCCAAAATCCATAATCTAAGATTCCACAATAACAAACTAAAGGAGAACAACATAAACCTAAAATGACCAAGAGAAAGGAATAATAATAATAAAATTAATACAGTTAAAAACAACAAAATCAATAGAGAAAATGAATGCGAATGAAAGTGAATTCTGGTCCTTCGGAAAAAAATTAATACAATTGATAAAAGTTTAGCATGGCTAACAATGAAAATCAAAGAGATAAGGCATAAATTGCCAATATCAGAAATGAGAGAGATGACATTGCAACTGATGTCATGGTCATTAGAAAAGTGATAGACTAAGAACATCTCTATGCCCACAGACTTATTAATTTACATGAAATGGAGAAAATCCTTGAAAAACACAAACTACTAAAACTTACACAAGGAGAATTAGAAAACGTAAATATATCTATATCTATTAGAGATATTGGATCAATAAAAATCTTTGAAAAGAACACACTAGGCCTAGTTGGTTTCACTTATTAATTATCAAATAATTGAGGAAAGCAAATCCAATCTCCAAAACATCTTCCAGAAAACAGAAGTACTCCCATTAGAGGGAGTACTTCCTTGCTCATTCTGTAAGCCAGCTGTACACTAACACCAACAAGAGGCAAATACATGATAAGAAAAGAAAACCGAAAACTACTATCCCTCAAGAATGCAGATGCAAAATCCTCAGCAAAATATAAGTGAATTGAATCCAACAATGTATAAAAATAATTATTTACCATGATCAAGTGAAATTTCTGTCAAATTTGCAAGGTTGGCTTAACATTCAAAAATCAATTACTGCAATCCAACATATCAAAAAACAGAAACTCATATGATTGTATAAATTGATGAAGAAAAAGCTTTTGACAAAATCCAAGTTATTCATGACACAATCTGTCAGCAAACTAGGAGTGGAGGAGAACTTGCTCATCCCGATAAAGGACATCTACAGAAAGCTACAACTAAAATCAACTTAGTGATGAAAAACTGAATGCTCAGATTGAGAATAAGACAAGGATACCTTTTTCTCATCACTTCAATTCAACAGCATACTGGAAGTCCTAGCTAGTTCAATTAGACAAGAAAGAGAACGCCAGGCCTGGTGGCTCACACCTGTAATCCCAGCACTTTGGGAGGCCGAGTCGGTTGGATCACGAGGTCAGAAGTTCCAGATCAGCCTGGCCAACATAATGAAACCCCGTCTATACTAAAAATACAAAAATTAGCCAGACATGGTGGCTCGTGCCTGTAGTCCCAGCTACTCAGGAGGCTGAGGCAGGAGAATCACTTGAACCTGGGAGGCAGAGGTTGCAGTGAGCTGAGATCATTCCACTGCACTCCAGCCTGAGCAACAGAGCAAGACTCAGTCTCAAAAAAAAAAAAAAAAAAAAAAAAAAAAGAGAGAGAGAGAGAGAAATAACAAGTATACAGATTTAAAATGAAATAAATAAAACTGTCATTTGTACGTGGCATGATTTTATATGTAGGAAATCCCAAAGAATTTACCAAGAAACTTCTGGATCTTATAAGTGAATTTAGCAAAGCTACAGGATAAAAACTTAACAATAAAAAATCAATTGTTTTCCTATAAGAAAAGTTGCAATTTGAAATTTGAAGAAAGGAATACCATTTCAAATGAACTCCAAAAATTTAATCCTTATATATAAATCCAAGAAAAGATGTTGGGGATCTATTTGAGGAAAACCACATAACTCAAAGAAATCATGACATCACCTCCTGCAACCTCTGCGTATATACCTGGCTGGTGTCCACCGCACTTTGGGACTTTCTATTTCGGCATTGGAGCTACTCCTTTCTCTGTCACTGTACAAGGGAGCCTCTTCCTTCTGCCTTCTCTTTTCTTTCTTGCCTATTAAACTCTCTGCTCCTTAAAACCAAAAAAAAAAAAAAAAACCTAACTAAATGGAAAGATGCTTATCTTCTTCATGTATTGTTGGTCTCAATATTTTTAATACATTAATTTTTCTCAACTACATCAATAGATTTAATGTATTCTCAACCAAAATTCCAGGAATCATTTTTTGTAGATATTAATAATATGATTTAAATTTTATATGGACAGGCAAAACAATACCAATGTCTAGCCAACTTCAAGACTTACCATATTCAAGGCAGGCCAGGAGCAGTGGCCCATGCCTGTAATCCCAATATTTTGGGAGGCTGAGGTGGACGGATCACTTGAGGCCAGGAGTTCGAGACTAGCCTGGCCAACATGGCAAAACCCCATCTGGACTAAAAATACAAAAATTAGCCAGGTTTGCTGGTGCACACCACTGGTCCCAGCTACTCAGGAGGTCTGAGGCACCAGAATGGCTTGAACCCAGGAGTCGGAGTTTGCAGTGAGACAAGATCATGCCACTGCACTCAAGCCTGGGTGACAGAGTGAAACTCTGTCTCAAAAAATAAAAAAAAAAAATTAAAGACATTGTGGTATTGGCAAAATAATTAATCAATGAAATAGAGTAGCACTCAGAAATAGACCCACACAAACATAAACAATTACAACTTTTTTCAAAAATCAAAGGCAGTTCAATGTATAAAGGATATTCTTTTAAATGAATGCAACCAGATCAATTTGATGACCATAAGCAGAAAAAAATGAACCTAGACACAGCTCTTACCTTCCACAAAAAGTTGCTGAAAATGGATTGTAGACCTAAGTTTAAGTGCAAAACTCTAAAATTTTCTGTAAGATAACATACAAGAAAATCCAGTTGACCTTGGGTTTAGTGATGAGTTTTTAGAATTAATACCAAATAAAACAAACTATGAAAAAATTAATAATTAATACATTATTAAAAGTAAAAATTCCCCTTCTATAAAGACACTGTTAAGAGAATTAGAAGACAGATGGTAGACCAGGAGAACATGTTTGCAAAACACCATCTACTAAAAGACTTCTATTCAAAATACACAAAAGATACTTTAACTAACAATAAGAAAACAAACAACCAAATTAAAAAGTGGACAAAAGACCTAAACAGATAGTACATCAAAAATATATGTATTCAGATAGAAAATTAGCATGGGAAAATGTGTGCACTGATTTTCATTAGGTAATTGCAAATTAAAACAATGAAATATTACTTCATAGGTAAAAGCTAAAAAAAAATGACAATGCAATTTAGAAGGTTTCCAGGTCCCAGAAAATAATGTAGACATTGACAAAAGAATCTAACAGTATTAAAAATAGAATCATATGCTGCATAATATGGTTTGGCTGTGTTCCCACATAAATCTCATCTTGAATTGTAGCTCCCATAATTCCCACATGTCATGTGAGGGATCCAGAAGGAGGTAACTGAATCATGGGGGTGGATCTTTTCCATGCTGTTCTCATGATAGCAAATAAGTTTCATGAGATCTGATTGTTTTATAAAGGGGAGTTCCCCTGCACATGCTCTCTTGCCTGCTGCCATGTAAGACATTACTTTGCTTCTCCTTCCCCTTCTACCATGATGGTGAGGCCTCCCTGGCCACTTGGAACTGTGAGTCAATTAAACCTCTTTCCTTTATTAATTACCCAGCCTCAGGTATGTTCTTATTAGCAGCATAAGAACAGATTAATACACTGCATTACAATGTTTCAGTCAATAAGATACCACATATATAATGGTGTTCTTATAAGATTGTAATACAGCATACGTACTTTACCTTTTCTATATTTAGATATTTTTAGATACACAATTACTTGTGTTACAATCACCTACCGGTATTCAATGGAGTAAAATATTGTATAGGTTTGTAACCTAGATACCATAGCTATATCATACAGCCTAAGTGGAGGCTATCATATCTAGGTTTGTATAAGTACACTCTATGACATTTGTACAATGATAAAATAACCTAAGGACAAATTTCTCAGACTGTATCTCTGTCATTAAGTGATGAGTGACTATACATGAAACAACTGCAGTTAAGGTGAGGGGGAGTTAACTGTAGTTAAGATGGGGGAGGGAAGAGCAGGAAAATGCTTAGCTAAGCAACTTTGGAGATGAGTGGAGATGCTAAGACTAAAGGCAAAAGAAACAGCACACTAGTACTGTATTATAGTTGATAAAGTTATTTTTGATGGAGGCGCAAGTGAACAATTTGGATATTGATATACATCATGTGTATTGGAATAAATTAAGTAATTGGATATGTGTGCTAAGAACCATGTTTTCCACTCTTGGAGTGGGCATATACAGATAAGCAAAGAGAAGAGTGAGAATAATCTATATGATAAGTGTTAGACTTGGAGACACAGCATAAAATCATGATTTGCTTAATATAGATACAGATAATTACAGAAATAATTATTATAGACATAAGTATATACATGAGTTAGTTCACAAAACACATAATCACACACATATGTATGTATGTATGTATCCATATTCTATCAGCTTAGGAAATGTGGAAGCAATGTCACCCCAGTAGCCTTAAGGGTACCTCAGGCTCGTGACTTGGTTTCTAATATGATTCTCTGAAAAAAGAGACTAAAGCTCCATGAAGAAATGACTGAATCATTGAATAGGCAGGAAATATACAAAATGAGCCTGGAGCATCTCGTGATAATGTCAGAAAGAACCGTCCCCTACCCTCAAAAAGCACAATGATGGGGGCATATAAATGAGACATAGGAGCCAACTGAAAGTGCCCCCACATTGCAAAAGCTGAAAGAATAATGAGCATCAAAAAAGACAACATTCAATTAAAACATCAAGCATAAAATAATTATCTGAGTCTCTGCAGATATAAATAAATAAATAAAATATAAATAAATGCTGAAGAATAGACAAACTTTCCACGTAAAGGAATCTCAAAAAAATTACGTAGGTATTCTGTTCTCAAAAAGACAGAGCATAACTTTCCATTCTTAAGTGTGGGCTGTGCACTGTGACTTCCTTCCAATGAGTACATTGGTAAGTGGGAATGAAAAAAAAAAATAAAGAAAAGAAACCTAACAAATACTCTCTCAGCCTGCTGATCATGGTAAACTTTAACAGCTACGTCATGTTGATAATACGTGCCCTTCATTTAATATGATTAAAATGAAGTTTTTCCATACGATTCCTCAGAAAGACTCATCATGCAAGCATAATCATATGGGAAAACTTTTCACAAAATTTCAGATGAGGGACGGTTTATAAAATACCTAACCAGAACCTCTGAAACTGTCAAGGGCTTCAAAAACAAGGACAGTCTGAGAAACTGTCACACCTAAGGAGGGCCTCAGGAGAGATGGCTAAATGTAATGTGGTATCCTGCATGACATTCTGGAATAGAAAAAGAACATTAGGTGAAAACTAAGGGAATGAGAATAAAATATGAACTTAAGTTTATGGTAATATATCAATATCGGTTCATTAATTTTACTAAATGTATCCATGCTAATTGAAGGTGTTAATAATAATGGTGTGTATTGAGTAAGAAGTACATGAGATCTCTGTAGTAGCTTCACCATTTTTTACTCAATCTAAAATTGTACTATAACTTTAATGATTATTTTAGAACAAAAGTTATATAAAGACAAAATGTCAGAAAAAATCATGCAGCCGGTTCTTTTGCAGCCGAAGCCTTTCCTCTTCTACAATGAACAAGAGTACTTCCCAAGAGAGGCAGTCAGCTTCTCTCAATCAAGAAGCAAACAAATTTTTTGTGCCTTGCTATATTTGCACATGGGAAGTCACGCAAAATAGATTTAAGTAGGACGAGGACCAGTTTGGGCTTACATTTATGTACACACATTAGATGAAAATTGGAAAGGTTCTGTGTGTTATAAATATTGTTTTTTGGACACCAAAGATTAGCTGAGTGCCCAGAATACTCACCGGTTTGAAAGCATGTACTCAGTAGCCAAGGCCTGATCAGCTGCTACTTAACCGTGGCATTAAATATACACCCTGCTGTTTTTGCTGACATTTTGTCCTGTACATCTCCATCATCTCCATCAACTAAATTTGGTAATTCCTAAACTAAAAGCTTCACGAATTAAGGGATTTGTCTTCCTAACTATGCACCTTATTTAGAAATTACTGCTGACAACTACATACTTCCTAAGTGCATTCTGAAATCATGTAATTAGCTGTTGGATACTTGTATTGGGATGTGTAATTCAAAACTCTAAGTACTCGTGATACATTAATACTCGCTCTAACATAGTGAAAGCCTGTGGCTTATGTTTGCTTCTTCCCTTTTATTATCAATCATTTATTTAGTTCAGTACAACTAAGACTTAGAACATACCAACTGTATTAGTCAGGTTCTTTAGAGGGACAGAACAAATATGCCAGATGTGTATATGAGAGGGAGTTTATTAAGGAGTATTGACTCACGGGATGGCAAAATGAAGTTCCACAATAGGCCGTTTGTGAGCTGAGGAGCCAGGAAGCCAGTTCAAGTCCCAAAATCTCATAAGTAGGGAAGCGGACACTGCAGCCTTTCAGTCTGTGGCCGAAGGCCTGACAGCCTCTGGCAAACAGTCCAAAAGCTGAAGAACTTGGAGTCTGATGTTCGAGGTCAGGAAGCATCCAGCACGGGAGAAAGATGAAGGCCAAAGACTCAGCAGGCCTGCAGTTCCATCCTCTCCTGTCTGCTTTTTTCTAGCTGTGCTGGCGGCTGATTAGATGGTCCCCACCCAGATCGAGGGTGGGTCTGCCTCTCCCAGTCCACTAACTCAAATGTTAATCTCCTTTCGCAACACCCTCACCGACACACCCAGGAACTATAATTTGCATCCTTTCATCCAATCAAGTTGACACTCAATATCAACCATCATACCAACTATAATGTTAAGGAAGAAAAACTCTATCAAGATTTGGTCCAAGTTTTTGATTTACTAAGATAAATAATTAAGTATATGTCTCTATTTGAAAGCATAAAAAGTGAGGTTTTCACAACTATATTGTATCTCCTCTAAGATGTTGTGAATATTAAATGATATAAAGCATACAAAATTAGTTATCTTTGTTATATAGAATATTCAGGACTCAAGAGTATTAGCTGGATAGTTGGCTAATTATTGACAAAGCCTACCAATAAGCTCCCAACCCACGCATAATAGCGTTTGGGATATAAGCGCACTGATTAAGCCCTGGGCCAAAGAACATTCCTAATAAGTTTCACCTTTGAAAATGAATCCTCAACACTGGTGCATCTTTTGAATTTCTCACTCATTTTAATAAAATATAAAGTATAACAATAATAAATGTTATGTTTTACCTGCCAATATGAATCCAAGCCAGTTTTAAAGGAAACACATTCAAAATGACACATGGTGACAGATTACAGTAAAGTCTGAAGAAGGCATAAAGTTCTGCAAAGTCTACACTTTGGCAGGTCTTTTGGTTTTACTACCAGTTCCTTGCCAAAATCCTATTTGATAGATGAGAACAATTTGTCTTTTTGGACATTCATGAATGCGACTCTGCAGACATTGAATTACAAGTACAGAGGTGAAATTCACTTTTCATATTTGAATTTGGCAGATGAATATGCAAGTAGAATTAAATGTCCCAGATGTCTTGCCAATTTAAACTACAATAAATCTAGATATTCAGACTAATTCAACTAAATCACAGTATCTTGTACAAATAAGGCAGGCATTTTATGTATGTTTGATATTGATACTGATGATACTAATAGCATCTTTAAAAATACACATAGATAATAATTTATTCATTATTGAACAGTTTTAGTCTGAAGGATAGAGTTTAAGATGCCCACTCAGCACAAGCTCATTTGATATGCAATTTTGAGGTGTCTCTGGTTTATTAGACATTGCAAACACAGGTTGAGATCTCAGAGAATATTATGAATGACATAAATATCTGATATTTTGCATAAATTGAAGGAAATAGCACTTCTAAAGTATTGTTTATGAAGCTAGGCCATTCAGAATTAGAAAGACCAACGTATCTCTAAGAAAAACCACCACGTAAATAAATGTTCACAGTATAAAGTGTAAGCACTTGACAGACATATGTACAAAAATTCATGACATCCTTCTAAGAGAAAATAATATCTGAAGTCACTGATCATTCACTGTGTCTAGAGGAGACACATAGTAAACTCTCCTAAATCTTATTGTGACAAATGTGAAAAGGCACCCATGGAATTAAGTATGAAATATTATTTTGTGACAAGAGAGTAAAATGCCTTGGGTATCTTACTTTGGGTTTGAAATTTTGTTCTGTCTGCCATGACAACTATTCAAAGAATTTTAATTAGAATAATGACAGATTGGAATTGTGTTTCAGAAATATAATTCTAGTCACAATATTGTGAATCAACTAGAAGGGATAGAGGGGAAAGACTTGCAATTCTTGAAGTGAAAATTATATAACATTAAACTAACTTAGTAACAATGAGACTCGACTCAAGAAAATGATTTAAGGCACACTTAAGAAGTAAAAATGACAGGAATTTGTGGACTATTAAATGTGGAAGATAAAGGGGAAAAGTAAAAGTAAGGAGAGAGATATATTCATCATTATACTCACTTTCAATAAATGTCTACATAATTAAAAAAATTCAAACATGTCTCTACATAGTATCAGTGCAAAAGGGAACACATATAGAATAATTGTGGACTTAACAGGAAAGGGAGAAATTCAGTTTCCTGCCTATGATTAGTAGTATACTCAGGCAACATGTGATCACTGACCATTACATATTGCAAACAAAGACTTAATATTCAGAAAAAATGAAACTGCAAGAAATACTTAGGGCTTAACAACAATGAACTTGAGGTGATGAGCATCTATAAAACATTGTCCATGGAACAACCCATGCAGAAATAATGAAAGAAGAATCCTTAACCCAGAGGGGGAAAGTTTTCAAGTTCTTACAGCAAGATGTTACACAAGATATGAGTGTATCAGTATCTAAATGGAGTTACAAACGGGAATAGGAAAAAAAATTGAAAGTTGACCTGGGGAAGTTAGTTTTAATAATGTTAGGCTTCATAATCTCCTAAATATTTTGATTTTTTTCTTCTTAGATCTGAGTGTGATAGTGAGGCTTAAAATAAAAGAGAGTTTAAACAATGATTAATTCAGATAAGGAAAACCTTTGCCCTCAATACTCCAACAAATATACATTTAGCAAAATATAGCTTAAATGACATTCTGTTGCCCTTCCTTTTGTAAAAGTTTCCATAGAGAGATGAACCTACAATTTCTCGATAAGTGAATTTAAACAAACTGCAAGTACTTTTTCTTTTTCTAACTAAGAAGTCATGTGTCTTTCAGAGAATCATTTAAAATAAAATTTATAATGACAAGATAATTTGCTAGAGGATTTATGGTTACAAAAACGATAGAACAAGCATTTTCTAAAATATCTAGTTTTGGGTAACAAATGGAATAATAAAACACAAATGTAGCATTTCAAAGGCTCTAAGCTTTGTGATGTGTAAGTGATTGTTCTAATTTAGGGGAATAAAACTCCTCTGTCAATATATTCTTACCTCAAACATATGCATATTAGATTTATGGGAGTTTTCTATATATTTGCATATACACATACTTATTTGTATACACATGTATCACTTGGGCTATATCTATGAAACAATTATCTAGAAAAAAAATAACAAAAATCCAAATAAATTTTTGGTATTAGTACTTTATACTTTATAGGGTAAAGCCTGAAATTTGACACAATTCTTAGAAATAACACAATGCAATACATGTATATGCCAGTTGTCCTGCAAAATATTGACTTAAGAGACACTTAATCTCATTTTGCTGAAATTGCTCAAAATCTGAGGAGGCCTCTTTTGGAAACACTTTCAGAGACATTTTACTGGTGAATTAAGAAAATCAATCTCAATTACTTTAAATTCATACCTAATTTTAAACTCTAAAGAGATTTTCTCAATGTGATTGCTCACCGTATTTACCAGACTAAAATCTAAAAGGCTCTCAGCTATTAAAAACAATTAAATTCTACCCTAAAGTATGAAATACTGCTTTAACAGTGGAAATTAAAAAGCACAATCTAAAATAAAGCAGTTCTAAAAGAGTTCTAGTGTTTTTAAAATTTGCATGTGGGGTTATTTTTTAATTAACAAAATTTATTTGTAAAGCAGTGTTAGTTTCAAAGCAAGATTCAAAAATAATAATAATAATAATAATACGGGGAGATTCCACATAACCTCCTGCCCCACACATACACAACCTCCCCTCTATGACATACCTTTCCATAGTGATCCATTTCTCACAATCAATGAAGCTACATTGACACATCGTTATTACCCAAAGTCCCTAGTTTATGTTAGTGTTCACTTTTGGTGTTGTACATTCTATGGATTTTAACAAATGTATCAGGACATATATCCACTATTGTTGCATGATACCGAATAGTTTAATTGCCCTGAAAATCCTCTGTGTTCTGTCTACTCATCCCCCCTCCCTTTAACCTCTGGCAACCATTGATATATAGTTTTTACTTTCTTCATAGTTTTGTCTTTTCCTAAATGTTATATCGTTGGAATCATACAGTCCTGTTCAAATAAAGTGCTTTCTCTTAATAATATGCACTTTAGTTTCCTCCGGGTATTTTCGTGGTTTGATAGCTTTCTCCCCCGCTTTTTTAAGCACCAAATAATGTTCCATTGTTTGAATGAACCACATTTACGTATCTGTTCACCCACTAAAGGGCATTTGGTTACTCGCAAGTTTTGGCAGTTCTGAAAAAAGCTGCTATAAACACTCGTGTGCAGGTTTTTGCATGGACATATGTTTTCAGTGCATTTGGGTAAATATCAAGGAGTGTTGTTGCTGGATCATGTGGTAAGAGTATGTTTAGCTTTATAAGAAACTGCCAAAATGACTTCCAAAGTAGCGGTACCATTTCACATTCCTACCTGCAGTTCCTGTTGCTCCACATCCTTGTCAGCATTTGGTATTGCCAGTGTTTTGGATTTCGACCATTCAATCGTATGGGTAGCGGTATCTTATTGTCATTTTAATTTGAAATTCTCTAATGACATGTGACGTCGAACATCTTTTCGTATCCTTACTTGCCATCTGTATATCATCTTTGGTGAGGTGAGGTATATATAGTCAGTTCAGGACTCTGTAATAAAGGACTCTAGGCACGGTAACTTGTAGATAACAGAAATTTATTTCTCACAGATCTTGAGGCTGGAAGCTCAAGCATCTTAGAGTGCCAGCATGGTTCAGCTTTCATGAGGGCCCTTTTCTAGGTTGCAGGCTGCTGACTTTTCATTGTATCTTATCATAGGGGAAAGAAAGCTATGCAGCTTTCTGGCCTCTTAAGTGTACTAATCCTATTCACGAAGGCTCGGCCCTCACAACAAAGGCCCTGCCTCAAATACCATCACATTCAGGTTAGGTTTTCAACATGCAGATTTGGGGACAGTGGGGAGGGTTCAAACATTCAGTCCGTTGCATGTCTGTTCAGGGCTTTTGCTTATTTTTTAAATCAGGTTGTTTTCTTATTGATGAGCTTTAAGGCTTCTTTGTATATTACAGCCAACAATCCTTTATCAGATATGTCTTTTGCAAATATATTCTTCTAGTCTGAATCTTGTCTTTGTCATTGTCTTGACTTTTTGCAAAATAGAAGTGTTTAATTGTCATGAAGTTTAGGTTATCGATTATTTCTTTCTTAGATCATGACTTTTTTGTTGTATCTAAAATGTCACCACCTAGCTCAAGGTCATCTAGCCTTTTCCTATGGTATCTTCTAGGAGTTTTATAGTTTTGTGTTCTACATTTAGGTGTATGTCCTATTTGGAGTTAATTTTTGTGAAGATATAAATCTGTGTCTAGGTTCATTTCATGCATGTGGAAGTTCAGTTGTCCCAGCACCATTTTCAGAAAAAGCTTTTTTCCACTATAGTGCCTTTGCTTCTTTGTCAAAGATCTGTTCATTATATCTACGTAAATCTATTTGCGGGTTCTTTATTCTGTTCCATGGTTCTAAATGTCTATTATTTTGAAAACACCACAGTGTCATGATTACTGTAGCTTTATAACAAGTCTTAAAGTTGGGTAGTATCAATCCTTCACCTTTGTTCTTTTTCTTTAATATTGAGTTGGTTAATCTGGATCTTTGTCCTAACATATAAATTTTATAGTCAGTTTGCCAATAGCCACAAAATAACTTGCTATGATTTTGATTGGGAAGGCATTGAATCTATAGATTAATTTGAAAAGAGCTGATATCTTGGCAATATTTAGTCTTTCTATCCATGATCATGGAATATCTCTCGACTTCTTTAGTTCTTCTTTTATAACTTATCAGAGTTTCATAGTTTTTCTCACATAGGTCTGATAGATAGATGATACAGTTAGATAGATAGATAACAGAGAGATGTATACCTAAGCATTTCATTATTTTTGGGTGTGTAATGCAAATGGTATTGTGTTTTTAATTTCAAAGATCCTTGTCTTATTACTGATATATAGGAAGGTGATTGACTTTTTACACTAACCTTGTATCCTGAAACCTTGTTATAATAATTTCTTGTTAGTTCCAGGAATTTTTATGGTCAATACTTTCAGATTTTATACATAGATGATCATGTATCTGTGAACAAAGTTTTATTTCTTCTTCCCCAATCTGTATATATTTATTGCCTTTTATTCTCTTATGGTGATAGCGAGGATATCTAGATGATGTTGAAATATTGTGGTAAGAGGGGACATTCTTGTCTTGTTTCTGATCTTAGCTAGAAAGCTTCAACTTTCTCACCATTATGTATGGTGTTATGTGTACATGATTTGTAGATGTGTGTTATCAAGTTGAAGAAGTTCTCCCCATTCCTAGTTTGCTGAGAGTTTTTATCATGGATGGATTTGATTTTGTCAAATAGTTATCCCAAACCTATTGATATAATCATGTGATTTTTTTCCCTCCAATTGCATCTTCAAGTTGTGTGAGTGAAAGTTGGGCATCAAATTATTGGCAGGAATGAGTCAAATTGGCTTCTGAGTGACATCTGTGTTACACACATGCTCAGAGTGACTGGTTTTGACATTCTCTGTCAGCATTAGTTCAACATGTTTGAACAACACAAAAATTTAGACATTTTAAAAATAAAACACAAATTATTAAAATTGATTTTAAAATACCTAAAACTTATACATAAAATAAAAGGAAGACCTTAAGGGAAAAAAGGGTAACAGAGTTACGGCTTCAAAGACATTGTATCAGACACTTCCACAATAGGTCATGATGAAGTTATGAGTAATGGATTTATCCTCCCATTTTAATCAACTCAAAATCAGGACAAATATATAAAACAAAGGTTTCTAGACAACGGGCAGCAGAAAATGGAAGTCAGTGATGTTTAAAAGAAGAGAAACTAATCAGGGGAACCCTACAATTGCCCAGATTGCTTCTAAAAATGTTTGCTAGCAATAATGCAGATGGCAGATACAAGCAGAGATTGACAGCTTTCTTAAAGTAAAGATACAGAGCTCAGAAGGTGCACAAGGCCTCCTAGACATTACTGCAGAAACCACTATAGCTGATGTAAAATAGACCCAATTTAATGAGCCATCTAGGAGAAGAGAATAGATTGATAGTAGAATAACATCATTGAAGTTTATCCCATCCCATTGTGGTAACATTGCTGACAGCTGGCTCAACCAGGTTTGAGTTAGATCAATGCAGGAAAAAGGCTAATCTACCTCTTAGATGGTGGAGGCTTTCTTGTCTATCAACACCTCTTCTCTAATCGTTCTTATATTTTTAAGTGGTTTGAGTGATTTTTCTGGCTTCCCATCTATATAAAGATTTAGACCATGAAAGTGCAGGATCACTATATACTAGAATGTTGGTCAATGGCACATGCAACTGTCATTCATTAGCCTAAGTTGTGAGGCAATGAGATCTGCGGAGAACTTCATACACTTCACTTCAATTATGCAAGTTCTATCCAAAATAAACCTGTATTACATTTGTATTGTGTGGCACTGTGGTGTATAGCCGTGACCCTTTGGCACACCAGGGTATAATACAGCATGCTATTGCAGAGAAGAATTTCCTCCAAGAATAGAAAATGATAGAAGTTATGAAATAAAATATTATTTGAAAGCATCAGAGGGCTATGGAAGCAATGAAGACTAGCTACATGAAAATTTTAGAGAGAACATAACTGTTCCAAGGTGAGTTGATAATAGCCAGCTGTCCCCTGTCTTCCACAATGCTCAGTGTTTGTCTATCTTGGGTAAATAAATAAATAAATAAATAAATAAATAAATATTTATTATCTGTTTTACAGGATGTTCTGTGCCTTGTATGATGCTAATTAGCAAATGCTGGATTCTATACTCACAGTGTGAAAAATAAAAATATCTCTGGACATTATTAATTGTCCCTCTGGGGGCAACATAGCTATAGCTGAGAACCGCTGAACTAGAATAACTAATTAACATCATGTTGCATATAATGTACATGGCCAGTTACCTCTGAGGAATACTTTCTGAGTTCTAGGATGACACAGGAGACTGAAGATAAGGGATTCTAACAGGTAGCTGGAAATTTTAGATGAACATATTTGAAGGAAGCAAAAAAAGAAAGGACCTCTCGGAGAGAAGAAAACTACCTTGAATACACAGTTGATCTCTCCTCAAGTTATTTAACAAGTTGTATAACTGCATATGGAGTTACAATAAAGAACCTAATTTTAAAAACTCTGAAGATCACAGTGTAATTTCCCATAATCTTTTAGCACTAAAGAGGTAGAGACCCACCAAACTTGTAGCCCAAATTCTAACAAGGCCAGGCCCTAGGCACGTAAGTTAGCTAAACTAGACTGAGACTTACAAAACTTAAACCTAGCTATGACTCAGCTTGATAATTAATTTAGTGATCAGAATCCCATCTTATGGCTTCTATGTGAATTCCTAAAATAACATCTAAAATAACTAGATGCGCAAAGACATAAAAGCATGTAACAAATAATCAATAAAACTACCAGTGAATAGAAGTTAACACACAGATAATTCAGGCTTCAAATTTAAAAGGCAAGGCATTTAAAATATGGTTATTAAGTTTTAAAAAATAGAGTAAAAGCACAAGCATTGTAGACTAATGATGAAGTTTATCAGATAATTTGAATTTATATAAAAGAATTAAGTAGTCATTCTAGGACAGAAAATATCACATATATATAAATAAGCTAACTATATATGTAACTTTAAATATGTGTGTGTATATATACATACATATATCTCAGAATTAAGAATATATATGTAACTTTAAATATGTGTGTTTATATGTCTATATATCTATATATATATATATCTCAGAATTAAGAATTGAATGGATAGCTGCAACAGCAGACTAGGCACTACAAAACATAAAACTGATGATCTGAAGAACAATGAGAAAAAAAGAAAAATAGCATTGATATATGCATAATTGGAGGCCTTGAAAGAGAAGACAGAAACAAAATTGAGGCAGAAGTAATATTGATAGATACATGGCTAAAAACTTTGCAACATAGATTCCAGAAACTCTGTGAATGTATATCCCAAAGAAGGATAAATGCAAGCAACACTACAAGTAGAAACATTTGAATAAAACCATTGAAAGACATAGATAAAGAATATACTCTAGGCCGGGCTCAGTGGCTCACTCCTGTAATCCCGGCACTTCGAGAGTCCATGGCGGGCCAACTACTTGAGGCCAGGAGTTCAAGACCAGCCTGTCCAACATGGTGAAACCCCGTCTCTACTAAAAATACAAAAATTAGCTGGGCATGGTGGCAAATGCCTGTAATCCCAGCTACTCGGGCGGCTGCAGCACAAGAATCTCTTGAACCCAGGAGGTGGAAGTTGCAGTGAGCTGAGATTGCATCACTGCACTCCTGCCTGAGTGACAGAGTGAGACACTGCCTCATATATTATAATAATAGTAATAATATACTCTAAAATGAAGCAGAGTAAGAAAAGACAAGTTCTTTTTAAAGGAGCAACACTAAATCTAACAAATGACTTTCCTATAGAAACAATGAAATCCACAAGTTAAGAGCAGCATATTTAAATTGCTGAAACAAAATATCTCCAAACATCAGTTTCAAAAGTAAAAGTAAAATAAAGATATTTCAAATGAACAAAAGCTATGGAAATTTGCTTTCAACATTCCTGCATTAAACAAATCTTAAAAAAGGAGAAAAATTAATCCATTTGGAAGCATAGAAATACAAACGGGAACTCTGGAAAGGTAAATATGTGAGCCACGATAAATGAGTATTGACAGTAAAACATAGTAATTCATTATAATATATTGTGAAGTTTAAAATACATGTAAAGGTCTCATGTATGCAAGCATTAAAACATAGAAAAGCGTACAAGTTATAGTTTATTTTAAGGTTTTAAGATTTTGTCAATACTGGGAAAGGGGTAAAAGTAATTCATCAAGCTTTACAAACCCTTAACATGTGAACTTTTTATACAGGTTGATCACTATACTTTTATACATGTGTAACTTATGCAGTATATTGGTATATTTTATAGCTATATGCATATGCAAGCATAAGTACCTTTATATAACTATATTTATTGAAAACATCTGGAAATATACATACCAGTATATTACTAGTGGTTATTTCTTAACTTGGGAATCATTGGAAAATTTTATTTTGTTTTAAAAATTAAAACATATTTCTAGAAAGAGAAATTATATCATAGAATAAAATGAATAAGAAAATGCAGAATCAGTAGAGCAAAGCAGGAGGGGAAATAGGAAGAAGAAAGGCAGGCAGAAAAGTTGAGCTAGGATAGATTACAGCGTCTAAAGACCTGTGTTTCAACCCTAACTTACTGTTTCTGATTGTGTGGGGGGGAAGAAAAAAAAGAAAAGTTCAAATACTTATCTCCTTCTTTCATTGACCAAGAAGACCTTAACATTCCTCTCAGGTTGATTAAACTTTAGACAGGCTTCCTTAGGACTCTAGGAACCTGACCTCCTTTTTCTTAAGAGCATTTACTTCAGAGAACTTGTAATTGTAAAATCCTTTCTCTTTTGATATGTAAATCTTTAAAGCTTCTTGCCAGTTTTGATATCCAGAAATATATTTCTCATGTACCTGGGAATCATCCTTTTGCAATGTAATTATCAAGGAAATAGGCCCCCTAAGTCCCAGTTTCTGTGGGAGGGTAGAGCCTAACTTCAGCTGGAGTCTTGCTACAAGTTGTAAAACTACCTCTTGTTATGAAGATAGGAGAGTTTACTTTTCCTCTGGGGAAAGCCAGTTAGCAAACACAGATAGTCTACGATCTCTCTGACCCCAGCTCTTAAAAACTCTACAACTTTTATTTCATCAACATTGAATCAGATTGAGTTCTAGATTCTCTCCCCTATTGTAACAGCCTTTAGTGAAATATTTCCTGCTTGATTAACTTTGGTGTAACTTTTGATTTGGCACTATAAAAAAGTGATTATAATAAGATTTATATATTATTATTATAAAGGAATGTGGGAAGATCAAATGTTGTAAAGGTTGGAGAACTGCTTCATAAACAGAAAGTGGACACAGAGTTGAAAACAGGTGAGTTCACAGGAAAAAAACAGACCAGAAAATCATTTCAATGTACTAGAAGTATCTTGAGACTTACCATCTATTAAATATGATGCTATTAATTAATTCTCAGTATCCATCTCTGGAAGGCTTTATTTTGGAAGACTAATTTCAGTGCTCAGGATAGATTTTTTTTCTATGACAAAACAGATAATAAATATTGATTTTTAAATACGAAATTTTAGTGACCATAATTTAAATCTTATTTGAGAGACAAAATAACTTCAGTTGCAACATTATTATTTTAAATAATAATGTTAAATTATTTTAACATTATTTTGTTAAATATGTTAAAACAAATTTAAAAATGTTAAAAAATTTGTTAACAAATTATGTTAAATTATTTTAAATAATTCTGAGTGTTAGGAACAATGCAATGAAAGTTTATAGGAGCAAAAGAACCTCTGTTAATAAGGATTCTACTTTGTTCTTGTAAGGAAAATCCAGTTTTAAATGGCTTAATTAAAATTGGTTAGTTTTTACTCACATAGTACTAGGCATAGGGCACAGGTCTGGTGTGGGCTGCTTGTTAGCACCAGTGTCCTGATAACCTTTTTATCTTTCTGCTCTAACATTTACAGCATTTGGCCTTTTCTGATGTATGCTACTTTCTCAGAGAACAATGGCTGACCTAACTCTAGCCATGTCCACTTTGCAGACTGAAGGAAGGAAAATTGGTGGGTGAAGGAGAAAATGTCTGTATCGGAAAAGCAAATTATCTGCTGGTCCTCCCTAGAAAATTTCTGTCCACAAGTAATCTATCCCAAGGGTATCCATAGCAGCAAGAGAGGCTGATAATTCAGATTTTTTTTTCTGAGAACAGTGCCACACAGAACAAAATCAGAATTTGATCAATGAAGATGAATAGCTAAGTAGGAGTATATGCCACAACACCTTACAATGCTTCCTAGGAGAATATCATGCAGTTATGATCAATTGTCACACTGATCTCAAATATGTGAGTTGAAAATTAAATGATCTCACCCCAAAGCAACTCATATTGGTTGACATGGTCAAACATTAATTTAGGCACTTAAGGTCAATAGATTCAAAATACTTTCCTTAGCTTACAAAAAAAAATTTTATAATACTATATTAGCAATATCTGCCTGCATGTCTATCAAACATTTTGCATAGCACATTGATTTAATTCTCACAGCATTCTATGAGATGAATATTCATCCTTTTTCACAGATGAGGAACTCAATGATTCAGAGAAATATGCCTGTTTATATCATTGTGGTTTTATATTAATCAATTAACCTATGAATTTTTTATCTGATATGGGCAAATGGAGTCATTAATTTAAGATTTTTTAACATTTAACTAAACTTCTAGAACTGTGTAAAGGTTGGCAATGTCAACTAGCTTTTTGAATAATTGAATGAAGCCTGGACAAAATTTTACAAAGCCTATCCTAAATGAATAAACATTTGTTTTGCTGAAAGCCCTTTGGTGTACATGGCATGTGTATGTATGTACTTATGTTTATGGCTGTGTGTGTGTGTGTGCATTTGCAGATTGTGTAAAAAAGAGAATAGAACAACTCTATGATTGCTAATCCTGAGCTCTTGGTTTATAGCACTTAATGCATCTTACTCCATCTAATATAGTTTAGGTGATTGTCCCCTCCAAATCTTATGTAGAAATGTAATCTCCAATGTTGGAGGTGGGGGCTGGTTGAAGGTGTTTGGGTCGGGGGTATATCCCTCATGAATGTCTTGGTGCTGTCCTCATGATGGTGAGTGAGTGTTCGCAAGACCTGGTTGTTTAAAACAGTAGGTCACCAACATTCATCCCTTGCTCCTGATCGCACCATGTGAGGTGCCTGCTCCTGCTTCACCTTCTGCCATGACAATAATCTCCCTGAGGCCTCACCAGAAGCCCAGAAGATGCCAGCACCATACCTCCTTTACAGCCTGCAGAACAGCAAGCCAATGAAATCTCATTTCTTTATAAATTTCTCAGTCTCAGGTATTTCTTTATAGCAACACAAAAATGGCTTAAATCACTATCTCTTTCAATCTTTCAGTTCTAATCAAAATATTTTCCAAATGTGTGATTAGTAATATATAGAATATAGCCTATAGCATATTAATTTAAATAAAATTCTCTAGAATTTTTGATATTATATTGAAAATAGAATTCACTTTTACAATATCATGCAATGCACTTTTATTGCATAGGATATTTTTGTTGTTTTTACTAGTTTATATAGGTAATATTGAGAGTTTCCATCCACAATGAGGAACCGAGAGATCTAAGACCTTTTGGAATCTGAAAGCTATTTATTTCAATGGAAAGTAGACTGTGAAGTCTATACTGGAAGTTGTTCCCATCTAGCTTATGCAAAAAACAATTTCTTTTCCTGAAGTTACAGCCTACAATGAAACATTTCAACAGTAAAACTGTAGTGAGGAAGGAGTAAATTTCTTAATAGGGCTTCATAAATAGGGTATATACCTAGAGATTTGGAGATATGCGGGCATCAAACTATCAGCAATTTGTTGAATTGCTTTGTGAGGGGTTTAACACTGCATTTAGCAACTAAGAAGCTGGGAGAAAAATTCTGAATTAGATATCTCAAATATGCAAGGCAAACAAAAATTAACTCAGCATTTATGAAGCCACAGTAGAAACTGGCTGAAAAGATGTTTCTTTGTTTCTGAAATATAATAAAAGGATGATAAATCGTGTTTTTTTGTTTTAATTAAGTTGGGTAAATGACTAACAAAATCATTGTTCCAAAAGCATAGTTCTATTGAGAGAAACACCAGATTGCCTCTAAATTATATTCTCCCCCAATGCTTAATTTGCCACCATTCTATTCATTTGGTATCTCCGTCCCATATTGAGAGACTGTGAGAGTAATACAGTATTGCTGCAAGAATCATCCTAGAAAACATAGAAGATATCTTTATCAATGCAGTGGTCTTTACTGTTAGCTTTACATTTGGCAGGCATTCAAGGTCTCTGTGGACACAAAAATTCCTCTTCGTAAGTTTTCCCACTTTATTCAAAAAATAATTTACATATTTTTTAGGTTTATTCATGTTTTAGGAACTTTTCTGTGCCCCATCTGGTAGCTGGGAGTAATGTTGTACATTTATCTCATTAATTCATAGGGACTTGTTCAAATTTTGCTTTAAGGACTATTTCAAGTTTTGACATAGATTTGACTTGGGCTCTACTAAAAGAAAAAATATATATTTTTTAATCTTATTTTTGCTACACATGCTTAAAATACATTTAGTTAACTATTTTGAGTTTCACTTTCTTTATTTGTGTAAAGGACATGACTGATCCAGTTGTCTTGAGGCTATTGTGAGAATCACTCAGCAAATAACAGAAGAATCATATGCTAATGATTTGTGACATTTTCAAAATATTTCTGAAGAAATGTTCCTTTTATGATCGTGTGTGTGCCGCTTTCACAAGCGGTCAATAGAAATTACTTTGTATAACTATTCATCAAGTTAGTAAAACTTAAGAAGCATATGTGAAAAGAACATTGATATTTTGAAGAAATAAAGTAAAATAATAAACATTAAATGTTAACATTAATTATTAACATCATAGGCTGGGCGCGGTGGCTCACCCCTCTAATCCCAGCACTTTGGGAGGCCAAGGCAGGCAGATCACGAGGTCCAGAGATTAAGACCATCTGGCCAACATGGTGAAATGCCGTCTCTACGAAAAATACAAAAATTAGCTGGGCGTGTTGGCGCACGCCTGTAGTCCCAGCTACTCTGGAGGCTGAGGCAGAATTGTTTGAACCCAGGAGGCAAAGGTTGCAGGGAGCCAAGATCGTGCCACTGGACTCCAGCCTGGAGACAGAGCGAGATTCCATCTCAAAAAAAAAAAAAAAAAAAATCGTAATTAGAAGATTATGAAGTGAAACTTACCTGTTTTATTTCAAATAGAGATTTGAAGAAAGCAAAGGAAAAGGCAAAATGTCTTCATTTGTAATCAGATAACCAAGATTTTCCACTCTAGTTCTAATAGATAAAACTTTTATAAAAATTTCTTAATCTTATTAACCTTTATTTAAGTTAGTTTGCCATTTTTAAAGTGAATCTACTGTTACTTCAGCATTTTTGGTAGGATCAACGTAAAGTTTAAGAAGACATCCAACAAAATACTTTCATTCTTAGCAGAAACGATTAATAAATGAATATTATTTCAATTCTTCAATCTAGGGGAAACAAGACAAATTGGTATATTCTCCTATCTATTTATAATTTTCATGCCTGAGGCTTTATGTCCTTATTTTGATTAATATTTATGGAAGAATTCTGGAAGAGTAAAATAAATCACATACCAATAACATTTATCAGACCAGCGAAGCTCAGAATACTTGTTTAGTGAAAGCACACAGATCACATTAGACAATGATTTTTTCCATTCTATTTTTAAAGCATATGTAAGATACTAGATTATTGTACAACATATTTCTAAAGATTAAAAAATTAAAAACAGTACTTTGTGAATAAGCATGATCAATCATAACATAATCACAACTAAATTCTTACCTTTTCTCTAAGGGCATTCATGATTATTATCAATATTTACTTTTTGCCAGTATTTGAGTAGATTCATTTACTACTTTGGTTACACCCTCATAGATTGAAAACACACAATTCATCTATGTTCCAGTGATGGTCTTATTCCTTAGTGGTATCTTAATGTTGCTTTTTATTCACAGAAGCCAGTACATCATTATAGCTTACAACCATGCTGTTTTCATTTAAAGATCCTACCTTAATACTACTTATACCCGTTGTTGCAAAACTAAGTTTTACATGTTGGTTGAAATTTCAGTGCAACATTTGGGGAGAGTGTACAGCACTCCATGTGCTGCAGTTGATAAATATGAATTAAGAAAATACATAAAACTTCTGTTATTTTTACTATGTATGTTATTCATAATATCAATAACAGCATGTTTTAACTTGTATTTGATAAATGTTTAAGGAGTAACTATTGTGGGTTCGGTTTTTCATATATAATGTAAAACCAATGGATATGAGGCTTTCTATCACAGAAGAGACTGAATGCAGGAGACAGACATCACACAAATAAATGCATAAATTATCAGTGCAAGTCATAATAAGTTCTATGAAGAAGAATGGATTGTTTTGAGAAAACCATAGTAGAAAATAATCAGGAGCAGTGGTCTTAGTGAAAATTATTTCTCTGTGGAAGTGACATTTAGATCAGTAGGAGAAGAAATGACTTGGGGATACCCAGAAGAGGAACTAATGAGGAGTTCACCAGCCAGAGTCTAGCTTTGAACAGCCCTGAGCAACTGCCAGAAGGCCAAGGGGGCTGGAGTTAGTGACCATGGAGTGTTTAGTGTGGTGACAGATGGTAAGAAAGGAATATATGTGAGATTAAATCATGTAAGCAGTACTTAGGGGTTCAACTTTTATTGTAGTGTAAATAAAGAAAAATAAAGTTTTTAAGCAGGTGAGTGACCTTTATCAACTTAAAATTTACTCATAGCAAATGCATCCCTCACATTATAGGATGGGGCATTTCATCCAACTTGAAAAAGTCAATAGACGTTTGTCTTTTCATTTTTTTTTTTTTTTTTTTGGAAATACAGACATTTCCCTAAGAAGAGTTATTATGGTGACAAGGTCTCTTTAGGGTGGGGCATTCAAATATAGGCTTGACTTCATTCCACTTCATCTTTTTTTTAATCAATATTCAAAGCTTTGAAATAATCTGATTTCTCACTTTTGGCCTTTCTCCTATTAACCAAACTAAATATTTCATAGATATTGATAACTGTAAATTCACAATACAAAAACATTATTTGCTGTTTAACTTTAAAATATCTAACATTACTTAGTTGCAAATACTCAATTCTGGAAAGTGTCCGCCCAACAAATACACACAAAATCTCACCCCAGAGTAAGGGGGTAAGTGTTTTATTTGAAATTATCCTGAAAATATCTTTTTCAAAGTTATATGTAAAAGTATACATATTAAACATTCAAAATTAAGAATAGATATTAAATGCTTTGTCTTATTACACCAGAAAAATATGTGGAGCAAAAATTTATTGTATTATAAATAAAATATATATTTTGCTTAATTCAGAATTGCATTAGCCAGTTGTCTTTGCAATTAGAGTAGTGCATAAAATATTTATATATTTTTGCCCTGTTAATATCCAAAAATAAATAAATACATGGATTGAAATATGTTGTGGGGAAAAAAAGCATGATCACCCTGTTGGGAAATAACCTAGAACTAGAGATAAAGTTTTGAACAATGCAAACATTTTTGGAATCCAGTATATTTATGTTCAATTCAATTGCTTTCCTGAGAAGAGATCAGCCCTTACTGTTACAATTTCCTTACACAAATATGAGTTACTACCTGAACCAAAAATTAATTTGCACCTCGAGAAATACAGTAAAGAGAGAGTTACCAATCTGCCAGGTAAGAAATTGCTTAAAGATAGAATAAACGCGTTAGCATTCTTTAAAATTGAATTTTCACCTTGCTTCAGTGGGGGTGCAGGATAGGTAATGAGTTCACTCTATTACATGATTGATGGTGTCTGCACATTTTTTCCATACTTTCCCAAATAATTTGGCTTCTTATTTTTATAGACATATAGATGGGCTCCTGTAGGTGGAGTCAAATGCAGCACAGAAAATAGCTATTTAAGGAAAGAAAGGTAATTTAATCACTTTATCTGCTCTGTATTGGACTGTTTCTCACCCAATTGCCAATGATTGAAGCAATTAGAGAACAATCTTCAGTCACCACTTTACAGGTGCTACCAAAAGGTCACAATTTGTTGCTGTTATAATCTGCTGCTGAGTTTGAACTGGCATGTTGGATCTAAAACATTCCACTGCCCTTTTTCTGTAATTATTACTTTTCCTCGAGGTTGTGAGGTGGGCCCTAATTATGTGCTGGATTGAAGTCAAAAAATACTCATATAACTCCATAGTTTATAAGCAGATCAGCAGTGGTGCAGCACTGAATATATGGGGCTGTTCCAAAAACAGGGAGGATTAATTATGGGGGTATTGCCTTCATTAGGGTCCTGAGCAAAGTAAGCAATGAAATCACTGGACAAGGGATTACAGGATCATTAAAATGCTTAGGCACATAAACCTACTTAGCCTACAACCAGGCTGTATTACTGCCCCTGAGTGCTGGAAGTATCTGTAGTTATCCCATTCTCTTTCCAGTTAAATTATTAAATTATAATTGTTTTGGCATATGTAAGGGTGTAATCCCTCATTTATCTAACATATGTTGTCATATGTTAGATATGACTGATCATGATACCAGGGAAATAGTGATAACATTTACACACACACACACACACACACACACACTTCAGAGTCCTGTGCAACAGAACTGTTAAAAAAAAATGAGACCTATATGATGTTACAAACTTTTTATTATGACACGTTAAGACTTTGAAAGGAAAAAAAAATAAGGAAAAAAGGAAGAAAAGAACAATGACGCCTGTCATCATGATTACTTGATAAAGAAAAAAGCATTTTAATAATAACAAAATTGAGAAAGAATTTAGTTGAGAATGAATAATAGTGCATTATTATCTCCAAATGTGGCTTTATGAAAAACTCCTTAAGTTGCTTCTAACGTTTTTCTTTCTCTGTAAAACGGTAATAACTTTGACATAAATTCTTATATGTCTGTAGATCAATTTTTTGTGAAACACCAGTAAAGAGAGAGAGAAAGAAAATAGTGACAAACAGCATATTCAAGAAGGTGGTTTTGAATCACACTGGACAGACAATGACACAGTCTACAAAGGTGAGAGGATATTTTCAGGAAAAAGTGTAAAAGAGATAGAAGCTTTGATTTGAAGTTTGAATATAAGTTAATGAAAAATCAGATGGTAGCATGCATTTTCCAGGCAGGGTATAGAAAATCAATTTGCACATAAAGAAGCATAAGCAGGCACAATGCACCTGGGAAATGTAAATAGCTCTGGATAAGTGGAATACAGGTTGCATGTTTGGGACAACTGAGAGAAAGAGAGAGTAAATTTTTAAATCACTGGGCCTGGAAACTCATAGTACAGAAGGACTCACATGCTATAGATATTTTGTATGAAATATTATGTGGAGTACAAAGTGTGATCACTTGTTGAGAAATAATCCCGAACTAAAGATAAATTTAGGAACAATGTAAACATTTTTGGAATCTGGTATATTTATGCTCAACTAGTCAGTAAAAATGTTTAATTTAATTTTTCAAAAATTTACTTACAATCTTTCACTACGGTCTGATGGATAAAAGGCTTTAAGTAAGAAAATATTATATCAGAAGGTATGTGATCAAGAAGACAAAGATATGAAGAAACATAAAGGAGAGTTATTAATCTGAGGAACTCTCCCAAGATGCTGAATTTAACAAACTGACAAGAAACAGAGGAGATTATGTAAACACAGCATAGGATAATTCCTAGAGGAAGGGAAAATGACGGCCCACATCCAAGATCTAGAAATACAAGAATTGTCTTGGCACATGGTGAAAGATGAGGTTAAAGGCTGAGAGAAGAAGGCATATTAAAGTGAATATAATATGCAAGGCCAAATAACACATTGCCCAACAAAGACATAAGGAATATGCTGGAAAAACAAAGTGTTCTGCTCTGTCACCAGGGCTGACATTAGGAGATTCTGTTTATGGTTGTTAGCAATAGGGATGATTGTCTCCCTCCCATAATAGAGGCCTGGTGTGACAGGGAACATCCAACTCCCAGTGAACACAATTACCTATGAGTGGAAAGATTTGCAGACATGCAGGAGTCAACTGTAGATGGTGATGAAGATAAAAATAGAAGATAGTATCTTTTTTGGGGGGCAATATAGATGGACACCCAAAAAGGCTCCTCAATCTGTAAAATTAAAACAAAATTGAATATGAGGAGAGCAATTACCCCAATACAAAGTTGTAGTTCCCTTCCCAGTTTTCAGACCTGTTCCAGTTTTCAAACTAGGACCTACTGACTGAAAGCAAAACTAGGTGCAATTGACTGAAAGCAAAACTAGGTCCAGAATGAAGGAAACTGAAGTATCACATCAATTGCATGTGATGATGACTTCTCCAGACATTCCTCAAAGGGATTTCTGGACATTTTCTTAGTTAGCTGTGCACTGGGAAAACAGAAATACTCAAACATTTTGAAGACTCGTGAACACAGGGTTAGAGATGACCACAATAGCCAGAGACTCAAAGCGTCATCATCATCATCATGCTCCCTCCCCAAATATTGGGGGCATACGTAGGAAAATAATAAATGGAGTTGATGTGGCATGGCTCTGTGTCCCCACTCAAATCTCATGTTGAATTGTAATTCCTACGTATTGGGGAAGGGACCTGATGGGAGGTGATTGGATCATGGGGATGAATTTCTCCCTCACTCTTCTCATGATGGTGAGTGAATTCTCATGAGAGCGGATTATAAAAGTGTGGCACTTCCCTCCTTATTCTCTCTCTCTTGCCACCATGTAAGGTGTGCCTTGTTTCCCCTTCTCCTTCCATCATGATTATAAGTTTTCTGAGGTCTCCCCAGCCAAGCGAGACTGTGAGTCAACTAAACCTCTTTTCTTTATAAATTACCCAGTCTCAGGCAGTTCTTTATAGCAATGTGAAAACTGACTAATACAGGATTCCAGAGCCATGCTAACTTCGTGATGGGCCTGCTATCTAGTAGTTACTCTTTGATCCTCCAAACTGAAATAGACATACTAGATGTTTGGCATAGTTCCTAAGCTGTGTAATATCCTTGCCCTGTGGAGTAAAAGCTTCTACGGTAAGAAAAAAAAGGTAAAGCCTCTGAAATCTCACCCCCTCTGAATAATAAGTCAAAAATACTATCATATCCCAGGAAGGGATTTTTTAAAAGTATATATAATTCAAGTCTAAAAGGTATATAACTAGATATTCAGTCTATTTTAATTTAATTCACCAATCAGAACTCAAAGGATCAGACAGATCGTAGAAGATGTGAGTGGACTATTGTCAACTTAACCAAATAATAGCCCTAATTGTAGCCACTATATCAAATGCAGTATCTTTTCTGAAGCACATAAACAAAATTTCATGTGCATGGTATACAGCCATTCAACTGGCAAATGTGTCCTTTTTAACTTCTATAAGAATATACAATTAGATATATTTCATATAGAAATGACAATAATATATCCTTAAAGTTTTGCCCCAGACGAGGTTAACTTTGCCACCCCATCATAATATAAACTCACGACCTCTAGACCATCTAGAATCACTCTGGTCTATTATCTTGATTATCTCATACTCATCAAATCAGGTAAGCAAGAAGTGACTAGTACATTGTGGCCTTAGTGAAACACAAGCATTTTCTGATGGTAGGATATAAACTTCATTAGAAACCCCATGAAAACTCAGTCTCACTACAGCATCAAAATATTATGTATTTTATATCTATTTGTATATAAATATATATTTATTTCATATGTATCTTATATGGAGAGAGATTTAATAAAATGAGAGAGATAAAAATGAAGTATTTTATTGTGCTTTGCTTTATTGTGCTTTACAGATATTGTGTATTTTACAAATTGAAGATGTGTAGCAATTCTATGTCAAACAAGTCTATTGGTGCCAATTTTCCAAAAGCATGTGTTCATTTCATGTCTTTGAGTCACATTTGGATAATTCTTGCAATACTTCAAACATTTTTTATTATGATATATGTTATGGTAATTTATAATCAGTGATCTTTATTGTTACTATTATAATTGTTCTGGGGCCATAAACATCACCCATATAAGACTGTAAACTTAATGGATAAATGTTGTATGTGTTCTGACTGCTCCAGTAACTAGCCATTCCCCCATCTCTCTACCTCTCCCTGGGTATCCCTATTCCCTGAGACACAAGAACATTGAAATTAGGCCAATTAATAAAACTACAATGACCTCTAAGTGTTTCAGTGAAAGAATCTCACACCTCTCACTTTAAAACAAAAGCTAGAAATGATTACGCTTAGTGAGGAAGTCAGGTCAAACCCCAGAGAGGCCAAAAGCTAGGCCTCTTGTGTCAGTTGGCCAAGTTGCACATGAAAAGGAAAAGTTCTTAAAGATAATCAAAATAGCTATTCCTGTGAACACATGAATCATAAGAAAGCAAAACAGTCCTATTACTGATAATGGAGAAAGTTTTAGTGGTCTAGATAGTTCAGACCAGCTATAATATTCTGTTAAGCCAAAGCCTACTCCATAGCATAGACCTAACTCTCTTCAATTCTATGAAGGCTGAGATAACTGAGGAAGCTCAGAAGAAAAGTTTGAGTGTAGCAGAGGTTAGTTCATAAGGGTTAGGGAAAGAAGCCACCTCCATAACATAAATGTGCAAGGTGAAGCAGCAAGTGCTGAAGTAGAAGCTACAGCAAGTTATCCAGAAGATCTAGCCAAGATAAGTGGTGATGATGGCTACATTAAATAAGAGATTTTCAGTGTAAACAAAACAGTCTTGGCCAGGTGTGGTGTCTCACGCCTATAATCCTAGCACTTTGGGAGGCTGAGGAGGGCGGACCACCTGAGGTCAGGAGTTCAAGATTAATCTGCCTGGCCAACATGGTGAAACCCCATCTCTACTAAAAATACAAAAATTAGCCGGGCGTGGAGGTGCATGCCTGTAATCCCAGCTACTGGGGAGGCTGAGGCAGGAAAATCCCTTGAACCCAGGGGGTGGAGTTTGCAGTGAGCTGAGATCGTGCCATTGCACTCTAGCCTGGGTGACAGAACAAGACTCCATCTCAAAACAAAAACAAAAACAGTCTTGTAGTGGAAGATGCCATCTAGGACTTCATAGCAAGAGAGAAGCTAATGACTGACTTTAAAGCTTCACAGGACAAGTCGACTCTCTTGTTAGGAGCTAATGCAGTTGGGGACTTAAGTTGAAGACAATGCTCAATTATCATTCTGAAAATTGTAGAGCCCTGAAGAATGATACTAAATCTCCTTTGTGCTCTATAAATGGAACAACAAGGTCTGGATGATAACAACTGTTTATAGCATGGTTTAATACATATTTTAAGCCCATTGTTGAGACCTACTGGTCAGAAAAAAATATTTCTTTCAAAATGTTACTGTTCATTGACAATGCACCTGGTTACCCAGGATCTCTGATGGTAAGGAGTTTCATGTTGTTTTCATGCCTGCTAATATAACATCCATTCTGCAGCCAATGGAACAAGGAGTAATTTTGACTTTCAAGTCTTATGATTTAAGAAATACATTCTATAAGGCTACAGTAGCTATAGTGATTCCTCTAATGAATCTGGCCAAAATAAATTGATAGCCTTCTCAAAAAAATTCACCATTCTAGATGTCCTTAACACCATTTGTGATGCATAGGAGATCAAAATATCAACATGAACAAGAGGTTGGAAGAAGTTGATTCCAACCCTCATGAATGACTTTGAGAGGCTCAGTAATTCGGTGGAAGATGTAGTGTGAATAACAAGATAACTACAATTAGAAGTGGAGCTTGAATATGTGACTGAATGACTGCAATCTCATGATAAAACATTCATGGGTGAAGAGTTGCTACCTATGGATAAGCAATGAAAGTCGTTTCTTGAGATAGAAGCTACTCCTAGTGAAGTTGCTGTGAGCATTGTTGAAATGACAACAAAGGATTTAGAATATTACACAAAATTAGTTGATAAAGCAGCAGCAGCTTTTGAGATGATTTACTCTAGCATTGATAAAAGGTCTACTGCGGGTAAAATGCGATCAAAAAACATCATGTACTACAGAGAAATCTTTTGTGAAAGAATGCCACAAGCTCGTCATTGTCTTATTTTAAAAAATTGACACAGCCATCTCAAGCTTCAGCAACCACCACCCTGATCAGTCATCAACCATCAAACATCAAGGAAAGATTTTCCCAGCAAAATATTTTTATGACTCTCTGAAGGCTGAGATGATTGTTAGCATTTTTTGGTAAAAAGTAGTTTTTAATTAAGGCATGTGCTTTTTTAGACATAATGATATTGCACATTTATAGACTATAGTATCATGTAAGCATAACTTTTTTTTTTTTTTTTTTTTGAGATGCAGTCTCGCTCTGTCACCCAGGCTGGAGTGCAGTGGCGCAATCTCGGCTCACTGCAAGCTCCGCCTCCCGGGTTGGCACCATTCTCCTGCCTCAGCCTCCCCAGTAGCTGGGACTACAGGCGCCCGCCACTGCGCCCGGCTAATTTTTTGTATTTTCAGTAGAGACGGGGTTTCACCGTGTTAGCCAGGATGGTCTCGATCTCCTGACCTTGTGATCCGCCTGCCTCGGCCTCCCAAAGAGCTGGGATTACAGGCGTGAGCCACCGTGCCCAGCCCCAAGCATAACTTTTATATGCACTGGGAAACCAAAAAATTTGTGTGACTTGCTTTATTGCAATATTCACTTTATTGTGGCTTTTTGGAATGAAACCTACAAACTCTCTGAGGGAATAAGGGATTTAGTTTTTGTATAAAAATATCTTTATTTTGGCGTCTTCATTTATTTAATGACAATTCATCAAAACAGATAATTTTAGGTTGGCAGGTCTTTGATGATAACACTGTTTCATTAAAGTTTCACTCATCTCATTGTTACAAGAAGTTGGTGTGGGGATATCACGGTATCTATAATTATTTTTCCCTCTTAGTCAGCTAGACTTATATTCACTGAAATAATCTGGATAATCTATTTTATTCTCAATTGTAATATTCAATTATATTCCAGATGATAAGATCATTATTAGGATGGACTGCTAGTACACAGAGAGAGATGAACATACAAGCAAAGGCATAACATGTTATTGTGACTATAACAGAAGATAGAGTTTAGAAAGGAAAGAAAATGCCAGAAAAACCAAAGTGGAACCTGTAGCAGTTGTCAGTGTCCTACTCATTTACCTTCACACTCCGCATGTCGATATACATACGCCTGACATCAACTGCTTGAGAAACTTTTTTGGAACCCAATCTGGCTTTGCCACCTAGAGATCAGCTTGAAGTTCCCAGGATTTGATGTCATCCCAGGAGCAAGTATTAACCAGTGACTCACAAGACTTCCTCATGTATATGAACCCCAGCTCCCTCCACCTCCCTCAAACGTTGGGCAGAATAACTCCAATATACAAGTTTTACGTTACCAAGACCACTCTCCACTTACAGGAATAAGTTGCTTGTTGAAGAACTCTGCATGGTCTATATTTGCTCATTTCCATTCCCTTTCTACCTTGTTCACTCTCCTACTGGTGTTTCCCGAGATCACCTATAAAATAAGTTATATTACAAAATAAACAATTCAATCTTGATCTCAAGATGTACTTCCAAGGGGACATAAATTAACACAAAATCCAATAAAGGGAATGGTCAACTGTCTGTTAACCGGAGATAGAGCATGTTGAAAATTAAGGAATTCAGCAGTGTCTCAAAGCAAAGTCACAGCTTCTGCTGAGGATCTCGCTGTTCATATTTCAGCGGTCACTCAGGAAGAAATCACTTTAGGGAATGTGGGTCACCAGTGAATGACATTTGAAAGGCAGATTGGTCACTAGAAAGAATAATAAGATGGAAAAGAAAAAGTGTACCAGAAAGTCCAGCAGTCATAATCCTTCAACTAAATCTCAGGTAATAGTATAGCAATATAAGATAATAATAATAATAAATAAAATAAATTCCAGCCAACTGACAAATAGGAAATCCAATGTGATTTCTCTGATTGGTGTTATGGCAGTGAGAGATTTAAATCAAAGGATGAATTATGCACAATAACAGTTTAATATGAATCACATTGACTGGTTTTCCCCCTATTCTTCTCTAGGCATATTTAAGCACTGCCTAAATTCTTTTAGCCAGGCATCTTTGAGGAAATTTAAAATTATATGAGCAACCGAATACTATTTTTAATCAAGTTCAAATCCTTCATGATATGTTTCTTAGGAAATATATGTTAGCGGTGCTCTAATTTCAACAAAGCTACCTAAGAACCATCTCCTTAGAAGATTCATATTATAATTCATTTTAAATTTCATCATGGTATTAATAGTTTATCCTGCTATACATATTGTGTATTGAAATTGTACAAAAATTCTAGCTTGGTATGGGAGAAGAAAAATAAACACTTGTAATGTACTACATAAAACCAGAGAAATTAGACACAGAGAACTAGACATAGTTATGGACCGTTGCCATTATATTCTCCCAAGGTCACACGACCAAGGTGAAACTTCAAAAGCCTAATAAAGTGTGTGTCATGTAAATAGTTATAAAAAACAACTTTCTGATAGAATTTAAGAGATGAGAAAGCTCAGAATACGATTTAAGTAAAGTGCAACAGTATTTGCACTTAGGGCTTCTATTGGAAAGACATTTCATACACTGATTCAGAGTATAATGGGCTTGTCTAAGGCAAACTATATGTAATTTATTGCATACATAGAACATTTTTTATGTAGATACTTTCTGTAAAGTCTTTTATTCTCCCAATTGCTATGTTTCCATATGGAGAACATCTTTATCTTCAAGGAACTGAAGGAACTTCTTTGTTGCCAGAAAAATGTAGGAGTAAGAATGTTTTACTAGGATTAATATTCTTTCCATCTGGCATTTTACTATTTGAGCCACATTATAAATAATACTTTTAACAACAAATAAAGGTTTAAGGGGTCATTAGTTTAAGTGTAATATTTTAAAGACAAAATATATTTAAAAGGAGCCAAATGAATGTCTCTGAGGACCTAATTAAAATTTAAGAATTTATAATAGAGTCTTGAAAAGCTAAATAAGATACACATAGTAACAAACTATAATAATACTAGAGAACTTTTTTTGCAAATAGACTATATCAAACATTTCAGTTTAGAGGCACAAGGTGTAATGTTCTCAGAAATGAAAGTAGAATTTAAACATTATGTGCTCATTTTATTTGCCCTAATATAAACACCAGGGAAATAACCTTTCCATGAAACAAAAACTGTTTCTGATAGACTCACAAAGACATTGTAGACGTTCTCTGTCTCTGTCTCTGTGTGTGTGTGTGTGTGTGTGTGTGTTTATGCGTGTGCATGCACAAACATATCCCTGGGTACACAGAAAGAATACAAAGACATAGAGACTTAACTTCAAAGAACAGTGATAAATAGCATCACATCAAGTTGAAGAAACATGCCACGCAGAACAGGTTTGGACTTGAGTCAACAGACAACAGATTACAGGAGCACAGTTAACTACACACTTCAAAAAGAGGTGGCCCACAGACAACAGCAAAGTATCATGGCTACAAATGTCTTCAAAAATGTGAAATGGAATAGTTTTATATGCAGCTTTGATTGCTTAAAAATATGTGTTTAAAACAAAGCTTTTGAAAATTCTAATAGCTGCCCAAGTACTAGTCTGAATAAACCAGAAATGCATGGGAGGGCTACAAGATTACAGTTATTTAAACACAGGAAAGAAACAGATAATGAGGAGTGCTATGTTTCTACCTCTGCTTCTGTGATTTAGAGAGGTCTCTTTCCTTAAGATTTCTGACTCATAAAATCATTCATATACTGACCTGGAAGCTGGGTTATTAGATTTCTTCTCAAATTAGGCAACTTGGTGAAGATCAAAATTTTAATTAATTGTTCTGTTTTCATGAGCAAGGAGTCAGGAAAACCCTCTTCATATCTTATAGTTTGTCATTTGCCCTCGTTGAAGGAAGAATAATTGTACATAGGGAAGCTGGGATATTTCAAAAGTTGTACAAGTGATGCTGTGAGAGTCTCTCTGCAGACGCAAAACTACTCTCACAGACACAGGCATTCATAGCCCTGACCAAGCTCTTATTGAGAGGTGAAAGACTGAAAGTATAGTAACGTACTGATGGCAGTGAGGTTCTCTGGGAACAAGTTTAACTTTTGAACATGCCAATTGATATAACAACATGGAGAAATAAGGGGATTCTGATTGATTTTATTTCTTATGTTTCTTTCTTTTTTTTTTTTTTGGCTCATCCTGCGTTAGCTACGCACTCCTTCCTGATCTTCCTTAAGCATTCCATGTGTGTCTCTATTGACACCCTTGCAGGGCCTTTTTTCTGGAGTTTCTTCCCCAGGTGTCCACATGGCTTACTCCCTCCATCCATTCAGGTCTCTGAACAGCTGTTGCTTTCTAATAGAGCCTTGACTTGAACACTTTATTTAAAATGGTGCCCCGGTTATTTTTAAAAACTTATTTCACAGCTCCCATTCATTTTATCTTGTTTAGTTTGAAAATTGTCTGTTTCATTTCTCCTGAATGTGTCTCCATTAGGGCAGATTTTTGTTGGTTTTATTCAGTGCCTTATCCCAGTATTGTAGAAATGCCTGGCACATTAAAAAAAAGTTATTACTTTTGTTGTTCAATGAAAAACACAGTATGTGCAAGCACTGGATTCCATTCACTGGAAAAAATATTTAGTGTGTTTTTATTATGCGTTAGACTCCACACTAGACCCAACTATTACCAAATCTCTACATAAAACATGTTTGTGTTCAATGATAGATTCTAATCACCACTCATGTTTGTCAGCAAATCATATTTTAAATCTTTAATTCATTTATTAACATATACTGGCAAAAGTATTTTGAAAATGCCTAAAAGTAAGTACTAATAAAAAATTTAAATGACAATATCTTCATTGTATTTGGACACTATAGGAAAAATCTGTGAGATATAGAGAACAAGCTTCAGTTGCTTATGGCATCATTGGAAGAACCACAGCTGCTGTTCTATGTTCTCCTCTTCCCCTCATAAGCATGGAATTCGTTAACTTTATCCTCTGCGTCCATGTTAGAATGTAGATTGAAATGACAGGTATAAAAATGCAGCAAAATTACATATGTAAATTGTATCTAATCATTACATTAATAGGAATTAGCCACTCGAATACAAAGACAGATATAGAAAGAAAAATTGAATACAATAAAATTATCGGCCTTTGCTATCTATCTTTCTATATAGATAGATAGCACAAAGGCTGATATATATACATACATATGTACTTGAGATTCAAAGACACAAACAGGTTGAATGTGCAAAGATGGAAAATAATGTACCATATAAACAGAAACAAAAGAAAGCTGAAGTGGTTATATTAATATTTTTTAAAAAGTATTTAGGACACAGATTTGTTAACAGAGGAAAGGACTGAAATACATGCACATAAAAATAGTGTGCTAATGCACAGAAGACATTGCTGAACTTGAAAAGAGAAATAGACAATTGAAAGAGACATAACTGACATACACAGACCCTCCAATTAACAGCAGAATACACATTCTTCTCAAGTGCGTATGAACCATTTTTCATGATAGACCATATGCTAACACCTAAAACTAGCCTCAGTACATTTAAAAAGATAAAATCATATCAAGTATGTTATCTGATCACAATATCTGATCACAAATTCACAAATATATGGAAATTAAACACCACATTGCTAAATATTCAATGGGTCAAAAAAAGAAGTAACGAATAAAAGTATAAAATATTTTGAGACGAACAAAAACAAAAAACACAATATACCACAACATTTGGGATGTAGCTAACACTGTGCTTAGATAAAAAAAAATAGCCATAAGCATATACATATGAACAAAGATCTTGAATCAAGAACCTAACTTTTCAACATAAGAAACTAGAAAATAAAGAGCAAACTAACCTCAAAGCAAGATGGTAGAAAATTAGAGCAGAAAAAGTGAAGCAAATAATGAAAAATAATAGAATCAATGAAACCAAAAATTATTTATTGAGAAGATTAAAAAACAAAATTTTATCTAGACTTACAAAAGAAAAAATGATTCAAATGATTAAAATAAGCAATAAAAGAGGGATCATTGCAAGCAATCTTACAGAAATAAAAAGGACTATTAAGTAAAACTCTGAGAAACTGTATACCAACTAATTATACAGACTAAATGAAATTCCTACAAAGACACAAACTACTGACACTGATATCAAATTAATAGAAAATTTTAATAAACTTTTAACAAGTAAAGGGATTGAATTAATAACCCAAAAGAACCCCCAAAACCCCAAACTTGTAAATTTAAAAGTGCTCCAAATATAAAGTCTACTTAACTAGTTAAAATGGAGGGAAAAAAAAATCACACAAAGAAAAAGGAAGCCAGGACCAGATGGCTTCCTTGGTGGACTCTCTCAAACTATTCACAATAGCAAAGACTTGGAACCAAGCCAAATGTCCAACAATGATAGACTGGATTAAGAAAATGTGGCACATATACACCATGGAATACTATGCAGCCAGAAAAAATGATGAGTTCATGTCCTTTGTAGGGACATGGATGAAGCTGGAAACCATCATTCTCAGCAAACTATCGCAAGGACAAAAAACCAAACACCACATGTTCTCACTCATAGGTGGAAATTGAACAATGAGAACACATGGACCCAGGAAGGGGAACATCACACACCGGGGCCTTTTGTAGGGTGGGGGGAGGGGGGAGGGATAGCATTTGGAGATATACCTAATGTTAAATGACGAGTTACTGGGTGCAGCACACAAACATGGCACATGTATACATATGTAACAAACCTGCACGTTGTGCACATGTACCCTAGAACTTAAAGTATAATTTAAAAAAGAAGAGAAAATATGTACCCTTTATACAGTCTTCCAAAAAGTCAGAGAATGAAAATATTTCCCAACTCATTCTATGAGACCATTATTACCCTGATACCAAAATTAGACAAATAATTGGACAAATTAGACAAATAATTCCAAAATCAGACAAATAGTAATACCAAAATTAGGCAAAAGAAACCCTGCAGACCAATACTGCACATACAATGTGAATATACATATTAAATTCCTCAACAAAATACTAACAGACAAAATCCAGCAAAATATAGAAGAGATTACATACCATGACCAAGTTGTCTTCATCCCAGGAAAGCAAGATAGGTTTAATTAGAAAAATCAAGCAAGATAATACACTATATTAATATAATAAAAAGCAAAAACCCCACAAAAATCTCACCACATTTATATATATATATATATAAAGCATTTATAACATCTGAGCTTTTTATGATAAAACACTCAACAAACTAAGCATAGAAGGGAACTTCCTCAACCCAATAAAATGTATCTATGAAAAACACACAACTAGCATCAAATTTAATGGTTTAAGAATGAAAACTTTTTCTCCTAAGATCAAGACCAAGACAAGGATAACTACTCTCATCATTTATTTTCGAAATTGTAGAGGAAGCTGTAGTCAGGGCAATTAGGCAGAAAATAAAAAATAAGTAATGACTTTCAGATAAGAAATAAAGTATAGATCTGTATCTATTGATATATCTATTGCAGATGATATTATCTTATATAGAGGAAATCCTAAAGGATTTACAAAACAAAACAAAAAACAACTTGAAAATGAATGATTTCAGTAAGGTTGCAGAATACAACATCAATAGGGAAGAATCAATTGTATTTTGTACACTAGCAATGACAAATCCAAAAATGAAATTACTAATACCATTATATTTTTATTGCTTCAAAAATCAAAATACTCAGGAATAAACCTCATAAAGAAATACAAGATCTGTACCCTGAAAAAAACAAAACATTGCAAAAATAAATTCAAGAGGACCCAGGTAAATGGAAAGACATTCTATATTCATGGATCAGATAACTTAATATTTCTGAATCAGTAATACCTCCTAAACTCTTTTACAGACTTTATTTAATCTCTATTAAAATCCAGTTTTCTTCTTTTGCAGAAGTTTACTAGTTTGTCCTAAAATTCATATGGAGATGCAAAGAACCCAGATTAACCAAAGAAATATCCTCCTCAGCTACAGAGGAAATGGACAAGGGAGACACGAACCTAGCAAATAATGCAGGATCAGGGAGTAATCAAGTAATTTCCCCACTCCCAAGGCAGGATATCCTTGCAATGTCTACCTAGAGCAGTTCAGATAGTTGTGAACCAGTGACTACTGTTTGGTTTTGTTCTGTTTCTCTAACATTTCATACCTCTTTTATTCCAAGTGGGAATATTGGCTACTATTAATACTGTCCTAGGTACTACACATATACATTCTTTATGCATATACTTCTATAATAGTTGAAATACAAGTGCCTTAGCTATGTCTGGTCAAAATGGGAATAAATTTTTGGAAATCCTAATATAAAGATGGATGAAATTACTTCCTGCACTGAACTTTGGGATATGTTTCTTTGCAAAAAGTCAGCATATACTGTGTGTGATAAAGAATGAAATAAATACTTAACAACTAGAAGGGAAGATTCTGGCAGAATTAATCAATCCCATTTTTTTTTTCTGTACACACATGCTATCTTTCCTATATACTTCCCAGCAGGGAGGGCCATGTGACTGGCCAACAGAATGGGGGTAACTATGAAAGACACCTCTATGCCTGGAACACTAAACCTGCACAAGCCTCCACAGCTCTGTCCCTCATTTTACATCCTGGCTGGATTCAAAGCATACTGGGGAGGATTCTAAATCCACAGCTTTGGTGAATCCACATCATGGAAGAAGCCTGAATCAGATCATGTTACAGAACCTTCCTACTGATCTTTATTGTATTGTGACATGAGAATGAAGTGAACCTGTAATGTCTTAAGTAAGTGAGGAACTGGCATTTTTGTCTTGCTACCATCATTATCTCTCTCCAAGGAATCAGATGCCGTGGGATGGATGGTCTAGCTTCTTCTCTTCCATTTCCTTCTTTCATCCCAGGATTCCCCTCAGCCACTTCTTGACCATTGACTCTTTGGAAGTATCTTTCCCCTTCCTCTTTCACTGGCATTTGAGAGGGAAATGGGAAATTTCTTAGAGAAATATTTGCACAAGAGGAGTCAGAGAACTCACGTCTTCCTTGTTACTGGGTTCTGGGTCCTGAGGTAGAAGCTACTTAAGGCGAGACTACATAAATAGCTGGAGGAATAAGAACTGAGGAAGAAAACGGGCTTGCCGTTCTCTGAGATGGTAATGGTGGTGGGAATGGGTGGATACATGTACACAGCTAGAGTAAAATGCTAGAATTCAGATCATTTTTCTTTCTAGATGACAGTAACAGGTAGAGGCTTAGTGTCAGGCAAGAAATGTACAACCTTTTTTTTTTTGTTTTGTTTTTTAAATTCCACACTACCATGGAAGAGCACTTGATTCCACCTGTGCCACACGGGGAGTTTGGCTGTTCCCTGTGATGTTGGGAATCTAAGAATACGCCTCCTGTTTTTTTCCTCCCTTTGATTAAAATGATAGGTGATCTGTGGACAGAAAGGATCTATGTCTTGGATTGTCTCCAGTTAAATTCTCATCTCTAGGCGAGCCTGAGTCTATCTCTCAAGTACCATGATCCTCTTCACAGAATCCTTGACTCTGCTTCACTCCATGGCGTATGTTTTGTTTTTTCCTTCTCATAAGCCTCTGAGTCACAAATTAGTTAAAATAAAATATGATTGGGCACCATCTATGTACCAGAAACTGTCCTAGTATTGGAGATGCAAGCGTAAACAAAATAGAAAAAATATCATGCATTTATAGTCCTGACATTCTAGTGGGAAAAATTGGCTACTGCTTTCACATGAATTTGTGCCATGGACCTCCATATTACAAACGTTTAACACTTAATTATACCTCATGTTCTGTGTATAATTGAATATGGACTATGCTTCTCTCCTGAGGGGAAAAAAAGTGCTTTAAATAAAGAAAAATGTATTGATTTTTATTGACATAGAATAATAAATATATGATTAATGAGGCCTATAAGTCAAGCAAAACAGGGAGAAAATAATGATACCTAGAGGTCAGATTCAAGGGTGAAAAGCAGCAATGGGCAATTTGGACCTACTCTACAGAAATAGGAAAGAAAATTATTATATTTAAGAAGAAATACATTGAGAAAAATATGCATAATTTTCTGAGAGAAAGCAGGTTTCAAAAATAGTCATATCTGTACAACTTGACACTTTTTATGTAATTCACCCTGTGGAAGCTGCTGTGTTTTGTCATATCCATGGGCGATTTTGAGCTGCAGGAGCTGGTTAGTACATGGGAATATAGATAGACAAGGTAATGTAGCACTCCAATTTGTGGTCCTTGCCTCATTATAAATCCAGCTTTATGCAAGTCCTGTCTGAGTGACACGGAAGTTCCGGTTCTGTCTTTCAGGACTTTTCTCTACTTCCTCCTAATTTACTCCAGCTTCTTGCTTCACCATCACTTGAGCCACCTTATTACTCTGAGTGCACACTTAATTACTCTTTGCATTTAATTTGGCTTATCCATGAAATGGAAAAGCAACAAGATGCAAAACACTTGTCAAGTATTTGCAGATTTTATTTGAAAGTTACATTTTAATTAATATTGTTAACTGTAAGAGTCATTGACTGAAATCACATAGAATAGTATGTCAATTATTATTTTTAAAAAATTGTATCTTAATAGATATTTTAATTTAGATATTAAGACACTACAGGATGGGGTTGGGGGCAATTTGTACAAAAGAACTAAGTGAATGTAAGTGGAATGTTTTTGTTGTTACCAGTTTGGTAATAAACCTGCTGTGAACATTATTGTATTTGTCTTTTAGTAAATATAGGTACCGATTTTGATTTTAATTGAAAGGCTGTGTCATGGGGTATATGCATGTTAAATTTTAGCAATTAAACCAAACATTTTCCCGAAGTGGGTATACTCCAAAACTCAAAATTGTCAGATAAAACAGTGCAAAACCAAAGAGAGCGTTTGATTTTGAGAAGGATCTATCCGCCTTTAATTTCTGGGATTTCATGAGGAAAACAGAGTTTGTCTGTTTATTTGTTTTTCACAAAACAGAGTCTGTGGCACATCCTCTGTTTTTCCCAAAAAAAGTCTCATGCTACCAGAAGTTATCTTAGGGCCTCTCATGTGTGCATTAAGAGTGGAAAGACAAAAAAATAGAGAAAAATAATTCAGTTGACTGAGACAGTTTTTGAACTTTACTAAAAGTAACCTCACAGGTGAAACCAACATGGCTTAATTAGGTTATGACTTAATTTCGAGTGTACGAGGAATTTTCAAAGGGGTGATAAGCAGCTTTTGAAGCCATCATTGCAAAATTGTGACTGAGATAGTGAAAAAAATCTGACCCAACCAACTTCATTTTGTTTCTAGCTTCCAACCTGTCCTTGCCCATCCCTGGGCGTAGGCGAAACTAACTTTGGGAGGAGCCTGGTTTACAGTTTATAGTCTAAAACAAAGATGGTAACAGCCCCTTTTTAAAAATATTTTTCCCTCTTTCCTGGGGACCAGACCAAAAAAATAGCTGCAAGATTAGAAACCATCACCTAGGAGTCACAGAGCTGGAGGCTACAAGATTTTGACCCTCCCAAAATTGCTTTCAATCATTGTTTAAGACATTTTATAAACACTGCCCTTGATGGATCAGCTGGCACCACCCACACTGATAAACTGGCTTACCTGATTTTGTGGCCACCACCCAGAAATGGACTTAGCACAAGGAGACAGCCACCATTGTAAAATAGTAGAGACTAAAAAAAGTATTGCCACGTGGTTACAGGTCATGTTGCCAAGGATGTGAAACAAGATGGAGGCCTATAGCCATGTTTGTAACTGACCATTTTATGGGGCTGCCTTGAACAGTAGGCTTATGGTACCCTGGGCCTGCATTCTAATGTAAGGTACCCTTTCTTTTGACAGCACCATACAGAAAGACATGCAAAGCAAGCCAGAGTGCCTACAGCTTACAACCAACTTCACTAGAATCCTATTTCATTGATTAAAACTTTAAAAAGAATATAAACAGTGATCCTTACTATCCATTTTGCCAGTGTGCATAGGTAGAGAGAAGCCAAAAGCTTGACTGTTAAGAAAAAAAAAAAAGAAAACAAACAAACAAACAAAAACAAAAAAAAGAAACTTTAACCCTTTTGCCAGCAAGTCAGGCTTCTGGGTTCCTTTCCCCCTACCTCAACTCTAAGCCAAGCATTTTAAGGTTTGGAGAAATTAAATTTCCCTAGTTTGGAGGAACATACAAGAAGAGAAAGGAGCAATTTTAAACCATGAAAGAAGGAAAAACACCATAGAAAAGTCTGAGGGTTCCAATTAGGTTTGTCAAGAGGTACTGCCTGTCTTCATATTGGAAATGTTTCCCCTATTTCTTCACTTTTCTTATTTTCTCTTTTCCGTTTAGGCCTGCAGTAGGAAATATATTGCTCATCACCAAATTACTCCGCTGCCTGCAGAGCTGCCTGCTTCTCAGCTGCTGTTAGGGTTTGGCTTAGGAGCAGCACAACATCCCTCCATGAGAGGTCAAATACGTGAGTTAAATTTTGGAAAGCTATATTCCTATCAGGGTCATTAGAAAATTGGCCTAAGTCTCCCTTTATTTGTCTAAGGTGCTGTATTGACAAGGGATCACGAAGGGGCCCCAGATAAGAGGGATCCTCAGATGGTTCTCCTGGAAGTTGCTTCTCTAATTTTGGGGTATTATTATCTTTGGGCCTGCCTGATATGATTGCTAAAAGGGCTGGTTCAGTTGTGCAATGCTTGCAAAGGTCTGGGTTGTCTAACATGGCAAAGAAAGTCTGTACATAAGGGTCCTTGAACCATTTGCCCTCCAGTCTGCAGGAAAGGTTCATTGTTGGACAGTTTTAAAATCATGGCTTCCCTCCACAGACCAGGCTGGTTCAAGAGGATAAGAAGGTCATGCCTTCGTGCAAAAGAAAATGAGCTGCTTTTTCTTTAAAGTCTCAGGATAAAAGGAGCCCCAGTGCTTCTGAATGCACTCCAGGGAAGTGCAGACTGAAGATGGTACCCACCTAGAAAGAGAAGTGAGAAAAGGCCTCTCTTCAGTTTCCTTCCTTTTGGTGTGACCCAGGGTGGAAAGGAAGACAATGGGGGCATCCCCCCAGCTGTTTTCCCCCTGTAGTCCCTGGGTCCCAGCACCTTGTTGAAAGTGCCACCCATGGTTGCAGGTGTGAACCCCCAGACATGAAACAAGATGAAGTAAGCAACTGGGGTTTGTCATGCACACCCAAGTGGCTCTAGTCCTCTGCCTGTGACTTCCCTTTGACTTCCTAGACTCGTGTGAACTGCCAGGCTCCCTGAAAAATGGATCTTGGGAGAGACTATGTGACACTTGCATTTAGGCAACTGTTGCACTTCCCTCCTTAATGGAGGAAGTGTGCTGGTTTGAACTCTATACCCTGCTATTATGCTACGTGCTAAAGCATTTACTCTTAGAGAATGGTTCTGGTTTGGTTTAGCTTCCAAACTTAAAATCTCCTTACTAATTAAGTATCATTCTAATTGGAGGCAGACTAACTGCCTTAAAAAAATGTAGGGACCAAATGGCCGTTTTCCTGCTGATGGGACAATATGGAGACTAAAATTTGGCTTGGGAGGATAGTTTACTCCTAGTTGTTGAAGGCAGAATTTTCCCTTGTACAGAAGTAGCATAAAGACTGGTTTCTAGTAGAGAGGCACAAAAAGGGGAGATAATTGGGAAGGTAGGGTGTTTTGGAGAAGGACCAACAATGTGCTTCATGGAGAGGATCCCTATTCCACTAGGTTTCGCCGTTGCCCTTGAAATGTCATGTGTTCTCCAGACCAAGGGCAGAGTGACCTTGACCTGCTATGTGCTCTCAAGACCAAGGGCAGAGAGTGACCTGGAATTGCCATGTGCTGTCCAGACCAAGGGCAGAGAGAGACACTCACTGTTGGCAGGAGTAGGGCGGTGCTCTGTTCCTAAAAAATCACAAAAACACCTTTCCTTGAGTTGTATCCCCAGTTACTATGACGTTCTCTAATCTTGCCAAAGTTACTTCTCTGAACTGTCAAACTTCCTGCACATTGCATAAGAGAGGATAAGAAGTATGAGGGTCACAAACAGGAAAGGAGGAAATTAGGATAGAAAAGTTAGAGATCTGGTTGTTGACACCCCATTGGGGCAGTCGGAGGCAGTCGGAGGCTGGGGTCAGTCCAGAAGCCTTTGGATAACACTGAGGGATAGCCCCTGCCAGAAATCCTCAATTGCCCCAGGACTTCTTCCAATCCCATACAATGGCTAAGTCCTCCATGAAAGGAAGCAGGTTTAAACATGGCCAATATACCAAGCAACCCATGGGTGCTGAGAGATTCTCCATGTTCTCCCCAATAAGCCTGTTCCCTAAGTCTTATAAGGCTGGGAGCCATACTAATCGTTTTTAAAATGGCGGAAGGGGTCCCAGTATTTGATTTGATTTGTTTCTAAAATGGAGACCAAGAGCCTTGGAATGAAAGGAGAGAGTTCGAGTCCACTCTTCTACTCACAGTTTGATGAATGTTGTACCTTGATATCCCAGATGAGCCCCCAGTATGAAGCAGCTACATTGTCTGGAGTTTGTACCCTGGAGTTTGTTGTTGCATGCCAGGAAAATTTAGGACACAACACGCATGAGGAGTTTAGGAGCAGAGGTTTAATAAGTAGAAGAGAAGAGAAAGAAAAACAGTTTCCTCTTTAGAGGAAGGGGTCTCCAAGTGGAAAGGACTGGCTGGCAGCTGAGTTTTATAGTCCAGTTTGAGGAGGAAGTGTCTGATTTACATGGGGCTCATAGATTGGTTCAATCACGCATGACATTTACATAGTGCATGGAGAAGGCTGGTCACTCCACCCTAATCTTCTTATTCAAATGAGCTTTCCAGTTGATCAGCACCATCTTGTCTGCTCCTTTACAGTACATGCAGCTAGCAGAGAAAGGAAGATGGAGCCACCATCATGAAAATATCTAGTCCTTAGCTCCTGCTGGCATTCACCTATGCAAGCTCCCAGCTTGCAGGCTGTTCTTTGTTAGAAAATGATTTAGGGTTGCTTTTCATTAAAAAGAAAAGCCTTATGGAGGACTCCCATACCCTTGCTATCTGCCTAAGTTATTTCTTCTGAATTCCTATATCAGCAGCAGGTAAAGAGAGAGCTTGTACAGATAAATTTCCATTTTTAAAACCATCAGATTTCACAAGAGTTCGCTATCATGAGAACAGCATGGCAACGACCAACCCCCATGATTCGATCATCTCCTATGGGTCTTTCCTACAACACGTGGGAATTATGGGAGCTACAAGATGAGGTTTGGGTGGGGACCCGGAGCCAAACCATATCACCCATCTTTCTCTTAGTTCGGTATCTGTGTACACAGAAACTGTCAATACACAATCTTGTTGGTCTCCACATCCAAACTCTTTTTTTTCATATTTTCTTTTCTGTCATTCACAAAATACATATTGTCTATTTATAACACATAAATAGTGTAAATTTTCTGAGGATGATATGTAAGTGGTTTACCTCAAAATTCTTCCTAATAAAATCAGAGTTTTTCTTCAGAGGTTCTAATATTCTTTACTGTCACATTTTTTGAAAGTCTTTCTTGCTTCAAATTTGTTTATACTCTTCTAGGCTGAAGTTCAGACCTTTATGACTGCTATTTACTCTCATTTCTTTATTTCTTTCATTAACATATTCATTTTCCTTGTTTAATAAGCATACATTGGATTCTTATTTTACTAGTCTGGGGGTATAATCCCCTTGCCCCTAAATGATCATTATAATAACAATAATGAAAATAACTCATTTTTTTGTTAGTTACCACATGTTGGGCATTATTTTAAGCTCATTATTTACATTAATCAATTTTGATTTTACCTGCTCAAGAACTTTTTAAGACAGAAAATGTCTCCCTGTTTTACAGATATGAAAACTAAGATTTAGGGTAAATAAATTACCCCCACTGTGAAAAGCAATGGGTTACAGAGCTGCAATTTGAAACCAGGGAGACTGGCTCTGAAATTCCCATGTTGTCCTCAAACTTCTTTTACCAGATGGTGCTTTGCAGGTCCAGGATCTTGTTTTCCCAAACAAAGAATTGGATGCGACAATTACAGATAGCAAAGCAAAGCAGCAGAAGTGTATTAAGGGCAGGCTTACACTCTTGGAGGGGGACAGCGGACTGACCTCACCTCTGCGAGATGAGATCAGCCTCAGTTTGGTGTGCTTTGGGTCTATTCATGTGATGGTTTTTTTCCTTCTCTTCCCATGGCTGCCTAATCTCTAGCCGGTGTCTGCCTTTTTGATTAAAAGATGTGTTGCTTTCTTTGGCCCTTGCGACCGTGGAGGATGGTCACCTCCATCCCGTAATTTTAAGTGCATGCATGATATGCAGTCCTGATGCATAAGCTATAATGAACTGATTATCACATAGTGTTATATTAAGGAAACTTTTTATCTCTAATGCACATAACTATCCCCAAAAAATCTGCCCCTTACTGGTTTGATCTAGATCTTGCTGACCTTGGTGTCCTTTCCCACTTTTTTTTTTTAATCTTACTTTTTGTTTTGGCTGCCTAACTTTTGCCTCTTGTCTTGCCTGTTGCTCATCTGCCCCTTCACCTTGCTTCTCCTGCTTTTACTCATTCCACCCTTTATCCAACTTTTAATTCCTTTTGCTATTCTCTTGCCTGATTTTGCACATTCTCCTGCTTCTATGGTATTCTTTAAATTACTTGGGACTTTTACCCATTGGAATATGTAAATGTTCTCTATGTATTCGTTTTCTCGTGCTGCTGTAGCAAATTATCACCAGTTTAAGCAGTTTTAAACAACACATTTTAAAAAGGTTTTCTTCCCACAGTTTCTGAAGATCAGGGGTCTAGGTATACCTAGCTAGTTTTTCAGCTTCCTCTCCAAAAAGGCAGAAATCAAATATCCCACCAGCCTGGGATATTATCTGGAAGCTCTGAGGAGAGAATGTTCTTCCAGGATGATTCCTGTCTTGGCAGAATTAAGTTCGTTGTGGTTGTGGGGATGACTTTCACGTTCCCTCACTGGCTGTCATCTGAAAGCCTCTCAGCAACTGACATACACCTGGGGTCTTCATCCTTCTCTCCCCTTTCTCCTAACCTGCAACAGAGAATCAAGACCTTCTCATGTTTCTAATTTATCTGACTTCTCCTTCTGCTGAATCTTTGCTATTTCTGACTGGAGAAAATTCTCAGCTTCATAGGTCTCACGTGATAAGATTTATCCCACCTGGATAATCCAAGGAAACTTCCTTATGTTAAGATGTGTAATTTTAATTACCTCTGCAAAGTCACTGTTGCAATGCAACGTAACATAGTTACAGGTCTCAGAGATTAGAACCTGAATATCTTTGGGGGCCTGTACTCATCACTCCAAGGGCATATACTAGTCATTCCCAAAGTTCTATTCCAAAGCTTAGCTTTTGTTCCCTTATTCATTCATTCCATTAATATAAACCTGTTATCGCCCACTCACTTATTTTCCAACACTGTGTTGTTTACTTAGAATTTGAAAGTGTGAAGGCTCTATCTTTAATGATCCACAGTAAAATGAAAAAAAAAAAACAAGACAAATACTCAGTTGTCATTCAACAGGTAAATTATACGACATAAAAGCTCATAAAGTGCCATTACAACATAAAGGAAATGTTCTTAAAAATGCCAATGGGATACTTTTAACTCTTACATCTCACTGGACAAAATTAGCATCCACATTTCTAAAAGAAATAAAGTTTAGTCCACACGAAGAAACGGTTCCTTCTGCCAGTTTTATTGTCCCTCTTTAACTTTGTATTAGTCACTCTTTAACTCAGTGTTGAAATTTTGGAGACTTTTCTCCTCCTGTGTTAGTTTGCTAAGGGTGCCATAAGGAAGCAGTACAAACTGAGTGGCTTAAATCAACAAAAAATTATTCTTTCACAGTACCAAAGGCCAGACATCCAAAATCCAGGTGTCAGTCGGGTTGCTTCTTCTTGGGGGGTTCAGAGGGAGAACGTGTCTCATACATTTCTCCTGGCTTCTGGTGGTTGCCAGCGATTCTTGGTGTTTCTTGGCTTGAAGTTGCAACACTCCAAACCCTGGCTCTGTTTTCACACACTCCATCTTCCCTCTCAGCGTGTCTGGTCTCTGTCTTCATTTCACAGGGAAAGCAGTCATATTGGATTAAGGGCCCATCTACCTTGAGTCTGACCTCAATTTATCTTGGTTATGTAATTTCAAAATAAGGTCACATTTAAAAGTCCCAGATATGAGGATTTGAATGTGTCTTTTTAGGGGTCACAATTCAACTCATGACACTCCTCTTGCTACAATTCTTTATAAATGTAAAAAGCTTTAGAAAATTCTAATTTATGTCTTTCATTTCATTTCTATTACCAGTACTGCAACTTTGTCATACATTTCCCATTGCAGTATTATCACTAGTATTTCTCCCAATAAATGCATTTCAAGATTTTTTTAAAAGGGAAATTGTACATATTATTTATGTGTGTAAGATCATTTTAAAGTCATTTTCATATAGTAATATTTGAGGAATAAATGTATTAAATCAATGCATATATGAGATAAAACATTGAAAACATTAAGACAATTCGTCTGATTTTCCTATATTAATTATTAGATAATCACTTATTTCATTTAAAATATATATGATGGGTTTTTATATATTCCTAGATTGAAAGTAGCCTGAGAGCCAAGAGTGTATCATTTAAGGTTTATGCATGCCAGATTTCATAATGAGGGATTAAGCCTTTTGCTTCATATCACAAAATAGGGAGATAAGCAAATTCTAGATTTCCCTTTAAAATTATTTTTAAATTACTTTCTTATTTGTGTTCATAAACTATAATATCTGATCCTTGGATTTTCCAAATATGTATTTCAGAAAGAAAATTTACCAATGAAAAAATCTTTACAATTTACAATGTACCAAATATCACAATTTTTAAGTCAACACCTGGAATTTGGATTTATACCACATGTGTTTTTTTGCTATGCTCTATCCCAATTGTTCCTGAACTGCATATTTATTTCTCAGATGAATGATTCTTTTAGTTTACATGTTATATTAGTATTTTTTACATACTGATTTACCAGGCCAAAAGATCTGGGCATTAATCTCTATGAGGTATACATTTCATATGAAGTTGATAAATCAACTTTTTTTGTAAAATCACTTTTACAGATTTATTGACTCTACTGTGCTAATTGTAGACCAGATTCATATTATTTAGTAATCTATATAAAATTAGAATATGCATGAAAGCATAACAATTTGTTTTCCTGAGCAAACAGGAGGAACAACTATGAAAAGAGCTGTCTGAGTCAGTGTCATTGTCATTACATCCACTGAAGCCTTGGACAATTCCTCAGAGGTTTTCATAGGTGATATAGATGGTACATTAATATTATGCAATGTATAAGCTAAAGTTAAGTGATTCAAGATCACTTTAAGCTGATTTTTAAATTAGGGTTTGAAATAACATTTTGGTGATAAACTACTTAAAATACTTTTAAGTTATTTCGTAGTCCAAAATATTTTAAAGGAAAAAGAAGAGGATGATTTTGTTCAACTTTCTCTTCCTACCTCTATCTCAAAGAACAGTATTTCATAGTACGTGCAAGCTCTCAGTGTTTATTAATGTTCTTTGACACATTTCTATATGAATGTGTTTTATTTTGCAAGAGACTTATTCAAAACTTTGGTGACACATCAAGGGTTATTACCAATTAGGCTGAAGATAGACATATTTCTTTTACTTTTGTCCTTTATTTTATAATAGTTCAGGCTACTGCACTTCATAGAATATACATATTCATCTCTTTAGCTGTATACAAAAATATCCTCTTAAATCTTACCTAACCAAAAGGTTTCCATTCAAGGTCCACAACAAAATTAGAAATAATGACTCAATCCTGGTGACTTACACCAATTCCTTATTCAATAAGACAGAGGCATTGCATTGTTTTCAAGTGCTGGCAACTTTCCTATATCAACCATAAGTGCCCCAGATGGGTTTCTGATTCTGTCCTCTAAAATTTAGTAGCCTCTGCTGAAATACATCTGAATTTATGGAATCTGGTCATATTTTCCTACCATCAGTATTCTGTTCATCATCAGCTCCTGCTGCGTTCATGCCACCTGCTTGCTCCATCTGTGTGCTTTCTGTTTCGGGCGCCTTGCATCCTTTCTTTGCTTAGTTTTACGTCTACTCAGTCATTAGCTGCAAATGAAGCCTGTTGCTTCCAGTTTGCCAGAAGTGTACTGGGAATCTTACGTTCATTTTTCTTTTCATAATCTTGCTTTACATAAAAATGAATGAAACCTTTAGTCTTTTCATACAATTGTAATGCTTACTGACAGCTTTGTAAATTAAATATTTAGATGCATGCAATTGGTTCAAAGTGAGTGCAGATCAGGGCATACCATTGTGCCTTGAGCAAGAGATGGATGCTTTGAAACTCCTGCACTGGATTATTAAGAGACCCCCAGTGGCCTAAGCACTTTCCTAAGTTATTTCAAGCACTATTGACATAAATTACACGTATACCCACCTTTTTATTTTAATTAGTCATCTCTCAAAAACCTGAGACATATCTTTGAGGCCCCATCAATGTTTTTTTTTTCCTATGAAAAAAGGTTTTTAAAATATGTAGGGAGACATTGGATCAAATAATTTTTCAAATACAATGTTAAATATATTTGAATTGTATTTGAATTACTGAATATATTGTATTTAATCACCAGAAAATAAGTTGCAATTGCTTCGTTGTCATTTATTTATACATGTATTTGTTCCTTAATTATTCAGCAAATATGTATACAGTTTCTACAGTATAGAATGATTGCACTGGACACCTGCTGATAAAGACCTGAAAGGTTAGTGACAAAGCAGCATGCGTAATTGTTCTGACAGAGCTATAAACAGGGAACAATAGATTCTCGTAAGAGAGTCTGACCTAAACTTGGAAGGGCTGTCTGTGAAACAGGGTGGGGTTGGCGAGGAAATTTTCCACAAGAGATTCTACTAATACAAGTAAAATTGGATTAGTGAGGGATTGCATTTCTTTGAAATGAAACAACGAAAGAAAATACTGTTACTCCTTTAAATGAGCATGTTATAATTACATTTTCCCTTTGAGTTGAATTCACCTATTGACAACTTGATCAGGTTTTGTAATTTGTCAGTGTCTACACTTACTACTCTAGTCTGATTTCAGTATTTAATCCTTAGTTTTATTTATTGTCATTTTGTTTCATCCTATCTTATACTCTTATCAAAAATTATCTGAATATTTAAGGAATTCACACAAAGAATATACATGAAAGTGTGAGAATAATGCTAAATCTCTAGTATTCGCCACATAACTTAAATACGGGTGATTCAGCCAATCTGCCAGGATCCTCCTGAAGCTGAGTCACCTCCCTGCAGCATCTCACTCCTCACAAGTAGGTCATATCTACAATTTTGTATCTAGCTGCTCCTCATCCTTTTAAATAAGCCTACCAAATATGGTAGGTAAGTTCTCTTTTCCTTCTAGTTACCATTTTTTTGGTAGATCATATTTATGATCCTAAGGTATAACAGATTTTTAAATCAAGACCCCTAAAGCATACAACATAAATAATAATGATAATTTTGATTACATAAAAACGAAGTGCTTATACTACAACCACCACCACAATAGCAACAAAGACACAAAGAGATAAGCCAGAGATGGGAGAATATACACTATCCAAAACCAGCAAAATATGAGTATTCAGAACACATACAGAATTCCTATGAATCGGTAAGAAAAAGACAAAACCCAAATTAAAATACAGTGAACAATATGAACTAGAAATCCACAGAAAATGAAGTTCTAATGGCCAATGAACAAATGTATTAAAAGAGGGTCTGCTTCCCAACAGATAAAGGGAATGCAAATTAAGACAATGAGAACAATACTGATGATATTTTTAAAACATGTATGAGAATACTATGCACTGACAAGCATGTGAGAAGAAATTCTCATACACTGCTATTAGATTTTATTTATAGATTTATATTTTGTTGCTGTTGTGGTAAGAATACTTAACATAAGTTCTGCCCTTGTCGCAGAGTTTTAGCACAGTGTATATAATGCACTGTAAGTACAATGTTGTACACTGATCCTATTCACCTTGCACAACTGAAAGTTTATACTCATTGGACAGAGACTCTTCATTTCCCCTCCTCCCAGGCCCTGGCAACTACTATTCTACTCTCTATCTCTGAGTTTGACTTTTCTAGATACCTCATATAAGCGCAATCATGTGGTATTTGTCCCTCTGTGGCTGATACGTTTCATTTAGCATTATGTCCTCTAGGTTCATCCACATTGTTGGATTTGGCAGGCTTTCCTTTTTATTTAAAGACTGAATAATATCCCCTTGTACACCACATTTTGCTTATCCTTTCATCCATCAATGGACAGTTAGGTTGATTTTATATCTTGGCTATTGTGAATCATGCTGTAATGAACACGGGAATTCAGGTAAATCTTCAAGATGCTGATTTCAGTTTCTTTGGTTATATACCCAGAAATGGAATTACTAGATGATACGATAGTTTCATTTTTATTTTTATTTTTATGAGAAACCTCCATAGTGTCTTCCTAGCTGGAATTTTCATTAAACATTATTTTTTGTTTGTTCATTTGTTTTTGAGATGGAGTCTCGCTCTGTCCCCGAGGCTGGAGTGCAGTGGCGCAATCTCGGCTCAATGCAGTCTCCACTTCCTGTGCTCAAGCGATTTTTCTGCCTCAGCCTCTTGAGTAGCTGGGACTACAGGTGTGTGCCACCAATGTCTGGCTAATTTTTTATTTGTAGTAGAGTTGGAGTTTTGCCATGTTAGTCAGACTGGTCTCGAACTCCTGACCTCAGGTGATCCACCCACTTCACTCTCCCAAAGTGCTGGGATTACAGGCATGAGACACTGCACCGGGCCTAAACTTTATTTTGAAATACATTTAGATCAACACACAAGTGTAAGAAATAATACAGAGATCTTGTGCAAAAGTTACCCAGTTTCCCCAAAGGTAAAAACTTGATATAGTACAATATTACAAGCAGAAAAATGATATTGACACAATTAACCTCTCTTGTTCACATTTTTGTTTTACATGTATTTGTCTTTCTCTCTGTGTGTGTGTGTGTGTGTGTGTGTGTGTCATATGTTTAGTTATATGCAGTTTCATTGGAGGTATAGATTGGTATATCCAACATCACAATTCTGTCATTACAGAGATTCCTTATACTGCCCTTTTATTAAGACAACTATATCCCTCCTACCCTTCTACCTCAACTCCCCTGTCATGATCCACTGGCTACCACTAATCTGTTCTCTGCCTATGTACAAAGGAATCATATATAAGAAATAATACAGTATGTAACTCATTGGGATTGGCTTATATCACTCAGCATAGTTCTCTTGAGATCCATCCGAGTCATTGTGTGTATCAGTGGTTGGTTTCCTTTCACTATTTGCTAAGTCTTCACATAGATGTAGCACAGTTTGTTGATTTGTGTTTGTTTACTTTTTTTTAATCAGTCAACAGTTTGAAGGACATTGAGATGTTTCCAATATTTGCTAATAGAAATAAAGCTGTCATGAGCATTTGTGTATATATGAACATATGTTTTCATTTCTCTGGGATAAATGCCTGGGAGAGCAATTACCAGGTTGTATGGTAATTGCATTATTTAGTTTCATAAGAAACTGCTAAACTGTTTTTGAGTGGCTGCACTATTTTATTTTTGCATTTTTATGTATCAGTAATCCAGTTATGCTGTGTCCTTGCCAGCGTTTAGTGTTGTCACTATTATTTTTTAAATCTTATGTTAGCTACTCAGATAGGTATGTGGTAATATTTAATTTTCATTTTAATTCTTATTTTCCTAATGGCTAGTGATGCTGAATATCTTTTCATGTGCTGATTTTCCATTTGTATATCTTCTTTGGTGAAGTGCTTAGTTATGAATTTTGTCCATTTTCTGATTTGAATATCAGCTTTGTAGTTATTGAGTTTTGAGTGTACTTTATGTATACCAGACACTAGTTCTTTATACCTTAAGCAAACTAATTCAGGAGCAGAAACCAAATACCACATAGCCTCACTTATAAGCAGAAGCTAAACATTGGGTACATGTGGACACAAAGAAGAGAACAACAAACAGAAACTGGTGCCTATGTGAAGGTGGAGGGTGGAGAAGGGTGAGGATCAAACAGCTACCTATCAGGTACTATGCTTATTACCTGTGTCAAAATAATCTCTACACCAAACCCCCGTGACATGCAATTTTCTTATATAACAAACTGGCACATGTACCCCAAACCTAAAATAAAAGTTAAGAAAAAGTCACATTGGAGAAGCCAAAGGAGGGCTCCTAGGACTCTATTTATTGTTGTAGCATCCTGTGAGTTTGTAATTATTTCAAAATGAAAAGATTTTTAAAAGGTGAAAAGTTACTTGTGGTTTGCAATTATTATTATTTTTTTTAATCTGTAGGCTGGCTTTTATGCTCTTAACAGGGTCTTAGGCAGAACAGAAAATTTTGATGAGGTCCTATATATTGATTTAATATTTATGGATTATACTTTTGTTGTCAAACACAAGAAATCTTTGATAAGCCTCGGTCTCAAGAATTTTTTTCTGAAAGTTTTGTAGTTTTACATTTTGCATTTTACAGTTAAGTTCACGATCCATTCTTGGTTTATTTGAATGCAGGGTGCAAGTACTCAGTTGAGGTTCATATTTGTGCCTACAGAAGTCCATATGTTCCAGCACCATTTGGTGATTGTTCCTCCATTTGAGCACTTACACATTTTCATCAAAAATCACTTGAACGTATATTTGTGGGTTCATTTCTAAGTTCTCTGTTTTGTTCTATTGATCTGTGAGCCTGTTCCTCTCCAATACCACACTGTCTCGGTAACTGTAGTTGCATATTAAACCATAATATTTAATAAAGTAATCCCTCCAATTTCATTCTATTTCCAGAGTGTTTTTGCTAAACAAGTTTCTTTGTTTTTCTATATACATTTTGAATAGTTTATGTCTTAAAACTCTGAGATGCTGTTAAATTTATAGCTCAAGCTGGGGCACATTGATATGTTTGCTACGTTGAGTCTTTCGTTTTATGGACATGATATGTGTCTCTGTTTATTTAATGGCGATATTTATTTCAGTAGTATTTTGTAATTTTAAGAATACATATCCCGTATATTTTGTTAAGATTGTAGAGTGCTATTTAATTTCATTTGGGGTATTTTTACATGTTTTTATGCTTTTAATTTCATCTTCTATACAGTTCACTACCAGCATTTAAAAATGTGATCGCTGGCCAGGTGCGGTGGTTCATGCCCGTAATCCCAGTACTTTGGGAGGCTGAAGAGGGCATATCACTTGAGGCCAGGAGTTCGAGACCAGCCTGGCCAACATGGTGAAACTCCATCTCTACTAAAAATACAAAAATTAGCCAGGCATGGTGGTACACGTCTATAGTTCCAGCTACTTGGGAGGCTGAGGCAGGATAATTGTTTGAAATCGGGAGGCGGAGGTTGCAGTGAGCTGAAATCACACCCCTGCACTCCAGCCTGGCTAACAGAGTGAGACTCCATCGCAAAATAAACAAATAAATAAATAATATAAAAATATTTTTAAAAGTGTGGTTGCTTTTTGCATCTTGATCTGATATCCTGAAACCATGCTCAAGTCATTTATTTGTTGTAGGAGGATTTTTGTAGGTTTCTTGGGGGTTTTCATAAAGATACTCATCTGAAAATTGAGATTTTTAAAACATTTTTTCTTTCCTATCAGTAGGCTTTTTTTTTCCTTATTGCTGTGGCTAGACTTTCAGTACTATGTCAAATAAGAGTGACAAGAGTTCTGTAAGCAGACAGTCTCTCCGTGTTCATGATCTTGAGGTAAAACCATTCACTCTTTCAACATTAGGGGTGATGTTAGCTGTAGGGTTTTTGTAGACATTTGTTATCAAGTAAAGGTAATTCATTTCTAGTCTTAACATTTTGAGTGCTTTTAAAGGAATGTGTGTTGTATCTTGAAGAGTGAGTTTTTCTTCAGGTGATATGATTTTTTTTTTTTGTCTTTTGCTATATGGATTGCACTGGTTGATTTTCAAATGTTGAGTCAATTTTGCATGCCTCTAATGCTTCACGCTTAGTCATGTTGTGTAATAATTTTTGTATGTTGCTGGATTTAATCTGCTACTTTTATTTAAGGGACAGCATCTCCCTCTGTTGGAGTGCAGTGCAGGCTGGAGTGCATTCGCGCAATCCTAGCTCACTGCAGCATTGAACTCCTGCACTCGGGATTCTCCCACCTCAGCTCTCCAAACAGCCAGGACTATAGGCACGAGCCACCACCCCCGGCTAATTTTTGTATTTCTTTTGTAGAGACAGGGTCTTGCTATGTTGCCCATGCCGGTTAACTCTGTGCTCAAGCAATCCTCCTGCCTCGGCCTTCCAAAGTGTTGGTATCACAGGCGTAAGCCACAGCTCCCAGACTTAAAGCAATTTTTTTGTTTTTATTCTAAGTTAATGAGAGAGAGCAGCCTGTAGAGTTTTATCGTGTATTTTGTTTTGTTTTGTTTTTTTACACTGTTTGATCAGATCAGAGTAGTTCCCGCCTCATAAACAGTTTGGAAGTGTTTCCTCCTCTTTTATTTTCTGTAAGAGATTATGTAAATTTTATGTTTTTATTTTTTGCATGTTTAGAAGATCCCCAAGTGAAGACATCTCAGCCTAGAGATTTCTTTTTAGAGGGCTTTTAAATTATGAATCTAATTTCTTCAATAGTTATAGGCCTAATAGTATTATCTAGTTAGTTTCATTTTGGTAACTTGTGGTTTTCATGAAATTGATTCATTTGTTCTAAGATGTTTAATTTATGAACAAGAACTTGCTCATAGTAATCCCTTATTATTTCTTTAATGATTGTAAGATCTGTAGTGATATTCCTATTTGATCCTTGATATCAGTGATGTATTTCTTTTTTTCCTTTTTTAATGTTTCAGTTCTTCTGCAGTTATATGAATTTTATGTATTATTCTGAAGAACAGAATTTTGTTTTATTAATTTTCTTCTGTTTTCAGTTTCATTGATTTTTGTTCTTATACCTTGTTCCTTTACTTCTGTTCTTTGGGATTTTGCTTTTCTTTTTCTAGTTTGTTGATCCAGAAACTTAGATTTTTTTATTTTAAATATTCCTCTTAAATAATATGAGCTTTTGATGCTATGGTATAATTCTTTTTTCTCAGCACTATTTTACCCAGCTCACACATGTTTTGATATGTTGTATTTTCATTCAGTCTTGTCACCTTTTAAATATTTTAGTTAAGGATTTATCTTTGGCATACAGATTATTTGGAAGTACATAATTTAATTTTTAAGTGCATGAAGATTCTCCTGTTTTATTTCTGGAATATACATGTTATATTATCTGACCATAATTAAATTATACTTTAAACCATGGTTTCAAATATAACTTAATTATGGTCAGATAAAATAACATGTATGATTTCAATTATTTTAAATGAATTGAAGGTTAGTTTTTTGGATCCAAGATGCCTTTTGGAATATCCCATGAGTACATGAAAACAAAAAGTATATTCTGCTATTTCTAGGTGGAGTTTCTATCAATGTTGATTAGATTCTCATGGTGTTGCTCATATCCTCTAGATACTTGCCATTTTACTTTCTAGTAGTTCTATTAGTTATGAGTTGCAGAGAAGAGGGTGTTAAAAGTCCCCAGTTATAATTGTGGACTTGTCTAATTATCCATTCAATCCTATCCTTTTTTGCTTTATTTATTTTGAGGTTTGCTTACTTGGTTCATACACATTTAGAATCCTTATGATTACCTGATGGATTGATCCTTTTATTTTATTTATCCTGTTCCCTTTTATCTTCAGTAATATTTTTTGTTCTTGGGTACACTTTTAACTTATGGTCGTATACAGGCATAACCCAAAGATACTATGGGTTTACTTCCAGGTCACCACAATAAAGCAAATATCACAATAAAGTAAGTCACACACATTTTTTTGGTTTCCCAGTGCATGTAAAAGTTATGTTTACCTTATGCTATAGTTTATAAATGTGCAATAGCATTAAATGGTGTAAACTACCAACGTACATACGTTAATTTGAAAGTACTGCTTAGAAAGCTAATATTCCTCTGAGCCTTCAGCGAGTCATAATATTTTTGCTTGTGGAGACTCTTGCCTCCATGGTGACAGCTGCTGACTGATCAGGCTTGTGGTTACCGAAGGTTAGGGTGGTTATGGCAATTTCTTAAAATAAGACAACAAAGCTTGCTGTACTGATTAACTCTTTTACAAAAGATTTCTCTTCAGCATGGAATGCTGTTTAATGGTCTTTTATCCACAAGTAGAATTTTAAAAATAATTAGAAATAATGAATAAGACCTACTATTTGAGAGCGCAACCGGCTGACTGTAGTCAATTATAATTTAATTGTACATTTAAAAATAACTTAGAGTATAATTGGATTGTTTGCAACTCAAAGGATAAATGCTTGAGGGCTTGCATAAAAAAACACTGGAGTCAATCATCTCAAAACGTGTCATTGCTTCATCAATTACGTTTATCTAATATTCTAAATCCTTTGCTGTCATTTCAACAATGTTCACAGCATCATCACCAGGAGTAGATTCAATCTGAAGAAACCACTTTGTTTGCTCCTTCCTAAAAATCAGCTTCTCATCCATTCAAGTTTTATCGTGTAATTGCAGTAATTCAGTAACATCATCAGACTTCACTTCTAATTCTAGTTATCTTGCTATTTTTACCATATCTGTAGTTACTTCTTCCACCAAAGTCTTGAACCCTCAAAGTCATCTATGTGGGCTTGAATAAACTTAGTCCAAACTCATCTTTTTTTTTTTTTTTTTTTTTTTGACAGAGTTTTGCTCTTGTCACCTAGGCTGGAGTGCAATGGTGAGATCTTGGCTGACTGCAACCTCCGCCTCCTGGGGTTCAAGCAATTCTTCTGCCTCAGCCTCCCGAGTAGCAGGTTATAGGCATGCACAAACACACCCAGCTAATTTTGTATTTTTAGTAGAGACAGCATTTCTCTCCATGTTGGTCTGGCTGTTCTTGAACCCCCGACTTGAGTTGCTCCACCCGACACAGCCTCCCAAAGTGCTGGGATTACAGGGGTGAGCCACCCCACCTGGCCCCAAATTCCTTTTCATGATTATATTTTGGCCCTTCCCATGAATTATGAATGGTATTAATGGCATCTAGAGTGGTGAAATGTTCAGGTTTTCAGTTTATGTTGCCCAAATCCATCAGAAGAATCACCATCTATGGCAGCTATGACCTTATGAAAAGTTTTCTTTAACTAACATGACTTGAAAGTCAAAAGTACTCATTTATTTTTTGGCTGAATAGATGGTGTGTTAGCAACAATGAAAACAACATTAGTCTCCTCGTACTTCTCCATTAGAGTTCTTGGGCGACTAAGTGCATTGTTAATGAGCAATAATATTTTGAATGAAATATTTTTTCCTGAGGAGTAGATCTCGACAGTGGATATAAAATAATTAATAAACCATATTGTAAACAGATGTGCTGTCACCGTGGCTTTGTGTTTCATTTATAAAGCACAGGCAGAGTAAATTTAGCATCATTCTTAAAGGCCTATAAGTTTCAGAATGGTAATTGATTATTGCCTTCAACTTAAGGTCACCAGCTGCATTAACCACTAACAAGAGAGTCACCCTATCCATTGAAGCTTTGAAGCCATCATTGACTTCTCTCTAGCCATGCAAGTCTTAGATGACATCTTTTTTTTTAATATAAAGCTATTTCATCTGAATTGAAAATGTTTTGACATGCCTTCCTCATTAAGCTTATTCATTCCTACTTTTTGAGTTACAGTGAGAGACATGTCACTCTTCCTTTCACTTGAACACTTAGAAGTCATTTTAGGGTTACCGTTTGGGCTAATTTCAATATTGCTGTAGCTCAAGAAATAGGCCTGAGGAGAAGGAAAGAGAAAAGAGTATGACCATGACCTGTCACTGGAATAGTCAGAGCACACTTATCAATTCAATTTGGAGTCTTACATGGCAAGTTCGTCTTATATGGGCAGTTTGGAGTCTTATATGGGAGTCTTATATGGGTGTGTACGGTGTACATTTTGGAGTTTTTTTTTTTTTGGTAATTGTTTTTTAATGTTATCTGGTAACTTTTTTTTTTCTTTTTTTTTTTGAGGAGTAGGAGGTAGCTGTAGTCTGATTTAACCTTTGGCCTCCCAGCTTCTTAGATTTTTTTTTTTTCTTTTAGACTTACTGCCTTGGGAAATTTCTAAGGCATTGTCTCCTTTCCCTGTGCCATGGACGGCCACAGAATGCAGGCTAAAATACATCTGTGTTTGGCGTATAAATGATAAAAGCCCACTGTAGTCTTCATTCAGCTTCCTGGGTCCATGCTTTGGTCTCTTTAGAATTTTCACTTTCCTTTCTAGTTTGAAGGGGATATTCTTTTTAATATTTTCTTTAGCTTTTAAAGCTTTTAAATTGTTTTCAGCAAAAGTACTATTCCAGATATTTAATACAAAATGATGCTAAAGATGAAAATACTTTCTAAAATTTTGTTTTTAATCCTATTTTAACATTTCCTTCTCCTTTCCAACCCTTCTCTTTCAAGCACGGAATGGGGGTGTGTTATTGATTGCTTGCTGTTGGGGGGCACAGAGATGGGGTGAGAATTTTACTCAAATCTGGAACGGCATTGTCCTTTCGTCTCCTACATGCTAACTTCTGCCGTGGGAGCACAGGGGAAGATTAGAAAAGACTTGTCAGTTTTGGGGGTATTCCTTTTTTGCTTCAGTCTAGTTCCATCTATTTTCAGCTAGCACCTCAGGATTTGGCGATCTTTTGTGTTGATGATATAATGGATACTTTTACAGTGAAGATAAACATAAACTCCACTCCCATTACCAGCTTTTCTATTAGCAGAAGAGCAGTATTTTTCCTAGCCCTTCTTCCAACCTCTACTCAAGTTGTCCATTGATTTTCTTGGCTGTTGGCCACCTAGAAAGAGAACTCCACCCATTCTCACTGCTAGTCTCTTTGTTCTCTCTATCTCCTTCTTTGAATTCATGGACACCAGTTTCATCGGCCTCAGCAGAGAGCACTGCAAATAGAAGAGACAATCTAGGGGTTATCCTTATCTTCAAGCCACCACAGTGTCCTGGAGTATTGCTCCACAGTACTCCAATATGTTTGCTCCTCTCAAAAATGTCCAGGCCAAAAATGCATGCAGATATCTACATTCAGATCTACCTCCCAGTCTTAAGGGAAATAAGTTATCTATCTATTCTCTATAGCACTGGGGAGGACTAAATGGGCAGTATTAATAGTCTGAGGACTCAGACCACTTGCCTAAGAAAACTTTCATTTAATAACATTTGCAGAAGCTACATCAGAGTAGGTCTGAATTTTTTCTAGCACAGCAAACACCCAGTCAGAGAAGAAATGTGTTTTTCTTTAGGAGCACCACCAATTTTATAAGTCTTCTTCTTGAGGTCTTCCTTTCTATCCTCTTCATTTATGGGAAAATAAAGCGTCTCTTTGTGAACATAGCAATCCTCAATGCCAAACTAAACCAGCCTATTAGACCTGGGGTTTAGTAGGAGCCAGGGGGTGTTAATGGTTGGCCTGTTCTGCACGGGCCTTTTTCAGCAAACCCTGTGGGACAGGTGCCCGTTTATAAATGCTAGAGGTGATCTTCAGTTTACGGAGACAATTAACATCTTTCGTTTTTAGACAAAGCTACAAGAACTAAAAAAATTAACCAATTCATTTACTGTTGAAATTTAAGAAAAAATATATAACTTGCCTCACTTGTAGGGGGTTCTCATTTCTTTAACTTTTAAAAATGGTAACATTTGAAAATTTTCAGGTCCAATGTCCAAGTAAACAGATATAATTTTTAATACTTAAATGTCATTTAATGCACACTGACAGTAATTTATACAAAAATACAAATTAGATAAATATACGTAGCATTTAGCCTGGTTATTATGAGGCAAACACACTGTATTTATTATTTCTCTTCTTTTTCCTCATCTAATACAGTTCAGTGAAAAAAAAAAAAGATAATAGTTTTATCTTAGAGTCTTCCCAATAAATAACATAGGCTATCCTATGTTAAGGTTTTTGAGACAAGCACTCATTGTAAAATTTTAATATATAATGAAAATGTAACATTTATAAAAGTACATTATCAGAAAATGAATTATTGTTCTGGCCAGAATCAAACAGGAGTAAACCGGAGGCAAGATTCTTGACAAATATCAGTCATTCCTCTGCAAACACCTGTATTTTGCAGGTATAAGTGTGGCATAACTTTTGGAAAAAAAATCAATCTTGTAGACAGGAGTATCTATTAGGAGGTTAAGGGACATACAGCAGGACCAGGTCCCATGGTGAATCATTTCAAAAGCAACTAAAAACTTAACAAAGTTTTATGAGAGAATCTGTAGCTAAAGGTCAGAATATACTTGACATAAGTTAATCACACCTCAAAAACCAGGAATTCATTAATATTTACTTATAAAAGATATGAGGTTTGCTAAACTAGCTTGGATGACTTTCTAAGATGAAGAGAGTCGGTCAAACTAATTTCCACTTAAAAAATGAGATCAATTGCCTGTGTATTTTAATTCACTTTGGAGTAAATATCTTAAATTGTTTCCATAGTGGGATAATATAAGGCATTCTAGGTTCTCTATAGAAGAAATAGGAAGAAAGAAAGCCATCAGATTAGATTTTAACATGCCCACCCATCCCTTAAACACAAAGAAAAGCATAGGTTTAAAAATTAAGAAAACTGAGAACGTATTGTGCATATGTACACTTATATAACATATAGTCTATATGTATATTATAAGTACATTACAATTTAAAAATAAGCAGAATCATAAGTTTTTGTGAATTGACTGGAAGTCATAGTTACCATTTGTATTCAGTATTTTCCCAAAATTATGTAGTAATAAGATCTACTAAAAGTCGCAAGTCATAAGTTTTCAAAGGCAATAAATGTGATAACCAGTCTGGAATGTAATGTCATACAGTGAACACCTCTGTGCTTCCACAATTGATGATGAATTATAAAACTAACATCTTTATTTAGAAACTCGAGATTTTCTAGAACATTTTAACAAAATTATCAGCTTATAACATGTATTTCTATACGTTCTTATTTTAATCATTATTTAAAAATAAGTGATAGTTTAACTTCTTACCTTATTTAAAATTTTGATTAGCTGAATTTGCTTTAAGAGTTCATGGTTATAAGAATTTGAATACCGATGTGTGAGCGTGTCTGTGTATGTTAATGTATATATATGCATGTGTGTGTGTGTATGACAAAAACATTTCTTCCTTTGGAACTGTTTCTGACATACTCAACACAAGTCTCCATTTGGTGGATATGTAAAATTCATAAGGCAAATAAATTAAGAAAATTGATTCATCTTCTCACTTTATTATCATTTCTGTTCATTCTCATAATTTGTTGACAAATAGGTGTTCTTCCAAGTCACTTAAAATATAAAGGTACTCTTGGAAGCATGTTCTGCTAGGTGTAGTACCTGGGTATTTTGTTATTTTAAAAATGAGAATGCAAATATTTAAATGTATTAATTTAATTATTTCAACAATTTAGTAACAGGTCACTTAGTGGAATAAAAATATTATATAAGTAAGTTTCTGGCTTCAATCTTCTTATAATCTTGATGGATTTTGTTGACTGTGGCTCTAGATTTTCTGTATGTATTTACAAGGCCACACAGTCTTTTCAAGCAAAATCAAAAACATACACATGGCAATGACAGCTCAGCATAAGAAAGGAATTTGATCAGCATTTACAAACACTACAAAGAAAAATGATAAATAATAGAGTTTACTAAAGATGACAAGAACTCTGCAATATACATGTAATGGGAAAAAAATACATTGAGATGAACTTTTTGGGTTTATCTCAGAACCCAGGTCTCTCAGCCTTACGGTATTTTAGGCAAAATTTGCACTGAGGCAGCTTCTGAATCCCCATGCTTACCTATTTTGTGTCAACTTAATAAAATATTATTCTGCATAAGCTAGAGGGACAGAGATAGTAGGAAAGTTTTTCTGTTTTGGAAGCCTCTGTCTCCCCTTCACAAATCCTCTTTTTTTTCTTTTTCTTTTTCTTTTTTTTTTTTTCTTTTCGAGTGCTGGAAATATCAGAGCTATCACCCGGTCCCTAAGTGACTGTTTTTAACTGCTGCTGCAAACTGCTACTACAATAATTTGTCTGCAGACAGGTCTGTAAGTCTCTCATGCATTTGCCAAAGTAATTTAGTAACTTCAGTCACCTTGATTTGTCCAAAAAATGTTAAACTCTAAAAATGAATACATTTATTTATGATAGGAATTATTTTTGGTTTTGAAATATTCTCCTGTTAAATTTAATTAAATTAAAATACATAATTTATTTAACATCCTGCTCATTTTTATCTCCTACTCACTTTTTATTTGTGAACAATATCTAAACAGTAACCTATAAGCTCTTTACCTACAGCTCTAATGAGACTGATGCACTTCCAAAACTTAAACCCAACGCTCTCACCTGGGCTTTTAAGCATATGTGTGATCTGACATTTAACTGCTTCCTCAATTTATCTCTTCTTCATGATCTCTGTCTTCCAAACACAGAAGTCCTGTTTTCTCCCTCCAAATACATTGGTACTTTAGGTTATTTAAGTATCTGCATTCTCCTTTTTCTTTTAAAAATTAATAACTATTACTCTAAAATATAAAGTGAGAATTTTGTATTGTTAAATAACTTGACAATGCTTGATTTATTTATTATATTTTAGATTAACTAAGGCTATCTACTTTAGGACTTTTGCTTTCTGTAGGATTTGATATTTGATCTGAGACCTGAAAAATTAGATAGCATTAACCATATGGGGATGTAACTTTCTAGGCAATAGAAACAGAGCTTGCAGAAACTTATAATGGGAACAAGACTGTCAATAAGATGTAGAAAAATGTGAATAATGTACATCTATTGAAACATGGAACTGCTACTAAGAACTGTTAGAAATATGCTTGAATATATTTCTCACAGAAATCTACATAAATATTATTGAACTTAGCTATATAAAATAGTCAATGAAAAACAAAATTGAGAAGTGAGGGTAGGGAAAGGGGAGAAAGTGTAAGCGCAATACTTTCTCCTATTTCATATTGGCAGACAATCCACAAGGTCTAAAATCAAAACACCCATGCAATGAATGACAACATGCTCTGAATCCGTTTAGTAAATGATTTTTCTTAAGTGGAAAGAATTTAAGTGAAGTAATATCTTTATTTTGTAAAGAAGACTTTATCATAATTTGAGCAATTTGTTTTGCTCCATTTTCATTTCTTTTTGCTTAAGTAAAATAAAATTGAGCTACTAGTGAGGCTGAGGTGAAAAGACTGATTAAATTCAGGAGTTTGTGTCCAGCTTTGGCAACGTAGAGAGACTCTATGTCTTTCAAAAAAATGAAAATGAAAATAGATCAATTACTGTTAAATCTTAATAATATGATTTCATTTTGTTAAACTCTCTTATATGTGAATGCACGTATGTATATCTCTATGATCCCTTTGTCTCTTTTTTTGTATATAAACATATGTGTGTGTATGTGTGTGTGTGTGTGTATCAACAATGGTGTTATCTTAATGACAGCTTAATGGCAATTCTTTCTAAATAATGTGATTTAGATATTTAAGGGCTCTACTAATTATTTTTCGGTATTCCAATTTTTTAACGATTAGGTAAAATTTACACAAAGCATTCCTTTTATTATTTTAAAGAGTATCCATCTACTAGAATAAAACATTATATTATGAGTCCCGCATATATGCTAACAGTGTTAGAAGGCAGGACATTCCTTTCACTGGGGTTGTGAGAAAAAGCCTCATATGAGAGGGAAGAATACCCTCTTCTTGAGGAGTAAATAGAATTCAGTGATAGAAAATAAAGATTTGTAGGCAAAGGGCCAAGCACACACACACGCAAACATACATAAGAAAGTTTAAAATGTGTTGAAAAATAAATAGTAAATAAACAATTGAGCTTCACCACAGTTTCATGTAAAGAGCTACCATTCTTTTAGGCAGGGAAAGGTGGATTGGTACTCATTTGCTAACAGCTTTTTTATAAACAAAAAAAAAAGAGCCCTTGAACTAGACCACAAAAATTCAAGTTCTTTCCCTAAGGTTGCACATTTAATAGCTGATGGAGACACTAGCAATCAGTTACTTGTCAGTGAACCACATTCCTTAAGACATGAGGAAACAGGAAACACTGAATAGCTTTAAGTGGGAAAACTCAGCAGCCCTAGATGCACGTTGGCATGCACTCTCATGGCAGAGTAGGGCAAGGATGAGAAGAAAGAGCGTGGGAGCCTAGTCCAGGCTAACGTCCATGGAAGACACAAGGAAGGAGAAAGCTGAAGCCCTGGCTGCTTCGGAATCTGACCTATTCACATATTCACAGATTTCACCAGGAATATATTTTCTTCACAAATTTAAGTCAATTTAAGTTTCTGACAGATCATTAAATCCTTAAATGGACTAAAACTCGAGTTTATAATAGCCATCTTACATTCTACTTAGAGGTGGCATGAAGGTTTTGATATATCCCAGGTTTTAATATGCAAAGTGGTTGAAGGGCATAAGAAAAAGTTTGAGTTCGAAATGTTAGTGCTAAGCTTAACTTTTCTGGTACCAAGGTATTTTTAGCTAAAGAAAGCTAGTAAATTCTCCAAATAACAGCAATATGTTCCTAATATGTGTATATGTGTTTGTGTGTAAATGTGCATATATAATTTCATTAAGAATCCAATTTTTAGCTCCATTTTGCTATTGAAGAAATAGATACAAAGAAGTCACAGGAGGTTTTACCAATTACACCCTTATCCTCTTGGGCTTTAGTGCCTAGCTTGGAAGCCATAGCACTTAGTTTATTCTTTGAAAACCAAATGAAGAAGAAAAGAGAGAGATGAGAGAGCGATGAGAGGAGGAGAGAGAGAGAGAGAGAGAGAGATCCTAATTACATTTAAGCTTAGTGCATATAAAATCATTCTCGTCTTTTCTGACTCATTTGCCTTCTAATAATAAGACCGTTTGGAAATGTGCATCAAAAGATTTAAACATGTGTTTTAAAAGGATTGGACAGCACCTGCAGGAAATGGCAATGAATCAAAACTTAATGCCTTACCGAAATTCTATATAATCTATATTTAAATAGTATGCAATGAAGTTAGACATTAGGCCATTTGGGGTAGTTTGTTAAATGACAAAAAAAATACATTCAGTGAATTTGAGGTATCTCTGTGTTTTAACTTATCTTTTTAGAGTAAAAATAATGATTGGCGTAGCTATCTGAATTCATCTGAAAAGTAGATAACCTTTTAAATCACATCTATTTAGCGATTAAACGTAGTCATTGTTTGAATTATTGGTATTACATGTACCTTTTCTATAACTGTTATATTTTATTCCCATCTCTATGGCTTGGTAAGAGGTTTTAATTTGTTTCATTGAAAGAAGGTTGATTCAGCTTTTCAAAATATAGTTTAATAATCTCAAACATGAGGATTTTTGATCTTATAACTGTCTAAGCATGAGAATGATTGTTTTGGTTATAGATTTGGCCACAAGCAATTCAGAGGGGCATTAAAGTATAGAGTGGAGCACTTGTTGGAATAAAGCATCAGGAGAGAGTGCCACTATTCAGATCCGAGATTGCAGCTGCTCAGAACTCTGCCAAGGAACCTCCCTACACCCTTTCACCCTCTAAGGTCTGCCCTGGTCGCATTTACTAACACAAGATTACAAAGGGAGTTCCTACTTAACACACAACCCTGTGTAATGAATGTGTGGAGAGCATTCTAGACTTTGCTTTCAGAGTTCTCAAGTATCAAATATTCACACATGGCAAGTATTGCTAAGTATAGCTGCTCCTGTCAATAGATAGTCCCATCCTGAAGCAGGCCTCCTAGTTAATACATTTGCAAGTGTTAAAAGGGAAAATTGAAGACATATTAGTGTCTAAGTGACAATTATATCCTTATTTGGAAACCACTGAGGAGAGAAACTCATGTGGAAAAAGTGAGCAGCAATCGGAAGCATCGCAAATGTCTCCACCTGAGGAGGTGTGTAGATCTTCTAACACAAGGCCAGGAGGTTTACTAAAAGCACTGAAGGTGAATGAGTAGTCACCACCTGCTGAGTAGTCTATCTTCACATAACTTGTTTCTATTCTCTCCTCTGTATTCTCTTCCCATTGCCTTAGTTTACACCGCGCATTCTCTCCTGGGCAACCGCAAGCACTGTCTAAATTATCTCCTTCACTCAGCATCACTCTTTTCAATATGTTGTCTATATATATTTGTTACTCAAAGTGTGTCACAGCAACAGCAGCATAATTATCTCCTGGTTGCTTGCTAGAAATGCAGATTCTTAGAATTCACCCCAGATCTACTGAATAAAGTCTTTCCTTTTTTTTTTTTTTTTTTTTTTGAGACAGAATCTTGTTCTGTCTCCCCGGCTGGAGTGCAGTGGCGCCATCTCGGCTCACTGCAAGCTCTGCCTCCCGGGTTCATGCCATTCTCCTGCCTCAGCCTCCCGAGTAGCTGGGACTACAGGCGCTCGCCGCCACACCCAGCTAATTTTTTTGTGTTTTTAGTAGAGACGGGGTCTCACCATGTTAGCCAGGATGGTCTCGATCTCCTGACCTCGTGATCCACCCGCCTCGGCCTCCCAAAGTGCTGGGATTACAGGCGTGAGCCACTGCGCCCGGCCAAAAGTCTTTCTTTAAACACGATTTCAGGTTGATTCTAAGGAACATCAGATTTAAGAAACAATGCTCTTCATTATCACTAAATTCTAAAACTATGTTCTAAAACATAAAACTCATAACTAATTACAACGTAATCACCCCCTCCAACCCCACCACCAATACAAGACAAAGTCCACACTGACTTTAATGGGTCTCAGATTAAGATGAACCTCATATTCTACTCACCAATTCAATATGAAATCTGCACTTTTGAGTCAATTTACCTCATTTTATTCCATCAACACATCAGGCTTGCATTGTTTTGTTGGTTGACAAGCTCACTTCTAGGCCAATAATTGTCTTTTTGTTTAGAATAAATCTGAACAAAAGAGAACATAAGAATGGATGTCGTCTGTTTGTCCTTTTATAGCTGGAATATATTCTTCCCTCAAGGAGGGACGAAATGAAATAAATAGCATCGTAAGTCATAATCATCAGTGAGCAATTAACAGTTTCCATTTGCCCTTTTCCGCATAGCTCCAATGATCAACTTATTTGTGCCAGGCAGGACATAATCCCAAACTGAACTTTCTGTTATGCTGTATTAATGCAGAAAAAGAAAACAAATAAGTAACTTCAAAGTCTACAGAGCCCTTATATATTTGCTTCTTTCAGTGGTTCTTTTTGGAATACCTATGGTACATATTTGAGAATTAGACTAACAGAATATAACTGTATTTATTTACCTCTTAAAACCTATATATGATGCCACATTCTCCATGGAACCTTCCATGAACTCCAGTCTCCCACTCCTATATTGCCCCAGACATAAAATGACTTTTTCTCTTGAACATCACATATTTATATATCCTGTTCTTAAGTCCTATTAGTTAAAATTGGTGGAGAAGGAGAAGAAGGGGAAGAGAGAAAATAAATATATCTTTTATAGTTTTTGAGACTATGAAGTTGTGAGGTCCTGTATTGCGTCCTAACTACTTAATACACACACAGCACAGCAGGAGGTAATGAGCCACAATAAAGACAAGGGTGAATATTTGAGTGCTTTTTGTTGTCTGTCGCTGCTAGAAGTTAAATGTCTTGATAATAGTAATTTGTAAGAAAATATTTTTGAGTGGATGAAAATCAACCATCAACATTCACCTAAGACTCTGGATGACTACAGTGGATATGAAATCACCTATTCTTCTGCATTATAGAGTCAGTGTCTCCATGATGTTACAAAATTTACACGAATAGTTGGCTAGTATTTAGGTTTTTGGACATCAATTATTCTTTCAACAACATCTGGCTTTGTTTAAAAAACTACAAACACACATATCACTCTATGATTTTCGTCTTCATTTTGGGTATATGAAAGTGTCTGTGTATGGTGGATTTCAGATAGCGGTGCTTTTCAACAAAGATGTATAAAGTGCATTGCTGTAGAGTCATCCAAGTGCCATTATTACTCAGAGTCATGTAGATTTTCTCTCCTAGATGTTTAACAGTTCCCCACTGACCCATACCTTACTAAAAGTTGAGAAAGTGTTTTCAAAAAGAAAGCCATTGCAGTTAGGAGATGAACAAAGACTTCTGAATCATTTTTATTTATTATAACTTTTTTTCTTATAAAAAGTAACTTATATAAGGGCCCTGGAGACAAAAAGAGACTCTAGTCTGATAGCTCCAGGAAATGCCACCCTGAAACATCTCAGGTGTTCACTTCATATGTTAGTGCATACGTTTCTAAAAGTTAATGTAGTTTCATCAACTCTACAATGCTCTAAAGATCTGACAGCTTGAGAAACAGGAGACTCAGAGGTGTTTTATATTGTAATATGGTTATTGTCAACTTTTTCAAATTGCAAACACCTTTTTAAACTTTGAAAGAGAAGCATGGACACCTTGTATATCATAAAAATCAAGTTGATTTGTGTTCTCCTGCTTACTGCAAAGAAACTTTCAGGGACCTGGGGTACTAAAAATCACAGCATAAAGATGTTTTCCTGTTGCTCAGTTTAGAATAAATTCTATCATTGATTAGTTCTGTGTTCATAAGATATTTTTATATCAGTTTTTGTTCTTCAAAGAACACTCTTAGAAAAAGTTTCTGTCTAAAATGTTTCTTCATTAAAAAAGTAACTCTGTTAATCTCATAAAAGTTTGATATTTCTAATACATGAATTAACAACATTATGGGATATTATTTATAAAGGTGAATGGGGAAATACTGCATTGAACAAAATCCCTCTTCCCTAGTGTCTATATTATTTAGTAACAGCAAATGAGAAAGTTGTGGAAGATAGTTGGGAGCTCAAAAATTATATAGACAATAAGAGGTTGAGAGATATTTCTGCAGTCTGGGAGTCATTTTGTACTTTATAATTAAAACCATTTTTCATTATTTAATATATTCTATGAATATTTACAAAATTTCTTCTAGATATAGTCATTTCCTGATACCTCTAGGGGATTTTTTCTAGAATTTCCAATAGATATCAAAATTCAAGGATGCCCAAGTACCAAATATAAAATGGTGTATATATTTGCATATAACCTATGTACATCCTCAGGTATACTTTAAAAATGCTTTAGATTATTTATCATAGCTAATCCAACGTAAATATTAAGTAAATAGTTGTTATAATGCATATAACATTATACATTGTTTGGGGAGTTGTAACAAGATAAAAATATCCTTACATGATCAGTACAGAAGCAATTTAAAAAATATATTTTCCATCCGCAGTTCTTTGAATCCACACATGTGGAACCCACTGTTATAGAGAAAGGACTGTATTGCGGTGACAGGGTTATCAGAATTAAATAGAAAGACAGTCTTTTAGGCAGCTTACATTCTATGCAATGAGATGAGACAATAAACAAGAACACAAATAAATAAAAATGAACGCAATATCAGTGTATTAGTCCATTTTTGCACTGTATAAAGAACTACCCCAAACAGAGTAATTTAGAAAGAGAAGAGATTTAATTGACTCACAGTTCCACATGACTGGGGAGTCCTCAGGAAACTTGCAGTCATGGTATAAGGCAAAGGAGAAGCAAGCGCCTTCTTCACAAGTAAGCAGGAAATAGAGCGAAGGGGGAAGTGCAACTTTTAAACCATCAGATCTCATGAGAACTCACTCACTATCACAAAAACATCATAGGGGAAACCAGCCCCACGATCCAATCACCTCCCACCAGGTCCTTCCCTCAGCATGTGGGGATTAGAATTCTAGCTGAAATTTGGGAGGGGACACAGATCAAAATCATATCACTTACGAAGAAAATATATAGTTTGAAATCCTATGAATGTGTGCGAGGAAAGGTGGCTTGGGCTTCTTTAGATAGGTTGTTCACTGTAGACATCTCTCTGAGAAGGTGACATTTGATATAGGAAATGAAGACTAAGAAGTAATCAGTAATAAGGAGTAACTGGGAAAGAACATCTTAATCAGATAAAATAAGAAACAGAGGGTAAATTATACACATGAATTATACTTCTGATGATTATCACCATTTCCTCAAGTATGTTCTATAAAATTCTCCAAAAACCACAAACATACACATTATCTCCATGATTTTCATCTTCATTGTGGATATATAGAAGAGCTACTTATGATGGATTTCAGATAGTGGTTCATTTCAACAACGGTGTATAAAATCCATTGCTGTACAGTCATTCAAGCATCATTTTTACTCCAAGTCATGTAGATTTTCTCTCCTAGATGTTTAACAGGTAGTTCCCCACTGACCCATATATTACTGAATAAGTCTAAGTTCATTCACTTCTTTCTTATTTCATAGAGGACTGCAACAGTCCCCTAATAGGAGTCCTTACTTTTACTATTTTTTCATTCTTAAGTGCATCCTCTACCAGCTTCTACAGTTTTCTCTTTTTAAAATTATTTTATTTTTCTTTAAGTTCTGGGGTACATGTGCAGGATATGCATATTTGTTACATAGGTAAACATGTGCTCTGGTGGTTTGCTGCACCTATCAACCCATCACCTAGGTATTAAGCCCAGCATGCATTAGCTCTTTTCCCTAATACTACCCCCCTCCCTCCCCCAACAGGTCCCAATATGTGTTGTTCCGCTCCCTGTGTCCATGTGTTCTCATTGTTCAGCTCCCACTTATAAATGAGATCATGTGGTGCTTGGTTTTCTGTTCCTGCATTAGTTTGCTGAGAATAATGGCTTTCAGCTTCATCCATGTTCCTGCAAAGAACATGATCTCATTGTTTTTTATGGCTTCATAGCATTCCATGGTGTGTATGTACCACATTTTCGTTATCCAGTCTATTATTGATGGACATTTGGGTTGATTCCATGTCTTTGCTATTGTGAATACTGCTTCAATAAACATACATGTGCATGTATCTTTATAATAGAATGATTTACATTCCTATGGGTATATATGCACTAATGGGATTGCTGGGTCAAATGGTATTCTGGTTCTAAATCTTTGAAGAATTCACACACTGTCTTCCAAAATGGTTGAACTAATTTACATTCCCACAAACAGTGTAAAAGTGTTCCTATTTCTCCACAACCTTGCCAGCATCTGTTTCTTGACTTTTTAATAATCACCATTCTGACTGGCATGAGATGGTATCTCACTGTGGTTTTCATTTTCATTCTTCTAATGATCAGTGATGCTGAACTTTTTTTCATATTTTTGTTGGCCACATGTATGTCTTCTTTTGAGACATGTCTGTTCATGTACTTTGCCCACTTTTTAATGGGATTGTTTGTTTTTTTCTTGTAAAATTGCTTGAGTTCTTTGCAGATTCTGGATAGCAGACCTTTGTCAGATACATAGATTCCAAAAATTTTCTCCTATTCTGTAGGTTGTCTGTTCATTCTGATGATAGTTTCATTTGCTATGCAGAAGCTCTTTAGTTTAGTTAGATCACACTTGTCAAATTTTGCTTTTATTGCAATTGCTTTATGACTTCATCATAAACTCTTTGCCCATGCCTATGTCCTGAATAGCACTGCCTAGATTTTCTCCTAGGATTTTTATAGATTTTGGTTTTACATTCAAATCTTTAATTCATCTTGAGTTAATTTTTGTATAAGGTGGAAGGAAGGGATCCCATTTTAATTTTCTACCCGTGGTTAGCCAGTTCTTCCAGCACCGTTTATTAAATAGGAAATCCTTTCCCCATTGTTTGTTTTTGTCAGGTTTGTCAAAGAGCAGATGGTTGTAGATGTGCAGTTTTTATTTCTGAGTTCTCTATTCTTTTCCATTGGTCTACGTGCCTGTTTTTTCACTAGTACCATGCAGTTTTGGGTACTGTAGCCTTGTAGTATAGTTTGAAGTCAGGTAGCATGATGCCTCCAGCTTTGCTCTTTTTGATTAGGATTGTCTCGGCTATGCAAAGTGTTTACTGATTCCATATACATTATAAAATAGATTTTTTCTAATTCTGTGAAGAATGTAAATTCAAGGAGAACTACAAACCACTGCTCAAGGAAATCAGAGAGGACACAACCAGATGGAAAAACATTCCATGATCATGGATAGGAAGAATCAATATTGTGAAAATGGCCATACTGCCCAAAGCAATTTATAGATTCAATGCTATTCCCACTAAATTACCATCAACATACTTCTTTAGTTTTCTAACCATGCAGTACAGTATCAGGGCTATGGGCAAAGGTTTTAGAAATCAAGAATACAAACACATTTGAAAGTGTTTTTTAGACGCAATGTTCCAAAACTGACTGTTAGTTGGAGGGAGAGTAGAGATGTAATGGCACAAGTTTAACATTAGACAGAGCTGGGCTCACAACCAAGCTCTACCATTTACTCCCTATAATATCTGTAGCTACTACAAACTACTAATATCTGTTTCCTCATATAAAAAGTTTGACAAATTGCATGCCTATAAGGAGGATCAAATGGAATAAAGCATATTAAAGACTTAGCAAAACAGTAGTGTATTTTCTTCTTCAAAACATCTTGTCACTCACAATAAATCCTAACACCTGAACATTGTGCATAAGAGCTGGCATAAACTTGTGAGACATACCTCTCCACCACTATGCTACACTCGAGGAACTCTAGACACAGCTCACTCTTGATTGAGTAAATCCCTCTGTTCCTATTCTTCCATCTGCTTGAAACACATTTCACTATCATTTTCCCTGCCCCATTTCCTTGATCTAGGTAATCGCTACTGATCTAACACCAACACCATTCTCATCCTCAGCATCCTCCTCATCATCATTGATATGTACATTCGCTATGTGACAGGTCCTAGAAGAGCCAAACACAACATTGTTTAAAAAGCATTCTCTAGCTTTAGACTGTATTCAAATCGCAAATCCATCTTACATACCTCCTCTTTACCTCCAATTTGCAACATGGGACTCATGAACCTTCCTGTTTTTTAGATTTATCAAATGAATTCTATAAATTAACTTTGTAAGCAGCTTGAGAGTGCTTGGCACATAGTGAGTAGCTACTATTATTTTGCCAAATCCTTCATATGTTTTATTCCATTTAATCCTCATCATAGGCATGCAATTTATCAACATTTGTATATGAGGAAACAGAGGTTTAGTAGTTTGCAGGGGATATAGGTATTATAGGGAGTGAATTGTAGAGCTTGGTTATGCACCCAGCTCTGTGAAATACTAAAACTTATGCCATTACCTCTCTACTGTCCTCCAGCTAACACTCAGTTTTGGGACACTGCATCTAAAAAACACTTTCAAATGTGTTTATTTTCTTTACTTCTAAAACCTTTGCCCATAGCCCTATTATTGTATTTTATTGTTAGAAACTGAACTATAATTATTATATTAAGTAGCTGTCCCTGTCAATAATGTTTTGCAGCCTGGAGAATAAAAGCAGTATTTTTTTTCTTTGCACTCCCATCACATAACAAAGCAACTTTCATGTAATAGGCAGTCTATGTGTTTTTAATTGACAAGTCATAGTTGTATACATTTATGGGGTAAAATGCGCTGTTGTGAAATATATAAACAATGTGGCATGATTAAATCAAGCTAATTAACATATACATTACCTTGCTTACCTATCATATTTTATGATGACACATAAATGAATGATTGGATGACTGGTTAAAGTTACCAGAAATCCGCCTTCGGGATAACTGATGAGTTTACTAAGATGTGTGTGTGTGTGTGTGTGTGTTTGTGTGTGTGTCTGTGTGTAATCTGAATTTTTCAACACCAGATTTTTTTTGTTTCAAAACACTTTATTTTTGTGTTGATTATAAAATGTTAATTATAGAAATACGTTTTCACTAGCTTGTAATTAGCTTCATTACATCAGAAAGAAACTACTACTTACCTTTTCTAGATGTGCACAGTGGAGAACTCATTTCTATTATGCCAAGTGATAATTTCCTGAACAATCTCACACATTTTTTAAAAGACTAATTAAGCTTTTATTTTTATCTACTTTACCTAATCCAAATAGTAATCATTTTATAACCTTGACCAAATTATAAATGTTAAGAAGCTTAAGAGGGGGAAATAAAAAAAGAAACCTTTATTAAATAATGGAAAACCTAATAATTTAATAAATAATGAAACTACCTGCAGCATAGTTCCCCTAATTATGTTAAACTCTTCCTATGAAGTGAGATGCTCCAAAATCATCATCAGTTACATATTATCATATTTGCTGCACTGTTTTTGCTTTCTGATACTAGTGTCATCAGTTCCATTTCCTCACTATTTTTGCCACTATTTGTCACTATTTTTGGCATACATGACACTCTCAAGCCTATCTCTCCCAACATACATATTTGTATTAGTCTCATGCTGCTAATTAAGGCATACTCAAGACTGGGTAATTTATTAAAAAATAGAGGCTTAATTGACTTATAGTTACACATGGCTGGGGAGGCCTCACAATCATGGCAGAAGGCAAATGAGGAGCAAAGTCACGTCTTACATGGCAGCAGGCAAGAGAGCTTATGCAGGGGTATTCCCATTTATAAAACCATCAGATCTCGTGAGACTTATTCACGTCCACAAGAACAGCAGTGAGGAAGCCGCCCTCATGATTCAATTATCTCCACCTGGCCCTGCCCTGGACACTTCAGGATTATTACAATTCAAGGTGAGATTTGGGTGGGGGCACAGCCAAACTATATCAACATTGCTTAATATAAAAAATTTCTTGAATTTCAACTGGAGTGATGACTTACGTGAAATAATTTAGTAACATTAGTTTTCTTCCTTTTTTCTGATCTTCATAATCTGGAAATGAAAGCATAATTTCCCATGTCAGTCAGTTTTTGATGAATTTTTGGTGCTTAGAACAGTTATTTCAAATACAGATATTTGAAAATGCCATAAAACAATGGAAGCCCATAGAAATATCATATTAATACACTTAACCAGATGTAAAACATCTTTTCTAATCAATATTTCATGTAACAAAAGGAGCATTTGGCATAGATGTAACACCCTAAGTGGGCTGTCATTGTCAAGGACCTTAGACAGAGCTGAGACTTCCCTAATTATTATAAATAAGTTATGGCATGTGTTCTGATTTTTTTCAGACATAGCTTCCCATGCTAATAAAATTACAATATTAATCTGAATAATAATATTGATGACGTGGTGCCTAATTCTATTCAACAAACATTTTTAAGCTTACCATATCAATGTATCATTTACATGTTACCATGGATAATCAGAGATGCATAAAGGAATCAATTTTTGCCATCAAATACTTTTTATTATTTTATTGATCAAATTGGTGTGCCAGTCATAACACTCAGTTTATCTTTATACATAATACAAATTGTCACTTATATATGCAAAAAAAACTATTTAAAATGTTTATATGGACAGAAGATAGAGTCAAGAAAATATCTTCCAAAAGAACAATAGCATATATTACAGTAATGAGAACTAGTGATGTACCAATAAACACAGCAATACATATCATTTCAAACAATTAGTAAGAGAGTCTAGATATAATGGTTAAAAACTGCATAATTCCACTTATATTTTTTAAATAGGCAAAACTCATCTTTAGGGTTAGAAATAAGTATAGTGTTTACCTTTGAGAGGAAACTTACTTCAAGACAACAGGAAGCACTATATGTTATTGAAATGTTTTCTTCCTTGACCAAAATGCTAGTTACACAGGTGTGGTCACTTTGTAACATTTTATAGAACTGTACATTTCTGATCTTTGTACTTCTCTGCATGTATGCTATATTTTAAAATTTATTCCAATACATAGAAACAACACTAAGTGAAGACATAAGCTATTTGAATAACACTTACAAAATACAGAAAACAACTTATTACCAATTAAGAGGAATAATATACATTTTTGCAGGCATTAACTTTCTTTGTCTTTTGGAAAACTCTTGGTTTTTTAAAAAAATAAAGAAAGAAAATAACGCTGAGGAAAGTAATATTAATTACCATAATTATTGAGGACAGAATAAAAATTATCACTGAATTATTAAGATTGGTTATGATACGCTGAATCAAATAGACTGAAATTAGGGACTATATTATAGGTTTTTGTTTCATTGATTCTGAATAAGAAAACAAAAATTGTCCTCATGTAAATGTGTTGAATTGCAGAAAAATGTCTTTCTCATGTTTCACTCAATTGATTTCTGGGATAGGAGACTGACCTCATTTAAATTAGAAAACAAATATTTTGATGGTGCATTAAGTTTAATATTTTGTGAATTTATATATGATTTCTAATTAATTTACCATAACTTCACTGACCACCTTTTTCAAGATGTGATGAATATAATTACTGTTTTACTGAGTAGTATTGTTATAAAGTATAACTTAAAAACCAAAGATATTTTATTGAGTTTACTTCTTAATGTCTTCATACATAATCCTGAATTTCATTTGAAATAATGAGTCTTTGGATATTTTGTAGGCTTTTGAATGAGATTATTTTACATTTAAATATTGAGTTCAATAAGAAGTGTGCTAATAACTCTGTTCCAGTAAAATAAAGAAATAAAGCATAAAATATACACACATATGTATATTATACATATATAACATATATTTTGTATTATGTACACAAAATTTACGTTGATAAAAAAAGCAAGAAATAAAATCAGCAGGGTGATTTTATCAAAGACATGATGTTCGTGATTTAATTTCCTGAAAGCTCCAGGTCTATGAATAAATTGCTTCACAGAGATTTGGAAGGAAGGGGAAAACAGTCTCAAAATATCAATCTCCACCTAAAGTATATATATGGTGGAGTTCATATCGGTGAAACTATCTTTTTTTCCAATTCCATAGGTTTATTTTAAAAAGCATTGGTTTTATTTAATATAGTAACTATCTTATGTAGTCTAATGCTGTTCTTTTTATCATATTTCCACCTTTTTCTTTAAAGATTGGCCATTATAAAAACTATTTTGGACTGGCAATAGATCATTTAATCAAAATCAAGTTAAATCTGTGAATAATGAGCTGTGCAGAGATCTCAAATATTTTAACTCTGAACATTTATCAGTAAAACAACATCATTTTATTACTACGAAACATGGGGACTTTTCATTTGCAATATTAGTGTTGATGGGGGTTCTGACTCATTGTTCTAGTAAAAATACCCATAATTCATCATCTACAATTTTTAATTTAGATTTCTTTAAAGTGTTGTGTAAGCATGCACATTGTACCCTTTAATATTTGTATGACTCAAGTTGTTTAACAATTTTAAATTTAGTGCCATGACATTAAGAATTTTCAAAGATTCACTTTTTTCAATAGTAACATTTATTCTTTTTAAAATTTGGTTCATATAAGATGTAATTAAGTTATGTAATTTCAATAACAAGAACAGAAGGCACAAACCAGTTTGGGAACAAATGTGACTAACTTTCCACAAACATGCAGCTCAACTGCAGAGAGCAGAGTTCACTAGCACGTTAAAAAGTGGCCCAGGAGTAGTGAAAACACAGCCTTCCAAGAGCATAATTCCATATGCTTCACAGAAGAAATGGAGTAGGCAGGTTGATCCAGGGAATTAGTTAAACTAGGTCTGTTGGGACAAGTTTCAACCACATATGACTCATTTTCATTAAAATCTAAACATACATTTTATATTCTTTGGAATCAGAAAATGTGACTGTATTGTCTGAGATATATCTCAGACAATTATAGCTAAACCTCTTCTTTATGTCAGATCCCGAGGCCGATAAATCTGGGTATGTTACGCAACCACAGGAGCTTTAGAATTACTATGAGAACAAGTTCATCCTCACCCAAAGGACAAATAATTTCCGGGTTTGGTTGATTCTACCTTTATTCGTAGCTGCATAAATACCCTGGCAATGACAGCACAGTTCCAACTAGGCAATACAAAGAGGTCAGTCTCATCTGGAACACGAACTTCTCATGGAGGAAAACCTCTGCTATCGTGCTTTTTCTGCCCTTTATCATTTTGCAGATAATAATTTAGAAGACAAATAACCAGAAATGCAATGAGTTGATAGAAGGAAAATGTCACCAGACAACACTTCCTGATGATTAAGAACAAAACGAAACAAAAACCAAAGCATTCTTTAAAATATTTGTATCTTGTACATATTTAATTTGCCTGAGACAAAAGAATTGAAATAAATGATGATAAATCTGTGCATATATCCTGTGCACATCTATGTTATTATTTATTTCATCTTGTAGTTTAATTGTTAGCTATTCTTCTCTCTCACCAACTAGAAAGCAACTGGGTAAAAAATGAAATTCTGTCCTTTTGAGTCTCTAATATTTACTTTAATGAATAATATATGCTGGTTTGCAGGGGGGAAAAAGTGAATTCATGGATATTTATCAAGCAATTTCTTTTTTTTTTTTTTTTTTTTTGAGACGGAGTCTCGCTCTGTTGCCCAGGCTGGAGTGCAGTGGCGCAATCTCAGCTCACTGCAAGCTCTGCCTCCCGGGTTCACTCCATTCTCCTGCCTCAGTCTCCCGAGTAGCTGCAACTACTGGCACCCGCCACCACACCTGGCTAATTTTTTTTTTATTTTTGGTAGAGATGGGGTTTCACCGCGTTAACCAAGAGGTCTTGATCTCCTGACCTCGTGATCCACCCGGCTCAGCCTCCCTAAGTCCTGGGATTACAGGCGTGAGCCACCACGCCCGGCCCCTTATCAAGCAAATTCTGTAGATAGAAAGTAGAGAAAACTACTCTTGAGCTAGAAAACAAGAGCTTTGCCTTGATATCCAAAGATAAATTCAAGAAATTACTATTCAAGATAAAGACTTGGCAATACTATCATATTTGAGAACTTGCTGAAAATCAGAAAATGTTATGTGAAACCTGAGTGTAGGCTTGAAAATAAGTTAAATTATTTTATTTAAAATAGTCATATATAAAAATTGGCATGAGATACTCATGGTTGCAGCTCTTCCACATTTATAAGAACAAAATAATTAAAACATAAATATAAGTAAAACTACAAAATCAATTATATTAAGTTGATTAATATAATTATCAAGATCATTATTTTTAATAAAATTAAAATGTATTCTCTTAAAAGCATTCAAGTCATTAATTAAATTACACATTAATTTCATGTGGTTGATTGTGTTTTGTTACAACTTAACCACAAATAACTGATGGCATATTATGTACATAAACTTAGGTTTTACATTTCATTTGATTTTGACTTTTGTGCATGGAAAGAGTCATTTATATGAACACCTTTATCACAGTAATTGCATTTTGTTTTTTTACAATGTCTTATTTAACCACTAAGCAGTTTATCAATTCAATAGCACCTTCTGAGCCATAAAATTGAAAAGTATAATTTCTGATGAAAAAATCATTTTACATTTATTAACAATTTTATAGTAATAAAATTGCACATATGAACGAATCATGAAATTATTTAGAATAAAGTATAGCACTTTGTACTTACACATATTTTCAGAAAGTAATTATCACTCTTCCCATTTTACAGATGAGAAGACTAGCCTCAAGAAAGTGACTTAAGCTAATAAGTGCCGGCACTGAGATTCAAACCCAAATTCCCTAACTCAAGTTTTTTGTGCTTTTAATCAATAATACTCTATAATATCTGACTGTTGAATAAATTTCCCAATATTACAATTAGGTAGAAAGTTCAAATAAGAACCCTTGTCTCTACACTTTTAAATCAAAACTCTTTTTCATACAATGTCTTCTGATCTCAATTATTTTATTGTGCTTTTATGGCAGTTGAGTTATGAATATGCCCTTTTTATTTGGCCTATTTGTTCTCATGGAACAAGAATTGTTTGCTAATTTTGTCTGAAATGACATTTGCAAATAGGAGATTTTAGATAGTGGTAAAAATAAAATAATCAGCTTTTGGCAGTAATGGAAAGTGTACTTAAATTGCAGAATATGTTTCATTATAAAATGTTAAAGTAAAATATCACAGCACACCAAAAATTCTTTGTATTTGATTTAGTACTACTGTCATTGGTGGTAGTCATGACTTATTAAAGTAGTAAAATAAATGTGTAAAACTTGATATGAGAAAATTATGTAGCATTTATTATGCTGAGCCTGTTTCTGTAATAGGAAACATTGTAGTTGTGCGGTCAAATAATTGTAGAGATTAGAAGCACTGGGAAATTGTTGCTATTTTTATTTAGAGGAATTAAAAGTTACAAAATGAAAAAAAAAGTAGAGGGGAAAATGCAATTCTAAATAAGGCTAAATCAACGATAGTAAAGTTTATGTGGATGAGTGAATCGGGTAAACTAACAGGGGAAGTTTAAGGAAAAATAAATTCATGAGTTCCCATTTTACACATATATTCCCAAGAAGAAAACTTTTAGAGATTGTTTTTTTCACTAGCTCCTATTTTTAAAATTTCTCAGGAAGAAGACGATAAAGTGGGGCAGGTAGAGGTGGGAAAAGTATATGAAAGGGAATTACCAGGGATCCAAAACAATGTATAAGATGCATCATTTACATGATCTTACCTAATGGACATAATTAATAATAAAGAGTTAGAATTTGGCTATGCAGATTTATCTCATTAAAGACATTTGTTTGTGGCTGCTAGTAGAAAATTATAAAGCATATGAATCCATAATAAATAGAAGTAATATCTCCTGGGACTTTTTTAGCTTATAAAGTACACTCATGGGCCTTGTTTCATTTAATTTTTATAATACTCTTGAGAGGTAATATTATAGCCTATTTACGGAATGAAAAACAATATTCTGTGAATGCAATGGAGGCCAGATTTCAGAAGTTAGAGTTTGTCTCTAAGAGAACCTTGTAGCTAGAGATCCTAGGACACTGGCAGGATGAGTGAGGACTGAGGATGGGAACAGAATCAAATATAATTAAAGAAAGAAGGGGAAACCCAGGAAGTAAAGCAGAGGATACAATGTTGTTAACAGGAGTTATAGGCTGGGCATGGCGGCTCACTTATGTAATCCAGCATTTCAAGAGGCTGAGGAGGGAGGATTGCTTGAGACTAGGGGTTTGATACCAGCCTGGGCAACTTGGCCAGACCTGTCTCGACAAACACTAAAAATAATCAATTAGCCGGGCATGGTGGCATGCACCTGTGGTCCCCACTACACTGAAGACTGAGGTGGGAGGATCACTTGAGCCCAGGAGGTCAAGGCTACAGTGACCTGTATTTGCACCACTGCACTCCAGAGCCTGGGTAACACAGCAAGACACTGAAAAAAAAAAGTTACAAAAATGATTGAATAATGTGCTTTTAAAAATTAAAATAGAACCTTTGAACCTTTATCTCTACTATCTTAAAATCCTAGGTACCTTGATCATCTGCATGCCCTGATAATTCAGCTCATCTATCATGACAGATTTACAGTTTACAGAGTTACAGCTTTGTGGGACTATTGCAACTAGAATTTCAGTTTGTGGCCCAGAAGTGAAGAAAGGAAGAGATATTAATCATCTCCTACCTTTGTCTGCTCCAACATCATAAGATAAAAATATTTTAAATCACAGCCAAACAGTTTTTCTATGAATGAAAACTAAGCAGATGACAATATTTTTCTATGCAAATGTTTGGCAAACTACTACCGTAAGAGAGCCAGGGAGCAGAGTTTATTGCATTTCATGTCAATTTAACCTTGTTCTTCTTCAGAGAAGTTAATTCACCCATATTGTTACTATTGTTACGTAAATCTTTCTTTAAAAGACCTTCTTGAATGACATATCACTAATTTTCCAATTTGTGCTAGAAATCCATCAAACTTCATAATTGATAGTTTGGGGGAAGAGATACTATGTTTTGAAATGAGTGGCCTGTATGCCACAATAAACAAAAAAAAAACACTTTTTATTTTTATTACTCAACTCATATAAAAGTATACTTCAAAGGACAGAGGGAAAATGGTTCTCATTGGAAAAAACAAGTTTGATGTCTGTCTTAGAAGTCTTGTCTTGTATGCAAGTAGGTAGGTCAGGTGAATAAGAAAGTGTAGGTAGGGTAGGTTAAAATTAGCTGCCATAGGCAAGATAATACCATCATCTAGGTCTCTTTACATTGAGATTAGAGTTTATGCTCAAATGGCACAATAAAGACAATTTATGATTCCCCTTTCTCTTTCCCAAATAGTGTGATTCTTTTTCTTTGACTTGTGCCTTGCATATACACGGTCACTTCATGACAGAAGGGTCACACTGACTTATAAGAGGTATTTTAAAATAACACAATGCCTCATTATCAGAGAGATTTAATAGACAAAAGCAAAAATATAGACAGAAAAACAATTGATAAAAAAGGAGGAACATCTAACTAAAATGCCAATATTTTCATTCCAATATACAACTCAACAAATTAAGTAGAGATGAAAAATCAAAAGAGATGCATTCCACCTAGAAGTTATTCCTAATTTTGCTTCTTTTATATTCTTATTACTAAGATCTATTTGTTAAAAATACTGTAACAAGTGTGACTTTTAATTTTGGGACACGATTGTAAAGAATATTAAATTTTGCTAATTAGTAAAATTCAAAAGGAAGCCTTTTGTGATTAGAACTCTAATTATGTAATTTTCTATTCTAATCTCCAGTTCATTTTAACATTCATCAAGTCAGCAAATAGCACAATTTATAAGGAAAATAAATCATGAGAAGCTGTGCTATAAAATACAAAGCAAAAATGGCAAGAAACATGTTAATATGAGGCTACATCAAGGTTTAATAGTGACGCATAACACAATGTTGGTATTTAATCATTTTAATCTGCGTTCAATATTCTCATTATACATAAATCATAATGACCTGGCTAGGTATTGGATGATGTCCAAATTTATCAAATCTGAAAAACTTAGACCATATTATCAAGGTTAAGGAGATCAGAACATTTGTACAGGAAGTCATCCTTCTTGTTAATGCAGAGGAACATTAATTCATTAAACCAGAAATGTATATTTAAGACACTCTACATGCAATTTTAGAGACTTTGGGAGAATAACCACTGGTTTATGTCATTCCTGCACTTACAGAACAAGGTTATACACTGTTCAGACACTGTGATCATGCTATATGTATCTGGATTTACAGCCTATAACACAATGCAAATCATAGAGCATGGGTTACTAAATATTTGTGAAATCAACTTAGACATCAAGGGATTGAAAGTTTGTATGGTTGTGTGGATTGAGGTGGGGATAGGAGATAAAGGATAAGGCTTAATTTTCTGATTCCTAAATAAAAAAGTAATTGGCACAGGGAGCTCTAGATTTAGAAGGAAGGGGCATAGGAATGAGGAAGAGAGAAGTCCATGCATGTAAAGAGCTAGCCTCTAGCAGGCTGGTTTCTAAATGGCCAAGTACATGAAAATAAATTATTATTGAAACTATGACTCCAATAGGATTTACGTCTACATATGCAGAAGAGGTGTTTCAAGACAGAAACAAAGCTCCTGCCACTTGTTACCAAAACGTGTTGTAATAATAATGTGGCATTTGGCATTCAGCCACCATCAGAATGCTGTGTGCTCTAAGATGTCTTCTTTTCTCCAAGGGTGATATAGAAATGTTACTGATTTTTTTTTCTTTGAACTGTTGCTTGATGACCTATACTTGATGGCTTATTGGTATGATCTGGGGCCATGCAGCAAAGGAAAGGTAACTGAGGTACCACTGAAGATAAAACAGATGAGATCGTTCTGTGAGCAGGGTCTTCTGTAAACATGGGACTCAAGAAGACCTTGCTTTGTTAACAAGACTTCCCTGGAAAACACTAAAGAAGATTTCCGGGACATTTTGCTCGAATTGCTGAACAACATCAGGAGATCTAAAATTTAAGTTTTCAGAAATTCATGAGTCTGGGACCTGTGAACAGAGAGAGCATCATGTTTCACCAATAATGGAATTCAGTGTCCATCTTATATAAAAAAGCATCTGTCTCTAGAACAGCAGGATAGCTGAACATATCCTTAAGCCAATTAGTTTCCTTGCATTGTAGCTTTGTTCTGCATTGCTATTTCAACAGCTCATTACTACGTTAATGAATACAGCTTCAGGGATGGACACTTGTACAGTTGGTGAAAGTTTGACCTCTCCAAAACTGAGAACCTAATTACTTCTTCACGTAGAGGAACAATTTAAAGACCAATTTAAAGTTTATTGCTCTTTCTATAGATGAATGTAAAACTTCTTATTGATTCACCTGGATTTAAAATAACAATGAGAGTTGACATAGCTTAATGACTACATTCTTTTGTTACTAAAATATGTCTGTAATATGTAATTCTGACTCATCTCTGAATAGCAATATTTTATGAATAAAAAATATAATATTTGGTCATTTAATCTCAGAACCTAAAATGTAATTTTTCAATGTGTCTGACATATACCAGGCATAAAATAAATATTTTTTAATAAAACGATGAAAGCTGAATTAAAGACAAAAATTCAAGCAAAAGAAATAAAATTATTTCACATATTATAAAATGTGTTTTAAAATGTTAGAAGTATGTATAAAAACAAAAAAAAAATTGAATGCGAATCCAAGTAAAAAATAGTATTTTTATATCAGTTATTTGGATTTTTAAAACTCAAGATGTGGCTTGCATAGATGTTTTTATTGTTGCATTTTCTTTGGATAATTTCATTTTACATTTTATAATATGTTTAGCCTTGGTTTAACAATATAAACAGAGTTTTTCTTCTGTCATTGTCCATAAAAATAAAGAACTCAGTGTAATAAGCTACTTATCAAGAATCAAATACATTGTCCTCAGAAATACTTTGTAATAAACTCTTCAACAATGAATAAAGTTAAAATGCTTTTAATGAAATTTTATTTTTCTATTGTTGGAATTGTTGAAATTATTAATAACTTGAAGGTGCTTTCTATATCAATATTCAATCTGCTTAACTCGTTCTTTGGTGTTTCAAGTGATCTGTGCAGAAGAGAACACTTTTGCTGACCCTTGGTTTACCTCAAAGCCATAGGCTTAAAGGAATCAGGTGAAATTGCAGATTTCAAGTCAGTGGCCTTGAAACAGCTATAGCTATGCTTATTGCCTGACACATCCATCAGGCACTACATGTGATTGACTGCACTGTTTCTGAGGCTGTGAAACTGATCACCAGAATGAAGGATTTTTCCATCTGCATTAAAGCACAAAAGTCATTTTAAAGGCCAGTTTTAGGAAGGTGAGCAATAACTGTCATCAACAACTAAAATTTCACAACCACTTGAACACTGGCCCAGGAGCCTAAAATATGAAAAGAAGAACAGGCTTCAAGTGACTGACACCTTTCCGTTTTTGGGAGTTCATGGTGAATTTATTAATATGGTTTAAATTAAAGACTCTTTTTATAACGACAGCTTTTCTTTTTGTGATTTCGATCTAATATTTTTGTTCTTTTGTGAAAGCATCATATATTTTCTTGAGTAAGGAAACTTTTATAAAGCTTTGATTTTTGCACCATTGTACAGGATTTAATACGATCCTTCTTTCATTATCTGTTCTCAAGAGTTAGATCTCTTTATATTTGGCCAGTTCAAACAGGGCAGAAAGTTTGCACAGTGAATATAATCTGGCACAAAGCTTTTGGATTCACCCATCCTTCTCAGAAAAAGCAAGTGTATGGATGAACTAGAGAGAGCTATACAGCCTAATACTTCTAGACCATTCTGAAAGAGGCTCCTGTCAATAATCATTGCTGGGTTTACTTTTCCTTTGCCCTCACACTTTTTCACTCTTCTCATTGCCTCAGTTTTTTTTTCTTATTTTCATTCATACACACTCATTTTGGAATTCACTTACAGCGATAATCTTTTTTGCCAACCAAATTGAAAGAGTATTTCTAATCTTGTTAATGTTTCAGATTTTAAGAAGTGTTAAGATACTTACAAAAATAGTGCAGCAGTCATTTTATCATAAAAGTATAAATAACAAAGAGTAGAAGGAAATAGCCTCCTCCCACAGATTCATTAAGTTATCAGCATACAAAATGAGTTAAATATACTAAAGTGAAATGACAGTTGATCCATCATTAGTCAAACAGATATGGGCTTGGATCCTAGGTTTAACACCCATTTTAGGCAAGATAGTTTGCCTGCCTAAATCTCAGTTCCTCCTTTTTAAAATCTGAAAATAATGCCAAATTAATATAGTAATGAATATGAAATGACATAATATATGTGAAATATCTGTTAAGGGGAAAGAAATGTAGTAAGAGCTCAATAATTGCTTCTATTTTAGTCCTTCTCGTTAGTGTTTCAACAAAAGAAATAATACCTGTTCTAACTGAATCTATAACAGCAAGTTGATCTTTCCCACAGATCCCTTTTACAGTATGTCATCACAAAAATATTTTCAAATGGGTAAAACTAGCAGTAAACCATTATAAATAATGTTGGAATCATTTTTATATCTTTGATAATCTATTTTTATTCAGGCTAAGATAGATACATATTGATATCAGAGACACACATTTCTACAAATTAAATAAGATGCATATGAGAATATACATGTAAATATATACAGATATATATATTTATATACACATTATTCAAAAGACTATCATTATGTGATATTTAAGTTTGTGGACTGATTTGATGCAAACTCTGAAAAGAAGCAATCATTGAGGAAAATATGTATTTATACAATGAACATTGGTAACTATACAAACTCTAAAATTGGGCTTCACAATTCCCATTTACAGTGGATTAACTAGAGCATTGGACACTCCAGTAATCAATTTAAGTTTGCATGTTGAAATGGTCAGAAGTTGATATATTCAGAGTTAGTAAAGCAATCTGATAATCACGTGTCAGATAATAAACAAATGGGGTGGCATTGTTTAAATTCTCTAGTGAAATATTCATGTAGATTATTTGAGATTCCGTTCATACAATATTAAACAATTTTACGAGAAAATTACTCTTTATTTCTAAATTTATTCCAAAAAAAGATCATAGAATAATTCAGCCTTATATTATTGAATCATTATGCAATTAAGATCCATAAATACAGAATTACACATTTTAAATGTGTCCAACTTTAAATGGACAATTGCCTTTTATAGGTGTTTAATAGCAAACTTGCACAAATATGTAGCTATAAAATGTGCTATATATCTTGAAAAGTCAACTTTTAAAATATAATGTGAGAAATGATTGTTCAATTGTACCTGAATCAGATACCTCTACTATTAACAATCGGAGACATCTCCTGCGGCTTTTCCCATTTGAATTGAAAGTTGCAGAAAGGGATAATCTAATTCAAAGAGCTCAAAAGAAACCTAAGTATTCAATTGAGGTTACTCATTTATTTCAGACAGGATCCAACCAGAATTTTGAAAAGGTATTCTAATCATGTATAAAAACTAGTCAAGGAAAAATCACCACACTTGGCATGTTATTATGTATTCTGAAAATAAAATTGTCTCAGATATGGAAATACCAGAATCAACACAAATAAACAAGCAACTTCACAAAAGTAGAACATAATGATTCTCCTTTGTATATCATTCATGTCCCTCTCCAAAAAAAATAAAATAAAATCCTAGATAATAACAATTTAATATGGTACACTAAGAAAATAAAACTGCTGGCCGGGCATGGTGGCTCACACCTGTAATCACAGCACTTTGGGAGGCCAAGGTGGGTGGATAACCTGAGGCCAGGAGTTCGAGACTAGCCTGGGCAACATGGTGAAACCCCGTCTCTACTAAAAATACAAAAATTTGCCAGGCATGGTGGCACACACCTGTAATCCCAGCTACTTGGGAGGCTGAGGCAGGAGGATCACTTGAACCTGGGAGGCAGAGGTTGCAATGAGCTGAAATTACGCCACTACACTGCAGCCTGGGCAACAGAGCCAGACTCTGTCTCAAAAAAAAAGAAAAGTAAAGAAAACCCCTGACACTCACTTCAGTAAAGAATAATGGACTGAGACGCAGAGCACTGAACTCCAAAACTAAATATACCAGATTCTTTCAAACTGAATAAACTGCTGCATGTTCTCATAAGTGGGAGCTAAACTTTGGAGTACATGTGGACACAAAGAAAGGAACAAGAGACATTGAGGCCTACTTGGTGGAAAATGGGAGGAAGGTGAGGATTGAAAAACTACCCACAGGGTACTTTGCTGATTTCCCAAGTGACAAAATAATCTGTATACCAAACCCCCATGATACGCAATTTTCCCATGTAACAAATCTGCACATGTACCCCTGAATCTAAAAGAAAAGGTAACAAAAAATAAATAAACTAGAGGAAGCCATGAAAAATTTTTGGACTTCAGTTTTTGTTGGTGTTGTTGTTGCTGCTGTTTTATACAGAAGAGTTTTGAAATTCAATTTTTGTCTGTATAAAAAAGAATGAAATGATTCTTTAGGGTGCATTTTAATTCTGTAAAAGATTTAAAAAACTAAATTATAAAATATAGTAATTCAGTCATGAGATGAAGGAAAGTTCTCTGGCCTATTTATAGCATGCAAAATTCAAAATTTTACTTACACCCTCTTGAATATAAACAAAATATTTCCTTACAAGTTAGTTATTTTAAAAAATTTTGTTTGTTTGCTTGCTTTTTATCATTTGATATGGAGAAGCTTTGTCCCTGTATTCTCGTACCTGCTAGAAAAGTAAAAACCAACATATCCCACGTTATTTAAATGACATTAAAACCATACTTCCCTTTTCTTGGTCCCAATGTGCCCTGTGAAATTTCCCCTGTATTAGAAAAATTTTCTAAAACAGTATTCAAATAAAGCTGATTTCAAATTCCATGCTATTTATATTCACTGTAATGATTCCAATTATAAATGCCTCTTTCTAAATTCAACTGGACTTTCATTACTACCTAAAAATTCTAAGAATATAAACTTGATCTCATCCCATCTTACATTTTAGGAAATGGTTTCATCAATCATTTTCATTCATGTCTATTCTTTTGACACTTATACTTAACAAATTGCACAGTGCCAAATATATACTAAAAACTCAGAAATTTACATGATAATTTGTTTTAAAAAGCCACATTATTGTTTTCCATTGACTACTTTGTCATTTGAAAGGCAATAACCACATTAAAAAAAATTCTCCCATTTAACCCCCATAAAATATCTCAAAGAGTAGTCTCTGCTTGTTAGAGGTCCCTTCTCTCACAATCTAACTGCTTAATCTCTGGATATGTAGATACTCTGTTGCCACCAATTTAATAAATCTTGTAATACATCATTGACTTTCAAAGGCTCAAACTGACATTTTATTTGGGTCTCATTTTTTGTGACCACTCTAAAAAAATTGCCCTAGCGAATGTGCCTTCCTTGTTAAAATGCAGTCCTCTCTTGCTTTCAGAACACAGTACTGTTATGACTCATATAAATCTCTGCCACGTCTTATAAAATGGATAAGGACACAGTTCTTTCATTTTTATAAGTGATTGCATAATTCTTATTTTTGTGTAGTGTAGTGTCTCGCCCCAAAGTCCTGCAGCTATCTTCAAGATTTATCATACACCCTGGTAGTCTTTGGATATAGGCTTGCTTTCAAACATCAACTAGGAAGAAGTAGAGTGTCTCTTCATCCTGCTGCAGTACTAATGCTCATCTTAATCTAATCCTTTTACTGCCAGTCTCAGCTTCTTGTAATTCACCTATACTGTTCATCTATTGTTCCTGAAGTGCAAACACTCTGATGGGGTGGCTGAGTCTAGATGGATTCCATGAGCGTCTATATTCTTAGGCTAAATTTGGATTTGGATCCACTTATGGATATGATTCCTTTGAATACGCAAGACCTTGTGTGTGTGTGTGTGTGTGTGTGTGGGTGGGTGGGTGGGTGGGTGGGGAAAGGGGTATCTGTCTTAAGTCAGGAACATGCCATCTCTCATCTCCTGTAGAGCTTTTAATATTATTGAATTCCAACAAAAGAGAAAAGATAATCTAAATCCCACTTCTTTCAGGAGTCTTATTAATTTTTGTGCCTATTTCTGCTCCTCCTTCCCCCTTACCAGCTTCCCCCAAAAGGTGTTGATGTGAGGAAAAGAAACCTCTGTTAGACCGGTAAAGATTCAGTGATGTGACTGATTACTTAACAAGGATTAGCAAGTGTAAAAGGAGCCTGTGCCCTGAAAGCTCACTTGGGGCTTTCTGGATTTTGTTCTGCTTCCAATCATGAAGCAGAAAGAAGTGTTTCCTCATCTCACTGTACTGGGGATGCTCTTGCTTGTTCAATCTGATGCTTTAAGGTGACATTCTGTATCATCTCAGACCCAAAGGAAGCTGGAGAAAGAGAGAGGGAAACAGAGAGAGAAAAGAGAAAGAGAGATAGAGACAGAGATACATACACATGCAACCACATTCAAAAAGGAAACTATGAACACTACATCTACATTTCTCCTCAATTCTTCAACATTTAAATATATCATAAACATTGATAGGAAAGTCATAGCAAAATATGCATGAACAAGTAGCCATAACTGTTATATAGACAATGCTTGATAATTATTTTGAAATGTAATTACATAAAATTTTAATTTGTAAAAGATTGCAAAGATTAGAGACCTCTTAAGATTTAAGATGTTATTAATCTTCAAGACATATTGGTCAGGTGGATTTAAATTATATCTAACCTTCAGTGGTTCCATATGTGAGTAACTTTTATTAAATATTTGTTATGGTCATGGATTACTTAGAACTTTGCTAAAACAAAATAGAGGAGATCCATGATCCTATTATGTAGCTTGTGAATTATGCATGAAATTTACGTTACATTCAGCTGCTACCAAAGATGAACAGAAGTACAGGGAGAAAAGGGATACCCAAGTCATGCATTTCACAAGGTCTTAGAGCATCAAAAGAGAATGACTGAAAAAGTTTTTTTGGCTGTTAGGCAAGATTGACATATATTTTCTGCCCCCCAAAACTTTTAATAAATGAAATTAAATGTATCAAGTACCTAAGAGAATAAAAGATATCTCAGATTATAATGAAGGGCACCAGAGAAAATTTAAATAATAAAACATTACCTTTAGGAATTTGCAATCTGTTTAGGAAAACAGACATGGTAACGAGAAGGTACAGAGCAGTTACCTACAAGTGTAGATTCGCATTGTCAAACACCCAATTATGGCATTCATTATACAAATGAACAAAAGGGAAACAAAACGAACATTGTGCTCAAGGCCACAGCAGAGATCAAAGGCAGGAAACTGAACATGGGAGTAATGAAAATAAATTGTAGGTCTTCAAAATGGAGTTTTGTTTTTCTAAAACAATGTAGATTAATCATTTAGGGTAAATTTGGCTAAAGTGGTTTATAGAAACAAACACATTTTTCTAAATTTGATAAATGTAAGAGATAGTTTTTAAGTGTGTGAATGTGAGAATAAATTAGTGCCAGTTAGAAAAATAATTTATTCATAGATTTCTCTTTTAGTGTTCTTCAAATATTTCTAGTGTGTATTTTGTTATTATTATTGTTATTATTATTATTTGAGTTTGTAGGCTGACGTTTTTTGACTTTTAGTTTAGGATCAGGAGTACATCCGCAGGTTTGTTATATGGGTAAATTGTGTGTCACAAGGGTTTGGTGTACAGATTATTTTGTCACGCAGGTAATAAGCATAGAACAAGATAGGTAGCTTTTCCAACCTCTCTCTCCTCCCACCTACAACTGTCAAATAGGCCCTGATGTCTATTGTTTCCTTCTTTGTGTCCATATATTCTCAAGGTTTAGCTTCCACTTACAAGTGAGAACATGCAGTATTTGTTTTTTTCTGTTTCTCTGTTTAGTTCACTTAGGATAATGGCCTCCAGCTCTGTCCATATTGCTGTAAAAGACATGATCTTGTTCTTTTCTATGGCTGCGTAATATTCCCTGGTGTATATGTACCATATTTACTTTATTCAGTTGACCATTGATGGGCATGTGTGCTGATTCCATTCCTTTCCTATTGTGAATACTGCTGCAATGAATATACCCATCCATATATCCTTATAGTAGAACAATTTAAATTCCTTTGGGTACACACCCAATAATGGGATTGCTAGGTCAAATGGTAATTCTGCTTTCAGCCTTGAAGAAATCTCCAAACTGCTTTCCACAATGGCTGAGCTCATTTACATTCCCACCAGCAGTATTTTAAGTGTTCCATTTTCTCCACAACCTCACCAGCATGTTATTTTTTGGCTTTTTAGTAATAGCCATTCTGACTGCTGTGAGATGGTATCTCATTGTAGTTTTGATTTCCATTTCTTTAATGATTAGTGACGTTGAACATTTTTTCACGTGATTGTTGACCATGTGTATGTCTTCTTTTGAAAAAATGTCTGTTCATGTCTTTTGCCCACTATTTTAAGGCATTGTTTATTTTTGCTTGTTAATTTGTTTTCGCTCCTTATAGATTTTGGATATTAGACCATTGGCAGATGCATAGTTTACAAATACTCTCTCCCATTCTGTAGGCTATCCATTCACTCTGTTGATAGTTTCTTTTGCTGTGCAGAAGCTCTTTAGTTAGGTCCCAGTAGTCTATTTTTGTTTTTGGTGCAATTATTTTGGGAGTCTTTGCATGAAATCTTTGCCAGGTTCTGCGTACAAAATGGTGTTTCCTAGGTTATCTTTCAGGGTTTTTATAGTTTGAGGTTTTAAATTTAAGTCTTTAATCCATCTTGAGTTGATATTTGTGTATGGTATAAGGAAGGGACCCAGTTTCCAACTTCTGCATATGGCTAGCCAGTTAACCCAGCACTGTATATTGAATAGGGAGTCCTTTCACCATTGCTTGTTTTTGTCAACTTTGTTAAAGATCAGATGGTTGTAGGAATGCAGTGTTATTTCTGGGCTACCTATTCTGTTACAATAGTCTATGTGTCTGTTTTTGTACCAGTACCATGTTGTTTCGGTTACTGTAACCTTGTAGTATAGCTTGAAGTTGGGTAATGTGAAGCTTCCAGCTTTGTTCTTTTTGCTTAGAATTGCCTTTGCTATTTAGAACCATTTTTGGTTCCACATGAAATTTATTTATTTTATTATTTATTTTTGAGACAAGGTCTCACTCTGTTGCCCAGGCTGGAGTGCAGTGGTGTGATCTTGACTCGCTGCAAATCCTACCTCCTGGGTTCAAGCAATTCTCCCACCTCAGCCTCCTAAGTAGCTGGGACTATAGTTGTGTGCCACCATGCCCAGCTAATTTTTGTATTTTTAGTAGAGACAGGGTTTCACCATGTTAGCCAGGCTAATCTCAAACTCCTGACCTCAGGTGATCTGCCCACCTTGGCCTCCCAAATTGCTGGGATTACAGGAATGAGCCACCTTGCCCAGCCTCCATATGAAACTTAAAATAGTTTATTCAAATTCTGAGAAGAATGTCATTGGTAGTTTCATAGGAATAGCATTGAATCTGTACATGAATTTGGACAGTTGAGCCATTTTAAAAATATTGATTATTCTATCCTTAAGCATGGGATGCTTTTCCTTCTGTGTTTGTCATCTCTGATTCCTTTGAGCAATGTTTTGTAACTCTCATTGTAAAAATCTCTGACTTCCCTGGTCAGCTATATTCCTAGGTATTGTATTCTTTTTGAGGCAATTGAAAATTGAATCGCATTCTTGATTTGGCTCTCAGCTTGGTGGTGGTGGTTGTTTAGAAAAGCTACTAATTTGTGTACATTGATTGATTTTGTATCTGGAAAATTTGCTGATATTTGTAATTTAATCAGGGCTTTGGGGCAGAGACTATGGGTTTTCTAGGTATAGAATCATATCATCTCTGAACAAAGACAATTTTACTTCCTCTACCTATTTGGATGCCATTTATTCTGTTCTCTTGCCTGATTGCTCTGGCTAAGACTTTCAGTACCATGTTGAATAGAAGTGGTGAGATAGGACATCCTTGTCTTGTTCCAGTTTTAAAAAACAATGTTTCCAGCTTTTGTCCATTCAGTATGATGTTGGCTCTGGGTTTTTCACAGATTACTCTTATTATTTTAAAGTATAATCCTACAATAACCTGTTTGTTGAGGGTTTTTAACATGAAGGGATATTGACTTTTATCAAAAGCCTTTTCTGAATCTATTAAAATAATCACGTGCTTTATGTTTTTAGCTCTGTTTATGTGATGAATCACATTTATTGATTGTATATGTTAAGCCAATTTTGCATGCCAGGGGGAAAGCTTACTTGATCATGGTGGATTAGCTTTTTGATATGCTGCTGTATTTAGTCTGCTAGTATTTTGTGGAGGATTTTTACATCTCTGTTCATCAAGGATATTGACCTAAAATTTTCATTTTATTTGCGTCTCTGCTAGGTTTTTGTATCAAAATAATGCTGGCAGCCTCATAGAAAAAGTTATGGAGGAGCCTCCCAACCTCAATTTTTTGAAAGAGTTTCAGTAAGAATGTTACCAGCTCTTCTTTATACATCTGGTGGAATTTAGCTATGAATCTATCTGGTACTGAGCTTATTCTGGTTGGTAGGCTTTTTTTTTTTTTTTTCCTGATTCAACTTTGGAACTGTTCTATGTCATTTTAGGGATTCAATTTCTTCCTGGTTCAATTTTGGGAGGTTGCATGTTTCCAGGAATTTATCAATTTCTTCTAGGTTTTCTAGCTTGTGTGCATAGAGGGGTTCACAGTAGCCTGAGAGTTTTTGTATTTCTGTTGTGTCGGTGGTAATGTCCTCTTTACCATTTCTGATTTTATTTGGATCTTCTCTCTTTTATTCTTTATTAGTCTAGCTAATGGTGTATGAATCTTATTTATTCTTTTAATAAATTAACTCCTGGATTTGTTGGGCTTTTGTATGGTTCTCCACATCTCAGTTTTCTCTAGTTCCACTTTGATTTTTGGTTATTTCTTGTATTCTGCTAGCTTTCAGTGGGTTTGCTCTTGTTTCTCTAGTTCCTCTAGGAGAACTCCGTTGTTAATTTGAGATCTTTCTAACTTTTTGATGTGGGTGTTTAGTGCTATAAACTTCCCTCTTAACACTGAATTGGCTGTGTCCCAAAGATTCTGGTATGCTGTCCCTTTGTTCTCATCATTTTAAAATAATTTCTTGATTTCTGCCTTGATTTCATTGTTTATCCAAAAGTCATTAAGGAACAGTTTGTTTTATTTCTATGTAACTTATGGTTTTGAGTGATCTTCTTATAATTGATTTCTATTTTTATTGCTCTGTGATCCAAAAGTGTGGTTGGTATAATTTCATTTTTTTGTTGTTGTTTATTTGAATTTGCTGAGGATTGTTTTATGGCTTAATATGTGTTTGATTTTAGAGTATGTGTCATGTGTACATGAGAAGAATGTCGAGAGTTCTGTAGATGTCTATTAGGTAGGTGTTGAGTTCAGGTCCTAAATGTCTTCCTTAGTTTTCTGCCACTGTAATCTAATACTATCAGTCAGGTATTCGAATCTCCCACTATCAATATGTGGTTATTTAAGTCTCTTCATAGGTCTCTAAGCACTTGCTTTATGAATTTTAATGCTCCTGTTTTGGGTACATATACATTTAAGATAGTTAAGTGTTCTTGTGGAATTGAACCCTTACCGTTATGTAATGCTTTTCTTTGTCTTTTTTGATCTTTATTTCTTTAAAATATATTGTATCTGAAGTTAAAATATTAATCACCTCAGTAGGTGACCTGCCTTCTTTCTATTTGCTTTTAACATTTATTTTTTCATTTCACCCTGGAGAATCTGATGACTATGTGTCTTGGGGATGTTCATCTTTTGTGGTATCATGCATGGGGTCTCTGCATTTTCTGAATGTAAATGTTTGCCTCTTTAGCAGGTTGAGAAAATCTTCATGGACAATACCCTCAAATATATTTTCAAGTTGTTTGCTTTCTCTCTCTCTCTTTCTGGGACACCAATAAGTCATTAATTTGGTCTGTTTACATAATACCATATTTTTTGGAGGTTTTGCTCATATTTCTTATTCTTTTTTATTTTTTTCTGACTGTGTATTTCAGAGAACTGGTCTTTAAGCTTAGAGGTTCTTTCCTCGGCTTGATCAATTTTACTGTTAATACTTGTGATTGTATTCTGAAATTCTTGAAATGAGTTTTTCAGCTCTATACGATCAGTTTGGTTCTTTCTTAAAATGACCATTTTGTGTTTCATCTCCTGTATCATTTTATTGTATTCCTTAGAATCCTTGGATCGGGTTTCAACTTTCTCCTGAATCTCAATGATCTTCATTCCTATCCATATTCTTAATTCTATTTTTGTCATTTCAGCCATTTCAGCCTGGTTAAGAACCCTTGATGGAGAACTAGTGTGATCATTTGGAGGTAAAAAGACACTCTGGCTTTTTGAGTTGCCAGAGTTCTTGCACTGGTTCTTTCTCATCGGTGTGAGCTGATTTTCCTTCAATCATTGAAGTTGCTGTCCTTTAGATGTGTTTATTTTTGCTTTTGTCTTCTTTCATTCCCTTGGGGGTTTGATTATGATATAAGGTGGGTTCAGTCAACTGACTTTTTATTTCTGGAAGGTTTTAGGAGGCCAAGGCTCAGGTCAGCTCTCCTGAGCTGTGTGCTCTAATGCTGTGGGCCTTGTGTTAGGGAAGCGGCCTTGTTCTTTGTTCCCTTGAGGTCAGGAACCTGCTGTTCTAGAGGGGCCAAAGTGTTCCCAGACCACCAGCCACACCACTCCAATGGGTGGTGCCAGCCAAAGTACTTCTTTATGATGTCAACTGGATCTGTGATCATTCACATGTCGCAGTGGGGTACACGCTTATCAGCTACGGCGGGGAGCTGGCAGGAATGGGGCTACCTCCTTTGTGCTCATTCAAAAAATTAAAATTACTTTTCTCAATGAAATTATTTTGATGATAACAATATTCTACCAAGACTCAATACAACTCAGACAAATTTGCTATCACTAATATTAGCAGTTTAGTAACTAAATTATCAAGGGGAAAGATTTTGTATATGATGTCTCATTTATGTTAAAAAGGTATAACATCTAAAATATCAAAAATGACATTTCTAGTATTGTTTTCCTGTACACATTTTAAGCATTGAATAGTTTAGAGTTTCTTGCTGCTGTAGTTGTTTTAGTTTTATTGACAGATAGTACTAATTGTAGAAGGAAACTTAAAAGCTCCAGTATCTATACCACGGAAGCTTATTAGGCTGACATTAGAAAAGAATTAAGTAGAAATTTAGTTATAATATCAATTATAACGTAATTAATTATATAATGTTTTCCATCTATCTTCCTTTGGGATACATATGCTTACTGTCAATAAAATATCTATAAGTTTGGGAGAATTATTAAGCCAATTACAAAATCAGTTTAATGTTGCTAAATATTGATTTGGAATAATTTTTATCATCCTGACTTAAATTTTTGAGTTTCTTTGAACTTCATGTTCATTTTTATTTTATTGCATTTTATTTATTATTATTTTTTAGAGACAAGGTCTCACTGTGTCACCCAGGCTGGAGTAACCTAGTGTGATTATAGCTCACTGCAACCTTGAACTTCTAGGCTCAAATGATTCTCTTGCCTCAGCCATCTGAATACCTGAGACTAAATGCATACACTGCCATGCCCAGCTAATTTTTCAATTTGTTTTTTGTAGCAATGGAGTCTTCCTATGTTGATCAGGCTGGTCTTGAATGCCTGGTCTTAAGCAATCCTCCCACCTCAGGCTTCCAAAGTGCTGAGATTACAAGTGTGCGTCACTGTGCCTGGACAAACTTTACTTTAAAATACACACACAAAAATATAAGATTTTGGTGGATTCTTAGATACAACATATATTATTGCAACTAATGTATATTCGTATATTTATAAGATTATACATTTTAAATGGAAATTTTCCCTGTGATTTGTCTCTCATTAAAGCAACAGTAATTGGTTTATATTGGCCTCTCCTAATCAGTTGTTTGAATGTCTTTTTTTTTTTTTTTTTTTGAAACAGAGTCTTGCTCTTTCGCCCAGGCTGGAGTGCAGTGGCGCTCTCTGCTCACGGCAACTTTCGCCTCCTGGATTCAAGCGATTCTCCTGCCTCAGCTTCTGGAATAGCTTGGATTACAGGCACGCACCACCACACCTGGCTAATTTTTGTATTTTTAATACAGACGGGGTTTTGCCGTGTTGCCCAGGCTGGTCTCGAATTCCTGAGCTCAAAGCGATCCGCCCGCCTTGGGCTTCGAAAGTGCTGGGATTACCAGCGTGAGCCACCGCGCCCGGCCAAATGTCTTTCTATTCAATTATCTACCTACTTCTGAACTAACCCCATGAATTACATTACTTTTTCTAACAAGTTTAGTAAATGGAAGCTTGGGGAAAATTGCATGCCCAAATGTATAGTGCAATTTGGAATGATTTTGCTATTCGTGTATTCAATATTCAAGCTACTTTTCTTTTTGGCTTTCTAGATTTTCATGAAAAAGCTATTCAGTGGGAAATCAATTAAGTATTTTAATAGGCAGGATGAAACAATAGGTTTCATATACCCCAATATTGCCAGTAATTATTTAGCATCTGCCTGGAACATGGTTTTAAAATAATGATAAAGTTAACTCCAGGCTCAAGAGAAAAGACTGCCATATTGTCTATAAATACAGGACAGTGGCACAAATACACCTGATGGAAAATTACTTCATGATTTCAGATACTTCTTAGTGATTGACATACCCCACACACTAAGAAACACCCTAGAACATGGAGCCAGTACTGCAACCACTCTAATTACAGAGCTTAACGCATTCGAGCTTTTAGGTTGTAACTCCAGCACTGCCAATTATTAGCTGTGGGGCTAGTTCGTGCCTCAGTTTCCTCATCTGTAAAATTAGATAATAATATTACCTACCTCATAGCATTTGCTGTAAGGATTTTTTTGTTTGTTTTTGAGACGGAGTCTCGCTCTGTCGCCCAGGCTCAAGTGCAGTGGTGCGATCTCGGCTCACTGCAAGCTCTGCCTCCCGGGTTCACTCTATTCTCCTGCCTCAGCCTCCTGAGTAGCTGGGACTACAGGCGCCCGCCACCATGCCCGGCTAATTTTTGTATTTTTAGTGGAGACGGGGTTTCACTGTGTTAGCCAGGATGGTCTCAATCTCCTGACCTCATGATCCGTTCACCTCGGCCTCCCAAAGTGCTGGGATTACAGGAGTGAGCCACCTCGCCCGACCGGATTTTTAAAAAATTAATATAAATGAAGTACTTAAAAGAGTGTCGTGGCACTTAATAAGCTCTCAGTAAGTGTCGGTATCATTATCACCTCACCATCATCACTCTCATCATCATCATCATCTTCATCATCATTATTTGTTCATGATCACAGGATCAATCAAGAGAAAGGAAATGATGAACACGGGAACTCCCATCCCTAGCCTGTAGTAAAGACTGCAGAGTTAAGCTAATTTATTTCACCCCTTGTGATATTTCCTTCAACTTCGTAGCATGCCTAGTAGAATTTTTGTTGAAAAAGACTTGAAATTAAGATATGATTAAGCAATGTTATGCTGGGGTAAAGGATTTTTTTTACCTATATAAATTGTAATCCAGTTTAACACCTTAGCCTGGAGGACATCAGCTGTTTCCAGTTTTGCTTTTTGACACCATCAGAATAATATGATCAACTCAATTGTGGCCAGTGAGTTGTCTGTTTTTCTTCCTATAGTGTATTCCATCTATGTATAACTGCCATGTTTTCAAGCTACCAAACACCTTTCTCACGTGATCACTATGTTTAGGAAATGTGCAGTCTTATTGATCTGGTTTCATCAGGGCAGAATCCAGAAAACTCAAGTTCCCAGAATTCCTTGCAGCTAAACCAGAAGCATTTGAACTAGATTTTGCCTGTCAGTCACATGCTTCTGAATCGCTGGTTTGGAAACAAGCAACCTGAGAAGACAAGTTTTAGGGGCAGGGGGCTGTCCATTTTGCTGGCAAGGGTGGTGGCAGATGTATCCAACAATGAGAGGGCAGCCGGTGCAGGGTTCTCCTTCAGTGTTCAGTGGGCAACAGCAATAGCTGACGTTTCTTCATCAGGCCAATTGTGATGCACGGTCCTAGTACTGTACCTGTAAGTTTAGACTCAACTAATCTTACATGTTTAGCCTCTAGCCTTCTGCACACTTCTGTGAGCTACCCAATACCCTTATAGTAAAATCCCTTTTTGGATTAAAAATCATATATACACATATATATTTCTAAGTGTGATAGATTTAAAATAGACAAGAAAAGTTATAGCACTGTTTTCACTTTTTAATAAAATGAAAAACCTTTATTGAAATATTTTTAAATGTATAGCATCAAAGTTCAGGCCCTTTTAAAATTTATAACTCTGGAAATTAGAAAATAAAGTATCTGTTTGACAACAGCTATATAAAGCTGCATTGATGATATAGTACTATCAATCAATTTTCAGGTAAAACTTGCACTCTGAATTGTTTATGCGCTGGATGAATTTACTTCCTTGTATGTATTTCCTGCTCCCGAGAGAAATGAACAGATTTTGGCAAGCCAAATCCTGAAAATTGTGCAGAGTTCTCTCCTTTAGTTCATATCATATATCACTGAAAGCTATTGGCCTCTTTTTTTATATATAAGCACAGTAAAAGAGGGACAGATTAAGGATAGCTTTTATGGGATTTATAGGTTTGGTTCATTCATTTTTGTATGTGTAGAAAGGTAAGAGAGAAAATGAGAATGAAAGAAGGATAAGAATGCTAAGAAGATTTACTGGTTTCTATTCTATCTTAATTCTCCAAACCCTAACTTCAATAGCTTTAGGTCAACTACTTTTTTTTTTTTTAATGCGATTTAGACCATGTAGTTTCAAGAGTAGTTTTCCCAAATAGTCTGTGGTAGCTATCTTCATGAATAGTCATCTTGGTTCTGTCCCATTTCCTTGTGTTGTGATTAGGAGGCTAGCCTTTTAACTCTGAGCATGGGTTATAGTCCATGTTCTACCATGTAAACTGTAAGGCCCAAGGTCAGTTGCATAACTTTTTTCTGACCCTCATTTTATCAAATTAGATAATAATATAGTATGATAGTAATATCTATTCCACAGCTGTGTTGTGAGTAGTTATAAAAATCCTTATGAAATCTCCAGAAAAATTTGTGACTCCTAAGAAGTCTCAGTACATTTTAGCTACTAGTATACTATAAAAAAAAAAATCCTGTTTTTCAATACACTTACCCAATCTTTCATCTTTGCAATGAATTGCCATTGTGAAGCTGGTCTGGGGGCAGGTGTTTCAGATCCACTGTCACAGGGAGGCTGGGTGAGGAGCCGTCAATGAGAGTGTATTTACTTTTGAAAGGCCAGGGATCATACTGCTCAATTCTCAGCTCAACTGAATGATGATGCATATATGGGGCTCTTCAATAAAGCCACAGCCTTCGTGGGTAACTTTCAACAAACCACCATCAAAACGAGGTTTTCACATCCTGACAACTGTCTTATTGTGATACTGTGACTGCTAGAGGTTCATTTTTAATTTTTTTCAATAGATCCTGGATACTGAGTTTAGCCACTAGGCATTGACAAGTTACAAAATGATTTTACAAAAAATAGACAAAACATTTCTGTGGGCTTTACTTTCTCATATTCCCTTTGATTTATCAATATACATTGCATTGTCTCCCTAATAACAACTACACTTTAAGTTATTTTTATGAGACAAGAAATAATTATTCAGACATTACAAGGTTATGGAAATTTCTGCAAAAGCTCAATCTTATCAGTAAAGGCATCTATGGACTAAAAATGGTATGTGTGGCAATGTTGAAGAGGCATAACTGAGAAAACATTAATTTCTCTATATTTATGTATCACTTCTTGTCATTTAATTCCAAAGTAATACTGCTGGTTTATAGCTACTTACATAAAATGCCGTATAACCGTAAGTACAGACAGACTCTTACATTCACATCAGTTCTTATGATATGGCACTCAGGCAACAAAAAATCAGAAACATATTACCAACAATTATGAAAGGCTCACTATGCCAGGATGACGATTTAAGCAATTAAGTGCTTTCTGTCCATATTTACGGCCTCCATATTTCGGTTAACACACAGTGAGGCACATGCATATAATTCTTTAAAATGTGCAGGAAGTTATATGGTCTCATTATACTCTGTGCGTTATCAACTCATGTTGACTAGGGAAAATAAAAAAAAAAAGATAACCTCTTTCATGTGCACAAACACTTTAGGGAGGGGTCCCCAAAGAAACAGAACCAATAGGGGATAAGTAAATAAATATATATATAAAAATATACATATATATTAAATATGTACAATATACATATATACAAAATATATAAATATAATTTACAAAATAAATATACATTTTTATATATGTAAATACTAAAAATTGTCTCACACAGTTACAGAGACTGAGAAGTTTCACAATCTATCATCTGCAAATTGGAGAACCAGAAAAGTCAATGGTATAATTCAGTCCAAGTCCAAAAACCTGAAAATGGGAGGCCGGTGTGTTGGGGGGTGGGAGAAGCAGTCTAAGTCCTGGTCTGACTCCAAATGCCAGAGAACCAGGAGTGCCAATGTCTGGGAGCAGGGGAAGACAGATGTTTCAGTTCAAGCAAAGAGAACAAATTAGCTCTTCCTCTGCCTTTTTGTTCTATTCATGCCTTTAACAAAATGGATGGTGCTTCCCACATCGGTGAAGATGGATCTTTACTTTGCTGATTCAAATGCTAATCTCTTCAATCTCACAGAGACAATCTCACAGAGGCACCCAGAAATAATGTTTTACCAACTGTCTTAGCATCCCTTAGCCAGGTCAAATTTTATTAATTTTATTTTGACACATAAAATTAAACATCTCATGGACACGTGAAAAATGTGTGAAATTCTTAAAGACTTAGACATGATCATTAGTGTTTGTTTTCTGGAAATATTTTGTTTAAAGAATCAACCTAAAAATTAGATCATTTAGCATTTTTACATATGGGAAATAAAAGAACAGATGATAAGAGTAACTGCAGGAAAGCATGATTTTTCTGTTACAAAAACATCTTGTCATTCAGTTGACAATTACTGAATTATGATTTACCGTGTACTAAAATCCTGTGGAGGATGCCATGCTGTGTATAAATGTAACTAAATGTTCAAATCAGGAGCTCTAAGGTATTAAAGCAAGCATGCATTCATTCATTCAATGAGTCTCTGTTGCCCATGTATTAAATGCTAGACACTGTACTAGGTGCTACAAATAATACAGTCAAAACAAACAGACAAAACCCTGACCTCTTGAGCCAATAAGGGGAGAATAAGAAATTAATAATATCATAGATCAAATTTATAATTATAAATTATGATAATTGTTATGGTACAGAAGTAGAGGGTCATTATAAACACCTGGAAGAGTAGAACCTGATTATGTCTCAAAAGAGTCTCAAAAGAGTTAACTAAGAAAGTACAGTTTGAGCTAAGATGATAAGTGAGATGGAAGGCAATGGGGAGAAAGGGGTGGAGGGAGCTTGCTGGGGAATGATGACAGAAAGAGTTCGCCCTTTCCACTCCCCCACAAAAAATATGCAAGACACTGAGATGAAAGAAAGCACAGCCTTTTAAAGGAATTGAAATAAAGCAATCTGTTTGTAAACCACAGAACAAAAGGGAAATTGATGCAAGCTCTGTGAAGAGAATTCAGAACTCACTAACCGCTCAGTTATTACAGGATACATGTAGTTCTGTATGTTCACTCTTCATTCTAAGAGCCAAGGGGAACCCAACAGGTTATAAAATAGGGGGTAGCATGATAAGGTTTATGGTTTTTAAGATTTCTATCATCTTATTCACATGGAAACCTCAGGGAGTGCTGCCGTTTTAAATTCCCTATGTCTTTAAGAAGCTGTTAGAATATTTGAAAAGACACTCAGAAACATGAACATTTGCAAAGACATCCAGAAATGCAATGCACTTTCAGAGTTGATGGGGTTCCTGGAGCCACTGATCTTCTTGTTAAAAATTCCTACATTATAGTGAAATGGCATTTGGAGTTTTAGGGCTAATGGTCAGGCCCCTGGACATAAAATATATGACCTTACAGGAAAGATTTAAGGAAGGTGACTGTCAAAACCAAATAATTTCTACTGGGATAAGAAAGAATCTACAGATTTTAACCTTGCTTAAGAACGTAAGGAAAGAGTTTTAAGAAACAGATAGCTTACACTGGGCTCATGAGTCCACTGACAATAAACCGCAATTTAAGGTCCAGAAAACTTAATACTAAGCGAATACGTTAATTAAAAACACAAAGAATATAAAAAAAAAATACAGGGCTACCTATTTTCTTTACCCTATTTACATTTCAGCCAAATTATCTCCTAGTCTCACATGTCTAGGCCTATCTGTTAAATATTTTAATACATGCAGATATTCAATTACTTTTCAAGCTGATTCAAATCCCTTCACATTCTGACTTTTTTCTTCTTCTTTCCATTTCTTTCTTTTTCTTTCTTATTCTCTTTCTTATCTTGCCTTGTTCTTCTATTGTCTGTGCATTTGCACTTTCTCCTTTAATCTGATGCCCAAAACCATTCTTCCAGTGCTGACTTTGGTTCCTCATTCCCACAATGCCATGACCTCATCCTTCAGACCTAATTTGTTCAAAATGTTCCACACACTTCCTGGCCTGAGCCAACAGAATAGCTTAGGTGTGGGGGTGGACAGTCGTTTCAAGTTTTCTGTGGCTACAATGATGGAGAATTGGTAGTAAATGAAGAAATGTGGAGGAAGGGGCAGAAAAATGAGCATGAAAGCTGAAGGATTTTAGAGATAAAATTGAAGTCGAATGAATTGAGTACGTTTAAAGAATCATCACTCTTAGACATTCTGTGCTTCTTGTGTATTTCTTTAATTCTCAGAAAAAATACAATGATTTTTTATGATGTGTGTTCCACCAGAGGCATTGAAACTCTGATGACAAATCCAAACCACTATCGGAATAAGAATGGCAAAGCAAGTATTACTAGGTAGGCCTGGAGCTAAACACTTCAAAGTTTGTGATGTGCTTACAAAAAAAAAAAAAAAAAAAAAAAAAAAAAGATGAATCCACTAAGAAGAGTACCCTGTAATGAGATGACTCCTACATTCTAGGAGAGGTAATGAGTTCTTGGGAAGTGGAAGTGGAAGTAGTAGAGAAGCAAAAACTATAAGCAAATTAGACAGATCTAGAATATAGAACAATTGTTAAGGGTAACTGTGAAAATGTGTGTTAGTATCATTCACATTGAGAAATACATACAAGACCAGTTCATAGAATGAAAAGAATGAGTTCAATTTTGAATAGCATGAGTATGAAATGTTTACAGATGACCCTGGTAGAAATGTGTAGCAAACTATGTTTAGAGAGTCAAGTTTGCTGCTCAGGAGCCATGTCAAGGACAGAGATAGATTTCAAAGTCATCATACGTATGTGAGCAGTAAAGCCAATGTGCACAGTTGTATAGATAAAGAAACCAATATAGATAAGGGGTAATAGAACAGAGTCAGAAAAAGAAGGTAAAGGGAGGCTGAAAGAGTAGAACCAGAGGAGATAAAGAGTGCAATTGAGGAGGATAGAATAGTTTGAGGAGATTCAAACGTTGTGGAAGTCAGTGAAGAAGGATTTCTAGGAAGGGGGAGTTCAATCATGTCAATAAGCCGGAGACATCAATGAGCAGAAGGACTCAGGAATTTGGTAGTAGCAAGTAATTGGGGCTTTTCAAAGGACACTTCAATGGAATAATAGTGATAAAGATGCTACAGAATTAAAGAAGTGTTAGTTGCTAAAGAAAATGAGATCGTGAGTGTATACTGCTTTTAAGATTTTTATCTGTTGTGGAAAATACAAGACAGGATGATGTGTGTTTTCCAAATCGGTGAGATTTTAGTACTTTTAAAATGGCTGAATAGAAAGATTGAAAAGAGAGAAGTGTTTTTCAAGATGCAAGAGAAAATCGTTGAAAAATTACGATATTAAAGAAATCACTGAATGAAATGCTTGAGTCAAGAATACAGAAAAAAAATGTTTAGCCTTAAAGAGCAGAATGGCCTACACATGAATAATGTAAGGAGAATATCTGTACATATCAACATGAAAATCAAGCATGAAAATAGCATTCACCTGGATGGTAAAGAATGTTGGAAAACCCTACAGAAACCTAGGGAGCATTTCAAAAAGAATTTTAAGATCAGGTATTACCGCATTCGGTAAGTTATTCTATTTTCTCTAGTCAGTGACCTGATTTATTCTCTTTTGATCTGTATTGATATGTACATTTCATATCAAAGGCCATATTGTAAAATAAAAAGCATGTAGGGATAGATAACTAGCAAAGTTAAAAGAATCCATCATGACAGCTGAATGGGAGAAGGCTGAGTGCAGTATGTATCTTTTTAAATCATCATGGGTGTCTTTCATGAAAAGAACCAAAAAGCACACAATGTGGGAGGTCAGGGGCAATTCAAACTTAAGTGAGTGAAAAGAAAATTTTAGGAGCACCTTTCAAGGCAATACAAATCCCAATAAAAAGGGCTCTTTAAATACATCAAAAGGACTGATTCATTCAGTAAGCATTTATCCTGTGCCTATTCCACAAGGATCAATAGAACCAGGGGAAAATCATTGATTTAAAGAGTCCTAAAGGCCAAAATAAAAATGGAATGAAGGACAGCTGTGAAAATCTGTTCCCATCTATATTGAAGAAAATTATCTGAAAATCCCCCAAGTAAATTTACTTTCGTGTCACATGATACACTTTTAAACAATTTTGAAGTTTTGAAATAATTTTAGATTAGCGTTTCATGAAGATAGTATAGAGAATTCCCATGTACCTTTTCCAAACTCTTCTTATATTAACATTTTACACAAACATGGTTCATTTGTCAAAGCTAAGAAATTAACTTTTGTTTAATACCATTAAATAATCAAGGAATTTTCATTGTATTAATCAAATTTTTACATTAGCATCCTTTTTCTACATCTACGCAGCTGTTAGAAAAGGTATCTTCCAGAGACCAAAACCTGTAAGAAAGCCATAAACTCTTGAGGATACAGCATGAGGCATATCATGGAATATGGATCCTAAGAAGTTACTAGTTGTACCACATCCTGGTAAACTGGCACCTTTACCACATGAGCAAGAGACTTGTACATCTCACTTCTATATATTGTGAAGTTATCCATTCTACATTAAACGATTGTTACGTTTAAACAAAGAATAAAGAGATAAGCATTCTGTGCAAAGAAATTATATCTTCTTAATTTCTTTAAAATGTTGAAAGAATGTCATCTATTGAATATTATTCAGAATATCCTAAAGGCTCAAAAAGTAACTCCATATAAAGGATTAATATTTAATCCTGTTCTTTTGAATTTGTCTTCACATCTAGGCATAATAAACCTATGTCCAAATAGTAAATACTCCATGAAGTGACCAAGTGATAAAGCCTCAGGGGATATTGGGTGAGAGTATGCTCTATATTCCCAGCTATTGCTTAAGTCAAAACAGACTCCTATCTGCTCTCCCTCTGGTGGGCTGAAGTGAAAGATACAGATCTTGTAGAGCTTTTTTTTTTTTTTTTTTAACCCCCAATATAGCCAAGAACCAGGGCTGGAAGTCATATCTACCCTTCTTTTAATCAGTGCCAGGTCTCAGATTCTGTTAACCATCCTAAGTTTACTTTGAGTATTTTTCTATTGTTTAGTATTGTAAATATAGTTTCTGCTTTTCATCACCACCTGTTTAGGCAAGTGCTTAAAAAATTGTCGGTTTTGTTATTTATCTTGAAGATTGGGCCAATGTAGTCCTTTTACATTGTAAATATAAGGAGAAGCATTTCATGGAAAGCAAGAGCTGTAGTTTGTATAATATGCTGCAGGTTGCCAATCTTCCTTTTGACCTGCTTTTTGAATTATTATTTTGAGTTTGCGTGAACCAACCGTTGTCAATTTCTCCTTATAAGTTTGGTCTTTGTGCTATTGTTTGTAAGCATTTTATCAATATGACATGAGAATTTTTGAAGTTCCTAGAGAAAGAAATTTAAAAATTAATCATGATTTTATGACCAAACTGGAGAATGATCTACTTTTGAAATCAGTTGTCTTCAAATTTTGTACATGAAGATAACCTGAGAAACTTACCATAAATTTGAATTCCCAGGCTCCTCATATATTTTCATTGTTAACCAGCTCTCAAAACAACACTACCCTTTGGGAACTACTAAACTGCTTGATATCAGACTGTGAAAGGGTAGATGTAAAATATAAAATGACATTTTTGCCCAATTTCTACTAATAAACACTTCCAATAAAAACTAGAGTTGAAATCAGATGTAAGCATCTGTTTTGAATATGATGCTTCCTTTCAAGGATATGACCTGAATCGTCAATCACATTCTCATTATAATCATTACACTTTCCAAATAAATTTACACAAAAGTTTATTTGCAATAGTTCTAAGTGTTTGTATATCTCCTTCATGATATTTTATAAGATATACTGAAATCATCATGTGAAAATGAGCTTGTCATTAGATAAAGAGAAAATTATTATCTTGTCATTTCTACATACAGCATTACAAAATTAAAAAAATACATGATTAAAATAAAATTTCCAATCAAATTCTCACACTCCTAGATTAATCTATTGATCAATCAAATGTACAAAATGTTCTCAATAATGTAATAGGCCGGGCACGGTGGCTCACACCTATAATCCCAGCACTTTGGGAGGCTGAGGTGGGTGGATCACGAGGTCAGGAGATCAAGACCATCCTGGCTAACACAGTGAAACCCTGTCTCTACTAAAAATACACAAAATTAGCCGGGCGCAGTGGCAGTCGCCTGTAGTCTCAGCTACTCGGGAGGCTGAGGCAGGAGAATGGCATGAACCCGGGAGGCAGAGCTTGCAGTGAGCTGAGGTCATGCCACTGCATGCCAGCCTGGGTGACAGAGTGAGACTCCATCTAAAAAATAAATAAATAAATAAAATAAAAAGTAATAAATGGCTAGTGATTCAAAGAAGACTATAGACTATACACGTTTAAACGTGTGTCATGTGTCTCCTTTCTCCAAATGTGGGCATTAAATTCTGGTTTTGATAATAATGAATGAATAGTTTATATAAGACTATCTTTTCTGCCATCAAAAATGACAAATTCTGAAAAAAATATAAAAATCCATTATCTGAAAGTACTAGAAAGCATACAATAACAGGTAGAAACTAAAAGACATAAAGTCCTTCAAGGATGGAATTCACAGTGCTTAAGACTCAATTTTTATCTAATTTCTCTCTGGAGATACTCACTGATATGCATGGTACTCAGATAATACAGTTCATGCAGAAAGTAAGAGTATTACTACATTGAAGAATAGAGATGAAGATTTAAGCCCATCAGAGTGGCAGAAAATTCAGACCAGAAAATCCCAAATCGAAGATGCTACAGTGGGAAAGCCTAATCTTCCTACATACAAAATTCACTCTAACACTTAGCTGAATACTGAACTGCATGTATAACAGGCATAAATCTAAGAAATCCAGAGTAAAAAAAAAAAATAGGTAGCAAGGCTAAAAATACTGAGCAGAGATTTCAACAGCTATTCAGTTCCAGAAAAGTTATATTTTAAAGTTCAAACCAAAAAAACTTAGGGGCTAGATAAATACCTTAGAATTTCCATTTAAACCATCAAAAAGCCATGCCTTGGGAATAAAGATTTTATTGCACTACTAATAACTTGGAGAAAAACTGAAATATAGCCAACTGAACCAAGTCTAAAACTAAACTTTTAGAGTATGAAGGTTATCTGTCAGTAAAGTAATTCCTCCTAGAGAAAAAAATCAACACATTAGAGAAAGATAAAAATATCCAGGTTCTCTTTACAATAACATCCACAATTTCCAGTAAGAAAAAAAATAATCAGACTTATGGAATAAATAGAAAGATAGAACTAGGAGTAATTATTATATTACATAAAAAAGGCAGGAATTTTTAAATAAACCTAAGACTATGTTATTAAAAACTATAGGAAAGAAAGAGTATAATAATAAAAAGATAGAAAATGTCAGGATATCTATGACAAATAGAACCAGTTGCAAATATTAGATCTGAAAATTAAAATATCTGTTATTGAAAATACATGACATGGAACAAAGAGCCAACTGATTAGTAAATATAGAATAAAGGACCAATGAACTTCAAGGTGAGTAGAGAGCAATTATTAAAACTAAAGCACAAGGAATAACATAAACAAACAAAAAACTGAAAACAAATGTAAACAGTCTTAATAATCCATAAAAGATAAGCTATTATAAAATACGTATTAGGTTCGTGCAAAGATAGCCATTGGAAGTCATGGCAAAAAAAACACAATTACCTTTGCACCAACCAAATATAATTGGAGCTGGAGAATAAGAGCAGAAATGAACAGAGCACTTAGGCAAGAGAAAGAAACCAAAGGCATTAAAATTGAAGGAGTAAGTTAAATTGTCTCTTTTCACAGATCACACAAACTTTTCTATAGAAAACCCTAAAGACTCCACCAAAAACTGTAGAACTAATGAAAGAATTCAGCAGAATTACAAGAAACAAAATAAACACACAAAAATTAATAGTGTTTCTATACATTAAGAATAAATTATCTGAAAAAGTAATCAAAAACAAACTTACTGGGAAGCTGAGACAGGGGAGTCACTTGAACCCGGGAGGCAGAGGTTGCAGTGAGCCGAAATGGCACCACTGCACTCCAGCCTGGCAAAAGAGCAAGAATTTGTCTCAAAAAAAGAAAAAGAAAAAAAAAAGCTTATTAACAATAGCTAAAATATATATAGTAAAATGCTTAGAAATAAATGTTTAGGAATAAGTTTAACCAAGGAGATGAAAGACTTATACACTGAAAACTATTAATGAAAAAAATTAAAGGAGACACAAATAAATGGAAACATATTGCATGCTCATGAACTTGAAGACTAAATATTATTAACATGTTCATACTATTGAAAGCAATCTACAAATTCCAATGACATTTTTCACAGAAATAGATAAAAACAGTCCTAAAATTTAGATGGAACCACAAAAGTTTCTGAATGGCTGAAGAAATCTTGAGGAAAATAAATAAATAAATAAAACAAAAACAAAAAAGCTAGAGGCATCACATTACCTGACTTCAAAATATACTACAAAGCTATGTTAATCAAAACATCATGGCACTGGCATAAATACAAACACATATAACAGTGAAATAGACTGCAGAGCCCAGAAATAAATCTACCTATTTATTGTAGTCAATTTATTTTCACCAAAGGTACAAAGAACACCTAAATGGTGTGGGAACAACTGGATAATCACACACAGAATAATGAAATTAGACCCTTATCTCTTATCATATACAAAAGTCACCTCAAAATGAATTAAAGACCTAAATGTAAGATTTGAAACTGTGAAATTACCAGAAGAAAACATATGAAAAAAGCTTCATGACTGGTCTGGGCAATGATTTTTTTTGGATATGACCGCTGAAGCACAGGCAGCAAAGCAAAAAACAGACATATGAAAATACATCAAACTAAAATGCTTCTGCACACCAAAAATATACATATATATATATACATATATATATATATATATATATATATCAACAGACTGAAGAGACAACCTACAGAATGGAAGAAAAATTTTGCAAACTGTACATCTGATAACTAAAATGCTTCTGCATAGCAAAGAAAATGATCAACAGAGTGAAAAGACAACCTACAGAATGGAAGAAAATTTTGCAAACTGTACCTCTGATAAGGAGTTAGTATCTAGAATATGTAAGGAATGGATACAACTCAATAGCAAGGAAACAAATAACCTGATTTAAAAATCAGTTGAAGAACCTGAATAGACATTTCTCTAAAGAAGAGATACAAATGGCCAACAGGTATATGAAAAAATGTTCAACATCACTAATCATTAGAGAAATACAATTAAAACCACAAGAAGATTTTACCTCACACCACTTAAAATGGTTATTATCAAAAGACAAAAGATAACAAGTGATGGTCAGAAAGTGGAGAAAAGGGAACCCTTGCATACTTTTGGTGGGAATGTAAATTAGGATAGAAATTGTATAATAGAAAACAATATAAAGGTTCTTCAAAAAACTAAAAGTAGAACTAAAATATAATTCTGTAATCCCTTTTCTGAGTATATATCCAAAACACAATATTTAATTTAGAATTTTATACTGCTTTAAACTCATGATTCAGAACATCAAATCTAATGAAGCAGTAAACACAGGCAAATAGTGTAAAAATTTGGGTTGGATTTGTACTGCTCTAAAATTTAGTGTTTTGGGGAAACTTAAGAAATTGAAATATTGTAGATGAAAGTGACACTGGAGATCTCTAGCTCAGTGCTCTGGTTTTACTAGGGCTCAGAGAGGTTTAGCTAGTTTGGTTTTCTAATGCCCAGAGAGGTTAAATACTGCACTAAGTATCCTACAGTTGCCTGATGAAGGAGGAGATGTTATTATCAGGGATACAAAAGGTAAAGTTTCAGTCTATTTTTTTTCTGCACTTTGAAAATACAATTCTTTGTTATGCTGTTTTATTCATACTATTTTTCACAGTAAGAGTCATGTCAGAAAAAATGAGCAATGGCTTACATTTTTGGTTGTAACCTACTTTGCCAACATTTTGTTATTTTTAACTATTTCTCTATAAAATTATGTGTTATTTTCTTTGTTATAAGCCCAAATAACTTTCCCTTGTAATGTGTTGTTCATCATGAAAAAGAAGTCCTATGAAGTTGGATAACTTAAAAAGGGGGTTAGAGAGATAAAATTGGAGATTATAAGAATTTATACAAGTTTCCAGTGAAAAGTTATATAATTTATTATATCTAGAAAGTAATGGATGGTGGCTATTTGGTAGTTCCGGGTAACTAAGAGTTGACCTTTATCTAATCATGTCTCCTAATTGCTCTAATCTATGAGTCAGAAGGTAAGTCCAAGCTATCTGAAGTTAAAAGTTGTAAATAAAAATCTTAAGTTAAAAAACCACTCATTTGAAGGTACAAAAGTAAATTCAATACTTATTAGGGTTACGGAGCACTAAACAATGATGAGAGAAACATAGATGTTAATTTGTATTCTAAAATATTTTAAAGATAAAAGAGAGACTGAATAAAAAATTAACTTAAGGATTAATGAATAGCATTATTCACTTATAGGCATGGCTTTTTGTGTTTGCTATTCATAGGTTTTTATTCCTTTGTATATCTATCATTCAATAAGTAGAGCAATAAATTCCAAAAAGTATATTATATGGTTTCTGTTTGAATTACTTTATTCATTCATTTTTTTAAATGTTAATTAAATTTTCATAATGTATCAGGAGGAACAGTGCTACATAATAGGGTCCAAGATGAATTAGATGTATAATTCCTATGATGTATTCATTTAATCTAAAATTTATTTAAATGAGTGCTTTCGATAATATGTTTTCAAAAATGAAGTATGCCATAGACATCATAGCTTGTGTTTACTCATACAACATCTACAGCTACCACATCATGAAAATTTGATCTATTTTATATTGAAAAAGTATAAACTGCTCTCTCTCCTGAGATAACCTCCTGGAGTTGTTATTTAGAATGGAGAAAAGTAGTGATTACCAGCATAAATGCCTCAGAATTAGACTTTGGTTTCCCAAACCAGAAATTATGCCACTTCCAGGAACTGTTTAACCTGTCGTGTGTGAAATTGCTTTGGCATCTGTTATGGTTACGTTTGACATTAATTCTGGCTAGTGGAATAAAATATTGTATAAGGTGAAATCCAAATTCTTGAATTTTCTTATTGCCAATATGTTATTTAACAAACCATCAAGGATTATGTCCTGTTTGTAAACATAGGAAAGCTAATTATTTACTGACAAAGACTTGCGTTATGCATTCATCATCAGCAAGCTCTGCTCTTCACTGTGGCTTTCTCACCAGCTCTTTTCCCCTGCACTTTTAGTGCATATTCCTGTAGTTACTTTGTTCATTTACTGCAGGTCTTCCTATTAAATGAAAGGTCACTTCTCCAGTGAGTCCTTCTCTGAAAATTCTGTTTCAAATTGCAGCTTCACGCCTGTAATTCTAGCACTTTGGGAGGCCGAGGTGAGCAGATTGCCAGAGCTCAGGAGTTCGAGAACAGTCTGAGCAACACAGTAAAACCCCGTCTCTACTAAAATACAAAAAAGACAGCGTGCACCTGTAGTCCCAGCTACTCAGGAGGCTGAGGCAGGAGAACTGCTTGAACCCGGGAGGCAGAGGTTGCAGTGAGCTGAGATCATGCCCCTACAGTCCAGCCTGGGTGACAGAGCAAAACTCCGTCTCAAAAGAAAAAAAAAGAAAAAGAAAGAAAAGCAGCTATTCATCCTGCACTCCCTAATATTTGCCAGCCTTTCTTCCCTTGCTAGCCTTAGAACCACCTTTCATCCTAGGTAGTCTTCCTGACTGATATGTTGCCATAAACTGGAATGTACTCACCAAGAAGTTTTGGTCTTTTACATTCGCTGCCACATCTCAGCCTAGAACAATGCCTGGCTCATAGATTACATCAAATAAATATTTGCTATGTAACTGAACATGCTGTGTAACTCCAATAAGTATTAACAAATAATGTGAGGTCAAGACTTTGACTTAATTAACTTTAGTGCACAAATTAATTTAAATTCCCTCTTCATGCGTAATAGTATTATTTGCAATAATAAAGCATACGACAGTCTGAGGAAATGATTTTTTTCTTATTGTAAAAACTGATTTCATTTGAGGATAAAAAGTAAGTTGCCACATAACTATTATTTGAAATATTATACACAGATGGTTTCCAGAGTACAGGCCATATTACATGTATCGTACAGGCCGTATTACATCGATATGAGAAAATATTGCCAGCACATGGGAATGTGAGCTAATTTGTAATATTTAAGTGATTAGCAGGAAGCGCATAAAATTTATTTAACAGATTTATGGAATAAAAGAAAATAAAGCATAGCAAAGTTAATTTTTTCAATCTAAATGTAAGTAAAAAAAGGTATTATATACATAGGTCCTAGCAAGGTACATTACACATTAGGGTCTTCTTGATCAGTGATATAAAAATTTTTTTCTTGTTTTATGCATTAAAGACAAATATAGTTTCTCACGAAATGAGCTAAACAAAATATTAGGTAAAATGAATATACAGCTTTTGAGAATTATAGTGAGAGCCTGTTCAAAATTCATCTTGTTTATAGCAAATGCTTCAAATTATGATTTAAAGCATATTAAAAGCATATTGAAAACATGAATATTAAACAAGGAAATCTTTCTTAGAAAAGTTACCTGAAATATGGAAATAGACAAAAGATATTATTGAGAGTCCTTTTGATGCAGTTCTGGGCTGGCACCTCTGATCAACTCACTATAAATTAGGCTATTTTATAACACTGTAAAGGCTGATTTGAACTTACATGTTGCTGTTTAGTGGAAGTACAAACATATTTTACTCAAAAATAAGCCCAACATTTACTATTTATGACCCTGTCAGACATTAACCAGTTTTGTATCTTTTTTTTTTTGAGACAGAGGCTCACTCTGTCGCCAGGCTGGAGTGTAGTGGCGCAATCTTGGCTCACTGCAACCTCCGACTCCCTGGTTCAAGCGATTCTTCTGACTCAGCCTCCCAAGTAGCTGGGATTACAGGCACACACCACCATACCCAGCTAATTTTTGTATTTTTAGTAGAGAGGGGGTTTCACCGTGTGGCCAGGATGGTCTCGATCTCCTGACCTCATGATCCGCCCGCCTTGGCCTCCCAAAGTGCTGGGATTACAGGCATGAGCCACCGTACCCAGCTCAAACCAGCTTTGTATCTAACTCAGCAAACCTATCTTAATATTTCTTTATTAATTGCCTATAAATATTCAGCTCTTCAAATGTACTTTAAACCAATTTAAACATCTTAATAGTTCCCTCATTAACTACAGAGTTGAATAAAATGTTTGCAATGTGTGCATTTTATATTTTCAAGAGAATCTTCATTTTTTCTCCTTGTGTAATATATATTTGTTGTTAACAATTAAATACAAAAATATACACATATATGTACACGTATATTGTTTTATAACTGACATACAACTAACGCCACTTGTTTAATGTGTAAGATTTGAAGTACTTTGGCATATTTATGCAGACATAACACCATTGTCCAAGTTAGTGAACGTATTCAACACCTCAGGAGTTTGAGTTTAAAACACAGCTGCTCAACTTACCAGGTAAGTAACCATGAGTCAGTCCCTAAAGCTCTGAATTCAGGTGGATTATCTATAAAAAAGTCTTTTACCTATTGAAAAGGAGTTCTGTGAGGAGCAAAAGAGAGAGAGAATGCAAAAGTACAAGGTGAGAAAAATATATTTAAGGCATAAAAGTTAGCTATGATGTAAATATAACATTCTTTAAAAAATTAAATTAGCTATAATAATAAATGAATAATAATTACAAATATTTATGTGTGAATATATACACATATATACACATATATGTGTGTATATATATGTGTAAACTTAAGTGCCTAGTATTGTTCTAGTAACTTTACATACAATAAGCAATTTAATTTTTAGCAATTAATTTAACCAAATCAATTCAATTTACAGACGAGATAAACAATAGAGTTAACAGAAAGAAATGTTCAAGAATTTCTGTTGTGTGAAAGCATTTGGTTAGGTAGAATGTAGATTTTTATCTTAGCTTTCTATAACATTATTGTACACATGACAGGTCTTAAAAACTATGATGTTGATAATAAAATATTTAATTAAAGATTATTAGTGCTTAAAATATTAGTCTTTATTTTCTTTTCTTCAAGGGAAATTTGTTTCAGCATGAAATTTATTATTAATTCTGAAGCTAGTTACCAGAATCTTGACTTTTTAAATTTACTTTTGAGTAGTCTACAATCTCATAATCAAAATTATCAGATATTCACGGAAACCTGATTTTAAGTTCGACAGATGTTACAGATTAAAAAGCCATATATTATGAGATCTTTTGTGGCTGGCTTATTTCATAGTAATGAAAACATAATATTTTTAAGGTGCATCCACACCATGGCATGTAACAGTACTTGATTTCTTTGTAAGGCAGAATAATATTCCATTGTATGTAAAATCACAATTGGTTTATTTATTCATTCATTTATGAGCATTTTGGTTGTTTTCACCTTTTCGTTATTGTGAATAGTGCTGCTATGACTATGTGTGTCCATGTATTTGATTATCTGTTTTCAATTTGGGGGGGTCTATAACTGGGAGTGGAATTACTGGTTCATATGGTAATTCTTTTTAACTTTTTAGTAACTATCAAAATGTTATATAAAATACTCAAAATGGTAAATCTTTGGAGATAGAAAGGAGACTGGTGGTTGCAAGAGGCTGGTAGGAGGAAGGAAAGGGAAATGACTGCTTATTGAGTGCATCACTCAGCGTTCTCCAGAGAAACAGAACCAATGGGATCTATCTGCACATCTGTATCTACATCCATCAATCTATTTAGAATGAAACTTATTGGAAAAAATTGGTTCATGTGATTATGGAGGCCGAGAATTCCCACAATGCCATTTTCAAGCATCTCATAGTATTACCATGTTCTGTGGATAAGGTCAATGGAAAACCACAACTACACCATAGTGACAGAATTACCAATGACCCAGGCTCTAGAAATGAAGGTTTCAGTTACCTTGCCACAAAAAGGACCATGACTAGCTGAGATGCTTGCTGAAGACAAAGGGATTGCCAAATGAGTAGTAGAAAAAGGTAGTTATAACACAAGCTATGACCACATGACCAGTTACAAAAATGACGACCATAATGTCATGAGTAGCATTTTCTCCTTATTTCATTATGAACACATTTGTGTGTGTGTGTGTGTGTATGTGTGTATAAAAATGCACACAGGGAAGGCAAATCTGTATTCAGAGTGTTTATTCTTGTAAGGAAAAAACACTGCCACGTCCATGTTGAAAGTGGTCTAATGTAATTAACTTGCCACAAAGTAGTTGCCAGATCACCCTAAAGAATATTGCCATATCACAGACTTAGGATCTCTGATGCTGGTAGACTGGGTACTGAGCAATGGCTGAAGCCAGGTCGACTTCATAAGTGAAAATCTGTGCATTACCTCCATCCTTGTCACCATGGCCACTTTATTGATGAGCTCATTGGGTGACTGGGGAAAGAGGCTGACTGATACACACCAAATAGGCCATGCTATCCACTTGATTATTAAAATCTTTCTCTGCTGGAATCACCCTTTGATGAACATTACACAGAACACAAATATATTCATATTTATGTAAAAGGTCTATCTACGTATCTATTGCCTAGATTTCCTTGTCACCAATTTTCCAATTCATTTTCTTTCAAGTCCCTGACTATCCAGACAAATCATTGGCCACAACCAAAATTACAATATAATCACGTGTCTATCCATTTATCTTTAAAAGCAAAGTGAACAATCAGGTGCACTATAGATGTTCTGCCCACTAGAAAAATTTCCCTTCAAAACTGTCATGTAGGGATGTCCAAGAAAAGGTATATAGTGCTGTAGCTGTTGACTTTCCATGGGATGCCTGCATTTTGTGAAGAATCATCTGTAAATCATGCCTGAGTTTTCTCTTCCTCTGTCAGCTGATCATAGGAAACTCCCCATAGGGAGGGCTGGGAGAGAGAAGGCAGTGTAGCAGGAAAGGAGACTATGGGCCTTTGGATCACTTTTTTCTATAACTTATCTGTGCTTTCAGGGCCTGCTGAGGCCCCATCTTATATATACCACTTCCATTTGATGATAGAGTGCTTCTGTCCATCCCAAACTTTATAACGCCCAGTTCATAATGGGCAGCTCAGGTTTCTGGGTAACTTGATGGCTCATGGTTGTATTCAGTCTCTACTAAGCTCCACTAGTGGACCATTAGCCATTTCTTAAAAGGAAATGGCTTTTGTGGCTGATGGCTGGGCTTTGCTCCAAAATCCTATGCACCTGTGCTGTAATCCACCTACAGAAGCCTGCCGGTGTCTCCATACGGCATCTCTATCAGCCACTGACACCTCAAGCACCACTGGATCTATTAGATCATATGGCCCAAGCAGCACAGGGGCCTGCATAGCAGCCTGGACCTGTTGTAAAAGCCTTTTTTTTTTTATTTTTTTTTGGTTCTGGGCCTCACTAAAAACTAGAGGTTTTGAGGGTCACTAGGTAATGGCTAGAGTAACACACTGAAATAAGGAATATGTTGCCTACAAAATTTAAAGAGTCCCAATAGTCATTGTGCCTATTTTTTTTGGTTGTAGGAGGGTCCAGATATAACAACTTATCCTCCATCTTAGAAGGAATATTTTGACATTACTCATACCACTGGACCCTTAGAAATTTAACCAAAGTAGAAGGTCCCTACATTTTTGGTGGATTCATTTTCTACTTTCTGACATGCAAATATCTTGTCATTAAGTCTAGAGTGGTTGCTACTTCTCATTTACTAGGTCCAATCAGCATAATGTCATCAATGTGATGGATCAGTGTGATGTCTTCTGGAAGAGAAAATTGATCAAGATCCCATTGAAACAGATTATGCTGTAATTATAGAGGGTTGATATACCCCTGAGGTAAGACAGTGAAGATGTATTGCTGCCCTAACAGAAACAAAACTGCTTACAATGGTCTTTACTAACAGACATTGAAAAAAAAAATTGCCAGGTCCATACTACACACCAGGTACCAAGGAATGTGTTAATTTGTTCAAGCAATGAAACCATATCTAGAACAGCTGCTAAAATTGGAGTCACCACCTGGATAACCTTATGATAACCCACTGTCATTTTCCAAAATTAATCTGTCTCTCATGCAGGCCAAATAGAAGAGTTGAATGGTGATGTGGTGGGAATCATCATCCTTGCATCATTCAAGCCCTACATGGTAGCACTAATCTCTGCAATTCCCCGAAGCGTGCTGGATTGCTTTCAGTTTACTATTTTATTGGGTAAAAGTAGTTCTAGTAGCAGTTCAGGTCCACTGTGAGATAGACTTGAGCTAAAATTCCATTAATTACCTGACTTCCCTAAACTCCTACTCTTACTAGTGGACCATGGTGATGTTTTGGATCTCCTGGAATTAGTATCTGTTCAAAGGCAGTGTCCAGTATTCCCAGAAGGAACTGATTACTTCATTTTTCCTAATGCAGTCACCCTGGCAAAGGGCATTACTAATGCCATAAAGTATAGGAGAAAGATTAAGAGTATAAAATTGATACGGTATTGATGACGTCCTTCCTCAAGGACACCAAGCTTCCCCTTCATTCAAGGGGTTCTGGGTTCGTGAATTCACTCAAGTCTGGGAATTGATTGAGGGTCCTCAACTCCACTTTTTTTTTTTTTTTTTTTTTTTTTTTTTAGACGGCGTCTCACTCTGTCGTCCAGGCTGGAGTGCAGTGTTACTATCTTGGCTCACTGCAAGCTCCACCTCCCAGGTTCACACCATTCTCCTGCCTCAGCCTCCCAAGTAGCTGGGACTACAGGTGCCCGCCACCACGCCCAGCTAATTTTTTGTATTTTTAGTAGAGACAGGGTTTCACCGTGTTAGCCAGGATGGTCTCGATCTCCTGACCCCGTGATCCACCCACCTCGGCCTCCCAGAGTGCTGGGATTACAGGCATGAGCCACCAAGCCCGGCCCCTTGACTCCACTTTTATGATTCAAGTTAGACTTTTTTTTCACTTGACTTAGTGTTTTTCTGCTTTTATAGAACAAGTAAGATTTTAGTAAGTTTCTTATTTATTTCACTTCAAGAATCACCATGATGAACTAGCCAACATTATAGGGAAATGGGAGTCAGATCATTCTGATTGCTGCTTTAACTCTGTTGTCCATCGTGGTGACCACACCTTTGCCTTTGGTTTTTAAGGGCTGCCACCTGGCCCCTACTATCATAAGAACCAATTACTCCCATTGCTTTTATGTTTCAACAATGCAATGACTGCAGTTCCTACTGTGAGGTCTGGCCTACAAGTATAAAAGGGCTCTTCAAACATTTTGGGACTCCCCAGACAAGTCTATTTCTCACACTATCAGTAAAAGGTTTATTTTCTGAATGTTCCCAGTGTGGGCAAGTAGATTTTATATAACAAATCCACTGTAAAATCTACATTAAAATAAGTCAGTTCCATCTTTTTCTTTGGGTGATGAAATGTTTCGAAATCAGATACAGGTGATGGTTGCACAATATTGTGAAATTAATTAAATGTCACTGGACTGTTCACATAAGAATGCTAAATGTTTAATATTTCATCTCAATTTAAAAAAATTAAAGGCCATTCGGTAGTAACTGCTGACTCCTATAGAAGTAAAATTTAATATTTTAAGTAGGTTTGTATTCCTGAAAACATTGTACTTTCTTCATGAATAACAATAAAAAATTATCAATGTATATGATTAAATTATTCTATTTGTTGAACTGATTATTTTTGTATTCTCTAAATCCTGTGTATTATTTGTTTTGTTAAATTATATGATATTATTCAAGAAATATTAAAATTATAGACTAATTTATTAACAAATAGAAGTGACATACTTTTTAAAAGCTTCCAAATTGGAATAAGTATATTGAAATGTTCATCTTCTGGAATTACTTACTTATTCATATATTTTTAGAGGAATATTCACATGTTAGAGGAATATTCACATATTTAAAAGAGATAATCCCGGTTCTTTTAACGTAAATCAATCAAAAGTACTAAATAAATATATTTTAATGGAATCTGTATGTGTGCAAATGAAACTACAATGAAATATTTCTACATGCAGTGCCAAGAGCCAACGTTTCTTTGTATGTCTTGAACTCTGTATATTCATTCTACAATCAAACCACATTAGAAATAGCATATTATGTGCTATTGGCTTTCTAACATGGGGGGGTGTGTGTGTGTGTGCATGCGTGCATGTGTGCTATATAATATTCCTACAGTAATTATTTAAAGATAAGCTAAACAGCTTTAAAAACAAAACTTTCCCATGACAAACTATATTAAAATGATGATAATTTTTTCAAACTAAATGCACTACTTCTAAATATTAGATGTTTTTATAACTTATTTTTCTCATCTATGCAAACATGTTCATCATAGCCTTTTAAATCAAAATATTAACATAAAGTTATTTTTTTAAATACATATTGAGTTTTCACATTATTGTTTTATTCTATTCTTATCTTCTTCATCACAATAACATTATCTTGTTATAATTACAGGACCCATTTTAATATCTTCTTAATATGCTATCTCCAATCATGAGTTTCATTGCTATTTATTTTTGAAGCCTAAATTTCTACAGCATGCTAAGATATTGTCAATAAGATACATCAGAGCTATTAAAATACTGCATATGCTGCTAATTTGGATAATTATCTGTTATGTCTTTCAAAGGGTGAAAAACCATTTTATAGCATTTGACTTCCTGGGAGGAATACTGCTTTCAAAATTTGACCTAATGAAAGGTGCCAACACACAGTATATTTATGTGTTGCATGCAGTGTATTGATAGTTCTCATGTGATTCTTCCCTTGATCATGCTATGATTATCCTAGCCTGCCTAAGAAAAAAAAAAGAACAAACTTAGAACCTCCAAATGCTTACACACACTATTACAGGGATAATGTAGTGTAGGCTACAACTGAGGAAGTATACAAAGGAATAAACAATAATAGGTCAATTCATGGCCACAGGACAGGAATTAGTGTTGCACAGTTAAGTTTGACTCCGTAGTATTTAAAATAAACTAGAATATGTAAATTGGTTTCTTAATAAAATCTTTTAACATCAAATTTCATTCCAAATACTATTAATAGTCTCCTTTAAATAATGATCTTCTTTAAATTTGAATAAGAATTTGGTGTTAAAATCAGAAAGTGGTTACTTAAAATAGCACTGAATTCTGAAAAAGGCCAATCGTTCAATTAATTTGACTTTCACAAATTACAAAATAAGTTACTGCATACTAAGTCTAAATTAGTTAAAGGCCTATAGGGACAATAGAAAATTTACCAGCTGTGCATCACTACCAGCAAGGACACTAATTTCATATATGAAGACAAACACAAGTGTTGTGATAAAGCTACATAATGATTCTGAGATTACATGAATAATGGAACTCTAAAATTAACCTGAGAGTCACTGGTTGGCAGAAGCTGCCTCGTCCTGTCAGTCAATCTTAAATCAATTAATAGATTCTGAATAAACTGCCTCCACAGAGAGAATTCATTCATTTTAACACGTCAATCTCATTGAATATTTTTCACTACACACTAAAAATGACTTTATGCAGACACACATTTAATTTGGACCACTTGAAGATTGTTTCTCCTTCTTATACCTTAAAGTACTGACCGTAAAAAATTTTGAAATAAAATTAAATTTTATTCCTTAAATATTTGAAGTTTTGAGCAAGTGAGAAAGTGACAGGATTGAAAAGAGAGAATAGAATTTATGATTAAAATGGGGAGGGGTACGATTCAATTGGCACCCAGTCTGTAATGTGAAAGTTGTATACAGTATTTACTATCTTATTATTACTGTATTAGTCCATTTTCACGCTGGCATAATGACATACCTGAGACTGGGTAATTTATGAAGGAAAGAGGTTTAAGGGACTCACAGTTCCACATGGCTGGGGAGGCCTCACAATCATGGCAGAAGGTGAAGGAGGAGCAAAGGCACGCCTTACATGGTAGTAGGTAAGAGAGCATGTGCAGGGGGACTGCCCTTTATAAAACCATCAGATCTCATGAGACTAAGTCAATATCATGAGAACAGCATGGGAAAAACCTGCTCCCATGATTCAATTACCTCCCACTGGGTTCCTCCCACAACATGTGGGGATTATGGGAGGTACAATTCAAGATGAGATTTGCATGGGGACACAGCCAAACCATATCAACCAGGTACCACCAAAGTGAGCTAAAAGTAAGGCAGAGATAACTGATAGAGGTTTTCAGGAATAGAGAAAGGATATAATTTTTGATCATTTCAAAAATGATTATTCTTTGAATCTAATACAAATATTCATCTTGTATGGCAAGTTCTCAAAAGAAGTCAAGAGAATTTGACTGATGACTAAATGCATTACTTCTAAGTATTCCGTGTTTTTATAACTCATTTTTTCTCTCACTGTATCTATGAAAACATGTTCATCATCACTTTTAAAATCAACATATTAACGTATAGTTATTCTTTAAAAATATGCATTAGTTTCCAGATTGTTGTTTTATTCTACTCTTATATTTATGTGTTTGACACAATTGATCTTTACATAAATAATCTTCTATCAGAGGGTAATTGGCACAGGCCAGGAAAAACTGGTGGTCTGGCTAGGCCAGTTCAGCCCAATTCCTTGCACCTGTCATATAAATATAGCCAAGATGTCTTTTGAGGTTTTATTGCCTTTGAGACGTGAATAAGCTCATTACCAACCTGTTGGCCTCAACCATTTTGAACCACTGGAATTCCACACCATGTAGAAGTTCCATGCCTGCCTTCAGATTTCTGTGGATACCTCAGGGGCTTTCATTGTCATGAGGACCTGTGGAGCTTTTCTTCTCCTTCTGCCGAATCAGGTTTGCTGATGGGCTGGGCTGTTCTCCTGCATGTTTTGTCCCTCACGGGTGTCCTATATCTCAGACCCACATATAAAACCTAGCCATGTCCTGAACCTCCAGACACACATGAAATCCTTCAGTTTTCTCTCCAAATAATTCTCTGCAACAGCGTTTACTGAAAATCACTGAGATAGCTGAGGTGGAGTGTGGCTCAAGTGAGGAGAGGAAGTATAGGCTTGAGGAAGGAAGGAGGAATATTTATGGGGAGAAGGCTATCTTCAGAAGCATATCCAACTTCACCTCTGTTAAGAACACCTCTGTTCTTAAATGTCTTTAAGGCACACGCCAAGTGTCCTGGCAATCTCTCTTCATTCCTTCCTCTTATTCCCTCCAGCCTGAAATTCCGCCTAATTCCAAATGTGGACCAACTTAACAATTTTTTTTTTTTTTTTTTTTTTTTTTACTAATACTCTTCTCATCTAAGGGTTTTATTTTTCACCAGGGTCACTAAACTAAATTTTAGTGGATCATCAGGAGGTCAAAAGTGACATCATAGCATCATAAAACAATTTGGTTTTGGTTATGCTTCTAAAGTGATAAATAAGTCAGCACTTCCCTTCCCCACATGTTTGGAGTGAGTACTAGTTTGGACTTAATACTAAAGGTATAGGGAAAGCAGACAGATGTCAACACTAACCAAGGAGAAAAGAGCCTGAGAATGTTATGTCTCAAAAATACAAATGGCAGTGGAAATACCTTCAAGAAATTCTCAGGGAGGGCACAGGTGTAGACAAAACCTGCAACTGTTTCCACTGTTAAAATTATTCATTTAAACGTAGAGAGACTTCTCAACAAATATATTTTAGTGTACACATCTCAAAGACACATACTTGTAAATGTTATTTTGTGTCACTTATTTCTTATGAATAATATTGTAGTTTGGATTGTGATAGAGCCACCAGCAGTATTTTGTAGTTGTTAAGTATTTAGATAGCACATTGAATTGGGGAATTTGGAAAATGATTGTTTTCTATGTATGGAGCCACTATGTATTGGGCCACAGCAGAACATCTCCTGACTTCTAATGTTCACACTAGGAGAAACATTTGCTTAACTCCATTTCATGTTGTGAAGTAACAGTATAATCAGTGATAGACAAATGTGTACATCTATAATCATATTTCATATACATGCACACACATACATAGACACATGCATACACTAGATTTCAAAAGAATAACTTGTTTTCCTTTGGGAGTAAGAAGTTATTTCGTTCCAATATGTGTTGGATGTCCTATATTTTGGCTACGCTGAGAAAGTGCAACCCAAATCACATCCCAAACTGATGATTTGCAGTATTGTGAACATAATTTCAGAATTGTATTATCTAGATGAAATTTCATCATTTATCCCTTCATCTCTTTATTCACTCAGCATAAGCTTTGACTTTAATAAGCCATCAATTATAAGATATACTATTTTATGAATCACTTATAAAGGAAAAACAGTGAATTCAAGTCTAGCATAAATTAATAAGCCTAGTCAACACGTGAATCAGTTGCATAATCCTCTCATTACTTTGTGGTTTATTTTATCTATTTCAAGAGATTTTGTGATTTTTATCTCTGTTTAGTTTACAGTCCCTAGCATCGGATTGGCCATCATTTTACATGTATGTTAATAGTTAAACATTATCTGCTTGTGGGTATTTTCCTTTCTTACCATAAAGCACTTGGATGTGGCTTTGTGAAACAATATGGAATATCTGTCATTCTCTCTATGAAGACTATTTGTTTTACTAATATCATGTTATGCCCCACTGCTCCCTTTCTTTTCCTTTCTGTGAACACAATAACTTTTCGTTTCAGTGATGAGACATTTTGAAATCTTTGAAAGATTTTATTGGCAATTAAACCAACACACAAAGTGACAACAATCCATACAACTTGATTGTAGTGATGAAAATCTAACAAGTTTGACCAAATTCTCACATGCATAGGCAAGGACAACTGGTTACACCTGCTGTTTAGCCACTGTGATTGTAAAATGTCATTGATTGTAAAATAATCATGCACATGTAATTACATGAGAAAAGAAACTCTTAAACAATGTACTGTAATTTTTATTGAACTTCACTACGTACCTGAAGCTGAGGTAGGTGCTAGAATTTATCAAAAGAATATGCTGCCACCAAGACTTGTGTAGTCAAGTATTAAGTGTAAGTCCTCTATGAGAAGATAGAAAATGTGGTATAGTTTTCTTAAAATGTGCTCAAGGAATACAAAGAGGATAGCCCTTTAAGGTGGCAAGACCGACAAACACTTAGAACAGTAGTAGATTTTGGGTAAGTGGAGATCATGAGAGAAAAGGTATTTTAATTCAAAAGCAGAACCTGAGCAAATATTGGAAAAAACAAGCCACCAGGAGGATACTCAAGAAATGGTGGTTGGGTGATATGGCTTAAGGTTAGCCTGTGAGAAGAAATAATTACAGGTGAATTAGGAATGGACTTTGAAAACGGAAGATTCTTGAATGCATGGTTAGAGAACAAGATGAGCCTTGAATTGTTCTGGAGTTGCTAACATATGATTAGTGATATTTTCAGGAAGCCAAGCCTATGTCTTTGACTTATCGAAGCAAACATGATAACTTGACAAAAGTCAGATTTTTGGTGCATAGCAATAGCCTCGATTCTAAGCAAGGCAGAAATGGGGGCAACAAGGTGAGGGTGCTAATTTTTCCCATCTCCGTCCTCAATGACAGACAGTGCTTGGTAACAAAAGCAAATTAGAACGATCACATTTCCAATGTCAAATCTCCACCAAAAACGTTGAATGAGAGATTTGCTCCAAAACAGAGGAGAGATTATTCTTCCAGCAGAATTGACAAAACTTACGGTCAGTTTCAACAGCAGGAGCTTGCATGATGAGGAATTAGCCAAGGCCAAAATCCTCTAAACTTAAAGGACTACCCCCAATGGAGTTGATGTCAGTGGTTTTTACACCTTCTGCAACCAAGCCCCACAGATGGTAGCATACCTAAAGTACTTCTAATAAAGCAACCAACCACAGGGCGTACATGAAAATTAGAATTAACTGGTTTAGGTAAATGCACATATGACACATTGCTCATGCTCAAATGTTTCAAACTAAATTGAAAAAAAACACACACAATATAAGTTGGAAGCAATGCAGTAAACAGATTAGTAGCTGGAGAAAGTGGTAATAGTGTTTCAAGTACTGAAGTGTTTTAATAAGACAATATGAAAATTAATGAGAAATTGAAATAGGACAATAGTCATGGAAATACAAAGGATGGAACAGGTATTTTTAAAAGTCTCTGTGAATAACCCTCCTAAATTCAGTAATAGTTCTAAATGCATGCTTCTTTTCTTATGAATTGAGAATTGCACAATAAGATAAAACTTTTCCAAAATACAGTTAGGCTCTATTTCCCATGAATGTAATTTGGAATTGAAAAATATAAGAAAAAGAAGCAACAGAGCAACAATGAGCACATTTCTAAATACTTGAAAAAATGAAAAACTACTGGGTTATTTGTGGTCCTTAAGTAACAGATAATCTAGAAGCAGAAAACCCTAAAATTAAAACAAATACATGACTATGAAATTCACGAGTTTTTTGAACCATGTCCCCATTCTAAAGCTTTAAAAAAATCTAAGATTTTATTTAAATCAATTGTGAAAAATGTGTTTATTTGTTTATTTAATTCTCTCCGCACACACTAAGAAATTATGCAAAATAGAAGGGAAAGAAATGTTGATATACTCCATGAAAGCAACAAGTAGTCCTGATGCCTTTTACCTGCTAAATTGTAGTCCTTAATTGCCATGCAAGTGCAAAAACAAAACCAAAAAAAAAAAAATCTACCTAAAATATGCATTATACTTTTACAATGAATGAGTAGAAATTTGGCAGTCCTTAAAAATTTTGATCCTGTCTGTATATCCATTGAAAATCCACTTGTTTAATCTTACAGCCACTCAGTTCATGTAACGAAGAGTACTAGACATAATAATGAGTCAGAAAATGCTTGACATGGAAACACTCCATTAACTTTTATTTATTGAAAGAAAACATTTAAAATGCTATTTTCAGTCTGCAATTATTTTGTTTCTTAAATTCCCCAATATGATTGCCATACAGCTTTCTGTGAGTTTTCAAATATCACAGGAGCCCTTACCTAGCCATTCAATCCCAGAATATCTGCTGACCAAGCCACAGAGCATGACTTGGGCTCACCAGAAGAACCTGTTAGTCCCATGGAACCCACTTTACACTGTATTTGACACACTGTGTCACTGCAGTATTAAAATGCTATGAAGAGTTGTTTCAACAGGATTTGTTTTAAATCTAAGTGTCTCCAAGGACTAAACCTTGCCAAAATCTTTGCATACGAATAAAAGAGGCCTGAACAATGTTTAAGCATCACTAGTCAACAGACGACCTGGACTCTCCCTGGCTAACTGAAGTGAGTTAAAACAGAACCAGGCAGCTGGGTGAGGGAGGCAGTCACATACCATGTTCTCAGAAAGATTTTGTAAAATTATCACAGGACCTCCTTGTCTACAAGCAGCCAAACCAGCTCCTGTTGTCAGTGCCAAGATAAATTACAGTGAGAACCCACCTGTCCCCAGTCTTTGAAAGAAATGTCTGACAGAGACTTACGGTGAGAGGTGACAGCGTGCTGGCAGTCCTCAGAGCCCTCGCTTGCTCTCGGCACCTCCTCTGCCTGGGCTCCTACTTTAGTGGCACTTGAGGAGCCCTTCAGCCCACCACGGCACTGTGGGAGCCCGTTTCTGGGCTGGCCAAGGCCGGAGCCCACTCCCTCAGCTTGCGGGAAGGTGTGGAGGGAGAGGCGCGAGCGGGAACCGGGGCTGCGCGCGGCGCTTGCGGGCCAGCTGGAGTTCCGGATGGGCGTGAGCTTGGCGGGCCCCGCACTCGGAGCAGCCGGCCGGCCCTGCTGGCCCCGGGCAATGAGGGACTTAGCACCCGGGCCAGGGGCTGCGGAGGGTCCCCCAGCAATGCCAGCCCACCGGCGCTGCGCTCAATTTCTCGCCGGTCCTTAGCTGCCTTCCCGCGGGGCAGGCCTCGGGACTGCAACCCGCCCTCCCTGAGCCTTCCCCCGCCTCCGTGGGTTCCTGTGCAGCACGAGCCTTCCCTACGAGCACCGCCCCCTGCTCCAGGGCGCCGAGTCCCATCGACCGCCCAAGGGCTGAGGAGTGCGAGCGCATGGCGCAGGACTGGCAGGCAGCTCCACCTGCAGCCCCAGTGCGGGATCCACTGGGTGAAGCCAGCTGGGCTCCTGAGTCTGGTGGGGACGTGGAGAGTCTTTATGTCTAGCTCAGGGATTGTAAACACACCAGTCGGCACTCTGTATCTAGCTCAAGGTTCGTAAACACACCCATCAGCACCCTGTGTCTAGCTCAGGGTTTGTGAGTGCACCAATCTACACTCAATATCTAGCTGCTCTGGTGGGGCCTTGGAGAACCTGTGTGTGGATACTCTGTATCTAACTAATGTGATGGCGAGGTGGAGAACCTTTGTATCTAGCTCAGGTATTGTAAAGGCACCAATCAGCGCCCTGTCAAAACAGGCCACTTGGCTCTACCAATCAGCAGGAGGTGGGTGGGGCCAGACAAGACAATAAAAGCAGGCTGCCCAAGCCAGCAGTAGAAACCTTTGGGTCCCCCTTCCATACTGTGGAAGCTTTGTTCTTTTGCTCTTTGCAATAAATCTTGCTACTGCTCACTCTTTGGGTCCACACTGATTTTATGAGCTGTAACACTCACCGAGAAGATCTGCAGCTTCACTCCTGAAGCCAGCAAGACCACGGGGCCATCGAGAGGAACGAACAACTCCAGACGCGCTGCCTTAAGAGCTGTAACACTCACCGCCAAGGTCTGCAGCTTCACTTCTGAGTCAGTGAGACCATGAACCCACCAGAAGGAAGAAACTCCGAACACATCTGAACATCAGAAGGAACAAATTCCAGACGCGCCACCGTAAGAGCTGTAACACTCACCATGAGGGTCCGCCGCTTCATTCTTGAAGTCAGTGAGACCAAGAACCCACCAGTTCCGGACACAACGGTTCGGGGATTGGAAAGGAACCAGTCCGAGTTCACCTGAACTAAATCATCAGAGCTGACCTGCCCCTGCCGCTCAGAGCTCAGCTATAGTGACCATTCAGGACTCAGTTGTGTTGATCAATCAGCTGAATTTGAATTCTTTTTTTACATAAACAAACCTAATTGGGAACTGGGCTAGAAATTTCTGCTATAAAACCTGAACCCGGTAGGGCAAGGTGGCTCACGCCTGTAATCCTAGCACTTTGGGAGGCTGAGGCTGGTGGATTGCTTGAGGTCAGGAGTTCAAGACCAGCTTGATCAACATGGTGAAACCCTGTCTCAACTAAAAATACAAAAATTAGCCGGGCGTGGTGGCAGCCTCCTGCAATCCCAGCTGCTCTGGAGGCTAAGGCAGGAGAATCGCTTGAACCAAGAGGCGGAGGTTGCAGTGAGCTGAGATTGTGCCATTGCACTCCAGCCTGGGCGACAAAGCGAGACTCTGTCTCAAAAACAAACAAACAAAAACCTGAACCCTCTGTTCTCTGGACAGCACCTTCGATTTCCACTGAAGGCTGTCTCCTGAATTTGCAAACTGTTCAATAGAAGAAAAAATCTCTTTCTTCCAAATTCTTTTTCAGAGAACTTTTGTTCACACATCATAATTTTAATAGCTTTTGAAGTAAGTTAGACTACTTCAAAATTCTTAAGAAATATTCAAAACACAAGGACCCAAAAGCATCCAGAGTCAGCTACATCTAAGTTGATCTGGAAGATATATTTATCCAAATATTGGGGACAGTAAACAAAAATACGCTCAACTTATATGAAGTCGAGCATTAATCATTAATTATTAGGGAAATGCAAATTAAGACACAATTAAAACCACTCCAAACATCAAGATGGCTAAAATGAAAAAGAAAGTACCAAGTGTTGGCATATATCTGGAGTTAACAAGGATTTTCATATATTGCTTACACTATTTTTAGACTACTATGAAAGTATTTCTAAAAATCAATTAAATATGCAAATACTATACTACATGACAATTCTAGTTTTATTTATGTACCCAAGATAAATATATATGCTCATCAAAGCAAAACAAAACAGTAAGAAAAATATGTGCAATTCATAGTATCTTAAAACCAGGTGTAACCTAAATGGCCATCAGCAATACAATGGATAAATACATAGTGAATTATTCACCTAATGACACGCTATTTAACAAAGAGAATTAATAATTACAATAGTATGCAAAAACTTATATGGGCCTCATATAATATGGAGTAAAAGAAGTCTCAAATATATCTATGAGTTTACATACATAAAGAATGAAAATAGGCCAGATGCAGTGGCTCACGCCTATAATCCCAGCACTTTGGGAGGCCGAGGCAGGTGGTTCACCTGAGGTCAGGAGTTCAAGACCAGCCTGACCAACATGGTAAAACCCCATCGTTACTAAAAATATAAAAATTAACCGGGTGTGGTGGCACATGCCTATAATCCCAGCTACTTGGGGGGCTGAGACAGGAGAATTGCTTGAACCCAGGAGACGGAGGTTGCAGTGAGCCAAGGTCACGCCATTGCCCTCCAGCCTGGGCAACAAGAGTGAAGTTCCATCTCAAAAAAAAAAAAAAAAAGAAAAGAAAGAAAATAGGCAAAAAGCATACTGCTAGACATCAGGATATCAACTATCCTTGAGGCAGTAGTGAATGCCAGGGAACTTCTAGGTTGGTCATAATATTCAAATTCATAATTCCTACCTACGTATACTAGCATGGTGTGTTCATTCTGCAAGAATTCAATTTATACTTTTGAGTACTACAAATTAAATACATGTGCACTTTTCTGTTTACATATTATTTTTCATTTATAAAATTAAACTTATATTTAGAAGTTTTAGGTTTGTTAAAGTAGGAAAATACACTAAGTGGCTGCACAATCGTGTAACATAAGGTTAAGATTAGATTTTTTGCCAGGTGCAGTGGCTCAGGCCTGTAATCTCAGCACTTTAGGAGGCTAAGGTGGGTGGATCACTTGAGGGCAGGAGTTCAAGGCCAGCCTGGCCAACATGGTGAAACCCTGTCTCTACTAAAAATATAAAAGTTAGCCAGGCATGGTGGTGTGCACCCGTAGTCCCAGCTACTTGGGAGGCTGACGTGGGAGAATCGCTTGAACCCAGGAGACAGAGTCTGCAGCAAGCCAAGATCATGCCACTGCACTCCATTCTGGGCAACAGAGTGAGATCCTGTCTCAAAAAATTTAAAAAAAAAGATTAGATTTTCAAGCATTGGATGTTGTTGTCTCTAGTATTACCAGAGAGAGTTGAAAGAAACATACTCTTCATGACCATTTCTAAATTTTACCTTTGCGCTGAAAATTAGTATACATGACATTAAATAACCAAGCTAAATGACAAATTATGTTTCAAGAGTAGAAAAAAAAATATGATTTTAAGTAGCTGGTGCCATAGATGAATCACGTACCTAGGACACAGACACATTGCAGACCCAGGCACAAATTATCTCTTCATAGTCAGGTGGATCTAGGAAAATTTGCTAGAAGAGTCTTGGTTCATTCAGGCTTTCATAACAAAATAACATAGACTTGGAAACTTACACACAACAGAAATTGATGACCTTCATTTCTCATAAAGGAAATGCATTCATCATAAGAAAAGTCCAAGATCAAGGTGTCAGCAGAGTTGGTGTCAGGTGAAGCCCCTCTTCCTGCGTCCTCACATGGTGGAAGTGGCAGAGGTGTCTCCGAGATCTCCTTTATATGGGCACTTTATATCTCCTTTATATAATCCCATTCATTAGCGCTCTGCCCCCAAGACCTAATCACTTCCCAAAGGCCCTGCCTGCTAATATCACCTTAGGAATTAGAATTTCCGCATGTAAAATTTGGGGACACATGAACACTCAAAACCTAAAGAAGGGAGACAGGCATAAAAGTTGTGGAAAGTCTGACTCCCCACATAGATTTGAAATTTAAAATATGCTCAAATGAGTATGAGAAAAATGGAGTTATTTCACCTATGTTAAAAGAAGCTATAGACTACAAAAACATTGGTAATGGAGGATAATGCACATTTTTTTTTTCTTTTCTGTTAGGAATAAGGCAGTGGGCTGGCTCCGTGGCTCATGCCTGTAATCTGAGCACTTTAGGAGGCCAAGGGGGGTGGATCATGAGGTCAGGAGTTCAACACCTGGCCAACATGGTGAAACCCTATTTCTACTAAAAATAGAAAAATTAGCCGGGCATGGTGGCAGGCACCTGTAATCACAGCTACTCGGGAGGTTGAGGCAGAGAATTGCTTGAACCCGGGAGGTGGAGGGTGCGGTGAGCCAAGATCACGCCACTGCACACCAGCCTGTGTGACAGAGCAAGACTCCGTCTAAAAAAAAAAAAAAATGTAGTGAAGCAAAGTATTTCCTTGATCCCTTTGCTGGACTCATGACAGGGGTGCCTTGTTTACTCAGCCTGCCACTGTCAACTCCTGGCGGAAGGGAACTGGAGTGTTGGAACCAGCTGGCCGCTTAGGCACTGGTGGGATCAAACTCCTTTCATGCAGACCTCTGCGTTCCACCCGTCATGGAAGGGAGCGCACAGGTGAGCGGGTGCAGGAGCCGGAACAAGCACTTTTGGGCTCCGGAACAAGCACTTTTGGTCTCCAGCAGGAGCAAACTCCGTGCAGGACCCACAGCAGCGTCCAGTCAGGATGCCTGCGACTCCAAAAGCCCCAAGGGGCGTGTTACAGTGATCTTTTAGCTCTGCTGTCCACAGACGGCTTAAGTGTTAACAGCTCAGTGGGCCCTCCGCCCTTTTGTGTGAGATAGCTGCCCTCCACCAGTGAGGGCAAAGGGCCAGTGTGACAGCCTTTTGTATCCTCACTTCTGGCTCCTGAGCTCTTGTCCGGCATCCAGGATAAATGAGGTCACAGGAACGAAGTGAAGGATGGTAAATGCTGAAGAATTTATTTCCAAGTGGCTTTCAGTGGGAAGGGATGCTGAAAATGTGATGGGGGGGTGGGTAGGTAATCCTCCCCTGGAGATTCTCTTAAGTTACACCATCAAGCTGTTCCTCTGAAGTCAAGCTGCTTCTCTCTGACATCCAGCTGCTTCTCCTGTCTGCAAGCTGGGTCTGGGGTCTTTACAGGCACAGGATGGGGGTGGGGCAGGCCATGGGTAGTTTAAGAAAAGGCAACATTTGAGCAAGAAAGCAGGGATACAAGTTCTCACTTTTGGCACAGTTTCAGGCTTTTTGGCTTGAGTGTGGGATTTTTTGGGGACCCACCCTTTTCTAACTAGAATTTCTCTGCCTCGTATCCCTATCAGTAGTATCACTAATTTGTGCTGCCATAATTCATAAAGATTTAGGAGTTAGGTAATTTTACATATTACTTCCTATCATATTATATTTAATAAATCAGGGTTGAGATACATTTATCTGATGTCAATGTATTTGTAAAACTACTTTGTTTAAAATAAAACAAAAAAATTTTAAATTGTGCATAACTTTGAGTGAAAGGAAAATTATCTAAAAAGATGTGCTAAAAATAAATATTACATTTCTAGTAAACTTTGTTAATACGGATGTTCCTTCCCAGTAGTTTGAAGTATAGAGATAATCAAAAAGATGAAAAAAACTACTTTGCCTGGAAACAAGAGTTAAGCTTTCATCAGTTGTTATCAGATGTTCGCATCCTCAAAATTTTTGTACCAAAAAAATAGGACTAATTTGCCTTTCTTAAGTGGTTACTTACTCTCTCCCCCTGGAAATTTGCATTTATAAACACCAATGCTTAAATTTTAGTTATTCTAGCCTGTTGAATTTATATTCAACATAACTAAAGCAACAAGGAACCAGTCCTGTCATCCCCAAATAATGTGGAACATTTTGACTATAATGAGAGAAGAAACTATTGAGGGCTTAATTTCACATAGCCATTTAATAGAAAATTGTTATGTAACGCAGATAATTGAACAATCCCTTTACAGTTAGTAACAAAGGAGAATAAGTATTTAATGTTTGATGTATAACCTCATTTCACATTTTCCTTTTCGTTTGCACCAGTTGCTTTAACTATAAGTTCATCTTGTCTTAAAGAAATGAGAATATAATCACATCCTAATTACATAGCTTTGGGTTATTTGTACGATTAAGTTATCTGTTACAAAGTTAATGAATCTTAATAATGCAATTCTCTTTGGAGACTTGATTGATATACTAACATTTATTGTATAGCACAGTCTATTAACTGTGTGTGTGTGTGTGTGTGTGTGTGTGTCTGTCTGTATATATATATAAACACACTCTTCCAAATCACAATGTCACTTATGGCAATTGTGTTTCTAGACAGGCTCTCAACTCTTAAAGTTCTAAATATTTTTGAAAAGAGCACTTATGCTAACATGTTTCTCTTAATTTTTTAAAACAAAACAAAACAAAACAAAACAAAAAAAACCTCTTGGGCATCAGTGTAAACCAGTCTCCTGAGATTTGGGGGGAAATATGTCCTTTATCCCAGCTAGGGCCAAAAATTGAAAAGTTAAATAGCCAAAAATGTGTCTCAAAGATTAATGCTCTTGAAATGTAATGCAGAAAAATTTGGACAATAATGGAGGAAAACCTTCTTTATAAAACAGGCTAAACTTAAAACAAAATCAGTCTCACAAAGTTAGCACTAAGCATTAAAATCACTGAGGAAAACCTTTTTGCTTTTTTTCTTCTCCTTAGACAGTGTCAGCAGTCGCAAATCAGGTTAGGGTTTAGATCACTGTGTGTTCTAAATTATATTTATGCCCTTGTAAAGCTGTGCAACATGTTGCCTTGCGTAAGAAATCTTTAAACCACATGTTCTGGCAAGTAACTGCTGATATTTACTTCCAAAATTCGATCTGGTTGCTTTAGATACTTCAGCAATGACCTTTAAAATAATCAATTTTGGCCGGGCGCGGTGGCTCATGCCTGTAATCCCAGCACTTTGGGAGGCCGAGGCGGGCGGATCACGAGGTCAGGAGATCGAGACCATCCCGGCTAAAACGGTGAAACCCCGTCTCTACTAAAAATACAAAAAATTAGCCGGGCGTAGTGGCGGGCGCCTGTAGTCCCAGCTACTTGGGAGGCTGAGGCAGGAGAATGGCGTGAACCCGGGAGGCGGAGCTTGCAGTGAGCCGAGATCCCGCCACTGCACTCCAGCCTGGGCGACAGAGCGAGACTCCGTCTCAAAAAAAAAAAAAAAAAAAAAATAATCAATTTTAAGACTATCTTTCAGATGCATTCTTGTATTGTAAGTCATCACTGGCTTATACCTTATTATGATAATTTCAAAACAATTACCTTATTTCTTCCAATGTCTTTTGATACCTAAGATTTCTAGACTTAATTTTAGAACATAAATCTTCATAAAGTACAATATATTCTATTAAAAAAAAATTCCCCATCATTGGAACCAGCATACCAAAGTTGCATCAAGATATAAAGTTGAATGATGTAGGTAATTATAAAGATTATTTTCATCTGAAGTATCCACATAATTGAAGCAAATGTGATTTCTGCATGTGGGAATTATCTCAATTTTCCACTTCAGTTGGTTAGTGTAAAAATAAAGAATTTTAACTTTTTACATCCTCAAGCAATTAATACTTAAGCACAAATAATATACTAGTGTTGATTTTCCATGGCCTTCTGTTTAGCATTGAAAATGTATGCTACTTAAATGGTTAAATAAAAGTGTTGAAACCTTTTACTTGTTGACGTTCAGAATGCATCTTAAACTACTTCATTATGAAAATTGAGAACTTAACATTTCACCACTATTTGTTCTCTTACACATTTTGTATAATAAAAGTAGATAAAAATATATACTTCCCTAGATATCGTCATTCTGGAATTAAATTTAGAAATGGTTTTAAAACAATCTATGTCCCCTCAGGAGTGGAATTGTAGCATTGTTTGCACAAGTTTATACTCAAGGATGTTTCTGCCACTTTATAACAATCTTTTTTCATATTTATATATTTATATGCAATTATAACTCTAATATAGTTTTAGTTTCTCTAGTTTTATTATTTTCTAACTACTCACAAGATATTGGTAAGAGAACTTTTGGCAAATGTGAAAATATAAAGTTCACTTTTTAAAAATGTAAATCTAAAAAATGTGAATAATTTTTAATTGACTATGTTCATATAACTAGATTTTCAGTACATTAAGCAGATAAATTGATATGAATTTATGAAAATGAAATTCTTTTGCTAGATTGATGGCATCAGCGTTTTCCAGAAAAAAAGACGTACAAACATGCCCCATATATCTTTTAGATTTATTAACATGGCTTTGAGATACACTGACGTGCCTAGTTTTGAGTGGAAATTTTTTAGAATGAGAAAAAATTGTGTTGGTTACAATTTTATAGGAAGATGTTACTTCGATAAACACCATTTTTTGGCTTTTGGGAAGTTTATTCATTTTTATGTATTTAATTCTTTGAGACAGGTTCTCTTTCTGTGACCCAAGCTGGAATGTAGTGACACAGTGGTGACTCACTACAGCCTCAAACTCCAGGACTGAAGCAACCCCCTTACCTGAGGCTCTTGTGTACCTCGGACTACTGGTGTGTATCACCACACCAATGAATACATTTTTTGTAGAGACTGGGTTTCACTCTGTTGACCAGGCTGATCTCAAACTCCTGGCCTCAAGCAATCCTCCTGCCTTGGTCTCCCAAACTTCTGGGATTACAGGCATGAGGCTTTGCTCCCAGCCTCTATGGGAAGTTTAGATATCCAACCTATCATAACTTTAACTTCTCATTGGTACGAGAAAAGTATGGAAAATATGTGACAGAATGTATTGGATTGAGCAATTTTTGTAGCCTTGTTTTATAAGAAGAAATAATTTTTAACTATATATACTTCAGAAAATAAATTGTGATTCCTTTAATTGATCTTAGTACCAGATTGTGCCTTGGAATGTAGTCAATGGTAATGATAAGAATACTATATTATGAACACTCAGAAAGTTATTCTGTGCAAGAAATATTAAAATTTAACATATAATCTTAGGGACTCTTCCTCACTTTTTCTGCATTCAGTCCCACAATTTCCCATTGTTACAGAGGTGAATCCTCCTCATGAAGATAATGACCCTGAGCCACAGGTGCCTAATCTGATAACAACATATATAATAGACAAGATAGAAAATTGGAGACATATTAAGGCAAATGTACTTCACAACAGTAAAGTAATAAATTCAATCCTAAAGGAGAATTTGTAGATGTAATTGACAGTGAAAGAGTAAGAAAACCACTCTTTAACAAGTATTTTTGTCATTGTTCCTTTTTTAGTAATATAAACAAGACGATGTAAAACTTACATTTTGTTTCTCATGGTATGCTATGACTATCTCCTCAGACTATGTTAATTAGATAATTTCTCACTCCCAACAGTGGAACGATGTAAACATAAAAAAAATTAAACTCATATGTGTTACTGTAGTGATTTTATATCTATATATCTCTCTTTTAATGTGAAACTTTCGTATCATTGGTTTTATATATATGTATGTGTACATATACATAAATATGTGTGTATATATACATATATGTGTATTCAACACAAAAATAAGCAGTTCTAAGGACTCAAAATTAACTAATATTTATAGAGTGTGAGGTAACATCTCATACATGATATCCCCTTTTTATTGATATGAATGCTGTATTTCAGAGTAGTTAAGCAACTTTCTCTAGGTTATGTGAGTTCAAAGTGATGAAGCAAATATTCAATCTAGATAGGACCCTGAGGTTCATATTTTTTCCACCAAACAGGCTGTTAAACTACATGTCAAATCCTGATCTTTCACCATTTCATAGAAAGTTGAAATAAAACTAATTTTACATATGCTTTCTTTTGACAGGACTCTATTATAAATGTCAATATTAAATAGTGGGTAAAATTGCTGAAAGTGTGAGAAATTCACAACTGTGAGTTGGAAATCCATTATCTCAAACTGTGTTCATATTGACATGTTCAAGCAGCGTGTGTATCTATCTACCAACATTTATCTAGTGAACGGTGAATTTCATAAATATAACTAATTAATCATCAAACTCACGCACTATTCCCACAATGCAGCCTAAATGTGCAAAATGATAATAAAGGACAGAAATGTATATATTTGCTATTTACATATATAGGAGAGAGAGACAGAGAGGAGAAAGAATATTCAAATATGTAAGTGTGCACATTTTTTGTCTGAAACATATTTTTTCTCTCTTGCTTTCCCTATCTCTTTCTTCTATTCATTAATCTTTTTCAATGTATCACTTTCAGTTCCTTGATACACTGATTAGATGTCCTGTATAATGTCTACACCAATAGCAAACCTTACTGATTTTGTTCAGTTAGGCTGACTATGGTGTCTACAGATATATCACAGCAAATATTTTCGTTCGATCACATTTTTTGGCGTAGTGAAATTGTTCCAGATTCATGATGATTTAAACAGTAATTAAGTCCATTTTATATATAGAAACTATAAAACTAGTTAAAATTTTGCAACTTATGAGGCATGTAGTTCTATATTTCTTCATTATATGTGGGGATGAGAAAGAATATGTTGCCAAAGAATAGAAGCCACTCACTTATATTTTGAGAAAGGCAATTTCAGTAATACTTTATTTAGACAGCTGAAGAGATGAAAAGGTGTTTAGAATTGAAAGCAATCCAGTTATTTATTATTGATTTTTGTTAATTTAATAAAATTATATATATACATATATATATATATACACTCACATATATATTAGGAAAGAGGTAGAGCCAACTATAGCATTTGCCTCAATGTACGCTCAAATATTTTTTCAGAAATGTATTTGGATACATAGCTATGGGGTTGTGCTCTTTGTGCTCTTTTTGCTCTTTCTTGTTTTGAAAAATTGTTTAACACTTTGGGATTTAAATTTATTTCTGATTATTTTTAATTCAAGAAGTTCCTGAAAATGACCTAGTCTTACTTTGAGATTTTATTTACTGATCAAAAGAAATGAATAAAGCAAAATTTGACTTGTGACGTTTCTCCTGATGGGCAGTGTAAAATAATTTTGCAAAAATATATTCACTTTCATAAAACAAAGTTACTATCACTTTTAAAATTAATTTACATAATTAAGGAAGTTAAGCAAGAAACCAAGGCTACATTCCTCTTTGGATTTAATTAAAACAGTATTTTATACTGTTGAGCCTGAATTTTCTTTCTCAACCAGCTAAACAGAAAATAAAAAATATATTAAATTGCCCCCAATGTGACTTTGCAAAGGGCTCAGTTAATTTAATTAATCTATCTTGAGTCTCCCTAAATTCAGTATCAGCCAACATGGATCAGTAAGAGAAAGGAAAAAGCCATGAAGCCCTTTCTGCAAGGCTGAGGTCCATTTAGAGGGAGGAAGTTGATAAATGAAAAAGAATCACCTCTTCCCCACTTTGGAGATGTAAATTAATACATTCCAGTGAACTGTTAATCATTAAACTTTCATGGTTCACAAGTTACAGAATTCTCTAGAAATGTAGGGTCATTTAAATGATTATAAAAATGAATGTGTCCTCAGATTATGCACAATTTTTCATCCTTTCTGGTGTCAATAAAGAATGTCATTTTTCTTGTGTAGGCAAGGAAACAACTTCTCTCTTTCTACAACTAACAAATCCCTACCTTGTCTTGAATACCCACCAAAAGGATACCTCCCCTGTAAATTCTTCCTTGGCAAACACAGCCAATTTTTAGATTTTTCATCCCTCTGCACCCCAGAATGCTTACTTGCATTATTAAATATGGAATTGAAGTTATTTGTTTACATGTGTCTTAATTTTCCAAGGCATTGGAGGGAACAACTTATTTTCCACTGAGCACTTTATTTTAATTATTTTATTTACCTTTCTGCCAAAGAAGAGAAACTCGTTGAATTTATCTCATTTAATGGGATCTAACTTTAAGGCATCATTTGGATCTTCAATAATAATATGGTTTTATGTCTGTCTGGTGGTGTTTTTTGGATTTCTTTGCCAATAATGAGGCTTAGGCCATCTGTGCTTATGAAACCGGTCCAATTGTCCCATTGAGCTAATGTTTATTATTTCTTTGAATAAACATAATAATTGATCCACCCAGTTTTAAAACTTAAGAAAGTTACATTTGTATTATTTGAGTTCCTTTGTCAGGAAACCAATCATCAAGGCTTGCAGACAGAATCAAGGAACTGAAACTTACCAGATCATTGCATTCAATGAGATGCCAAACCCTTCACCCACCACAATTGCCTGCATGAGCACCGGCTTCCTGTTGACCAACTCCTCTTGCTTATGCCTCCTTAAATCCTGTTTTGCCACATATGGTTATATTTCTTCCCTGCTATATAAACCCCTCATTTTACTCAGGGAGATGGATTTGATACTGATCTCCCACCTCCTCGGCTACAACACCCAATTAAAACCCTCTTTCTTGCCAATACTCATTTTCCCAGTGATTGGCTTTCTGTAAAGCAAGCAGCAGGGCCTAAACTGAACCCCTGGTGTTTCAGTAACATTTATATGTGGGAAGAGCAAAAAATGGGTGTGGAGCAACACAGACCTGGTTTTAAACCCAGTTCAGCACTTAGTAGCCGAGTAACCACAAGCAAGTTATTTAAGTATCCTAAACCCTAAATTTCTCACCTATAAAGATTAATGCCTACCTCCAGGGTTGTTTGGAGAGTTAGATGTGTATGGAGGTGTCTACATACACATTCACACATGCACTCAATATATTCACATTATAATATAATCATATATAAATGTTCAATAAATTATATCCATCGTCCCCTTATCTTTCTCCCCAGTGATTTCCAGTTGTAACTCGGGACTGTGGGTATTTCCTGTACAACAATAGATTTCACAGAAAATAATACTGTGTCCCAGAAAAAGAAGAAAATACTTTTAGTTCTTCAACACAATTTTTGTTTGTATTTATCATGTACAACACAAAGTTTTGAAGGATATATACACTGTGGAGTGTTTAGATAATTAACAAATGCATTACCTCACCTTGTGATTATTTTTGTGGTGAGGATAAAACATCTACTCTCTGTGTTTCCCAAGAATGTAATTGTTTAACATGATGTTGTTTAAAGTTGAGGGTAGACTATCTACTTGATCAAGAACTTAGCTATTCTTTCCTTTATTCACACAACTAATTTTTGTTTGCCTCTCCTGTTGTTTCCCAATAATACTCTTCACTGCAAATCTCTTTTCTTGCACAGACAGATAATGAGATTCAGGTATATTTAACATACTTGCATGATGCCAAAAGAGTCTGCAAAGAAACAATCAAAACAACATGCTTATAAAAGATAAAAGCTGAATTATTATCAATTTATATAAAAAGCACTGAATATTAGAGTTTGTTATTGCAAGCAAGTGTCGCTTAACAGGGATACATTCTGAGCAATGAGTACTTAGGTTATTTAGTCATTGTGCAAACATCCTAGAGTGTACTGACAATAAGCTAGATGGCATAGCCTACTACACACCTAGGCTGTATGGTACCACCTATCACTCCTGGGCTACAAACCTGTACAGCATGCAACTATATTGAATACTGTAGGCCATTGCAACATAGTGGTAAGTATTTGTGTATCATATCTAAACATAGAAAATATACTATCAAATATGTTATAAGAAATAAAATATGACACACCTGTATATGGCACTTACCATGAATGGAGCTTATAGGCCTGAAAGTTGCTCTGGGTGAGTCAGTGAGTAAGTGGTGAATGAATGTGAAGCCTAGGACATTACTATATACTACTGTAGGCTTTATAAACACTGTACACTTAGGTTATCCCAAATTAATATAAAACAAGTCTTTCTTCAACAATAAATCAACATTAGCTTACTGTAAAATTTTTACCTTATAAACTTTTATTTCTTTAACTTTTTGACTCTTTTGTAATAACATTTAGATTAAAGCAAAAATACATTGTACAGTTGTGTAAAAATGTTTTCTTCTTTACGTCCATATTGTGTAAGATTTTTTCTATTTTCGACTTTTTACTTTTTAAATTTTTTTGGTTAGAAACTAAGACAGAAACATACACATTCACCTAGTAGGTTAAGGATCATCAATACATCAGTAGGTGACAGGAATTTTTTAGTTCCATTATAATCTAAGACACCATTGTACGTGTGGTCTGTCATTGACCAAAGCATAGTTATATGGCTCATAACACTATGTTACACTTTACATTATTCAACGGTTTCCATCAGCCATTCTGAATTATTTCTTTGATTGTATGTATAAAACTTAGGAATAATATTCCCTCTAAGTCTTTACATGTTATTTGGAATGATGTAGCTGGTTTATAATTTTAGCCATGGTGCTGGGGAACGGCCTCTTTGTTGACATGCACCATAGCAGCATACTTTGTACCAGTCGGTGGTCTCTGTTCAGCTACCTCATTTTATGCCGGCGAATTTTATCTGCTGCTGCTTCTGAGAGCAAACAAAACATACATATTGTAATTCCCTTCCCACCAATTGCACCAGGTAATAAGACCTTTAATATTTCCCATGAGACAGGAGGCTTAAATATTTGTTTCTAAAGTCTTGTAGGTTTCTAGTACATGCAATTACCTGAGAAATGATAAACTGTGTTTACTTACCATAGTTGTTATCAGCCACATTTCATCCCAAAGGTCAAAAATTGAAAGAGGAGTAATAAAATCCACATATATAAAAACCATCTTTATGTCACATCAAGAAATCCCAGTGTACCTCTTAGGAAATAGTAATATACAGAGAGATTATCTCATGGGTGTTCCCCCCAATCTTTAAGTTTTCCACATAAAGAGAATAAAACTAGAAGATGAAAAATAATGGAAATGTATGCATTTTGAGAATATCAGAATCACAGGAAATGCTTGTTAGAAAAGAACTTTCTTGTCCTCCTCTATAATCCATTCAGTAAGAGGTGGGGGGATGTGGCCTTGTCTCTGAACTTGTAACTTCTGATGATTTGTGAAGTCCATTAAATTTTGAAAGCTGCCATGCTCTCCAATAATACTGATGACTAAACACATTTGAATGAAGCTCAGGATACATTCTCTTTCTTGTCAACCCAAAGTTATATTGGAGTTTCAGAGCATGGGCATGAATGGGTGTGGTTTTATGTGAGTGTGTTGGAGAAGGAGGTGAGTGGTGTTTATTTGATGAAGAGTCACAGTATCAACAGAAATTTAAATAAGGTAAGAAAATATAAGGTAAATATTCCAATATATAGGAATAAAGAATATTAGCCTTCTTGGAATACCAATTTTACTGTATTCACAGTGATCTTGGATTCAGATTTATAACCACATGGATAAGGCACAATGGGCTATATTCAGCACCAAATATATTTACTTTTAAGGCAGCATGGAGAACAGTAAACACTACAGCCTATCCTGAATCATCACAGCAGGACTCTTCTGACTCCTAGGCCTACGATCTGATGTCCAAATCATCCTGATTTTGGTATGTACTCAGTCATGAAAGATGAGGCTGAGTCTGTGCCTATGATTTCAGCTCAGAGTTCTGGAGTCCCTTGAAGGTTTAAACTCCACAGGTGTGCACAAGGGGCCTTCCTCACAATCCCTGGGATGCGGAAGACATCCCCCATCCCCACCATCCTCCAGGACAGCTGTGTCTCAGTGTTGATTCTCAGTCCTTAATAAACGCTCCCCACCACAAAGCAGGTGTATGTTCTTGGCCTGAGTTTCACTGATCTTGGATCTGGTATAGGTATGCTCCTGATAACATCTTGAATTCATATTAGAAAGAAAATATATCAAAGCTCAAAGCCTCAGGTTTTCCTGAGGCTAGAGAAAGCCTTTAGAACCAGCTGTTATCCCTTTCATTCTGGATCCAGAGCTAGACATTTATCTACATCTTTCCAACTGATATCATAGATAAGATGATAAAGAAAACAAACCTAAGAGAAAAGGTTAGAAATAGTTACATTTTCCAAAATGAAGAAGTAAATAAGTCCAATTTGTCTTGTGACAAAGAACCTGGAAGATTACATAATACTAGTTTTTAATAAATGATGTTCTCATCCATACATATATATATACAAATCTGAATCTGGTATAGGTGTTGTCCTTATTGGACAATGACTTGAATTATCTTACATTATGTGTGAAAGAAAGGAACGTCCTTTCCAGTTGAGCAGTTAGTATAGGGTGCGGATAAGGTATTTATTTGGTGAGACTTAATTTCAGCTTACTATCTTAGTGAAATTCAATAACTCACTGTTAGCTTAATTATCATTAATTATCAACTCACTATTAGTGAGTTACTGAATTACACTAAGATAGTAAGCTGAAACTAAGTCTTACCAAATACCTAAAATATATAACATCTGTATGTTATATATATTATATATAACATCTGTATGTTATATATATTATATATAACATCTGTATGTTATATATATTATATGTAACATCTGTATGTTATATATATTATATGTAACATCTGTATGTTATATATGTTATATGTAACATCTAGATGTTATATATGTTATATATGTAACATCTATATGTTACATATATAATATATATAACATATGTTAGTGAGCTATTGAATATATATGTATATACTAATGTATATATACTAACTTATGTATATATGTATATACTCACATGAATACTAACGTGTATACTAACATATATGTTATGTATATAATATAACCTATATATAACATATATGTTAGTGATTTATTGAATATATATGTATATACTAACTGTGGTTGGTGAGTTATTGAATCAACAAAATTAGCATATAAATACTAATAGTGCATATATAATATATACTGTGTGTATGTATATATATACACTAATCTTGTTGATAGTTATACCTATACTTGATGAAATTAAAATATATGTTTTTAACAACATCCTGAACAGCAGAATTTTTATTAACGTGAATTCGATGTATTTAAGCAGTATTTAGCTATGAAAATAAATATTTAAGAGATTTGTCTCATTTGCAATTTTATTTTATTCAACTTTTAAACAAAGAATCCAAAAATCAAAACAATTACAGGAACAGTTTCTTCAGGGTTGGATAATGCATTTCCTAAATCAAAACAAGTGTACTTAGCTCTTATATGTTTGCCAGGAATCATTTTCTAGGTTTTGAATATATTCTATAAAGTGTACCGCTTAAGATTTATAGTGATCTTTAAAAGTAAACTTATTGGACAATGACTTGAATGTTCTTACATTATGCGTGAAAGAAAGGAACGTCCTTTCCAGGTGAGCAGTTAGTACTTATCTACACTGGGTGTGCAGGGTAGCTGAAGGATTTGGTATTTGGTGAGAATTAGCTTCAGCTTACTAGCTTAGTGAAATTCAATCATTTAAATGGAAAACTTGTTTGTTTTCAATATGATGATTAATATAGTATCACATTTCCTTCAAGCTCAAAAATGTAATATCAACTGGCTCTCTTTTTATTGGGAGAGGAAAGATTTGTCCCTGCCAATTCCAGAAGTCCATATTAATTTCTGACAGCTGGGAGACGGAGAGATCTAATGAGAATTGTATTAATTCAGAGTGTAGCCTGAACTAAACTACTCATGAAGGAAGCGTGGCGGAGTGAAATGCAATGTGATCTTCTAGATAAAGTCTGAATTTGAGCTCTGGCTTGGCCACTAGTGACTGTGGTTTTAGGCAAATGATTTAACCTTTGAGAGCTTGAATTTTCCTAACAATAAAATATATTTATTCACAATCCCAGGGAATTAGAAAAAAAAAATAATATGTCTTAAAGATCTTTGTATTTGGAAAAAGAAAAAAAAAGCTACAGAACCACACTACTAATGGAAGATTTAATATGCTCATTTGAAAGAAAAGTCACACTTGTTTTATATAAAAATAATAGCATAATTCATGCAATTCTTAATCATGAAATGCATGAGTGTCACATAGTACATTACAAGCAGAAAAATAAGAATGGTTTACCTACATGTAAACTTTGAGCATTCCAACGAACACTTAATGCCAGCCTTATTTGGATCTAATGTGATATCATTTGAAAAGGTATATTCAGTATACAAAATTACAATTTTATGAATAGAATGATTAGGCTCAAAATGTAAAAAGCATCTTTTCAGAAGCAAATGTTAATGAGATTTTATAGTATTAACTATAATCGGTAATCTACAGACCCTAAAGGTAAACCAAGTAGCCACTTTAAAGGCATTACCTTTAAATTTGTTATCAATCTGTCTATTTTAATTTGGTGACCAAAAGGTAGAGTTTTCTAAATAATATGATAATGAGTCAGAAGCTATGGCATTAAATATGCATATGTTCAAGTTAGTACAGTGGTTCTCTTTTTACTTACATTCATGTTGCTGTGAAATCATTTAATATTTCCTCAGAAGCTGGGAGACACTTTGTTCTGTGGTATTGTTTCCCATTAAATAGTTTCACAATGTCAGTTTTGCCATCACACACACACACACACACACACACACACAGACACACTCATGCTATTTTCATATTTACAGCTTTCTTGGCAGTTGCAAAGATCTAGTTTTTGCTGATATCTGCACTATGCAGGTTTCTGTTCAAGTTCCAGTCTATATACACATTTTTTCCATTGGTATTGTTCAGGTTGACACATCATTGCATATTCTCTTGTATTATTGTCAGTATTATTGCTAATCCTACCATATATTTATGCACTATGTATACCAAATGCCTTTATCTAAATTATTTTCTGTTGATACTGCACTTTTTACTGTATTAAATATAAAAAGGCAATAAATAAACTCTTGTTTACCTTAATTAAGAGGAAGAAAGCCTGTACTTTCTGCTTCAATCTCCTACCTCATAGCTCTGGGAAAGTTGTTTCACCAGACTCTAATGAAAAGACTCAGAGATGAAGTAGGGGAGAATTGGAAGGGTACTACCTGAATAGACATCAAGAAATATTCTGGGGGAAGAAACTAACATAAAATCGGTAATCTAATTAAACTAATTTGAATGTAAACCACTGGTTTATGTTAACAATGACTGAAAATTGGATGTGAGCAGATGTTAGTTTTCTTCTGTTAATGAGAAGGAAAGTGCAAATATTCTAGGAATTTTAAAAGATGTAATTTAAAGAAAGCATTTTAAAGAATCCCATGGTTTTTGTAGTATGTAGCATGCTGGTGTATAGGAGACAGTTAATATATATTTTTCGACCCACATTAAAAATATCTAATAGTATTAAAAAGTTGAAAGGATGTTTCTATAAGTACTTCAGTGATACATAAAACATATCTACAAAAGAAAACTGAAATAACAAGAACTTTTAAAAAATGTATGAAGAATAATAAGATAGAATTATGACCAGATACCAGTAATACTAATAGATGTGAAAGTGTTTAAGTCCTTATTAAAAAATGACCATGAAAGTTTTGTTGTTGTTTTTTCTTGTTGAGAAAACCTGAATTTTCCTAGAATTACGAAACATGTAAGTTTGATAATTGGTCCACTTTTTATTTCCAGTGATTTATTTTCCAGCTTTAGATGTTTTTTGTTTCTTTTGTTTTTTTTGTTTTGTTTTGTTTTTTGAGACGGAGTCTCGCTCTGTCTCCCAGGCTGGAGTGCAGTGGCGCCATCTCCGCTCACTACAAGCTCCGCCTCCCGGGTTCACGCCATTCTCCTGCCTCAGCCTCACGAGCAGCTGGGACTACAGGCGCCCGCCACCACGCCCGGCTAATTTTTTGTATTTTTAGTAGAGACGGGGTTTCACCATGTTAGCCAGGATGGTCTCGATCTGCTGACCTCGTGATCCACCCGCCTCGGCCTCCCAAAGTGCTGGGATTACAGGCGTGAGCCACCGCGCCCGGCCTAGATGGTTTTCTTATAGCCTACACTGATTGGGACTTACTTAGCAGAAGATAGAGAGGTACCTCTGAAGGTAGCTGCGAATCTTTCTCTTGGGATAGCTCATTCTTCTCGTCACGGCTCTCTCCTCTCTGCCACTCTGCCCTGCGGATTCTAGTCACCCTGGCTTGTCCAAATACTACACTTTTCCCCTAATTTCAGATAGACTTGGGAGCTCTCTTAGGGTTCCTGGTCCCAAGGCTGCATCCTGGCATCTCTGTCAAGATAGTAAACCTGAAAATCTTAAGTTATACCCCATGTATTTTCCTTCTTTTAGAAACTATTCCTGTATGTTGCCTGTTGTCCAATGTTTGAAACTTTTTTATATATATAATTTGTCTGGATATTTAGTGTTTTAAAGTACAGGGTAATTTTAGTCTCTGTTATCCATTATGGCCAAAAGAGGAGCATTTTTTAAACTTTTTTTTTGTTTGTTTGTTTTTTGCTAGTCCCATTATCTCTGTCATTTCACAGCTGTTTCTAATGATTGAGTTTCCTTGTTGGTATGTGTCATAAGTCCCTTCTTTCTCCCCTGGTAACGTTTTGCTGAATGCCAGGTACTGTAAGTTTTACATTGTTTGTTGTTAGATATATTTGTATTATTTTATATATTGTATTATTTTATTATCTAAAAATGTATTATTTTAGATAGTGTTGTTGTTGTTTCTGGCAAGCAGTTAGATTTTGAATGAAGTGGATCCTTTTAAGCCTTACTTTTAAGCTTTGTCAGGAAAGGTTTAGAGCAGCCTTTAATCTGATGCTAATTTGGCCTCTCTATTAAAGTGATAGCCTTCTGAAGATTTTACCCAAAGTCATATAAATTAGGATGTCTGATGTGAATAAAACTGTTCCCAGGCTTGTGTTATTTGTGAGAATTGTTTTGCCTAGTCCTCCCTCGTGGTTATTTTCTGGCCTTGTGTAATAGAATATTATTCATAATTATTAAAAAAGTAGAAATATCTATCAACTGATGGACATCAAATAATGAAGAGATACATTGTTTAAATAAGGCATGCTCATACAATGGAATATTAGTAGGCCATAAAAAAGAAATAAAGTTTTAATACATGCTACAACATGGATAAATCTTGAAAAATATGATGCTACATGGAAGAAACCAGACCTAAAAGGCTACATATGGTATGACTCCATTTGATATGACTCCATTTATACGTAATGTTCAGATTAGACAAAATTATGGAGATAGAAAGCATATTTGTGGTTGCCACAGCTGGGAGAAAGGGGAACTTTAGCGACTGCTAACGTGTAGCGGTATTCTCTTTGGGTGATGAATATGTTCTGTCATTAGACTGTAGTTATGAATCCACAACTCTGTGAATATTCTAAAACTGTAAACTGTATACTTTAAAATATCCACTTTGTAGTATGAAAATTTTATTCCTACCAAGCTATTATTAATGAATGATAATAAGGAAATAACCTGGTCATTGTTTAGCTCAAGATGTATACGATGAGAAGTGTGCAGAATTATCTGTGAAGTATTCTTGACAAATTTGTTTAACATGAATTTAATCCAACTTCGATGATTTATTTATTATTGTATAGAGGAGATATTTGTAACAGAGAAATAAATTAAACTACACCACAAGCAACATCTGAAAATTTCAGAATATTAAACATTCTAACAGTCAACTGCTCTGATTTTCTCATCAAGTCAATGTCATAGAGGAATAAGGGCATGGCAAGTACAATAAAGCCCTAGATTAAAGGCACAATCATCTAATTGCTATGTATGAACTTTTATTGGCATCAAGTTCAAAAAAATCACCAAAACAAAAAGACGTTTTGGAGAGAAACAGAAGACTGTGAATACATACTGGAGGACGAATTATATTAAATGATAACAAGAGGTGAAGAACAGAAACTATGTTTAATATGGTATTCTCTTCCATGTTACTACTCCTTCAGGAAGAAAGGACATATAAAATTGAATTCTAATATTGCTTTGTAGATTAAGAAGAAATATTAAGTGTACACAGGACAGTTTTTCTGCAGAATACCATTGCTTTATGATTTTTTTTTTGGTTTAGAGCATTTATTAACCGACCATCCAACCCAAAGGTATACACTGTATGTTATCACGCTGTCTTTACAAAATGATGCTACCTTGACTCCAAGGTAGCATCTGCGAAATCTGCAAATCTAGTACATATACGAATCTTCCTTTTATCTTGAAATTAAGAGCACTTACATAAAAGTTTTTAAGGATAAGTTGTAGAGGCTTAATTGCAGTTCTCCATCCCAGAATATGAGAAGATGAAAGATGGTAGGGCTTCAAATAAAGCCTTGAAACTTACTCACCTTTCATTTATTTGTGTCAAAAACCTACATCTTCACAGTTCTAGTATAATAAGCTGTGGCAGTCATGGGAACAATTCCAGCTCCTGTCTTCATTATATTGAACCTGTACACGTGGTCTATTGATAAGTGGTTGCTGTGTCAGGTGCTTAAAAATGGGGGTCAAGGAAAGCATAAAAGAACTTCAAGAACTGGGTGAGATGACTTACACCCCTAATCCCACCAAATGGGGAGGGGGAAGGTGGAGGACAGCTTGAGGCTGGGAGTAGGAGACAATCCTGGGCAACATAGTGAGACCCTGTCTTTGCAAAAAGTAAAAAAAAAAAAAAAAAAAAAAAAAAAAAAAATTAGCTGGATGAGGTGACGTGCACCTGTAATCCCAGAGTCTCAGGAGGCTAAGACAGAGGATCACTTGCTCCCAGGAGTTTGAGGTTGCAGTGAGCCATGATCACACCACTAAACTCCAGCACAGGTAACAGAGCAAGAGATAAGAGAGTAACATTCATAGAAATATGCTAATGCAGATAATAATAATTTGGATTCAAATTTTTGTACATTTGTGTGTAGATGAATAATTGAATTTATGCAAATTAATCTAAGTGCAAATAAAATTAAGAAATTCTAACTGTGTTTACCAATTGTAGGAGATGGAAACTAGTGCATAATTTTCATCTCACCCACCTGTTGGACTCTCACCTAGTCCCTACTCCTTGCTGGGTAGGACAAATATCAACTCTTAGATTAATGCAAATCATAAGCCTAAGAACACTCTCTTTCTCTGTTCTCTTTCTCCAGACTTTTTTATGGTTTTTTTTTTTTTCTTTGAGTTGGGGTCTCGCTCTGTCACCCAGGCTGGAGTGCAGTGGGGCAATTTCGGCTCACGGCAAACTCCATCTCCCGGGTTCATGCCATTCTCCTGCTTCAGCCTCCTGAGTAGCTGGAACTACAGGCTCCCGCCACCACGCCCAGCTAATTTTTTGTATTTTTAGTAGAGATGGGGTTTCATCATGTTAGCCAGGATGGTCTCGATCTCCTGACCTCGTGATCCACCTGCCTCGGCCTCCCAAAGTGCTGAGATTACATGTGTGAGCCACCGCGCCCGGCCCAAACATTTTAAGTTTAAACTCATACCCCTGGGACCAGAGGACATTAAATCTAACCCCTAGAATTGAATGAAAATAATTTAGAAAGTTGGAATGTTAAAATTAGAAATTAATATTTGAAGTCATTAATTGAAAACAAATATTGCTTTGAGTAAACGACAAAAGAGATTTTTGGACATTTGAAACTATCCTGAAGTCATTACACAATAGTTTTGAGATACAAAGGAAGACAATGACTAAAGTTATGCTATATAAATTTCTAAAACAGGAAGAAATAAGCTAAAATAGTCTTCGGAAAACAATATATTTGTATTAGAGTTAAACAGAAGTAAAAAATTTCAAATGACCAGTTCCTTTCGCTACCGTGGGAAATGCAAGGGACAATATGTGTATCACTTTTTTTTTTTTCTCTAAGAATGCAGCATCCAATGTCCTAGATACCAAGCAATTTTCATGCTTCCCTTGCAGTGTATGATTTATTCATGATTTGTACTATCAACCAGAATAGTTATATCATTTTTCATGAATTTTTCTGACATTGCTCATCCTTCTTTTAAAGACTGATTTCTTTCATAGCACCTCAACTTTTTTTCTGATTTTTTTTGAGGGGTGTGACACGGTGGTGTTGAACTGTTGCAATATCAGCAGTGTCTCAGTTAATGAAACCTCTCAGCTCAAAAACACTTCATTTCTCTTTCTGTCCCTCACTTGGAATTGCACGCTTTTAATCCCCAAAACTATTAGGCAAGGGAAGGAAAAATGCTGTTTTCGACAGTGCATTTCAACCTGAAGCCTGGAGAGAGTGGAAGAGCTGTATAGTTAGAATAAGATGCCATCACATACCAGAATATGTGTAAAGTTTGAAATCCTTCCTTTTCAAAATCATAATGTATACAGGTATAGTGGAAAAACAAACCAAATGGCACTAACAAATCTCAACTACAAAAGTAAAACAATGTCTTTGACATCAATATTTGTGTGCAGTGATTTCACCCACAGACATATAGAGTTAGTGCTGTAAGCATTCTGTCCTTCATGCATGTTGACTGTTACCTTGCATTTATGTGACACGCTTTGGCAGCGTGACTATATAATTTCTCTTATATCTAAATCATATCCCTTGATATTTTTAGGTAGTTCTGGTGTTGTCATTTAATCTTATCATGTCTTTACAATCAGTTAAAACTAATTGAAAATACATCTCTTAGAAACTACCAAATAAAATTATGAGATGTAAGATATCTCAAAAATTACTGAGAATAAAACAATATATCCTGGCCAGTAGCTCGTAGAAAGGTAAAATACTTTAAAAGTTAGTAAGAGTGTAGGACTAGTTTTCTCTGTTCAATGGTGACATTCTAATGAAATTTACATTTTGGGTCTATTTTATATTTAAAATAAATTACAGAAAATAACCTATGTATTTAAAAAAGAAAAAAAGCAAATATATTGACTACATTTTGTGGGTAACTGGCATAGAGGGGCTGTTACTCAGCAAACCATAAGAGCCTTTTGGCAGATTATAAGGCAGATATAAAGATGTTTGTGTAAAGGTTGGAAATTGATGTGTTCTCCAAAGCACTGTTTTCTATTTTCAAACCTTAAGGATGAAATGATTAAGAAAGTCTAATTCTTAAGGAAGGACATAGCCACTGAAAACTAACAACGATGTTTCAGATATATATTGCACATTTGCCTTACATTTCTCTAAATGTAAGTGTTGTACATCTCCTTTTACTGCACGTCCTAAGAAGTGTCGAAGAATGTGAGAATCACACTAATCTATTCCATTACTAACTTGTATCTAGCAAAACAGTCTTTCTTTTTATTAGAATATTTTTCTCAAAAGCCTTGAGACAAAAGTTAGAAGCAAGTTCTCAGGTGGACTTAATCAGTGAGTACAGCTAAGACTGACAAATAATTAAATAATAAAATGTCTTCCCCTAAATAAAAGTCCGTAAGTGCATTATTCAGCAGGACTTATCTGAATTTATAGACTATATGCAGAAACTTGTCAAAATAATTCAAGAGTCTGTTTCATATTTTGGCTAGTCATAAGAAACATTTGATAATGATGTTGACTGCTATATGCATAAAGCAGAGTGTATTGTCTTGTGTGGTGAGTATTGAGGGCTGTAATTAACACAAGATATTTTAGATTTATTCCTAAATACTTTTGATAATATTATATCCCAATTAGGTATTTCTGTGTTTTATGATAATGCACTGAGCATACTTTCTTTCAAAGTTTTGCTCTTGCCTTCTACATAAATAACTTGTGAAACATTATCCATTCTCCTACTTCTTCTAAGCCTTATGGTACGTAGAGAAAATTGTACTTATACACAGTGTATTTATTCAGAAGTGATGTGGAACAGCCACTATGTGAGAAACCGAGATATTTCGGGGACTGAATATGTAATTAGGGCAAGTCACCAGCTACCTATTCTTGAAAGGCTGGAGTATAGTGACTCTGATGCTCTGTTTAGAAGGTAATAAATTTGAAGAATAAACTGGAGATATTAATATATGCCTTTATTCATTAAAATGGAAGAAATTGAGTATAATTATGTGCATACTCTTGGGATTAGTGTTTATAGTGCTATGTATTGCACAGACATCCTTATTAGCTCTGAATTTTTATTTCTTGTGTGCAAAATTGCATTGCACAGTTTCACAGCTTAAAACCATAGCCCTTAATAAATCAGAAGTGTTCTATCTAGTCAATGAGATCACTAACTGAAGTGTCAGCACTGCTTGAAGAGGAAGTCATATAACACAAATTAAAAGCCTCTATTTTTTACCTAAATAAAACAAACTTAGAGGGGAATATAAAATTCTTTCCCCAAATTTCACAGAGGTATGATGCAACAGTTCAGGAAGTTCCATGATATCTTTCAAAGCCAAAAGTAATTAGAAATAGAGAAATCTAGTTATTGCTTTATGGGAAAAATGTCACAACAGGTATGTTCTTATTAAAATCATGAAGTTTATCTCTCACTTATATCTTTCAGGGGAAAGAACTATTATGACTTTCATGTACTACCTTCTTCTTCCTAATAAATTTTGAAATTTCAACATCAGTCCAAATGATTTATGTCACTGATTAAGCAGACATTAGGAGATGATTTTGTAAAGGCTCATGTGAGCCATATCTTACGTAAAACTGTTCTCTCCAAGTCTGGTTGTGTTTAATGGCCTAGCATATCAAATGATTTAGGCTATATTTGGTGGATTACAATGAGTGTGTCAGTGCTCAATGAAAAATAGTATACACACCTATGAATTCAAAAGTACCACGAAGTAATTAGAATGTGTTGAAATACAATCTCATAAAACGTCCTACCTTATATGGTTTAGATATTTGTACCCTCAATATCTCATGTTGAAATGAGATTCCCTGTGTTGAATGTGGGGCCTGGTGGGAGGTAATTGGATCATGCAGGCGGATCCTTCATGAATGGCTTAGCACTATCCCTTGGGTGATTTAGTGAGTTCTCACTCTGTTAGTTCGCATAAAACTTGGTGGTTTAAAAGAGTCCAGTATCTTGTGTTTCTCTCTTTCATGCTGCCCTTCTTGCCATGTGATGTGCCTGCTCTCCCTTCAACTTCCGCAATGATTAGAAGCTTCCTGAGGCCTCAGTCAAAGCTGAGCAGATGCTGACACTACACTTCCTGTACAGCCTGCAGAACCGTGAGCCAATTAAAACTCTTTTCTTTATAAACTACCCAGCCTCGGGTATTTCTTTATAGGAATGCAAGAACAAACTCACACACTACCTAACACAGAAAAATAAATGAAAGAAAATGCATTAGCTTGCAGGTCATTGTGGTACTTCCTGAAACCATAGCTGTCTCAGTGATCACTAAGATCTGAAGTTAATTTATTGTCAACTTTGCAAATGCATGAAAATCATAACAGTATTTGTAAGAAATGAAAAGAAACAAGGAGCACAAATACAAATGAGGAATTTACAAAATATAGTTGTTACCACAGTATCCATAAAGGGTATAATGTTTATACTTGGTGCATAGAAGAGAAGAGAAATTATAAGAAAATGTATCCATCTGCTTTCTGGTGAATTTAAGAACGTCTATTAACTGTCATAAATCATATTAAAATAACCAGGAGGTAAAATTAGCACTATATAACTCCCATAAAAATATTGAGTCTAGAATATATAAAGAAATCCACTATGTCAGTATGAATAACGTCATTCTATACTAAAGCTGAGAAAGTATTTCACAAGTATGGAAAAATAAATGGCTAATTTAAAAATGCTCTATTTTATTACGAATCAGAGATTAATACCATGCTTAAGTCCATTTCACAAACAGAAATTGGGGATATTTTTGAAGTCTAAGAATAGTAAGGATTGTCAAGAGTGTGTACAATCATAATTCTCATATACTGTTCGTAGAGATACAAATTGGGAGAAAAATTTGGAAAGCAGTTGGTATATTTTAATAATGTAGCTGTTTCAAATTTGTTTCCTTCCTAGATATATACCTTATAGAAATTCTCATGCACAAGTACCAAGACACGTGCCCAAGAATATTTATAGAAATATCGTTCATAATATCAATTAAGTTAAAATATTAAAATGACCATCAGTATTAGGAAAAACAAATTATGTATATATGTGTGTGGTTATACTCATATATCAAAATAACATAACAACACTAAGAATAAACAAAAGTTGTGCACAAAAACATTAATGAATTTTTAACAAATAATGTGCAAAATACACAAGCACTTTTCCATGTATATTCTGTTAAGATAAACTTAAAGGAAACATAAATAAATTTTAAAACTATAAATCAAAACAAGGAGCTAAGAGACACAAATACCAGGCTGGCAGTTGCAGAATTAAATAAACAGGAGACCATTACCCTGAAGCTGTCTTTATACTTTGAGTTACTATGGAACGAACCTCATCTAATTTAATACATATACAAACCAAAAGCTAACTTTGGAGTATATATTTTTGTAACACATAGCTAGATTTAAGCCAATCACAGGCAGCCAAATGTTCAGACTCTGTCCAAATAAGACAAATGCCTCATCATGCCAGTTCCAAATGAGGCCAATCTGTAGCCAATCAACTGTTTTCTCTTGTTTGCTTCTATGGTCCGTATGAAAGCTCATTGCTCATATTGCTGAGTGGAGCTTTATGAACCTGTTCTGGTTCTAATGCTGCCTGATTTATGATCCTTCTTTGCTCACAAGAACTCTGCTAAATTTTATTTGTCTAAATGCTTTTTCTTTTAATATAGCTCATAGATGATAAAAGAAAATAAAATTGAGGAGGCACATGGAGCTCCTTTATTTCTTAATCTGAATGGTGAGTACATTGATGCTTTTGTAATTTTTATTTCTCTTTTTTATACTGTAAATCCAATTTATATACACTCGTGTATATTTCAAAATGCCACAACTCATCACTTCTTGGCCTTTTGGTTAAGATCGAGTGAAAAATGCCACAACTTAAAGACAAATCTAATAGTAGCAATTACGTGTAGATTCTGGATTTAAATATGCTAGAAGATTTCACATCTTCATTTTTTATTTTAAATTTTTTCGTGTATAATATAACCGTAGCCACTATACAAAAGTTGGAAATAAAGAAAAGTCACTTATAACATGTTGCTGAGATAGAGACACATTCAATATTTTATGTGTTATGCTTTATGGTTAAGTTTTGAGCCTTTTAAAATGCTAACACATATATATGTCAAAAACAAATGTACTATATAGAAGAATTCCAAATACTTTATGTAATTTACTTCCTACTCATGGAAGTGGACCTTAATGCCACATTCTCCAAGCATAATCTGTACTTAGTGACTGATATGGTTTGGCTCTGTGTTTCCACCCAAAACTCATGTTGAATTGTGATCCCAAGTGTTGGAGGTGGGGCCTGGTGGAAGGAGACTGAATCATGGGGGTGGATTTCCCCCTTGCTGTTCTCGTGATAGTGAGTGAGTTCTCACGAGATCTGGTTGTTTAAAAGTATGTAGCACTTCCCTTTTTGCTCTCTCCCTCCTGCCACCATGTGAAGAAGATGATTGCTTCACCTTTTACCACGACTATACATTTCCTGACGCTGCCCTAACCATGCTTCCTGTACAGCCTGCCGAACTGTTAGTCAATTAAACCTCTTCTTTTTATAAATTACTCAGTCTCAGGTAGTTCTTTATAGCAGTGTGAGAATGGATTAATACAGTGACTTATTTCCTATGAACGGAGTATGGAAAAGGGAGGGAATAAGAATTTTATGGAGGAGGCACTTGGCTAATACTACCTGAGTCAGCTGATCAGGGTTCACATCATCTCTGAACAGTCACGTTGATGGTTGACAGCACGTACCCTATAAATGATGTAGTTAGAAGGGCCCTTCACCTCTGTGTTCTTCCTCCCCGAAACTCACAACCCCAATCTAGATATGAGGAAAACTTCAGACAAACCCCAATTGACTGACCTTCTACAAAATACCTGACCCACACTCCTCAAAACAGCCAAGATCATAAAAACAAGGAAAGTCTGATTAAGTGTCCCCATCCAGAGAAAACTAGGAAAACAAGAGTACTAAATGCAATGTGGTATCCTGGATGAGATCTGAAACAGAGATAGACATTAAGAAATATTAATGAAATCAAAGTAAAGTATAAAGTACAGTAAATAATAGGATGTCAGTATTGTTTTATTACTTTATTGTGGATATTACATTACCACACTAATGTAATATCTTAACGACAGAGGAAACTGAATATGGTTATATGAGCACCCTTTGAACTATGTTTACACTTTCCTGTGATTCTAAAACAATTCTAATTAAATAATTACTTTAAAAAATCAAAATGAAAATCAACATCATACTTTTTTTTCCCCTTTTCTCTTTTGGCTTTTGTATTTTTGGTTAGCATATTAATTCCTACCTGTTCTCAAATTATAATTCAATGTATTACTTTCTCAGGGAAGATTTTCCTGACCATACACTTGGTCAGGAAACAATTTCTGAAGTGCCTACAGACGCGTGCATGTGTGCATGAGTGTATGTGCTTCCAGTAAAGAATTTTAGGATTTATCCTACGTGTGGTAGTAGAAATCCAGGTCAATGATGCTTGCAATGTATTCTATTATATTCTCTTATAGTACACTTTCAAATTTCTATCTATTTTAGTAAGTAATTGATTAATATTTTTTTCTCTACCAGATGAAAATCTCAATAAAATCAAATCATAATGTCTGCTTTTGGTAACCATGAAAGTTTTAGGATCTGACACAGAACCTCCTCATTTAATATGTGAAAATGAACATAAAGATTTAAAATGGAATAAAATTATTTTAATAGTGTATAGTTTTTTTCTTGCTAATTCAGATTATCTAGCATCCTGTGGTACTAGAAATAAAAATAGGGTATTAAGAGCTACAGAAAGTTCATGCCTATGCCAGATGAAGCAGAGCCAGTACAAAAATACACTTCACGGCTGGGCATAGTGGCTCACGCCTGAAATCCCAGCACTTTGGGAGGCCGAGTTGGGTGGATCATGAGGTCAGGAGTTTGATACTAGCCTTATCAACATGGTGAAACCCCATGTCTACTAAAAATACAAAAATTAGCCAGGCGTGGGTGGCATGTGCCTGTAATCCCAGCTACTCAGGAGGCTGAGGCAGGAGAGTCACTTGAACCCGGGGGGTGGAGGTTGCAGTGAGCTGAGATTGCACCACTGCACTCCAGCCTGGGCGACAGGGTGAGACTCCATCTCAAATAAATAAATAAATAAATAAATAAATAAATAAATAAATAAAATAAAATAAAATAAAAAAGAACAGAAAATGTACTTCACAGTCTTCTTTATTTTGTAGTGTAACAGATTTCTGGTGCAGCCACATTTCCTGTCTTTAGACTAATTGATGGGAGGGAGAAATTCTAGGTTTCAGTTTGCTACATGGTATAGTTTTACTGGACAAGAACCTACACCCTACAGCATATTGTCCTTTCAGAGCTAGAACCTGTAAAACTTGCAATAAGGCCATTGCCAACCCATCTCTGCCATTATATTTAAGGAAACTTTAGGAAGCACAGTATCTATTTAGAAAATGCTTCATACTAACACTCTAAAACTTCATAAGCTAATATTGAACGTAGATTTTTTTAAAAAATGTACCCTGTATAAAATAAGACTTTATAATGGATCTTAGGATCTAAACAGCTAGAAAAGTAAAAATAGTGTGATAATTTTTAACATTACTTTTTGCTGGTGGATTTTTTTTTCTTTTACAAGTATGTTCATAATAAGTTATATTTCAAGTCATATCATTCTGGCGACTTGGATATTATGGCTTTCAGTGTAATTCCACAACAAAAATATATCATCTTAACAGTATTTGAATAACCCTAAGAATTACAATGCATTTTTACTCTGTTAGTCATAAGGAATGAAACATAGCTACATTTATATAATTCATCGCACTTATACAACTCTAGGACGCCTTTAACTTTAATCAGGGTCCCCTTCCTCCAGGACTGCTTTGTTGAAAACCAAGGAATTTGCATGTTTAGAGATGGTACACTGTGCTAGAGACAGGCACAGTGATGCCGTGTACTAGATAATTATTTCAGAAGTTAAAAGTTAAAGTCATTCCAGGTCTGTCATAGGAGCCACTGAATTGTTCATTTTCAAAAATTTGTTTTAAAGTGAGGCAGGCAATTTTGGTGGCAGGGAAGGGTTCTTTCTTTTAAAGTTCTTTGAGTGCAAAATGAATTCAGCTTCTTTGGGGGCTATTGAATTTGGAACAGCACGATGTCCACTGGGCAAGCTTCAATTTCTGAAGTGCCTACAGACGCATGCATGTGTGCATGAGTGTATGTGCTTCCAGTAAAGAATTTTAGGATTTATCCTACGTGTGGTAGTAGAAATCCAGGTCGACGATGCTTTCAAATATGCACATGCAATCTTTTTGAACAGGCATTATTTGAGCATCACTGATTCAGAAAGCATCAATTGAATATGGTTGTAAAACAAATCTTACTGCTTTCTGTGTCCCATCAACCAGGAATGATTAGTTCTCGGGGTTTGCAGACTCTTAGAAATATGATACAAATTCAAAGAGTAGGACTTTTCCTTTGACGTATAAGCCTGATCAAAAATCCATCTCTCCAGACAATATTTAGTTCAGTGGGGGGACTCTTAAACTTAAATCTAGCTGTGTCTGCAAGGCTGCTCCAGGTTATATTTCTGCTGCTTCAAAAAGAATTCCGATTAGCATTGATTTCCAATAACCTGTAAAATCTGTGACACCTCCTTACAGGCTCAAGTTGAGGATGTCAATCCTTGGTTGGCCTTTCTGCACCTGGCATCTTTTAGAAGCATAGCAAGGCATATTTCCACAGAGTGGGAAGAGAGCCAAATGCATGCTAAGCAAGTCATAAAGATAAGACTTACTGTTTCCAGAGGATTGGTGATTTTCTATGACCTGAAAATAAAAATCAAAATAACATTCGAGCATCCTCACTCATTTGAGAGTAACACTTGGGTAGTTTTGATGGAATTGGGTCATTGCCTTTAAGGATTATGCTTTCTAAACTGGAAACGATATATATTCAAAGAAGCTGCAAATATCTAGGATTTTGGGGGGGTGGGCGGAGAAGCATTTTTTCAGTGAAATTGATTCTGTGATAAATATTTTTTCTTTCTTCTCAGGATTTCTTATCTAAATCCATACATTATAAACTGAGCTCCTCAAAGCTTGAAAACTTGACGAGATCCTAAGAAAATGAATGGACTTGAAAGAAACCATCTCTTTTAAGGCAGGCTTGGACTAGGTGGTAGCAATGAATTTGTAACATCCAAATTTAAATGCTTTCTAGAAAATGTAGGACCTAATTTTTATCTTTCTTGTAAACTTGAGGTGCTGTTTAAGAATCTCATTGCCAACAGGATCAAAAGAATTTCTCACCCTTGTGTATATTTTACTTTCCTTTCAACTATTTATTTTTCTTAAGAAAATGTCTTAGCTTTCTTCAGTGAATATATTCTTGTCTGGCTTTCTTGAACAGCACACTAAGAATGAATTTATAATATATGGACAAACTCTAACAACTTCTTTGTTGTTGAAGACTTTAACTGAATTTGTTTCTTTTCAAAAGCCACATTTTTGATAGTAGACTGGGAAAACAGTACTACAACTTTGGAGAAAAATTATCAACATATATTCACAAAAAAAAAGTCTTCTTAGTCCTGATCTAAACTACAATAATGTATCTTATCCGCTGAAGTCCAAACTCATTTTTTCAACTTCCAACTTGAAATATCCACATGGATGAAAGTTATTTTGTTTACAGCAGAACTCCAGACTTCCAAATTCAAACCTGCTCTTTTACCGGCCATTTCCAGCTCAGCCGATGGAACTAGTTTCCATTGCAAAATGAATTCAGGCAGGAGAATCGCTTGAACCTGGCGGGTGGAGGTTGCAGAGAGCTGAGACTGCACCACTGCACTCCAGCCTGGGCGACAGGGTGAGACTCCATCTCAAATAAATAAATAAATCCTAAGAGCTGTTCTTCGTTTCTCTTTTTTCTCTACCTTTTCTCTAATCTACACCTTCACTATGTTTTATCAAGTCTATTTCATAGTTTCAAGTGCATAGTTTCTATTTCATAGTTTCAAGTGCATAGTTTCTATTTCATAGTTTCAAGTGCATAGTTTATATTTTTCCCCATTTTTTACCACCAAGACCCCAGTTCAAGCCACTATCGTCTATCTCAGGACTATTGTGTTAGTGTTGTAATTGGTTTTTCGACTTCTATTCTTTAAAATCCCTCCTTAGAATGCACTGATGAGGCAGAAGAGGGACAGTGGGTAGGGGTGGGAGAATGGGGAGGGAGTGGGACAATTTAGAAATGTAAATCAGATCATTTTCATTTTCACCACCAATTGAAATTTTACACTGTCTTCTTATTTCATTTGGAGTAAAGTCCACTGTCATTAATATGGACCCTGACAATATCTCATAGTTTGCATGCTACCACAATCTCCTTCCCTGCTGTTATTCTAGCTCCACTGAGCACCCTGCTGTTCCTCAAATCATGCAGTTTTGTTCTTTCCTGAGGGTCTTTGCTGTTGTTGATCTGTCTGCCTGAGCCCCCTTCTCCCAGTTCTTCCCTGAGAACCACATTTCACATAAAGAATTTCCCACTCATTCCCAGTCCCTGTAAATCACATCATGGCTGTTCCTTAACTCATTTATCAGTCTGTGAAATTATCTGTTTTATGCATGTGCTTACTTGCTGTTTCCCTTCAGACCCTACGATGTAAGTTTCACTAGAGCAGAAACTTTCTCATCCACTATGAAGACCATGAGCCTATCAGAGTGCCTGGCATATATATTAATTAATAAAAACATATTGGTCAAATAAATGATGAATCAATAAGATACCTTACTATTAGTACCAAGGGTAGTGCCACACATAAGCCCTTTACTTAATTTCAGAGTTCACATATCTGGTTTGAATAAATTCATCAACTTATGACTTAATTATCACTTAGGCTAAGGATGAACATCTTTTCAAACACTTTTTTATATATATATATTTTTATTATACTTTAAGTTCTAGGGTAAATATGCACAATGTGCAGGTTTGTTACATATGTATACATGTGCCATGTTGGTGTGCTGCACCCATTAACTCGTCATTTACATTAGGTATATCGCCTAATGCTATCCCTCCCCCTTCCCCCAACCCCACAACAGGCCCCATTGTGTGATGTTCCCCTTCCTGTGTCCAGATGTTCTCATTGCTCAATTCCCACCTATGAGTGAGAACATGCGGTGTTTGGTTTTTTGTCCTTGCGATAGTTTGCTGAGAATGATGATTTCCACCTTCATCCATGTCCCTACAAAGGACATGAACTCATCCTTTTTTCTGGCTGCATAGTATTCCATGGTGTATATGTGCCACATTTTCTTAATCCAGTCTATCATTGTTGGACATTTGGGTTGGTTCCAAGTCTTTGCTATTGTGAGTAGTGTCGCAATAAACATAGGTGTGCATGTGTCTTTATAGCAGCATGATTTATATTCCTTTGGGTATATACCCAATAATGGGATGACTGGGTCAAATGGTATTTCTAGTTCTAGATCCCTGAGGAATCGCCACACTGTCTTCCACAATGGTTGAACTAGTTTACAGTCCCACCAACTAAAGAGCTTCTGCTCAGCAAAAGAAACTACCATCAGAGTGAACAGGCAACCTACAGAAAGGAGAAAATTTTTGCAATCTACTCATCTGACAAACATTTTTACTGCTGCTTAAAAACACAGATAAGTTCATGTTCTTCAACACTCTCCCCTGAAAACAAAAAGTTTAAGTAATCAAGTGTTATAATGTTTATTAGTTTTCACAATACAATGCTAAAATCACATCTTGAATTGTTTATAAATCACAAGCTTTAGGTATTTGATTTAATATCCATTTGATTTAATGCCCATAGTTTTCTACTGTTGGTATTTTTAGTTCGTGGAACATCTTTGTTGCTCTGCATGTGTTGTTTATGCCTGGAAGCATGCATGAAGTCTCCACTTGTGGCAAGAGGAGATAAGCTAGTCCACAGCCAGGTGACGAGACATCTAAATATGGCCGCAATAAATCAGGAATAAAATGTAGCTACACCAGCAGAGTTTTGTATTTTCACCCCTGCCGGAAACAACAAAATACATTTTCTTGTCTGAAAACAAGCCTTATATGGAAAATTGATTCCAACAGAGAGAACTGGTTTTAGGTTTGGTTTAAATATTACCAAACAGGTTCTTTAATATAGAAGTCATGATAAATTCCGCAAGACAGAAACACCATGGCAATAAAAGGTTAATATCTTATTTTTTATTTTAATCAGAGGATCTACTAATACAGTATGCACAGATAAAAGTTGGTAAGTTTGTGAATGCATGTGAGAATACAGTCATTCATACTTCAATGGTAACAAATCTACTTTAAAATTAATACCTCTCTGTCACAAATCCAGTGTGGAGATCCTAAATATTTAATTATCATATTATTTTGTTTAACACAAATTCGAATGCTTAGTAGATCAACAGATATAAAATTACATTTCAACTGATATAATAAAACAGGAGCCAAGTGCAGTGGCCCATACTTGTAGTCTCAGCTACTCAGGAGGCTGAGGTGGGAGGATCACTTGAGCCCAGGAGTTTGAGGCCAGCCTAGGCAACATACAGAGACCCCAGCTTTAAACAAACAAGCAAGCAAACAAAAATAATAAAGTAAAAGAAAATAATTATAAAACTGTATATATATAGTTCATTGAAAGTGCCTATAGGCAATTATATTTAGAATCACTATTAACACTCATAACTTTTTGCCACTCCTAAATCAGAATGAAATAAAAAATTATGAGTAAAATAACACGTTTAACACCTATTGTGTGTTTTGAGTGAACATGGTGCCTATCATTATTTTTATAAGTCAGGTTTATTGAGGTGTAATTTACATACAGAAAGACCTACCCCTTTTATGTTTACAGTTCAATAACTATAAGTGTGTAAAATCGTGTAAACAATCAAGATATAGAATATTTCATCATCTCAGAAAATTCTTTTGTGCCTTCTTGTAATTAGACCCTTACTACTTCCAGCTCTTGAAACCACTGATACGATTTATGATACTATAATTTTTTTCTTTCCTAAAATTATGTATACAGGTAACCATATATGATGTAGCCATTTGTCTCTGGCTTCTTTCACTTAACATAATGCTTTTGAGATTTAGCCATATTGTTGATTATATCCATAATTCATTATTTTTCATGGCTGAGTAGTATTTCATTGGTATGGGATGTAATAAAATTTTTTCATCCATCCACTAGTGGATAGACATTTGGGATCTCTGGTTGTGAGTAATTATGGATAAAGCTGCTATAAACAGTCATATACTGGTTTTTGCGGAAACATATTTTCGTATCTCTTGAGTAAATTGCTGGGGTTACCAAGTCTTATGATAAGTATATATTTAACTTTATAAGAAATTGGCAATTTTTCAAAGTAGTTGTATCAGTTTGCATTCTCACCAGCAATATATGAGTTCACTGCTCACCAATACTCGGTATTGACATTTAAAAAACAATTTCAGCCATTTTAATAGGTGTGAAGTGGCATATCATTATGGATTTAGTTCATATTTCTCTAATAACTAATGAAGTTGGGCATCTTGACATGTGTTTATTTGTCATCAGAATCGCTTTAATTAACAGTAGTGTTATTGCTTAACGCATTCACCTTTCCCACTGCCTAGACAGAGCTGATTTATCAAGACGGGGAATTGCAATGGAGAAAGAGTAATTCACGCAGACCGGGCTGTGTGGAAAACCAGAGTTTTATTATTACTCAGATCAGTCTCCCTGAGAAAACTCAAGGATTGGATCAGAGTTTTTAAAGATAATTTGGTGGGAAGGGGCTCAGGAAGTGGGGGAATGCTGACTGATGGAGTTGAAGATTAAATCATGAAGGGTCAAAGTGAGTTCTTCTTGCTGTCTTCTGTTCCTGAGTGGAATCGCAGAACTGATTGAGCCAGATTATGGATCTGAGTGGTGTCAGCTGGTGCATCGGAATGCAGGGCCTGCAAAATATCTCAAACACCAATCTTAGGCTTTACAACAGTGATGTTATTCTTAGGTGCAACCTGCGGAGATTTGGCCTCTTGCAGCCAGAGGCCGCATGGCCGCTAAATAGTAATTTTTAATCTTCTAGCTAATTTGTTAATCCTACAAAAGCAGACCGGTCCCCAGGCAAGATAGAATCAGTGAGGTCTTATCTCTTTCACTGTCATAATTGCCTCAGTTATAATTTTTTGCCAAGGTGGTTTCAATATCCTATATTTCCAGATAATTTACAATGCATAAATGTCCCTTTTATACAAGTATATCACTTACATTGACTTAAAGCTAAATGCCTCTCTGAAGTAAGTAAGGTAAGGATTATTTGATTTTTTAAAATAGTAGTATGAATCTGGAGATTATGTGGATTTTCGGGAGAACCATTCAAGTGAATCCAGAGGTAAAGGTCTTAGTTTCATGCGCGTCCACGTGAAGAGACCACCAAACAGGCTTTGTGTGAGCAACAAGGCTGTTTATTTCACCTGGGTGCAGGCGAGCTGAGTCTGAAAAGAGAGTCAGCAAAGGGAGATGGGGTGGGGCCCTTTTACAGGATTTGGGTAGGTAAAGGAAAAAGGGGGGTTGTTCTCTGGCAGGCAGGAGTGGGGGTCACAAGGTACTCAGTGGAGGAGCTTTTGAGCCAGGATGAGCCAGGAGAAGGAATTTCACAAGATAGTGTCATCAGTTAAGGCAGGAACAGGCCATTTTTACTTCTTTTGTGGTGGAATGTCATCAGTTAAGGCAGGAACCGGCCATCTGGATGTGTACGTGCAGGTCACAGGGGATATAATGGCTTAGCTTGGGCTGAGAGGCCTGACATTCCTGTCTTCTTATATTAATAAGAAAAATAAAACGAAATAGTGGTAAAGTGTTGGGACAGTGAAAATTTTTGCGGGGTGGTATGGAGCGATAATGGGCGATGTTTCTCAGGGCTGCTTCCAGCGGGATTAGGGGCGGCGTGGGAACCTAGAGTGGGAGTGATTAAACTGAAGGAAGATTTTGTGGTAAGGGGTGATACTGTGGGGTTGTTAGAAGAAACATTTGCCATTTAGAATTATTGGTGATGGCCTGGATACAGTTTTGTATGAATTGAAAAACTAAACGGAATAAGAGAAGGAGAAAAACAGGTATTAAAGGACTAAGAATTGGGAGGACCTAGGACATCTAATTAGAGAGTGCCTAAGGAGGTTCAGCATAGCCTTGCCAGTAAAGATTATTTATTTAAGAGTTAAGAGTGGTGGTTTGGGGATAGCACCAGGAGATATCAGCTGTGCTGGCTTGGAGAAACAGTATAAACTGGCAGTGTAAACAAGAGCAGGGCATGTAGGAGTAGTTGAGAATGGTGAATAGGAGTATGACTAGACAGAAGATAGTAGGGATGACAAGTTTTTTGTGGCACAGTCCAAGTTGGTCTGGTGTCTGGAATGAGACTGGGGCCTAATAAAAAGGAGCATCTATACAGGAGCTCAAATGGGCTGTACCTTGTAGCATTCCGAGGACAGGCCTGAATTCTGAGAAGCGAAAGTGGTAAAAGTATTGTCCAGTCCTTTTTAAGTTGTGGCTGAGCTTGGTGAGGTGTGTTTTTAAAAGACCTTTAGTCTGTTCTACTTTTCCTGAAGATGGAGGACCGTAAAGGATATAAAGGTTTCACTGAATACTAAGAGCCTGAAAAACTGCTTAGCGGATTTGACTAATAAAGGCTGGTCTGTTATCAGACTGTATAGAGGTGGGAAGGCTAAGCTGAGGAATTATGTCTGACAGAAGGGAAGAAATGACTGCGGTGGCCTTCTCAGACCCTGTAGGAAAGGCCTCTACCTATCCAGTGAAAGTGTCTACCTAGACCAAGAGGTATTTTAGTTATCTGACTCGGGGCATGTTGAGTAAAGCTAATTTGCCAGTCCTGGGTGGGGGCAAATCCTCGAGCTTGATGTGTAGGGAAGGGAGGGGGCCAGAATAATCCCTGAGGAGTAGTAGAATAGCAGACGGAACACTGAGAAGTTATTTCCTTGAGGATAGATTTCCACGATGGAAAGGAAATGAGAGGTACTAAGAGGCGGGCTAGTGGCTTGTACTATAGCATAGCCTGCCTTTGCTGGTGTGTGGTGATTAGGCCTGGTGGAACTGCCATCAATAAATCAAGCGTGATCAGGGTGAGGAAGAGGAAAGAAGGAAGTATGGGGAAATGGGGTGAATGTCAGGTGGATCAGATAGATACAGTCATGGGGGTCAGGTGTGGTATCAGGAATAATGTGGGAGGCTGGACTGAAGTCCGGGCCAGGAACAATGGTAATTGTGGGACTTAACGAAGAGTGAGTACAGCTGAAGGAGCCGGGGGAGCAGAAAGTATATGCGTCAGGTGTGAGGAAGAAAATAGATTTTGGAAGTTATGAGAAATGTAGGGAGTGAGTTGAGCACAGTTTGTGATTTTTAGGGCCTCTAAAAGTATTAGGGCGGCAGCAGCCGCTGCACGGAGACATGAGGGCTAGGCTAAAACAGTAAGGTCAAGTTGTTTGGACAGAAAGGCTACAGGGTGCGGTCCTGGCTCTTGTGTAAGAATTCTAACCACACTAACCATGCCTAGGAAGGAAAGGAGTTGTTGTTTTGTAAGGGATTGAGGTTTGGGAGATTAATCGGACAGGATCAGCAGGGAAAGCACGTGTGTTTTTATGAGAATTATGCTGAGATAGGTAACAGATGAGGATGAAATTTGGGCTTGACTGAAGTAATGGGGGCTGTCTGCGAAGCCTTGCGGCAGTACAGCCCCAGGTAATTTGCTGAGCCTAATGGGTGTCAGGGTCAGTCTAAGTGAAAGCAGAGAGAGGCTGGGACGAGGGGTGCAGGGGAATAGTGAAAAAAGCATCTTTAAGATCCAGAACGGAATAGTGAGTTGTGGAAGAAGGTATTGAGGACAAAAGAGTGTAGGGGTTGGGCACCACAGGGTGGATAGGCAAAACAATTTGGTTGATAAGGTGCAGATCCTGAACTAATCTGTAAGACTTGTCCGGTTTTTGGACAGGTAAAATGGGGGAATTGTAAGGAGAGTTTATAGGTTTTAGAAGCCCATGCTGTAGCAGGTGAGTGATAACAGGCTTTAATTCTTTTAAAGCGAGCTGTGGGATGGGATATTGGCATTGAGTGGGGTAAGGGTGATTAGGTTTTAATGGGATGGTAATTGGCATGTGATCCGTTGCCAGGGAAGGAGTAGAGATGTCCCATACTTGTGGGTTAAGGTGGGGGGATACGAGAGGAAGACGCGAAGGAGGCTTTGGGTTGGGGAGAAGGGCGGCAATGAGATGCAGCTGTAGTCCAGGAATAGTCAGGGAAGCAGATAATTTGGTTAAAATATCTCGGCCTAATAAGGGAACTGGGCAGGTGGGGATAACTAACAAAGAGTGCATAAAACAGTGTTGTCCAAGTTGGCACCAGAGTGGGGGAGTTTTCAGGGGTTTAGAAGCCTGGCCATCAATACCCACAACAGCTATGGAGGCAAGGGAAACAGGCCCTTGAAAAGAAGGTAATGTGGAGTGGGTAGCCTCCGTATTGACTAAGGGGACGGATTTACCTTCCACTGTGAGAGTTACCCGAAGCTCAGCGTCTGTGATGGTCTACGGGGCTTCCGAGGCGATCGGGCAGCATCAGTCTTCAGCCGCTAAGCCGAGAAGGAGTCAGAGAGCCTTGGGCCAGAGTTCCAGGGGCTCTGGGAGTGGCTGCCAGGTGAGTTGAACAGTCCGATTTCCAGTGGGGTCCCGCACAGATGGGACATGGCTTAGGAGGAATCCTGGGCTGCAGGCATTTCTTGGCCTGGTGGTCAGATTTCTGGCTCTTGTAGCAAGTTCCTGGGGGAGGAGGTTCTGGAGGAACACCTGGCCGCTGCGGTTCAGATCTTTGGAAGTTCTTGTGTGCTGGAGATGTGGCTGGGGTTTGTCTCACAGTGGAGGCAAGGAATTGCAACTTTTTTCTATTATTGTACACCTTGATGGCAAGGTTAATTAAATCCTGTTGTGGGGTTTGAGGGCCGGAATTTAATTATTGGAGTTTTATTTAATGTCGGGAGCAGATTGGGTAATAAAATGTATTTTGAGAATAAGACGGCCTTTTGACCTTTTAGGGTCTAGGGCTGTAAAGCGTCTCAGGGTTGCTGCCGAACGAGCCATGAACTAGGCTGGGTTTTTTATATTTGATGAAAAAGAGTCTAAACGCTAACTGATTTGGGAGAGGTCGGATAAAGAAAAAGGAGCATTAACCTTGACTACGCCTTTAGCTTCAGCCACCTTTTTAAGAAGAAATTGCTGGGCAGGTGGGGGAGGGCTACTCATGGAATGAAACTGTAAACCCGACCAGGTGTGAGGAGGGGAGGTGATAAAAAGATTATAGGGTGGAGGAGTGGAGGCTGAGGAAGAATTGGGACTTAGCTCAGCCTGGCAAGGAGCAGCCTGGGGAGGAAGGGAGAGGTCAGATGGGTCTGTAGAAAAGGAAGATTAGAAAGACTCAGCGATGCTTGGGGTTGGGACTGAGGGGACAGGTGGAAGGGAGGGAAGGAAGATTTGGGACGAGTTGCACTGGGCACAGACTAGGGAGGGACTGATGTGTAAAAGAATGCCTGGACGTCAGACACCTCAGACTGTTTGCCCATTTTACAACAAGAATTATTTAGATCTTGCAGGATGGAAAAATTGAAAGTGCCGTTTTCTGGCTATTTGGAAACACTGTCGAGTTTGTATTGGGGTCAAGCAGCATTGCAGAAGAAAATAAGGCATTTAGGTTTTAGGTCACGTGTGAGTTGAAGAGGTTTTAAGTTCTTGAGAACACAGGCTAAGGGAGAAGAAGGAAGAATGGAGGGTGGAAGCTTGCCTATAGTGAAGGAGGCAAGTTTAAAGAAAAGGGAGAGTAGAGACACGGAGGGAAGTGGTTCGGGGGTTCTTACCCTCCAGAAAAGTGGGAAAGGGGTCGGGGCACAGAAATAAGGGATTGGGGCACAGAGATATGAGGTTGGGGTACTTGCCCTTCCCCTAGAAAAGCGGGACTTGCCACTAAGGGTGAAGAAGGGGTTGAGGGGTTCTTGCCTCTCCCCCAGAAAAGCAGAGAAGGGGTAGAGACATGGAGAGAAGGGGTTGGGATATCTGCCCCTTCCCCAGAAAAGTGGGACTTGCCGCTAAGGGTGAAGGACCAAGGCAGGCGTCCCTGCGTGGTCTGACACCTCTGAAACCTGGGTGAATAATCAGAGAGGCGTGGCGTCCCTGCAGCGATTAAACACCCAGGGAAGGCTGCCTTCCCTAGTCCGTGACCGGCGCCGGAGTTTTGGGTCCACGGATAAAACATGTCTCCTTTGTCTCTACCAGAAAATGAAAGGAATTGAAATTAAGAGAAGGGAGAGATTGAAGTGTGGCGCCAAGATTGAGAGGAGAAAGAGGTTGAGGGATAGTGAGAGAGGTTGGAGAGGAGAGTAAAAAGAGGCCGCTTAACGGATTTGAAATTGGTGAGATGTCCCTTGGGCTCGTGGGTCTGAGGACCTGAGGTCGTAGGTGGATCTTTTTCACGGAGCAAAGAACAGGAGGACAGGGGATTGATCTCCCAAGGGAGGTCCCCTGATCCGAGTCACGGCACCAAATTTCATGCGCGTCCGTGTGAAGAGACCACCAAACAAGCTTTGTGTGAGCAACATGGCTGTTTATTTCACCTGGGTGCGGGCGAGCTGAGTCCAAAAAGAAAGTCAGTGAAGGGAGATGGGGTGGGGCCGTTTTACAGGATTTGGGTAGGTAAAGGAAAAAGGGGGGTTGTTCTCTGGCGGGCAGGAGTCGGGGTCACAAGGTACTCAGTGGAGGAGCTTTTGAGCCAGGATGAGCCAGGAGAAGGAATTTCACAAGACAATGTCATCAGTTAAGGCAGGAACAGGCCATTTTTACTTCTTTTGTGGTGGAATGTCATCAGTTAAGGCAGGAACCGGCCATCTGGATGTGTACGTGCAGTTCACAGGGGATATGATGGCTTAGCTTGGGCTCAGAGGCCTGACACTTAGCATTTCCATGAAAGGACAAAAACAGAATAATTTAGAGTAGAACTTAGAATCTTTACTAAACCATAATCCTTAAAAGTCAGGTTCATTTTTCTCTTTCTTTCTTTCTCTCTCAATATTATTGTGAAGATTTCCATGATCTGTTAGTAATAAAATGTATATACTTTAAAAGAGAAAAATTCAAACAATATGACTTACCACTATACATCTATTAGTGAGACCCAAATCCGAAACAGTGCAGACACTAAATGCTGGGAAGGATATGGAGCAACAGGAACTCATTTATTCCTGCTGGGAATGCAAAATGCTGTAGCTACTTAGGAAGAAAATTTCTCAGTTTCTTACAACTAAACCTGCTCTTACCATATGATCCAGATATTGCGCTCCTTGATATTTACCCAAATGAACTAAAAACATGTCCACACAAAAACCTGCAAATGGATGTTTATAACAGCTTTATTCATAATTGTGAACACTTGGAAGCAATTGAATGTCTCTCAGTAGGTGAATGGATAAATAAACTGTAGTACATCCAGGCAGTGGAATATAATATAGTTCTTAAAAAAAACAAAAAAAAGCTATCAAGCAACAAAAAAACAGTGAGGAACTTAAAATGCACATTTACTAAATGAAAGAATTTCCATTGAAAAGTCTACATACTGTATAATTCCAACTCTATGACATTATCAAAAGGGCAAAAATATGGAGACATAAAATATATCCGTGAGACCAGAGGTTAGGGGGAGGGGGGATGAGTAGGTGGAGCACAGATTATTTTTAGGACAGCAGAACTATTCTTTGTGGTACTGCAATGGTAGATACATGCCATTATACATTTGTCAAAACTTAGGTTCACACCACCAGAAGTGAACCTTAATGTAAACTATGAACTTTGGGTGATAATGATGTACTAATATAGGTTTACTGATTGTAACAAACGTATCACTGTAGTGCAGAATGTCCACAGTGGGGAGGTTGTGTATGTATGGGAATCAGCGTGGATATGGGAACACTGTACATTTACTCAGTATTGCTGTGAACCTGAAACTATTCTAAAAACTAGAATCTATTAATAAAATCTCGCCAATGTGTTCTGATTTGAAGAAACATGTTATAATATCTTGGAAAAAAACACTCCTGCATATACACAAAATGCGTATACACGTACCATTTGTGGCAAGCAGAGTTGGCATTTTATTCTAGTATGTTTTTAAATCGATAAGTTGTAAAGTATTGACTGTCAACAAAAAGATAAATATAGACATAGAGCTATGCTTCTTTCCTTTTTTTTTTTGTTTTTTTTTTTTTAACTTTTAAGTTCAGGGGTACAATTGCAGGTTAGTTGCATAAGTAAACTTGTGTCATGGGGGTTTGTTGTACAGAATATTTCATCACCAGCTATTAAACCCAGTACCCATTAGTTATTTTTTTGTATCCTCTCAGGGTCTGAAGAGACATGCTTATTTCTAATTTTCATTAGGTTTGATTGAGTCTCAGCAAAGACACATAAATTCTTATAGAACAAAAAGAAGTCAGATTCCAAATTCCAATTAGTACCTACGCTTGTTCTCCTTGTCTCAATGTCATTTATACTTGTATTTTACTTTTGGTGATTGTACTTAATTCTGTGTATGCCTCCTAGACTGAACCAAGATATCATCATTGCCTCTTGCTTCTACTATAAATAGAATAACATTCAGGAAAATATTTTCAATATTTCTTTTTTTTAAATAAGACAGAATATCCCTATGTTTTCATTTTCATGGAAAATTTTCCTCAAGTATGCTTCTTCTAGGATTTCCTGGTTCCGAAATCTCCAATAAGTACTATCTAGTGTAACATTTTCTTTTATTTTATATTAAAGATATTTACCTTATAATGATCCTTTTGGCTTACCCATAGAAAGTATTACAGTTTAAGCTGTTAGACAAAAAAGCAGTTTTCAGAAAACATTCATGGGAGTAATATATGTATTTGATGAATAAGGTTTAACTTAGGATTTTCATTTGTAAAGAAACTAAGAGAAAATAAAGTTTAGTTTTTCTCTAGGAAAAGTTAATAGGTAAAAATATTTCATAAGGAAACTATACATTCACCTTCCATTAATACAACAAAAGAATAAATCTTTACATAAAGTATGTTTAATGTTTAAAACTCATTAAATTCATATCATACCTATTATAATCAGGCCAAGAAGGAAACTCACACGTTCCCTTGAGTAGATTGATTTTTCCTATGATATTTAAATGAATGGGTGGTGTATTATAGTCATAAATAACATCAAAGTGTACTATTCATGTGCTGGGATTAAAGTTCTGCCGTTACTGTGAAGTTAATCATCTTCACAATTATACAATCAGATGAAGAACTTGGAGTATTTTTTACAGGGAGAAGAAAAGCCCCTAAGGCTCTTTTTCTTCACACTTGCAAAAAGAACTTCCGTGAAGAAAAGAAAAGGAGCTTTTTAACTATCCACCCTTAGGGAACCTTTTGGACACCATGGGCATTTACAAAACAAAGCAAAAATGAAGAAATTAAAATACTCTGGATTGCCAGGTTTTTCTCAAGGAAAATAAAACTAAACATAGGTTAAGATGAGTTAGAATAAGGAGTCCTTACATTTCAAAAAATAACAATCTCCCATAGAATGTATACTATCATTATTTTTCTGATAAAAGAAAATGATCACCAAAAGGAAAAATAAAGTTTTTGTTTGTTTGTTTTGTCATTTCTGCACCTTCTTTTTGGATGATAAATGAAAAAAAATAAAAGCATAAAGCTAAGTTAAAAGATTATTTCCCATTCATAGCTAATTCATGCATCTGATAAGAAGAAACCTCTTTCATATTCAGTCCATAAAGTAAATGTCCTGGTGATACCAAATTAAGAGGAGGTATATTAGACACTATGAATTATTCACAGGAAGTTCTAGAAAGCTGAACCACACACTATTAATTCAGCTTTAATATTAAAATCCAATGCAGTAAACAAGTATGCTTTTTCTAAATATGTGGCCAATATCTTTTCTTTCACAAAAGAATTTCCTCTTATTCAAAACTATTTCAAAAAAATGGAGGATTAGGCTTATGACTTCTCTAGACAATGAAAAGAAATCGCCAATCTACTTCAAGTACGTATTGAACTTTCTCTTCAGCTTTATCAGTTTACTATAGGAGGCAACAAATATCACCTCTTATCAAATCTATAGGTGGAGAATTAGAAGCTTAGAGCAATCCATCATGTCTGCACAAAGCAATATCTCTTGAAATGTTTAATATTCCATGTTTTCATCTTTTAAGCAATATTTGCTCAATTTAAAATGTTTAAAATTAGGTAGCATGAGCAGCTGTGTAAGTATTCTGAACATTGACTTTGCTGTTGATGGATGGTTATGTTTGGTTAGTTTATTTCAAGCAGGCTAAGCCTAGGATGCCTTCTGCCTGCAGGTGGTCTATTTGCATGCAGTGCTCAATACTTCCTTGCTTTCACCGGACTCTTCCTGTTGCTTTTGCTCCCTAGAGCAAAAGAGCTGCCTTACTAGCTGAGTTGCAGCCCAAAGAGAAGTAGCTAAGTAATGAATTGTGAAGAAACATATCACTGGCAACAGGTTAAAGCAACCAGGAAGCGACTAGATATAAAAGCTGCTTGCAAAGGTGACCTTCTATTGAGTGGTGCAGACATCTCACCTTAATGCTTAGTGCCATAATGCTCCTTAACATCAGATAGAAGCATCTTTTCCAGCATCTGGTGGGGGAAATTGCCCAGTATTTCAAAAGAGATCTGCGTTTCTAGGATGCAACTACTGGGGCTTTGCCAGAACCAAGTGAGTCCTACTTGGCAAGCCTGTTTGAAGACACCAGCGTGGGTGGGTGCTATGCATGTCAATCATATAACAATTACCCTAAAGAACTTCAGCTAAAGAATGTGCTTAAGTTTCACCATGATAGGAAACATTCTATTATTAAAACAAATAAGGCCGGGCGTGGTGGCTCACACCTGTAATCCCAGCATTTTGGGAGGCCGAGGCAGGTAGATCACGAGGTCAGGAGTTCAAGACCAGCCTGGCCAAGATGATGAAATGCCATCTGTATTAAAATACAAAAAATTGGTCAGGCCTGGTGGCGGGTACCTGTAAGCCCAGCTACTCGGGAGGCTGAGGCAGAGAATTGCTTGAACCCAGGAGGCAGAGGTTGCAGTGAGCTGAGATTGCGCCATTGCACTCCAGCCTGGGGGACAGAGCAAGACTCCGTCTCAAAAAAAAAAAAACAACCACAAATAAACAGCAAACCAGAAACTAAAACAATGTATCTTTCTCCAGGATCAGGAAGACATTTTTGTTGTTGTTCATTAGGTCAAAAGATAACTAAATATAGGAAAATAGGAGATAGAACCAAACATTAGGATTTTTGCTTTTAATTTCTGTGTAAATTTTTAATATAAATATGAAAGCATGAGGCACTAATGCAAGTCAAAATATTTCAGTGGACAAGATTGAGCATTTCAACTTCATGACATTATAAATAAACCTGTTAATTTTTTTTAACATGCCAGCATTGGGATCTTTTAAAGAGACTAAGTATCTTCTTGCTAGAAATTAAATGATATTTGTGGTATTTTATCATATAATAGATTCCATTCATACACTCTGTTTCTAACTGAATTGTCCTAGACAAATGTACATGTTTCTGAAGTTGTCTGTCTTCTGTGTTCTTCCATGAAGTTTGTCACTAAAATATGTTGAACTAAGTAAGAAAACATTTCTTCCATACAAATTTCCTGCTAGGACCATACACAATATACAATTTTTACACATCATCAGTATCCTCACCTAATCTGGCTCTCCCAGTTCTCTGGTTCCCAGATTTATTTCACGGTACATCCACACATGGGGATGGGGAATCTCGTCCTGCCTTTCATAATATTAATTGAGAGCTCACTAGATGTACATTGTGCTAAATATGTAGTTATAACAGAAAAAATTATATGTATATATATATGTATATTCAAACAAACAGTTTTAGAAGGTGGGCACTCTGCTTAGCACAAGAGTTATCTCTCAAGAGGTTAATTGTTTTACTTAGAATGTATTAAGTCAATAGCATATTGTGGCAGGGCGTGGCGGCTCACGCCTGTAATCTCAGCACTTTGGGAGGCAGAGGCGGGCGGATCACTTGAGGTCAGGAGCTCAAGACCAGCCTGGTCAACATGGTGAAACTCCTTCTCTACGGAAAATACAAAATTTAGCTGGATGTGGAGGTGGACACCTGTAATCCCAGCTACTCGGGAGGCTGAGGCAGGAGAATCGCTTGAACCCCAGAGGCGGAGGTTGCAGTGAGCCGAGATGACACCATTGCACTCCAGCCTGGGAGACAGAGCGAGACTCTGTCTCAAAAAAGAAAACAACAACAAAACCAAAAGCATATTGTTAAATTCCAAATGAATTCTACATGGAGGGAATTCAGAAGTGAAAATTCTTTTCCTAGGTAGAATAGAAAAGAACGTGTTTGTTTGTTTTTGTTTTTTTACGAAGAGACCAAGTATGGGAAATGGTTAAAACCAACTCATAGATTAAGGAATTAGAAAGTTGTATTCAAGACAAAGTGTGCTCGCAACTTTTGAGAGAAAGGCCAGCTCATCTTAGGAAACAGTTAAACATTGGTTAATAAAAGGCTTATGCTGTTAACATAATGAAATATTGGTTAAAGGGGAAATTAATGATATGATTCTTTAGTATAATGTAAAATCAATTTAAGGAAATTTAATTGTATTTGTATAGCTGTTACTTATATGCTTTCTATTAAGCGAAAGTGAAGTTTTTAAAGGTAGTCTGAGATATTCTACATGGTAAATGATGGGAATAGAATCTCGAACCAGAGAATGCTATGGAGCAACATTTACTTTATTCATGCCTAGGTTTTGGATAAAGTTCTTAATTGCCAGATTTATCATGGGAAGGATAAAGGAATAATGAAAGAAGCTTTACCAAAAGACAATGGACTGGACTGGAAGACTGGTTACACCTGAGAAGCAAAGGAGGAAAATGAGGCAGAGATGGTGCTGAAGTTTCAAATGTGCGTGGTGATCTATGGAGAGAGAGTTGTACTGGCAGCTGGGAAGTCATCTGGAAAGTGAACTTAAAAAGGAACATGATGAATTATGTTGAAGATATGCCTGAACTGAGCAAAGAATGGAAAATCCAAAGGGATGATAGCACAATATTATTTCTGAGTTGAAATGGACTTTAAAAACTATAAGGCTGTGTCTTCATTTGATCTATCGATCCCCTTAAACATCATCCCTAGCAAATCATCATTCCACCTGTGTTTGACATTTTTTTAATGACAGGAAAATTCCCTGTTTTTCCACGAATTTAATGTTTTTTTTTTTTTGCCGTTCAATTTTTTATAAATGTTCCTCTTATACTGATCCAAAAGTATGCCTCCTTAAAATTCTAAGCTTTGGTGGTAGCTGTTCCCTGTGGAAACCCAAAATAAACTTTATCCTTCTTTCACATAATGGCCCTTCAAATAATTGAAGGCACTTTTCATGTCCCATTGAGTCTTCTCTTCTTTAGGTTAAACATCATTTGATGTGCTTTCAATGCTTTCACTATGTCTTTCTTTAAAGTGTAGTGCCTAGATCTAAACTGAGATTTCAGAGAAAGAATAGAGCTAAATTTAAAAAAAAAAAAATTAAGACATTATTATGAAGATTTCTGAAGCTGTGACCCAGGGAAGAGTGTTCAAGGGAAAAACAAACACAGCAGAAAGCAGAGCCAAGGACTGAAGATTACACCTCAGCAAATGACACACGAGACTTACAAAGAAAAGAATAAACAATCCAGGCAAGAGATAGATGAGACAGACACAAAGAAAGTGGGCACAGGCCAGGGCCAGCACAGTTAAAGAAAAAGAGGGTTTTATGATGATTACAGCAATACAAATATAAAATGCTACAGAGAAACTGCTATAAAAACGCTGAACAAAGGCCATTGCGTCATTTATTAATTATCTTATGGGTTTTAGGAGAATTGGGCTCAAGGAAGTCATATTTCGGAAACTTAAATTGAGTCTAGAAAACACTGACAGTAAAAGGAATGAAAAAAATGATACAACTACTAGAGTAATCCTGTTTGAACCTAGAGGTCCAGAGGGAGGGGCACTTCAAGTAAACTTTACCCCAGACACTTTTCCAAAAGCAACCAGCGTCTCTGATTCGTGATTCTGGAACACCTGTGCAATGCCCTGCTGGAGCATTCCTTATCATGATTTGCAGGTCCTCCCCTGTCCCCACCGGATTATACAATTTTGATGACAGAAACTTGTTCTTAACCACCTCTCTGTCTTCAGCATTCAGCCTAATGTTGGAAGAATAGAAGATGGTTGATAAATGTTTGCTGAATCAGAAATGGAATGATCTCTAATGCAAGAAGTTCAAGGGAAGTGCTCCGCCCAGTTCTCCAGTGCAGTGGCGCCATCCTGGCTCACTGCAACCTCTGTCTCCGGGTTCAAGCAATTCTCCTGCCTCAGCCTCCTGAGTAGCTGGGATTACAGGCACCCGCCACCATGCCTGGCTAATTTTTTGTATTTTTAGTAGAGATGGGGTTTCAGCATGTTTGTCAGGCTGGTCTTGAACTCCTGACCTCAAGTGATCTGTCCACTTCTCGGCCTCCCAAAGTGCTCAGATCTTATTTCCTGTTTCTCTGAGGACTTTTCCCATTTCCTGTGTGCTTTTGCTTCCAACTGCCTGTACCTGACACCACTTTGGATTGCTGTTTTAGGGTTAATGGATCCACTTTGCACGTGCTTGGATGGCAGGAGTGTTCTGGGTTTCATCCATCCCACTCAGGTGGTCCATAACATATTATACCTAGGTGCGAGAGCAAGAAAACCCTAAGCCCTGGCCTCTGGAAGAAATCGCCCTGTGGCATGAGTTACACTCCAGAGTTGCCTTGAGGGACAAGACCCAAACAATCTGCTTGGGGACTTTTGAATTCACATCCATGCTTGGCCTCTCTTTCTTCCGCAGTTTCTTATCAGTTTGTCCTCTGAGTACCTTCTTGATAAATCACTAGCACACCAATGCCTTATCTCTGGATCTGCTTCCGGTAAACCTAATTTAAAATGAAACTCCTCTTAATATGGGTAATAACTAATTATACTGAAAAGCAGAGAAGATGGGTCAGTACAGAAAGATGCTTCAGTTAAATATATTATTGTCTAGCTGAGGATTTGTACCCTTTGAACATCATCTCCGTGTCCCTCTCACTCCCCAGCCTCTGGTAACCACACCATTCTACTTGCTGCTTTTATTAGTTTAATTGTTTTAGATTCCACCTATAAGTAAGAACACTTGGTACATATCTTTCTGTGTGTGTGTTATTTCACTTAGCATAACGTTCTCCAATCTCATCCATGTTGCACGAAGGACAGAATTTCTTCTTATTTTAAGGCCGAATGGCATTCCATTGTGTACGTGTAACCACGTTTTCTATATCCATTCATCCCTGATGGACGCTTACTTAGGAGAAAAATGTGTTTTTTTTTTTTTTCCCCAGATCATTTGCACAGCATGGAGAATATAACAAATAACTGAATTCTGTACATTTCAATATCACTAAAAATATAAATATCTAATGCCCTCATTACAAAAAAGTGTTAAATATTTGAGGTATAGAAACTTTAGTTAGCTTAATTTATTATTTCTAAATTATATTCAAAAAATCATAACATCCCCCTTAACCTCATAAATATATGCAACTATAATTTGTCATTACATAATAAAATTTAAAATTAAAACTTAAAAATATGTCATTGTGTAAACTTTACATTACAGAAAATTGATGCAATAGCTGAGTACAAGGTCAAATCTTGGGGGGAAAAGGCTTACCACTAAACATTCTAAGCTTTGACCTGGAGAAGAAAGAAAAAGGAACATTTTGATTGAGTAGGAATATATCCTCTCCTTGTTTGAAAATCCTGAAGAACCTTCCAATTCCTTAGGATGAGAAATAAATTTCAGTTACCTAAATATAGACCTGAGTACAGATATAAAGCTTGACATGATGATGGAACTGAAAAATCTGAAATAGATCTAGGCCAGGTGCAGTGGCTCACACCTGTAATCCCAGCACTTTGGGAGGCCAAAGTGGGTGGATCACTTGAGGTCAGGAGTTCGAGACCAGCCTGGCCAACATGGTGAAACCCCCGTCTCTCCCAAAAATACAGAAAAATTAGCCAGGCATGGTGGCACACACCTGTAGTAGTGCCAGCTACTCGGGAGGCTAAGGCATGAGAATCGCTTGAACCCGGGAGGTAGGTTGCAGGGAGTCGAGATTGTGTCACTACATTCCAGGCTGGGCAACAGAGTGAGATCCTGCCACAACAACAACAACAAAATTGAATAAAATATAACTACATACAGAATATACTAAAAAAAAATTTTTTTTAAATAGTCCTTTAAGTTTCAAATTCCGATTGTTTTGAGGAGTTTCTAAATCCCGCACTGAGTGACAAAAGGCAATGTGACGTATATTAATATTATGCTCCAAAGCTCAGTGAGATAAATAGCATTAAAGACCCTATGATACTCACTTTAACAAACACTTCAAAGTCATTCATTGAACATTTTTGTCAGATTCTTGTTTATGCCATGGGTACGAAACTAAATTATATCTAGGCTTGTACCATGTTGTTAGCCTATGGCCAAGAGCAAGGAATTATTAAAGTACATTGAATTATAAGAAGAAGTTTGTCTTACTGTGTCCGGAATTTATTCTGTCTGGTGGGTTCTTGGTCTCACTGACTTCAGGAATGAAGCCGCAGACATTCGCGTTGAGTGTTACAGGTGTGTCTGGAATTTGTTCCTTCAGATGTTCAGATGTGTCTGGAGTTTCTTCCTGCCAGTGGGTTTGCGGTCTCGCTGACTTCAGGAGTGAAGCCACGAAGGCAAGTGTTACAGCTCTTAAAGGTGGTGCAGACCCAAAGAGTGAGCAGCAGCTACATTTATTGTGAAGAGCAAAAGAACAAAGCTTCCACAGCGTGGAAGGGGACCCAAGTGGGTTGCCACTGCTGGCTCAGGTGGCCAGCTTTTATTCCCTTATTTGGCCCTGCCCACATCATGCTGATTGGTCCATTTCACAGAGCGCTGATTGGTCCAATTTACGGAGTGCTGATTGGTGCGTTTTTACAGAGTGCTGGTTGGTGCATTTACAGTCCTTTAGCTAGACACAAAGTGCTGATTGGTGCATTTTTACAGAGTTCTGATTGGTGTGTTTACAATCCTTTAGCTAGACACAGAGTGCTGATTGGTGGGTTTTTACGGAGTGCTGATTGGTGGGTTTATAATCCTTTAGCTAGACACAGAGCACTGATTGGTGCATTTACAATCCTTTAGCTAGACAGAAAAGTTCTCCAAGTCCCCAATGGACCCAGGAAGTCCAGCTGGCTTCACCTCTCATTATGAGATATATAAACAGTAAAATTAATGCACAATGAATTAAAAGTATAGGTTTGCAATTTCATGATAAAGCAAGACAAAGACTTCAACATCTGCAGAGTTGACTGTGCCTTGTTTAAATGTACCACACATGTAAAGGATGTTTCAATCAGAATGGGAATGGTCAGCTGTGAAGTTACTGGAAATGTTAGTTAAAAGGTAAATCTGGAATGGACCGTGTGAATGCTGCCAGAGGAGAAAAACTTATCCACATATCCACATACTTTGGCATTCTAGAGTCTTTGGTGTGGTCCTTTATTCCTCTGTGGGATGGACACAGTGTGCTTATTCTGGTGCTATGAACACTTACATCATCTGCCTTTGTTCTTCTCCTAGGCTAACCAGACATACATATATTTAGTCATCCCTACAAAATGGTGAGCGGGGGAATGAGTATTCCATTCCATGTGATAGTTATGGGTGTCATTCTAAATTCAAAACCAATGTTGTCATTCTGCCTTCATCTACTACGTGTGAAACCATGTTTCTAGATGCTTTGGTCTTCTTTTGAGGTGCTAATAAAACTATCAAATTCACCAAGAGCCAGTGAAGCCCCTTGGGTGACAGCCAATCAATGACTCTTGCCATCAACAACAATGTCTTCCACTTGTACAAAGCAGCCCTCCAGTATCCATTCTTCCCTCTTCCAGATATTCTTCCTTTCACCAGCCTCAACACTTAGAACCAAATCAGATACAAATCCTGAAAATAAAACTGTAGTCAGACTCATTACTAACCTTCCTAACTAACCTTTTTTTTATATCACATTCTTCCTGGTACATTCTCTTATACCACATTAGTCCTATTTATAATTGTTGTCCTTCCGTCCCTCCCTCCCTCCCTCACTCCTTCCCTTCCTACTTTGCTTCCTTTCTTCCTCCCTTTTTTCCTTCCTTATTTTCTTCCTTCCTCTGTCATTCCTGTTTTTACATTAGATTTAGCATCTACTTGAAGTTGATTTTTGTGTAACTTTTAAGCATCATTTTTTTTCTATGTTTTATGGATTTTAATTTGTTGGAAACCGCAGTAAAGACAATCTTTCCCACTATTCTATTTGAAACTACTGTAGCACACTTGTTATAAATGACTATGTATATATGGGCCTGTGTCTAGACTCTAGTGTATTTTATCTTTCATTTAAGTCACTTATTTAATTACTATAGCTTTTTAACAATTTTTAATATCTGGCTGTTGAAAAATTTGTCTGTTTTTTTTTTCAGAGTATCTTAGCTATCTTTCAGTCATTTGTAAGTCCATATAAATTTCAGTCATGTTTTCAAGTTCCATAAAGGAAAAGTAGAAAAAAATCTGTTGAAAATTTGAGTGAGTGTTCATGGAACCTATAAGCATTGACTCTTGAACAATGTGGGGGTTAGGAGTGCTGACTCTTCAAACAGTAGAAAATTATCCTATAAATTTTGACTCCCCAAAAGCTTAACTACCAATAGCCTACTGTTGAGCAGAATCCTTACCAATAACATAAGAAGTTGATTAACACATATTTGGTATGCTATATGTATTATATACTACATTCTTACAACAAAATAAGCTGTGGGAAAAATGTTATTAGGTCAGGAATTCGAGACCAGCCTGGCCAACATGGTGAAACCCCTTCTGTACTAAAAATACAAAAATTAGCTGGGCATGGTGGTGGGCATCTGTAGTTCCAGCTACTCGGGAGGCTGAGGCAGGAGAATCACTTAAACCCAGGAGGTTTAAGTGAGCTGAGCAGTGAGCTGAGATGGCGCCACTGCACTCCAGTCTGGGCGACAGACCGAGACTCTGTCTCAAAAAAAAAAAAGTCATAAGAAAGAAAAAATATATTTACTATTCATTCAGTGGAAATGGATCATCATAAAGGTATTTGTCCTCATCATCTTCACTCTGAGTAGGCTGAGGAGGGGAGAGAGGAGAGGTTGGTCTTGTTGTCTCAGGTGTGGCAACAATTTTCAGAGGAAGAAGAAAATCTGCATATACGTGGACCTGCAGTTCAAATCTCTGTTGTTCAAGGGTCAAGTGTACTTTTAAATTTTATTTAGTAAAGATCAGTTAGTAGTGAACCTTTTCCTCTTTTATCTAAAAATGCATATAATCACTTTTGTTCTTTTATAACATGTTTTCTGCATTTACAATTAAAGTTGACCTTTTGATTTTAAACGTTGGAAGATATTTCCCTGTTTTCTGGCTTCTCTTTTTCTTAGAAATCACCTGGAATTCTAATTATTACTTACTAGGTAGTACATTCACTTACATGGTCAGCTCCTGGCACATTGGGCCTATGTGCTGTGCACTTCTTTTCTCTGAATTATCCAGATAGACTATTTATTTGCAAGATTACAAAGATTCAGGAGTCCAATTTCCACTCTCCATAGACATCAGCTCTGAAGGTTTCTCCCAATATTACCAATGAGTCAGCACCAGATCTAAGCAAGAGGAGTGTTTTCTTTCCCTAAGGTGTTCTCATGTAAATAGTATGCTTGCACCCTCTCCTGGCATGGAAGTCCACTTAGTGGTCTCTTCCATTTGCTAACTTCCAGTCCCATTGTTATGTATTAACTGTTTTGATCCACACCCTTTCCCCAGTAGTTGGGATTACCAGCTCAGATCTACTGCTTAACCGAAGTGCCAGTAATCACTACAGTCTTGCTAATGTTTCTTCTTAGCTCCAACTCCACCCTTCCAGTAGAGTCCTCCCTTAGGCAGTGTGAAGGCACACATGTAATTCTTTAAAAATTTATTTTTACCAGATGCTTTGACTGTCAGGTGTTTAGATGGTCCACTGTACTTGGAGGGGAATGAGGAATGAGACAAGGTTATGTGGCACTATGTCTCCGTGCTCATTTCTGCATACTAGCTGCAGTAAAATGCCTAATTTGCCTGCAAGTAGTATGTCCAGATTTTTTGAATGATAATTCACTGTTCCAAACCACTCATTGTGTCCTCCACAGTTGCCTGTGTTACAGGATAAGTGAATCCAAGAGCATAATAGGTGTCAATCCTAGTTAACACTCATCTGTAGCTTCCTGGGGTCCCTGGTAGAGGCCTAATATATCCACTTGCGAGCTTTGTGCAGGCTCTTGTCTTTGGGGAATTTTACTCACAGCCATTTCCAAGTGATTTCCTTTCTATTGCCATTGGATGCAGTTTCTTATCACTTCAGCCATTTTGTCAGGTACAACAAAAATGTGCTATGATTCTGCTTATTTAGTGCATGGCCAAGCACACACAAAGCCAGTTTATTTAATAAAATCGATTAACTGGCTCCAGTGATCTGACTGAGGTATCTTCTCTAGCATTCTTGTTCCTTGAGCCATCTGGTATGCATATTTTGTGTACATCTACATGGCCCATTTTCATTCTTCCTCTAAATTCACAGGTGTTTCCATAAATAAGGACCTCATTCAAGGGTGATCTTTTTTGTCCACGTATTTAGGGCCCATTTGCCTGACAATGCACGGCAATGGTGAACAGTTAGGGTTTCTATGAGAAATATTACCTTCCAGTCTGTGAGCATCTTGCTTTTGGACAGGGTCTGTATATATAACAATTTATTTTTCACCTTTCAAGAAATGCTCTTGGTTGTAGGAGCCCACATAAGTCTCAGAAATTTCCAGGGTTGAACTCAGCCTTGGATTTTAGCTGGATTTATCTATCAGACTTTGTCATGTGAGTGACTATGTTCTGAACTCCTTTGCCCTTCTTCCTTTGAGAATGCAATTTTCATGATATCATCAATATAGTTCACTATGTTGCTCATAATGATTATTAAGTGCAAGTCTCATCTCAATAAACTGGTGAATTAAAATAATAATGTGGCAAAACAGCAAATGTATACTAGATCCCATTATGTGAGAATGCACATTATCCTAGTTTGATTTCAAAATTGGGACTGAAAAGAACTCATTTGGTGGCTAATTCTATAATAGTATACAACACCTATTTGGCCTATTTTACTTCCTGTATACTCTTTCTCATATCAGGGACAGCTGTAGTAATCAGTGACAGCATGTAGCATAATTATGAAGTGTGTACTGCTAACTTCTAGGAACTGCCTCTCAGGTACTGGGCAGATAGGAAAAAATAGAATACAGACCTGTTGCTTAATTGTTTACTTTGTGACAGTGAAATTACATCCTCACATTCATTGAATTGGAGATTAAGTGTTCATATTCAAATTGTTGATATCAAACCTAGTATTATATTGACAATATCAGGCTTTCCCATCACATGTTAGAAAGATTCTAAAAATACTGTCTTCATAAAAATACAATGGTACTATTAATTGGAAAAAAAAAAAAAAAGCTTTTTTCCCCTTCTTTGCATGCTTTCTAAATGTAATGAGGCAGCGTCTCTGTAGCCGGGAATAGCCTATCAGTCCATTTTATTATGCAGGAATTTGTAATCTATATTCTCTCACCAAACTATTATCTCTGCTTAGGCTAAATATAAGTTTAAATTATCTTCACATTTTTAGAATTTACATCAGCAAATTTAATGCTGAAACATAAAGCATTTCATTTTATTATGTTTTTTAAATCCTACTTAAAATATAGTTTGATAAATAGTACACATTTCTTGGCTCTACCAAAGAACAAAGACCAACTATCAAAAGCAAATGCTTTATTTTCTAGCAGAAAAAAAAGAAGTGTACTTTCCTATCCAAACAGACTTGTTTTGGCAATTTTAGGAGACTAATGTGATCTAATATTCTAGGCCCCTTGCAGCTTAATGAATTGACTAAAGAGAAAAACCTGACACCAAATCTTTACTACTCCAGGTGCCCCCAAAGTATTTCAGGGCCAGATGTTTGTAAGTAATGTGATTTTCTAGTTATTATCTCTGGGGCTGGGAAACAGGTAAATTCAGTTTGGTTCATTTTTGTTTCAATGTTCTTTTACTTCTCACTCTCCTCCACAGTGTCATTATAGTTCACGTTTCTTAAGAAGTGGTAAAATAATATCTCATTAAGTTAGAGTCTGGCTTCTGCAGACTTACTTTTTATAGATCTCTTTCTGTTGTTTCAACTCAGAAGGTATTAAATTTAAAGATGCATACTCTATTGCATGATAAATAAAACAGTCAGGTGGGAGAGCCCACTTAAGTATCCATGCTGTCAGGCCATTTTCCTATAAAGAAATCACAGGAGAAAGTTAGACATTTGTTTGGCATAACTAATTTTATCTTCAAGTGGAAGGTTGGAATGTTCCCAAGTATGTTTGCATTTGATTCTTCATAAGCAATGTACGGCTATGCCTTTCATTCAATGCTGTTATTTCCTTGTAATCAGTTCATAATTGTTCTCATACAATAATTAGAGTTTTGATCATAGAATGGGTGAAGATGACTTTCACTAAAAATGTTATTTAATTTTTTATTGTCTTTTTATATTTTACTTTAGGCTTCGTTCTAAAATGTAATCCTTTGTTGAATGTCAGGATATTACAATAAAAAATATATATTTTTGTATATATATATATTTTACAATATATATTTATTACATTTTTGTATATATTATGATAAAAATATACATCAAATGTGTATATATTAAAAGAAAGTATTTTATTTCAAAAATACTGAGAGGATTTTTCCAAGCTACCTAGGAAGTCCTGAGAATAAATACTTTATTTTTTAAATATTATTTAAACTTCTTTAGGGATATGAATGCACTAGAAGAAAAGATGTTGCTGCGGTTGGGTGTGGCTGCTTCACTCTGATGTCCGCATTTGAAAGTGCACATATGTGTGTACAGAGATAGGAGCCTTTTGCTCTTGTCTGATAATCTCAAGGGTTCAGAGGCAAGAGCCACACTTGCATTAGATGGAAAATCTGAGGCATGTGTGATTTAGATAATGAATTTGGAACCTTGACGAATATTGTCACAGTGCTTCAGTGATTTGATGCCCTTGGTGTAGCCAACAAGGTGAACTTTACTAGTTTTTGTTGTAAGCGGTAGAAAGCAAATTATGTCTACTCTAGTTTGGGTTTCTTGATACAGAGAAAACAGTGTCTGGAAATACAAATTAGGCAACCAATGTAAAACTTCCCATTATATTATAGAATAATATTTATCCCTATATTTCCATATAATTTACACCAAAATTGCCCTTTTTAATTGTTTTCCTGGTTTAAATAATAAAATTGTCAGGGACAATTTAGGCCTTTATGGGCAGTTTTAGTCTAAGTTTTGTCTTGTATATCAAATATTGTTGCTGAAATAAACTTAATGTAGAAATGTGTGCCCATCTCATGTTCTTTAAGAAGAACTTTAGTTTCTAGGGTGTAGATGTTTTTTGATTATACACATATGCCATGAAGTCAAAATCAAAATATACTTATTAAACCAACATGTAACTAAGTTGGAAGAAGTTATATGACCATGTATTAAACTATTTCAACTATTCAAATAGCATAGTTTTCTTTAATAATGGAATTCTTGATATGACAGAGTATATTAAGATGATTCAATTTATGAAATAGCTTATTTAATTATTGTACCTGTCTGACAGAATAATTACACCATTTGATTCACCCCCAAAATGTTAGTTTTTTTTAACACATAGTTTTTGCTTAAAAAACAAAATTGCTTTCTTATACTCTAAGATGCCTAAGCATTCTTTGCCTAAATAGTAAGATGTTTTGCTGTGCTCTGATGTTCAGAAAATAATATCATTAAAGTACCTTTGGTTTTCACTGCATGATTGAAATAATGACTCTTGTAAGTTAAAGTCAGACAAAAGTATTAACAGTTCAGAATTGATCATTATGTAAGTTTAGAAAAATGTGCTGAACACTGATAAATATTTCCTAAAATCTTAGATTCTACTCATCATCCATCCACATTTCACCTGGGTCATGAATCTTGTCTACTGTGAATTGCAAGGAGGACTTCCAAATACTTGAACTTGTGTTCTCAAATCTTTTCAGGATAAACAGACATTAAAATGAAATAACAAACGCAGAAAAACCCTGCCTTCCTATTTTATTCCCTAACTAAGAAAATTTTCTAATGATGTGGTAAAGAAATGTCATTCTCTTAGATGCGACTAGGATTTAGACTTCTGAATCATAGAGTTTGCCCCGCTGTCTGATCTTCTGACACTTTGAGAGGTCCTTTGTTATCTATACTAGTCTGTGACTTTCATATACTTATCTCTAAACAAGAAGAAAAGTTCTTTTCCATTAAAAGGCCGATTTTTCTTTGAAGTACAGCTCCAGTCAAACCATGTATATTTCAAAAACACATCAAAGCATCAGCCAGGATTGATATGGAACTGATAGTTTGATATTGGAAAGTTACTATGAATTAAAAATTACAGATAACAGAAAATGTGTGTGTAATTCCATTTGTATTTTAAGTAATATGAATACATATAAAGAACATAGATACATATTTTCTCGATATAATATTTTCAAACACTAATATATGTGAATAAATAGTGTTTTTAAACCTAAAATTAACATCTTCATATGCTTTTCTTTTAGTTTTCAGCTTTTCACTGATACGGTTTTATGAGAATGCAATTTCAATAGCCTTCAATTTTCCCTTTTCTCTAGCCCACATTTATACTTGCATCTCTATACCACTGACCAATTTATTACTAGTAAGATAAATAATTACTATAGTATTAAGATAATTAGAAAAGTAAATTGATCAATTAAGCTTTATGCTTTGTTTGCAAAGCTAGGCTTATGCAAAAAAGTTTTGTTTTATTCAAACATGGTATAGTCAATTTCTTGCTCCTTGTTTTTGGCTTCAGTGATAACATAATATTGTAGTTATTCTCTTAATTCTTAATTCTCTTTCCCCTGCTTATTCTCTGCTTGACCTCTAAATGTCAGGATTCCTTGAGGCTACATTCTAAGATATCACTTTTATGGGCAAAACTTTCTCCTAAATTAACTCATTCATTCGCCTGACCATAATGGAATCTGTATGTCAAGGACACAAAAAAGAATCTGTAGTCCAGTTGCCTTCTTTGAGTTTCAGAGTCACATGTTCAGCTTCCTATGGGAATTATTCTCTTCAGTAGCTAACAAGAGAATTAAAAAAAAGGGGGGGGAAAGCAGAAAAAATAAAGCAAATAGGCAAATAAACAAAACGAAACATCCCAAGCTGACTAATTGACCTTCTTGGATAAATCTCTCCATAGTTTTTGTCATCTCAATAAATGGTAACAGTATCTAATTAGTTAATGTAGCATTTGAAAGTTATTCCTAATTTTTCTCTTTTCTTTACCATCTCAATAATCTGCCACCAAGTTCTGGCAAACCAACTCTACAAATGCACTCATATCAATGTTTCTACCTCCAGTACCCTGAAGTGAACGACCATTGTCTCTCACTGGGCTGCAGCATTACCTTTTTGTCTCCCTACTTCTCCTCTTCCTTACTCTCAGTTCACTATCCCCTGAACGATCTTTTAAAAAGCATCATGCCATTACTTGACCATAAAGACTTGACCATTACTCTTAGGAAAAGAACGCTATAATACTCCTGTTTGATGTGGCCCTTGCTAACCTCCCTGCCTCTCCTTACAGTCTTCTGTTGCTTCTACACCATACTCTGGTTACACCAATCATCTTTCCATTCCTCAATTTCAGCACGTACTTTCTTACCACAAAGGCTTTAATTCCTTATTCCCATGCATGAATTCCTGAAATGCAATTCCTGGCAACTGTCAGCCAAAGAACTAAAACTCCTACTCAACTCTCAGCTCTCGCTTTAAAAATCACATTGCCAAAAGCACTCTCAAGATAACATACACTTAAGATGGGTCTTCTTGTTCTTTTAAAAATGAATTTCCTCATCTATCTTTGTATCTATTACCTTGCTGCCTAAAACTATCTATCCTTTGCCTCATTATAACTTCAACACACAATCTCCTTCTCTCCTTCTAGCAGAGCAGAGAGGCAAAGACCTTTGTTCCCTAAAGATGTATACTCCCTCATTGTAGAAGATAACCTGTGAGGAAAAAAAATCAGAATTGGAAGACGTTTCCAATAGTTTATATTATTCATAAGAGAACAAGGCAGAAGCAATTCTTTTCAACAATAACCACTGAAAGAGGTGAGCTTAATCTAGTGGGAGCCCTGCACTAGAGAAATTTCATCCGAGTCTAGTCCATTTCAGAACAGGAATGGCCTTGTGTAATTCTCATCACCAACGCTATTATTCTCAACTTTAAGAGCCAAAGCACTTTAATCTGTTATCAATTCATTTTCTTGTTAAATAATATATAAAGCAAATCATGAAGTAAGTATATACCTTGAGAGTTAAGAAAAGGAACGAAATTTACATAGAAAAGAAATAATAAAGGTGGAATTAATGAAAATGAAAAGTCAAATTAAGTAATAAAAGTGTCGGTACAGTGGAAAAATTAATAAAATATAAGGACACTGACAAGGTGATTAAGTAAAATTACAAAAGGAAAAGGAGGTATGGCAAATTACCCAGAAGTTTTTTGTTTGCCAATAGTATTAAAAAGAGCTAATCTTAATGCAGGCTTTCTCAACCTCAGAACTGTTAACATTTTGAGTTGAAAAGTTATCTGTACTTGGAGTGGCAGAGGACAGTAGGATTGCCTTGTGTATTCTAGGACATCTAGCAGCATCCCTCGGCTTTACCCATTAGATATCAATATCAATCCTCCCCTAGGTTGTGACAAACAAAATTGTCTCCAAATATTGCAAATATCTCAAGGACAGCTACCTTACTCTTCCCATTGAAAACCACTGGATTCATGTAAAGGGAACAGAATTTTGCATGAAAACATCCATTTTTAAGTCTTAGTAACAGTGAAAAATTAAAATAGTTGTTTAATTAACTGTATTAGTCAGGGTTCTCTAGAGGGACAGAAATAATAGGATAGATGTATATATAAAGAGGAGTTTATTAAGGAGTATTGACTCACAGGATCACAAGGTGAGGCCCCACAATAGATCATATGCAAGCTGAGGAGCAAGGAAGCCAGTCTGAGTCCCAAAATCACAAAAGTAGGGAAGCCAACAGTGCAGCCTTCAGTCTGTGGTTGAAGGTCCAAGATTCCCAAAGGTGAAGAACTTGGAATCAGATGTTTGAGGGCAGAAAGCATCCAGCGTGAGAGAAAGATGTATGCCAGGAGACTAAGCCAGTCTGGTCTTTTTGTGTTCTTATGCCTACTTTTATTCTAGTGGCACTGGCAGCTGATTAGATGGTGCTCACCCAGACTGAGGGTGGGTCTGCCTTTGCCAGTCCACTGACTCATATGTCAGTCTTTTCTGGCAACACTCTTACAGACATATCCAGGAACAATATTTTGCATCCTTCAATCCAATAAAGTTGACATTCGGTTTTAACCATCATACCAACAAATCTCTAAACTTTTCCTCAGGAAAATGCAGATATCTACACTGTGGACTTCATCAATTATATGATATAAACACTTTCAAGAAAATACAAAATAGGAAAGAAAAATTAGATCCAAGTAATAGAAGACGTCATAAATTCAGATTCAAACCAAACTGTTATATTGCAGTTACAAATTTTTTCTCTGATCTTTTTTAGCAGCCAAAGTAAGAAGACAGATGATTATTTGCATAATTATTTAACTGACAGGAGGCAGAAAGCCAGTTCCTCAAGGGAGGCATGAGCTCTGTTAGCCTGTTTCTACAAGAGACGTCCTGACGTTACAAAGAAGACATAAAGGACAGGGAGGACAGTGTCCACACAGCTTTATGGCAAGTACATTAGTGATTTTGATACAATCATTTTGATCTAGTGCTTGCCAATAAAATTTCAGGGAATAACATTTAAAATTAATCTAGTGAAGGCAACTCTGTGGTCAACTAAGGTATGAAGTGAAGTTCAGCTTGATGAAAGGCTATGATTTTGTGCATCAAGATTGGTGGTTTCACTGTATAACCTTTGAGATCTTTTAGTATTACTTCCTTCTCTTTGGCTTTCTTTAAGAGCCTGATATCAATTATTTTGAGATTATATTTGGGGATGAACACTTACTACATAGATAAACTGCATAACAGGACAATGAAAAGGACTACTTTTTTTTCTACTTTTTACTCTAGTAGACAAGCCCTTGCCATCTGAAGTCCAAGGCCTTTTCCGTAATTAGTGCGTGTTGTCTACCTGCCTGAGCTGAGCAAGGGAGTTAGGTTCGTAGTAAGAACGGTAGTGAGAAAAAGAAACAAAGATTCCCACCAACAATCCAGACTATTAAGTTGAGAGATGATTTGATAAATCATTTTAGCACCCCCCATTACTGTAACATTTCATTGATGAAATTTATAAGGCCCAGACCTGTAGGAACATAATATCATAGTATTTTAGCCTTTCATGATTGTGGAATTTCTGACACTTGATGCTCAGGGAGAGTAAAGAGGTGACGAAAGTAAAGTGAAGAAAAATCTTGCTGCTTTTCTCTCCCAATGAGAAGCGTTAAAGGAAAAATGAGAAGAGTGTGAAGAAAATAAAACTATTAGGTTTGGCTAGAAATGGGAAATTGCATTAGGTCAGAGAAGATAAAACCAATGAAATAAAGTGTTGTTTTCAACCAACCCAGGAGAAAGCAACATCATATACTCTAGGGTCTGAGCTTTATTAGCCAAAGAGAGGTTTTGAGACAGAGCTTCCTCAAACCTCTGGGGTGTACATGTTGATTGAAGGGCTCATGAATATGCTTTAGATACCAGTTTGGCAAGATTTATTTCCTTACAAGAGGATTTAGAATATAACACGGAATGAGATGGGCTGAGAGGAAGCCAGATTTCATCTAGGTAAGATAATCAGGCCCTAAATAAACTAAGACAGACAAAATAATGAGCTCCGTCCTCAGGGGTCATCCAGGCGTGCAGCTGGCAGGTGGCAAATGTCTTTATGCTATATACTGGTGACAACAGGAGACATTACCCACAGGAATGCTGGATCTCCTTCAACATGCCAGTCGTTTGTCTATTTGCTCTGTTCAGCCTTGCTCTGCCCATCTCTTAAACACAGACAGCTACATCTCCCATGATCTCTTGTTTGCTTGCCTGGTGGGTAATTTCAGATAAAAGGAAGTGCTGTGATACATTTGGGGACAATGTAGGGAGTTTTTTGTTTTGTTTTGTTTACTCCTCTCCTAACTATAAAAAGAATTGCCAGCAGCATTGCCTCTTACCTTAAATTTCTTTAATATTTTACCAAATGACAACTATAATTCTCTCTGTTGTAATTTAGTAGCAAATGTATTAGAGACTGATAACAAAGATATCTGAGAATAGACCCCCCAGAGTGGTACAGATTATGTTCATGTAGCACTTTTGTCCATACAAAGAAAAGTTCCATTCTGCATCAGTGTGTAATTTTCATTGTGGGGAAGTTACACAATGTATAAAAGGATGAAGAGATTGAATTGAGTAACATAATATTTGAATTATAAATTAACATTAGTTTTCCAAGATGATTAGCATATTTCTAATTGTTGTCCCTAAGATTATTATACATACCTATTTTTCACCCAATGTAATTAATAAAGCAGCTAAAAAAGTGTGGAAATGTTCATTTGAACATATGACTCTGATTTAAGCTGTTCAGTCCATAAATTTTATATTTTTACACTTTTCCTAAAATGTGTATCAGCCAATCTTAAAATTGATTGTGCTGCAAAATGCTAGAGGAGGGACATATTTTCTTAAGGATTAAACTCAGATACATGTGTATGTGTATATATATATATATATATATGAGTCTATATATATAAAATATAAACAATAAATGCAAAGGAGTTCTAGACATAGAGTTATATATCTATAAAATTCTATTTATGTATTTTTATATATGGAGAGAGATGCAGACATATATATATAAAGAACAATGTCCAAATTAAAGTTTAGAAATCACTAAAGCTATGAAAAGTTGCACAAATTGATAAGTTAATGTCAAGTGAACACAACCATGTAATTAATCAATACATAAAACATTGCCAGCATCTTAGATGGTCTCCTGTGTCCCCTCCCAAATATCCTCAATTGTTTTCCTGACTTCTCACACCATAAATACATTTTAGAACATTATATATAATGGATTCTTTCAAGGGGTTTGTTACTTTGGTTCTGTTTTCCTTGGCTCAACAATACTTTTGTAAAATCTGTCCCTATTTTTGATGGTAGAAGTAACTTGTCCATTTTTATTACTGTATGGTATTCTGCTGTCTCAATATATTGCAATATATTTATTCATTATTTTGTTGGTGGATATTTTGGGGTTGTTCAGCCTTTGGATGCTTCAGTCAATATTGATGGTTACTTTGTCAACATAATTACACTTTCGCATGCTCTTACTCAATCTGTGTAACACACACATAGATATCAAACGTGGGAAAATTTTCTTTTTGTTTTAAAATAGCACTTTTAGTTATTTTTAAGTGTGAGTCTACTAGTGAAAAATATTCTCAGTTTTTTTTTTTCCAGAAAGGCCTTTATTGCCTTATGGTGACACTTACATGCTTTTTGAAAATATAATTAATTCCATTGTATTCTAATTTCCATATTTTCTGTTGAGTAATCAGACCTGAGTTTTACTGCCATCTTTTTTTTTTTTTTTTCCTCTGCGTGGCTTTTCAAACTTTTCCTGTTTTTAATTTTCCGCACTTTATTTATTTATTTATTTATTTTTGAGACGGAGTCTCACTCTGTCACCCAGGCTGGAGTGCAGTGGCGCCATCTCAGCTCACTGCAAGCTTCGCCTCCCGGGTTCACGCCATTCTCTTGCCTCAGCCTCCTGAGTAGCTGGGACTACAGGTGCCTGCCACCACACCCAGCTAATTTTTTGTATTTTTAGTAGAGAAGGGGTTTCACCATGTTAGCCAGGCTGGTCTCGATCTCTTGACCTCGTGATCCGCCTCCCTTGGCCTCCCAAAGTGCTGGGATTACAGGCGTGAGCCACCGCGCCTGGCCAATTTTCTGTACTTTTTTTAATATACCCTAGTTATAGATTTGCTTTTTTAAAATTTTGTTATTGTTGTTACATTGTTGTTATTTTGTATTCTTGTGGTTTTTAGCCATTTTTTAATATGTGGCTAGAAATTCATTGCCAATTTTAAAAATTTCTAATTTAGTACCTTTTTATGCTTTGTTTTTGTCCTATTTTCTGTTTCCTCCTGTTCAAGGATTCAAATTACAAACATGTAGAACTTTCTACTCTGTGCCATACAGTTCTTTCAATTTTCCCCTATATTTTTATCTTTTAAATTTTTGAATTTTATCCTGAATTTACATCTTTCAATTTCATCCTAGATATTTTTCTCTAAGCTTCCTTTCAATTTACTAATTATCTTCTCAGCTATGTCTAAATTGAGTTCATTTAGTTCATTACATTTTTAATCAATATTTCCATTTAATTACTTTCTAGTTCTTAGTTCACCATAAAAATATCTATGTTAATATTTCTTTTGATAGCGTAATTGTAATTATATGTGTGTGCAAAAAACTCTAGAACTCCTTTGCATTCATTATTTATCTTAGCTTTTGCTTAAAGCTTGCCTTTTTATATATCTGCATATGTTTAGTTCACTATATATTACATATAAAAAGTCATATAGATAATCTGAGGATTAAATGCTATTATATTCATCCAAAGACACTAACTTATGCTCATATAAAACAGGTAGACTAGGGGCAGAGCTCCTCACCCTAATTAGTGACTGGCTGATTTGCAGGTGTGCTTTAGTCTGTGCAAGGGTCGTTTTATGTTGCATGTACACCAGAAATGTAATTGTCTGCAGCTCCTCCAAAAAACTGGTGTGTACATCAAGATCTCTCTCTTGTGATTTAATTCTCTCTTATTTTTGTGCCCAGCTCTGTGGCTACATTGAAAAGTCTGCTCAGTTTCTGAGCTTTTCATGGACTTCCTTTGCTTCTTGTCTCACTACCACTCCCAACACAAATTAGGCAGATAGAGTCAGTGATTGTCCCCTGTGTACACACATCAGAAAGTGTGTCTATAGCTGAGAAAATATAGTGTATAAGTTAGAAACCTAGAAATTGGTTCCAACTCAATTTATGGCCATAGAAGACCCTTCTAACACTGTCATATAAAAAGTGGTATTGTGAAAACACCAAAAATTTGATCTTGAGTTTCTCCATAAGAATAAAACAAATATTCCTTGAGCATTATGCCCCAATCACTGTTTTTTTAAAAAACATTTAAAAATTTATCAATCTCTCTTAACAATCATAAAAGGTAGTTACATTGTTACCTCAATTTCATAAATGAAGGAATTATGTAAATGAAGAAATTTCATAAATGAAGAAATTATGGCACAGACAGGTTAAAAAACTTGCTCAGATTTCACAATCAGGAAGTCAAGAGGCTTGAACTTATACCTAAGTTTTGACTCCAGAAACCATTGTCTTAATCTGCTAGGTCAGATCAACTCTCTCATACTTTGCAGTAAAGTGGGTCCTTGTCTATTAATCATGGTCTTGGTAATAGATTGGGCACTTTCCAACCAGTTCAAATTCTATGCTAATAAAGCACAGTTTGTAACCACAAACTTTGTCAATTTAGCAAACCTCTTTAATATAATTTATTAGAACTTTTTTAGAAGTTCTAATTTACAAGTTATTTTTTAGAAGCTTTTTATTAAGAAGGAGAAATTTGGCCGGGCGCGGTGGTTCACGCCTCTAATCCCAGCACTTTGGGAGGCCAAGGCGAGTGGATCATGAGGTCAGGAATTTGAGACCAGCCTAGCCAAGATGGCGAAACCCTGTCTCTACCAAAAATACAAAAATTAGCCAGGTGCGGTGGCGGATGCCTGTAATCCCAGCTACCTGGGAGGCTGAGGCAGGAGGATCGCTTGAACCCAGGAGGTGGAGGTTGCAGTGAGCCGAGATCGTGCCACTGCACTCTAGCCTGGGTGACAGAGTGAGACTCCATCTCAAAAAACAAACAAACAAAAAATGAGAAACTTTCACTCTATATCCATTTAAAACAGTTAAGAGAAAGGGAAAATAACTTTCTCTGCAAATAAAATTGTAGACATTTCTGAGCTTTTCTTTGTTTTCTTGACAGAGATTTCTGAGCTCTAGAACTATGAGACAATGAGCTGGTAAATGAAGATGGTTCCAGAAAATATAAATAGCTTAGGGATTGAAGAAAGATTTTCAGTGAGAAACACATTCTTAGGTAGAAAGTCTACAAAGTGTTAAGAACATCTACATGTATATTTAACAGTGGTTTGTGTTGTCTGGGCTTTGTCTACGGTGTGCTGTTATTCCCCTCCATTTCTACTGAACCTCGAGTTACTTCAGTTGCACTCAGCCTGTTATAGCAAACAGCCTTCTGGAGTTGTGCTGAAGGAATGAAGGGGAGGGGAGAAAAACTATTGGAAATTGACATTTTTAAACGTTGTGGAGATCTAAGGTTAAAAACCAAAGTAGATAATTATTTATATGATTCGTTTAAAATATTTCAAATTATAACATTTAAAAGAACAAGCCCAGAGCTGGCAAACAGTAATGGGAAGGCCATGCCCAGCATCTCCTTCCATGCTCATCACTGTTGTGAAAGGGGAGTCCCGATAGTTCACCAATTGCCTTGCACCAGACTTGTGATGGGATACATAAGATAACACGACATAGATGTGAGAAAGAGGTTATATTGTGGAAGGGGAAAACTTACACATCTGGGGTCAGACAGAGAAGATAAATCAAGACCCCCCTAGCTTCCTATCATCTCATACAGCTGTGTGCCAGGGCCAGTAAACACTGCTGGACAAGAAAACTACTCCCACAGCCCAGTGTAGGATACCCACTTCTCTCTCGTTGCTCTTGTTTTATAGGACAAGGTGAGAACAAAGTTATCAATAGTAGGGCACATAGACTGTTTGAATGACAGTCAGTTTGGATTTGGGGTACCGCTTTCTACAGCTGCCTACTACCTGAAAATTTCACAGGCAAAGGAATTTGCAGTCTCCTTGCCAGGAACTGGGGGAGTGGTCATTCCTGCAGTGGTCAGCTGAGGTCACATGCAGCCCTATAAGCTGGTAGGAGGTAAGGGCTCTTGCCCTATCACTATAGGAGCCAAGTCATTGTCTAAGCAACTCAGACAAAAATCTTAGAATTATTATTCTAAGAGTTTATTCTTAGAATAAACTATTATTCTAATTATTACTCTGCTTTCAATTCTTTCAATTATGTACCAAAACTGACATTCCTGGCTCATATGGTAATTTTGTGATACAAAATATTCTTAAAGAAACTTGCACCAATAAAATGCTTTATAAAATATGTAAATGTCTCAGAGATTAGGATTACATGATCCTGAATATTTATATCAGGGACCCCCAAGTTTTTTAACTTATAGCTGAGCAAAAGAACCTATTAATAATTTCTCTTCACTTCTCTTACTAGGAAATTTAGTGTTTTTCAGCTTCAGTTGTGAGAGCAAACTAAACCTATGGCTCTGAAGTCAAAGTCAGTCTTTGGCAAGGACAGTGTGAGCTTCACTAAACACTCAGCCATATAGCCTTTGGAAAGGCCAGTGTTTAAGAAAGGATAGGGTTTAACATTTAGAAGATTTCAGTTCTTTGACTATTTATGTTGTCCTGTTTTCCTTTCCTTATATCCAAAACACTCTCTCTCTTCTGCACTCATTTTTGTTCTCTGCCAGCTAGAGTTCTGCAGCCAAATGCACTCTAGTAAAAAGCACTTCAATATACATTCACTATGATAGAAATTTTGATACATAGTAAGATACAATTCAAATATTTTCTATGCTATTAATACCTCATTTTGGCTATTTCTTATATCCAATGTTGCTATTTTCTTATTTTGATAAGCGTTAAAATCACGAAGACCCAATTTTCATGAGAGATTCACTGGAAGCCAATATTAACATTATTATCCCAATCATCTCCACCACCCTTAACTTCTGGTAGCGTTTATAGACAATCTGTTAACTTGCATTTTCATCTTTAAAGGACTGACATTTTGACAGATACTACTTTAATGAATGAATTATTTGACACTGAATCTCAGAGGGATTAAGGATGTGTCTAACAAGACTTCTGGCATGAAACTTATACTTTCCCATACCTTGATGCCATCTGACGAAAAAGAAAAATAATTAAGAAACTGTGGAATTTAAGTAGAGTAGCATTTAATGATGTGGTATGTGGAAAAGGTCATTTTGCTGAAACAGTTGATACATATGTTCTAATCCCATACCCAAGACTTAATTTTGGCATAATCTTAAGTAAGCTTCATTTTTCTTAGCTCTAGCATTGCTTCATCTGACTCAGAATGATCATAAAAAGTTAGATAATAAATTTGAGAGATTTTAAAATATTCTTAAAGTGTAAGAAAATATATCACATAATTTCCTTCATTTTAACACTCAGTCTTTAAAACTCGCAACAGCAGGTCATCACATTACACGCACCAAATGCTATATTTAGAATAAAACTGTATTGTGTGATTTCAATTTAAATATTTTGCAGATAATATAAATAAATGAAATATATTCTAGGCAATCCAAATCTGGCAAAAATGTTACTTTAAAAATATCTATAGGTGTATATAGAAGTAAGAAACCAGTTTCCTGGACAAAAATATTTCTAAGTGTAAGAACAAATATATATGAATTAGGATAATAAAATTAGTCATTTTTCAAAGAAAAAAATAATGCCTCAGTATGGAGTGTCATGAATTTAAAAGTGGTGCAATGTGGTTGCTGGAACCAAGACTCAAAAAATGCTGCTTTGCGTTACCAGTGAAAACACATTATTTTCCCTCAGGAAGTGGTCTAGATGAATTTGGTATGTTGAATGTAGATCTGAATAGGATCCATGAAGTGATTATAACTCCCACTTAGCATCAGTAAATAGGTAGATCATAAGTCTGTGTTTGAAAATATACTAATTGAAAGGATATTAGTATACATTGTCATTCTACTTTAAGGATCAATATATGTTGATAATAGGTAAAACTGTTTATTCTGTCTTTTTAATACAAAAATGGAAAAATCCTATTAGTTGTACCATAAATATATACTTATAATGATGGAATAACATATGATAAAAGCCTATTACATTGCCTATTATACAGAAAGCATGCCAACTGAAAAAATATGGTGGTTCCTAGTGCTTTATCTTTCATTGAGCTCATTGCTGTCCTCGTTGCCTTCAAAACCTCTTAGAAATCTTGCCTTTGAACCCTCAAGTCTTTCATCTGGTAATTCGATCCAGTATCTTTTATATAGGATACAGTAAGATAAGAAACACAGTACAAACATCTACCAGAATAGGAAAGACTTAGGAAAGTACAGCATTTCTATGAAGTATCACTCCACACCCAGTGTGGAAGAGGTGTGTGTGTGCATGCGTGTTTGTGTGTGTGGTATGTGTTCCTGAGGCAAACATCACTAAGCAGAAATAAATACTTAAACAGAGAAAAGCTGAGGGATTTTCTGTTGAAAAATGAAGGAGTTGGCCGGGCGCGGTGGCTCATGCCTGTAATCCCAGCACTTTGGGAGGCCGAGGCGGGCGGATCGCGAGGTCAGGAGATCGAGACCAGCCTGGCTAACACGGTGAAACCCCGTCTCCACTAAAAATACAAAAACAAAATTAACCGGGCATGGTGGCGGGCGCCTGTAGTCCCAGTAGGCTGAGGCAGGAGAATGGCATGAACCCAGGAGGCGGAGCTTGCAGTGAGCCGAGATTGCGCCACTGCACTCCAGCCTGGGCAACACAGTGAGACTCCATCTCAAAAAAAAAAAAGAAAAAGGAAGGTGAGGGAGTAAGAGTTGTTGAGATGAAATTCGGTGAGTAGGATGAGGCCATAGCAAGGAAAGCTGTGGGTGGCAGGCTGTGGAATTAGCATCCTTTTGCAGGCACTGTGGGTCACTGGCTATTGCACAGGACCTAGGAGGCCTTGTTGATCCAAACCCCTCCTTATACTGGGAGCTCCCTCTTCTGGATTTACCTGTGAGTATGAATGGCATGCTTAGAAGGAAAGTATCAAATAGAAGTTGCAATGGAAACAAAATATTGGAATAAAATATTCAAGAATCATTGTTGATTACTCCTTAGACAATCAATAGACTAATCGAACTTCAGTGGCTTCCTGCATCCTGTAATGGACTTTTTGTGCCTGACTTTTATCTCAACATTGAAGCTCTGAGAAAATAATTCATATTAAACATAAAATATTCACAGACAAAGGGAGTTGTATAATTCATTCTACTTTTAAATCCGTTCACAAGACACAAACCTTAAAAATCACTATTCGAAAACATTGGAAAAATAAAAAATACTGAAATACTTGATTGAAATCATGTTCAAATTATGACCATAGAAGATATAAATAATGGCAACCAAAATGCCTAGTTGGAGTCTGACACTGAGCTTGAGGGTTCATACATATTCTTAAGCTGTTTTATGGCCTAATTTGTATCCAGAAATAGATAGATGTCCATACTTGTTTTCTAGAATTCTTTAAAAATGAATGCTAGCAATTTTCAGGGTTATAGGAGGATGAAATTAGTGATCCAATTTTTTAAAAAGTTAACCATATTTATTAGACACTTTTATGTATGAGATATTTTTCTCTCCTTAGCATAGGATAAGAGAATAAGTTCCAATGATGAAATAGAAAGTAAATGTTCAATTCTAGTAGGCAGTTAATATGGTAAAGATTTCAGGAAAAGGTCTAGAGATTCTAGTTTCAGCCCTAGTATTTAGGAGCTGTGTGACCTTGGATAAATTGCTTTAATCTTTGCAAACCTCAGCTTCTTGACAGTATAAGAAAAGGGGAGATTTGTTAAATGAGAACTAAAGACATTTGTAAGTCTACAATTTTATGCTGTGATGTATTCTTCTGTGAGTTATTAAAATTCAACATGTCCATAGCATTCTATTAGGGCTGCAAAATCACAAGGCAGGCATCTAATTATGTTAAATTTCTGAATTCTACTGTCTGCATAAGATAGCTCCTAAGTGCCTCTTTAGGTCAAACCAGCTCTAGCATGCTATTTAATCACTCTTAATTTATCACACTGATCTGGATGCAGCGTTTAAGCCTTTTATGTGTTGGCCTCACATGTAGGATATGGTATTTAACTTCTGCATCCAAATCCAAAATGTACTTCGAACATCAGCTCCAAGATACAATATAATATTTCAGTAGGATTGATAAAATACAAGCAAAGAAGTGCTAAAGTCTGTATAATTCTGTGTGTGTGTTTATTTCTCTGTGTGTATGCAAATTCATTAAAACACATGGACGTTTCTATCATGTAAGAATGCTAGTTGATTTCATGACCAGTAATCTGAGTGCAAGTAGCAGCTGAAGAGAAGCCTGAGGATGCTTTATGATAGAGAAGAGCCTATAATTATTCTACAATCATTGTCTGTGAATAAGGAGAAATTATCTTCAAATTAATAATCTTTACTCTGCAGCTAGCTCTTTCCTATACAGGTAAATTATCTAGAACATGAACTGTCAGTAGAGGTTAGGAAGTAATATATCTCTTTTTCTTTGTTTGTCAGAAGAAGCTACTTGCTGTCTCTTCAAAATGTTCAGATCTCCAGTATAGTGGTTAGAGGACAGTAAAGAGTGTTGCCAATGACGTCTTAGAGAGAAGCAGGAAAATATAGGACTTTCAGCTACTTCAAATTCTAGTAATCCAAGAAGCGGAGCGTAAATATAGCAACAACATTAGAATCCTGTCAGGAAAGACTTCCAGGTTTATTCTATAGAGAGTCATCATAAATTATTAACAATAAATCCCATACTGTCTGTTTATGAATTTTTCTCATTTTATTAATCTCATAGCTTCTGTATTCTTTATGAATATAATTACATTATTTTTAATTACCGCATTTCTCAATACTTAATCTTCTGGAGTTAATCTAATGATTTCGGTAAAACAATTAACAAACTAGAAAAGGTATGCCTTTGTGCTGAGTTTTGAATTAGCAATAAGCCCTTTGTCCATTGACTTCCTATCTATAGTAAACACCAAAAGTTCAGTCTACTGAAAAGCAGAGACATATTTCTTTTATTTAGTAAATAGGTGTTTTATTCAGCAATTTTTTTATTCCCACTGTTAATGAAATTATTAAAATTATTTTTGCCTGCTGGATCATTAGCTGTGTATGTGCACATTGGAAGCAGTGCTTATTCACAGAGGGGAGCCCACTCACTCCTGAAATAAGATGGTTTCTTCCTTCTCTCCAAAACATTCATTGGTAAACATAATGTAGTCCGTCTTCCAGATAGAGATTCTCAAAGCCCCTATATGGATGTTATAAAGGCAATGTATCTTGGCATATCATAAAAGGGAGCAAAAGGAATAGGTCAAGAATAAAGGAATTTCCTGAGAATATAATGCCTTGCACATAACTGAGGATCATCAAGTAATATTAAGTAAAGGAGAAGAATAATATGTGGTAGTGAGAGGTGAAGCCAGCTGGACTTCCTGGGTCCAGTAGGGACTTGGAGAACTTTTCTGTCTAGCTAAAGCTTTGTAAAGGCACCAATCAGCACTCTGTAAAATGGACCAATCAGCAGGATGTAGGCAGGGCCAAATAACAGAATAAAAGCTGGCCACCCAAGCCAGCAGAAGCAACCTGCTCGGGTCCCCTTCCATGCAGTGGAAGCTTTGTTCTTTCTCTCTTCACAATAAATCTTGCTGCTGCTCACTCTTTGGGTCCACACTACCTTTATGAGCTGTGACACTGAGGAGGTCTGTGACTTCACTCCTGAAGTCAGTGAGACCACGAACCCCCCAGGAGGAACAAACAACTCTGGACACGCCACCTTTAAGAGCTGTAACACTCACTGCAAACGTCTGCAGTTCCACTCCTGAAGTCAGCAAGATCACGAACCCACGAGAAGGAAGAAACTCCAGACACATCTGAACATCTGAAGGAACAAACTCCGGACACAACATCTTTATGAACTGTAACACTCACCGCAAGGGTCCACAGCTTCATTCTTGAAGTCAGCAAGACCAGGAACCCACTGGAAGGAATAAATTCCAGACACAGTAGGTTGGTTATTAGCCAGAGAGAAATGTATTCACAATTAGGGAGTCAGTAACCACCTGAGTAAGGGGATTGACAGAAGTTATTTAATTATCTGAGGAGAAAAAAAACATGGTATAATGCATTTGTTTCAGAGTAATATAATTATTATTTTTGTTCTCTTAAACACTTGAGGAAAACCATTATTGCATAACTTTTAAAGTTTTCTGAATAATTTTTCCTCCCTAATGGACACGTAATTCCCATTTGTTATCTGGTTGTCTGATTACTTACATAATTTCATGCGGAATTTAAGATGGTGGTCAGAAATCTCAGTGGCAAAGTTTGGCAAAAGAAGGCAAAAAAGTTGAAAAACAACAAGTTTCCAACATTTGGGTTTCTGATTTTATAAAGGCTGATGTGGCCGGCTTGCCACATTTGTGAGCAAATCAGTTGGTAATTGCTAACACTTCAACAAATTAAAGAGGGGTGAGCAGTGCAATGGGAGTTCTGACATAAAGGCAGGAGCACTGCCATGCCCACTAACTGAAAACTCAGAAGTCCAACTCAGTCTACACACAATGAGGGCAATTTACTGGGAAATTTAGGAAAGAGGGCAATTCTATCAGCCCTTCTCAAATCAGGAAATAAACAAGATGCTTCTATGAACTCTAGGAGCATGTTTGTTATTTTCTTGTTCAAGGTCCGATCAACTCTACCACTTGAAAAGGAAGTTTGAGGAGAGGCTAGACTGTCAGATGCCTATTAGTTTATTAATACTGAATGAGTGGAGTCTCCATAGTACAGAAGAGAAAATACAATAATAAATTCACAGTAGAAAAAAAATCTTTAATTGTCCAAAATAATATTAATAAGTTTGAGATAAGAGTCATACATTCAGAGATCCTTTTGCCAACTGGCCAGTTTTCCCATGAGAAAAAAAGAAACTTAGGCCACATATGTGCACCAAGTCATACCTACAGGTGGCTGAGATGGGGTTAGGTTTGTCATTTTCCAGTTCATGCCTTTTTCCACTCAATCTTTACATAGCACCATGGCCTTCATGCTCCCACTCCCTGGCCTCTTCCTACTCCAGGCACCCACTCCGGGGCAATGCAAAGTTGTGGCCTAGTCTGGGTGCTACTGCAACCCAGCTGGGTGTGCACACACTTGGGAGTAACACTAACACACAAGCCTCCTGATGCTTTGGGCCCCTCCAGACTTTGGACACTGCTAAGCACAAGAAGGAGATGGAAGGGGTGCTGAGGGCTGTTTGGCACAGGACTGGAGGTGCCCCTCAGCACAAACAGCCTGGGTGCCATGGATGGTATGTTGATGGCAGGAGGCAGACAGTCTCCTGGGTGGAAAGGGGCAGGTCCCCGGTGAAACCCCACCTTCAAGCCAGGGATGGACAGAAGCCTCAGGATCAGACTTCCAGTTCTGGGTGGAGTCTGTGACCCAGAGTGAGAACTTATGGTGCTTTTGCCCATGCCTGCCCATGACCACCCATAAACCAGTCAGTACACACTTCCTCCCTTCTAAGCCCATAAAAACCCCAGACTCAGCCAGACTCACACAGACATTGGGAGTACCAGCTGCAGGAAGGAGCTACCCACTTCAGGTCTCCTCAGCTTGTCCAGATGACCTGCCTACAGAACACAGTTGTCCACTATGGGTCTCCTCTCCCCTGAGGTAGGAGCTGTCCACTATGGGTCTCCTCTCTGCTGGGAGCTGGACACTTCTCAGATGACCTGCCTGCAGAAAGAACCTACCTACTTTGGGTCCCCTGAGAGCTGTTCTATCACTTAATGAAGCTTCTCTATGCCTTGTTCACCCTCTGTTGTCCATGTACTTCATTATTCCTGGATGCAGGACAAGAACTCAGGACCTGCCAGATGGCAGGACTGAAACAGCTGTAACACCAACAGGGTTTAAACATGCCCCTCTGCTTGCCACAGTTGCGGATAATGAGAAGGAGAGAACAGCTGTGGCCTTCTGGGAAGTCCAGACTAGGGGCTCCCCGAGCCAGGGCTGTGACACCCTCCATGGGGCTCTGTAGTTCTTGACATCTCCAAGCTTCCAGGTGCCATCATGTTTCCCTCATCCAAATGCAGGTGCCCACAATAGAAGCCACATGAAGGTACATCTGGTCCAGCTGCAGCCTCACCCAGAGCCAGCACATGTGCCACAGCCTGGAGCTGCCTGCCCTGCCACAGCAGCCGGTGTGCCTGGCTGTGCACAATGGCTGGACCCTGCACTCACTCATCCACACACCCCTCACTGCTCTGCACCTGACTCAACCTTGGCAGGTGTGGGACTCGGGCTGGTAGCACAAGCTGAGTGCAGCCTGCCAGGCTGAATGGGCAGAGTGAGCCCATTGGGTGTGAGCAATACTCAGGCAGAAGGCACCACTGGCCACAGAGCTTTCCAGCTGGCGAAGCGACACCCCAAGGATCCCAAGACATAAATATACGTGTATAAACCATTTTATTTCCCTAAATAGTTATGAAAATGTAGACACAAATTAGCATTAGAGTACTAAGTGTTACTGTGATCACTTGTTGAGAATTATAAAGGAAGGCTATGCCAGAGGTACAACAGGAATGTAGTACTCTTATTTTATTGTAAATCCATTCAGATTTATTTTTCAAAACCAAATTTGCAAATTAATATAGTAAACAGCAAAATGCAAACACCAACATTTAGGGTTATAATCTAACTAAAGCTCTGTTTTTATTATTTTTATTTCACATTTAGGCTTTTTAAAAGAAAAAAAGTTTAAATGGTTTCACATTTTCACTATATAAAAAGAGAAAACTGTTACTGTTACGATTTGACTTAAGATACATTTCAAATATTGTTAAGATCAGTATTTTTCACACTTGGCTGTGTATTGGAATTGCTTGGGGAGTTTTAAAAATACTGTGTTATATCCTGAAGGATACTATTTGAATTAGTATGGGATGTGACCTGGGCATCAGTATTGTGAAAAGTTCTCTGGAGTAATTTTAATGTGTAGCCTACTTTGAGAACCACTCGTCTAGGACACAGTATCTTCTGGCATCCGGCTCCATTTGTGAAAATAATGGAGCTTGTTCAAAACAATTGACAAAGGGTGTTCCAGGTCCAGAAACTTGATTTTGTAAGTCCCATTGGGGTGGTCCACCCAGAAAAAATTACAACAGGTCTGTCAATTTACTTTCCTCCACATAGGTCACTCTGTGTTGAGACATATCTAGTCTGGAGACCATATTGCAGATGAAAATTGGCTTGGAAAGAAGGCAATTAGAAAGTGCATATTTTCTGTAGTAGGGCTGTGATTATCTGGTAACGTGGAGGAAGGCCTCTTTCCACTGTAAGGACATTTTAGTCTAAATAAATGTTTGCTTCCTCTAGTCATAAAGAATCTGAGAATCAGCTCTTAAAAGTGTAATTTAAATGCTCCTACATCCATGCTCTGTGTTTACCTATTCCTAGACTCTGCTGACTATTGCAGGGTTGGCTACAAAAGAGTTCAGACAATCTTGGCTGGGCGCAGTGGCTCAAGCCTGTAATACCAGCACTTCGGAAGGCCAAGGTGGGTAGATCACTTGAGGTCAGGAGTTTGAGACCAGCCTGGCCAATATGATAAAACCCCATCTCTACTAAAAATACAAAAAAGAAAAAGCCAGAAATCCCTTGAACTGGGGAGGTGCAGGTTGCAGTGAGCTGAGATCGTGCCACTGCGCTCCAGCCTGGGTAACAGAGCAAGATTCCATCTCAGAAAAAGAAAAAAAAAAGTTCAGAGAATCTCGTTGAAGCTCCAAACTCTCACCTCCCTCTACTCTGGCTGTGAGTCCACACAGGATGCCTGACCATTTTTACTTTATGTTTCAGGCACTTTGACATACTGGCTGAAAGCATATGCTCTGAAATCTAGTTGCCTAGGTTTACATTTTAATCCCACCATTCCCCAGCTTGGCTAATTAATTCTCTAATCTTCAGTTTTCTCATCTACAAAATGTAAACAGTAATAGCTATCTCATATATCACCTGTAAGGACTCAATAATGCATTTGATGGAAGTAGTGTGTTTGACACTGTTAATGGAACTATTCATTATGATTATCAATTATTTTACTAAATCAGCGGCAGCAACATATTTTTTTTCCACTCCCACCACCTGTTCCTTAAGTAGAAGAGTGACAGTAGCGTATTTTAGGAGGGACAGTGGGTAAAGGACGGAAGTGCCTGTGAAAAGCATCTCTTAACCCACAGAACTAGAAAATTCACCCAAAGGGGCTTTTTCTGTGTGGGCCAGATTCTCTTCCAATTAAGATTAAAACATATTTATAGTTTACTGTGTCTTTCCTATTAAATGATATAGCTCTCTTTTTTTTTAGAGTCAAATAACTGGGGTGTTATATGCCTAGAAACTATTAAAAGAATTTTAAAGCATGTAATCCCAAGGAGCAGAACACTTATTTTTGAAAATAGAGGTCTCTCAAATAGTCCACCAAGTGGAGCGTATATAAAAATAATGTGATACTGACAAAACATTAGCAGAAATAAGCAGAGATCAAAAATCATCAGTGTGGGCCAGGTGCAGTGCCTCACGCTTGTAATCCCAGCACTTCGGGAGGCTGAGGCAGGCAGATCACTTGAGGTCAGGAGTTCGAGGCCAGCCTGGCCAACATGGTGAAACTCCGTCTCTACTGAAAATACAAAAATTAGCTGAGGGTGGTGCCAGGCATCTGTTATCCCAGCTACTCGGGACTGAGGCACAAGAGTCACTTGAATCCAGGAGGTGGAGGTTGCAGTGAGCTGAGAAGACACCATTGCACTCCAGCCTGGGCAACAGAGTGAGACTCCATCTCAAAAAAAAAAAAAATTGTGATGTGCATATTGAGAAATAAATTGTGTTATATATGATCCTGTAAAATATCTTTAATTTTACAATACAGTAACAAACTGCAAACTATTGTAGAATAGAAATATATCTGACAAAACCATCTGCTCCTCAGCAAAGAGGAAGGTTCGACATGGTTTTGATCAGAGGTATCATTAATGAAAGAACAATCACCTGAAAGATTAATAACATCTGAAAGGGAAGAATTTCCTTTTATCTCCTTTTGCTTTCCTATCCTTTAATGTAGATGTTAATGAGTATTGAAATCGACAAAAGGGAAAAAATAATAATAAGGCACAGGAGAAAGGGGCACATTGGATTTTCATCCTTGAATAATCTGACTTGGTTGGCGTGACCTTCCCCATTTGAGCACCTCTGAAAATAGTCTGTGACGGGAATTTTTCATGTCTATTTTTGCGCAGAAAGTAAATAATCATAGAATAAGAAAAATATTGCTTAGGCATTTTCTGAGATGATCTCTAGGAAAATTCAGAATTCTTATGCATCATATTTTGTGAGAGATGAAAAAGTGGTATCTTCTTCAGTCCATTAAACATCCCTTTGTAGCAAATCCATTTCTGTTCTTTATTCTCTAACCACTCCCCATCTCCTACCCTTCAATTTTCGGAAGAAGCACATCCTCATTGGGAATATTTTTTTTTTCGGGGGTAGGAGGCCCTAATCTAAAATTAAATGTCTGTTTAGGGTCTGTAAATTTGCTGAATTTGCTAAGATAACACCCCCTCCCCTCCTCACTGTGTGAACAGATTCTCTGAGACGCTTAAAGACAGGGATGTGACTAATACACAAGGAACAAATAGCCTGGCCGCAATTGGTGTAGCATTGCCTAATAAACAACAATCCGTTTTTCTGTGTTCATTAAGCAGAAAACTAATATTTACATATGACTAAATATTTTTAATTGTTTAATGGTTTTCTCTTGTGCAACTGCACAAGTTCCCTCTCTGGAATTGATTTCTTTTTAGCTACGTGTGGTCAACGTCAAGGTCTTGGTTCTGCTTCGGGTTCTCTTGACCTCCATCCAGGTCAGTCCTGCCAGGCAGGTGACAGGGGTTCCCTCAGTCTTTCCAGTAGTGCCATGCCTGTGCTGCTTGGGCTTGCTGGCCTCAAGTGCCGAAGAGCACGCAGGGACCCCTGCTGCTGCTCCTGTGGGTGCATTCACTTCTTGTCTCTTTGACAATGTTATGCTGTTATTTTAGCTCTTGCTGGTTCCCTATGTTGTTGTCTCAGAAATGTGCAAGGCTGTATGTTTTCTCTGGCCGCCCAGCTGTCTGAGGACAAATTTCACTTTTCCTAGGCCTCTGTTGTACCTTTTTTAGGGGTGGGGAGGATGAAGTCTCACTCTGTCGCCCAGGCTGGAGTACAGTGGCGTGATCTCAGGTCACTGCAACCTCCGCCTCCCAAGTTCAAGTGATTCTCCTGCCTCAGCGTCCTGAATAGCTGGGACTGCAGTCGCGCTCTGCCACGACTGGCTGATTTTTGTATTTTTAGTAGAGATGGGGTTTTACCATGTTGGCCAGGCTGGTTTCAAACTCCTGACCTCAGGTGATCAGCCCACCTCAGCCTCCCAAAGTGCTTCTGTTTTACCTTAATTGCATTCTATGGCAATAAAAATTACCAGTCTCTTTGATATGACTCTTGGTCTTGTGAGCAGCCCATTTCGTGCCATGACCACAACATCAATATCCCAGTGGCTCCATCCTTCCTTTGTCATGTGCCAGCCACTTTGACTACATGAGCTAACTAGTGGCCAGTTGCAGCAATTCAGGCCCCATGGTTCTGGATGATGCTAGTCATGCAATTATCTCATTAAAAGCCACTCTTGGAGCATTTGATGGTGCTCTGTATTGACTCTGTGGTTTCATGTAGGGAGGAAATAGATTTTCCAGCTAAATGACACTGGAAATACTGAGATTAGGATTGATAAGACAGCAGAACCAAAGCTCAGAGGTGTGTTCCATCTGGGTTTGACTTTCAGGTTTTCTAATGTATAAACTTGGACAATTATGGACCTCACTGGACCTCAGTTTCCTTGATGGTGAAGTGCAGATAATGGATGGTGACTTTACTAAGCTTCTGTGAAGGTTAAATGAATAAGGGTCATACAGTGCCTTGTTAGTGCCTAAACCTATGATGGATGCTGAATAAATGTTAGTGATGAATGGCAGCATCTTTTATTAAAATTCCTCATTCCTTTACTGTGACCTCTGGGTTTTTCCTCTTCCTACTAAAAGTGAAGTTATGAGCATTATTTGTCTGTTTACTTTTCATTTTATCAAAACTGCCATTTGAATACCCTGCTTAGTGATGGCAATGCTATCATACGCTGTCAAGAAAATCAATGCTCATTAAGAAAAAATAGGTTTAATTATATTTTGTTTATATTTGTATTTCACCAGTGGAAATAAATGAATACCTAAATGTAAATGAATAGAAAACAAATTATGTTAAGCATTCTCAGTTCCATATTAGCCCCTTTAAATCTATACCATATAAGCTGCAGTGAGATAAAACTAAATATATTTTCAAATCATGTTTAAATTAAGACATCAGAAGACACATTTCACATGCTCAGATGGAATTTCATTGCCCTCAGAAGAGTCAGAATATATATTACTATAATTTTCAATTATGCAACATGAAATTGAAATATTTATAAGCAATCATAATTAAACTAAGGGCCCAACATAACTTTTTAAACTACATTAAAAACAAAAAAACCTCATGTCTATAAATAATCCCTTTCATCCCCTTCCCTCAAAAAAAGACATAAAATGAACACAGCATGCCTCAAACATTTTGCACCTCTTAAATTTCACAAAGTCCTGGTTAATCCATATTCCAGCACAGATTTCCAAAGAATCACCTAAATTTGGAGACAACTCAGGATTTGGAAGAAGATAAGTAGTAAAGATACGGATGTGTCTCACTCAGTTAAGGGATAAGGCTTCCTGGGGACTAAGCTGTCCTATTAAGAAAAACTGTTAAGACGCATAAAATTTGATTATATCTGTGGTAGTCAATACTGGTGTTTTTTAAATACTCTTGTCTCTCTACATTCCTGGACTCCTGTGGATAGGTGAATCCTGTGGCTTATTTAGCCCAGTGAGTTGTTAGCCAAATGGGAATGTGTTTTAAGGCCAGTATGTGCAATTGTCAATGCAAATGCCTATAGAGATTTCCCTTTGGAAATGTGTTTTGTGAAGGCTGCTTCTTGAGCCTGGATCCCTGAATGTCTGCATGGAGCAACTGTACCGTCTGCTCATTAGCAGTGGCCATATGAGAGGATAAGATATATACACACACACACACACACACACACATACACACATCTATATACACACACAAGCAAAATAAATATATATGCTAAACATTAGCATAGCTAAGTATGCCTGAATAGCTAACCAGCAGTTTTGGGAGGGGGCCTAGACATAGGGCTATCTATTTAGAGTAGAATATGCAACTGAAGAAGTAGGGAAGCTGTCCGTTCTAGTCATGAGCCAAGGATTTGGGAGAACCAATCCCCTTCTGCCCATCACTCATCCTCCACCCTTCTCAGTAGACTGTTACCAAGGAAATGAAGAGATGTGGTTCTGGGACACATTCCTAAGAAATTTGTCAGAGACACTGCAGAGGTACAAGAAATTACATGGGTGGATATAAAAATAGCAGAATCCCCAGAAATAAATTCCAGAAAGAGACTCACTAGAACAGGGCAGACAGGGAACAAGCTACAACTTTACTTGAGGAGAGAAAACATTTAGAACATATTTCATTCAATAGCATGTTAGTTTTAAAAGTTATAAAACGGCCAGGCACGGTGGCTCACACCAGTAATCCCAGCAGTTTGGGAGGCTGAGGCGGGTGGATCACGAGGTCAGGAGATCGAGACCATCCTGGCTAACACGGTGAAACCCCTTCTCTACTAAAAATACAAAAATAAAATTAGCCGGGTGTGTGAACCAATGCTCCTGGCCATTGGTACGGTTTTCTCTTGCAACTATTCAGCTCTGCTGCTGTAGTCTGAAAACAGCTATAATACATAAATAAATGTCCGTGGTTGTGTTCCAATCGAACTTAATTTATGGACACTGAAATTTTAATGCCATGTGATTTTCATATGTCATAAAATATTACTCTTCTTTTAATTATTTTCAATCAATTAAATGTGTTTTAAAAATTCTTAGCCCCTGGGCTGTTCCAAAACTATAAAATGCAACTATATGAAAATATTTATTTTAAAAAACTATAAACAAAAGTATTTAAAATTTGAATATGAATTTTGTTTTCAAGAGTATTTTCTTAAATATTAAAATTATTAAAATTAAATGGCAAACATAAAAATTATCTTAATGTATATCAAACTCTATATCAGAAATTCTAATCTGTCTGAAAAGTTGTTTCTCTTAAATTTAATCATTATGATAAATACTTCCATTAAAATGAAACTGTCTTCACTAAATGCACAATTCTAGTATTTAATATCCATATGGGTGTCGAGATATTCAGTACCATGTTTTCAGTCACATAAAATCTGAACTTTTATATGAAAGTAACATAAAATATTTTATGTTCCCAACAGTCCTCAGCATCCATGTTCAATTTGTTTAATTAGATCTAATCATTCGAACCTCCAAAATGAACTAGAGCACAAAGAGATGCAAGTAAATTGAGCCCAGAATGATCTCCAATTACTAAAAATTCAGCTGCTTTCCTGCTATTAAAGAGAATACTTTGGGAAGTTAAATAATGTTTCTTTCCTTGTACTTAAATATATCAGCCACAAGAGTCCTTCCCTTGCTCTGAATCAGCATCTCTGTGAAAAACTGGCAGCAGCATCTATCCTCAAACCTCATGGCATTCCTCCTCAGTCACCGTTTACAAGAACAGGGCAAGCTGGAACTTGAACAGTGTCAGTAATGAGAGTGGAGGGTTCAGTTGAGTTTGGTGAGAGGGGTGTCTCTATATTTCATGGCAAATTTCCCTTTGCTGTCATCGGCTTATGGGGCATGGTCTTTGCTTGAGTCCAAGGGTGTTACAGCTGGTTGAATTTTGTTAGGGCCAGAGGGAACACAAAACTGGGCCTTTTCCTCCGCTTCTGCATTGAATGGGGGTGGTACTGCTGATGGTACAAGCTCTAAACATTCCTATTCTCGTTTAGTACTATATCCTGGGAAGCTTTCCTTTGGCTTCTTGATGATGACTGCTTTTAAGTTTGGGGTGAGCACAGTCAATATTTCCCAGTGAGGCACTTCCCATGGAAAGTGGCTTTTACCCTTCAAAAGATGGGATTATACCATCCAGTGTCCCCAGTTGCTTAGTATCTGGCATTCCCTGCAACTCCTGTAAACAGCTGGTCCTCAAATGTAGACTGTAGTGCAATGAAGTTACTGTACAGGGTTTGTTCTATTGAAACAAAACAAAACCAAAAAAAAAAAAAACCCTTTATGTTATGGGCTGAATTGCATCTCCTTCCTCTGCCACAAATTCACTGGTAGAAGTCTTAACCCCCAGAACCTCAAAAGTGATTATATTTGGAGACAGGTTCTTTGCAGAGGTAATTAAGTTAAACTGAGGTCATTAGAGTAAGGCCTAATCCAATATGACTGGCATCCACGTAAGAAGAGAATTTTTTTCTATTTTAATATTTAGTGATGTTTTGTTATTATTTTAAAATGTTTTCTCAATTGCAGTTTTTCTTTCCTTATTTTTAAATTTGTGTACATTTAAGGTGTACAGGAGAAGTTTTGTTATATGGATATACTGCTCTGTAGTGAAGCTCTGTGTGAAACCATCACCTACATAATGTACATAGTATCCATTAAGAGAAGAGGAAATTTGGACATAGAAATGAACACAGAAAAGATGATGTGAAGATATAGGGAGACAGCAGCCATTTATAAGCCAAGGAAAGAGTTAGAACAAATCTTTCCTCACAACCCTTGGAAAGAAACAAACCTGTCTGGGTGAGGTGGCTCATGCCTGTAATCCCAGCACTTTGAGAGGCCCAGGCAGGCGGATCACGAGGTCAAGAGATAGAGACCATCCTGGCCAACATGGTGAAACCTCATCTCTATTAAAAATACAAAAATTAGCTAGGTATGGTGGTGTGCACCTGTAGTCCCAGCTCCTCTGGGGCTGAGGCAGGAGAGTCGCTTGAACCCGGGAGGCAGAGGTTGCAGTGAGCCAAGATCGTGCCACTGCACTCAAGCCTGGCAACAGAGCGAAACTCCGTCAAAAATTAAATAAATAAATAAACAAACAAACAAACAAACACTTGGTTAGACTGTCAGGTTTTGTGGACCAGGAGCTGGGACCAAGTAAAATGTCAATAGTTTGTCTCTATTCAGTGGTATCTGAGGCTCTAGCTAGGAATACTCTAAAGGTTGGGGGAGTGGCCAGGAAACTTTAGGGGACAGGGAGTATCTCAAACTGGGGGGGGGGAAAGGCTTGCTTGGTAGAATCTGGTCTTTTGAAGTCAGAAAGCCAGAGTTTGATCTCAAATTCACAATTCATTTTCTTGTGTAACCTTCTGCAGTTCACAAAGTGTCTCAGCTTCATTTCATCACTATAAAAAGACTGTGCTAACACTTACCTTTCAGTAACATCCATAAGAATTTAAAACTATGAACAAAATTCTCTAATACGGTGTCTGGTAAAGAGTAGATTGTTTTCTCTAACAGCTTTATTGAGGTATAATTGACATAAAAGAAACGGCACATATTTGAAGTATATACTTTGATAAGTTTTACCAATGTATATATGCAATAAGCCATGATCTCAACTATATTAGAGAATATGTCAATCACACCCAAGGATTCCCTCTGTACTTCCTTTCTCCTGTCCCTCCTCAGTTGTCCCACCCAACCAACCCAAGGCAGTCACTGACCTGTGTACTGCCACTATGTAGTTCAATATATTTGGAATCACTCAGCATATACTGTTTTCCTGGTTTCTTTTGCTACAAGATAATTGTTTTTAGACACGTGTGTAGTTTCTTAATCATGATTTGTTCATCCTTTCAGCTGTTGATAGACATCTTGGTTGTTTCTAGTCTGGGTGGGACTATAATAAATTATAAACATTTTTGTACTAGTTTTTGTATAAAAGTAAGATTTCACTTATCTTTGGTAAATACCTAGAAGTGGAATGGCAGAATCATGAACTATGTTTAAATTTTAAGAAACTGAAAACTGCATTTTCATTCCCAGAAGCCATGCGTGAGAATCCCAGTGCCTCCACAACCTCACTAACACTCGGCATGATAGGTCTTTAATTTCAGTAATTCTGGTAGATTGCCAGCTGATTTAGAATATCGTTTGAATTTACATTTCCCTCATGTTAATGACATTGAGTATTTTTTATTAGCTTATTTGCATCCATATAAATTCTTTAGAAAAGTGTTTTTTTCTTAATATATTGCCCTTGTTTTCAATCATTGTGTTTGATTCTTATGGAATTTTCAAAGTTCTTTATATACTCTGGATATAAGTTCCTTTTCAGATATATGCTTTGCAAATATTTTCTCCCAATTTGTGGCTTGTTTGTTTGTTTCATTCTCTTAGTAATATATTTCTGAGATCAAGGATTTGCATATTTGATGAAGTCCAATTTATTCTTTTTATGAATCATGATTGGTATTGTGTTCTAGGAAATTTTGCTTCACTCAAGGTCAAAATATTTCTTCCTGCGTTTTATTCCAGAAGTTGTATAGTTTCGGCTTTTATATTTAGGTCTGTTATCCATATGGTATTGTATGTTGTGTATTATTTGAAGTATGGATCAATTATAGTTTTGCTTTTAGACACAAATACACAAACACAACTTCTTGAATAGAATTTGTTTCAGAATTGCCTTTTTGTCCTAGTTAAAAATTAATTGCTCATATATATGTCAGCATATTTTCTGAACACTATTTTCCATTAAGATACTTATCTATCTCCATGCTTATAACTTTTTGTTTTTTAACCACAGCTTTATAATAATTCTTAATCAAGTAGTTTTCATTCATAAATTTTGTTCTTTTTCTAAGTTTTTTTTTTTAGAACGTATAAATCTTTGGCATTTTTGTATCTATTTTTACAATTCAAGTGTATATTTTTCCTAAACAGTAAAGAAAAAAAAATCTGCTGAAATTTTTACTAAAATTGTAATGAATGTGGAGTAAATCTCATTTGTTCTTATTTTTGTTCTTTTTCTTTGTGTTTGCTTACTGTTTTCGGAGCAGTTTTAGGTTAACAGCAAGGTTAAGAAGCTACTGAGTTTCCCATACACCTGCTGCTTCCACTCACGCATTAGCTTACCTCATTCTCAACTTCCCCCATCATAGTGGTGCGTCTTTTACAATTCATGAACCTGCATCGGCACATCATTATCTCCCAAGGTCCATAGTTCATATTAGGGCTCACTCTTGGTGTTGTACATTCTACGCCTTTGGACAGATTTATGACATGCATTCTCCATCATAGTATCATGCAGAGTAGTTTTACCAACCTTAAAGTCCTCTGGGCTCTGCTTATTCATCATTTCCTTTCCCCAGGAAATGGACTTTTTGACTACACTGCATCTTCCCTTCTATCCATTCACGTCTCCATTTATTTAGGTCTTCTATTATTTCATTAAGCAATGCTTTGTACTTTTCAGCTTAGATCTGCTGCACATCTTAGGAAAATGAAATATCTCTAAGCATTTTCATTATGGTGACTCTATTGTTAATGGTATCATCTCCTTGAATTTTAATGTCTTACTGTTCTTCGCTAGCATATAAAAAATTGGCTTGTGAACATTTGAACATTTATATTTTATTCTGAAACAGTGCTAAAATTATCTATTATTTCTGGTAGCTTTTTTTTTTTTGCAGATTTCTTCAGATTTTCTGCACAGAAGTTCAAGTCATCTGTAAATAAGACAGTTTTACTACTTTTCTTCCAATCTGGGTATCTTTCATTTCTTTTATTGGTTTCTTGTACTGGGTAGAAGCTACAGTTTGAATACAAGTGACGAGAGTAAAGATCCTTGTCATATTCCTGATCATAAAGACAGTTTTTCACTATCAAATATAATAAAATTGTAAGTTTTACATAGATTTGCTTTATCAGATTGAGGAAGTGATCTTCTAGTCCTGGTTTTATAAGGACTTAGTTCTCCTCTAGTTCTATCTTGATGAAATTTTATTGAGAAGTGATTTCAATGTTGTCAATTCCTTTTTCTGTATCTATTGATAAAGTCATGAAGTTTTTATTCTTGTAGTTAATATTGTATATTACATTTTATACTGTTCAATTGTTAATGCAGCCTTACATACTTGAGATAAAATTCATGTTACGATTTTAAATAATGTATGGTTGGATTCCATTTGATAAAATTTTGTTAAGAATGTTTGCATTTATATTCATGATTGATGTCAGTTTGTAGTTTTCTTTCTGTTAAAATGTGTTTGTTGTGTTGTAGTATCCGAATTGTGGTACCAGAATTGGCACTGTAGACTGAAGTAGTAAAGACCAGATTTTTTGGTTTTCTTTTCTTTTCTTTTTGTTAGCAGGTTTTTTTAAACTGCAAGTATAATTTTTAAAATAGATATAGAGATATTAAGGTTATCTATTTCTTCTTGAGTGAGCTTTACTAGTTGGGGTGGAAGAGCACAGGAAAGAGTAAGAGGGTTTCTCTAAGACACTGCAGGCAAAATAATGTCATGTCACAACATCAAGGATGCAAAAAACTTTGTATTCAGTTTAGAATTGTGGTTCTTAAATGGAGTTGCCATTGCCTTTTGCCTCAGTAAATGTCTAGGAGTGATGTTGTTTCTGACAACTGGTAGGTGCTATTGTTATCTAGTGGGTGGAGGCCAGCAGAGGTGCTAACAAGGGACAGTTCACACTACAATCCCCTCAAACCGAGAATTATCTGAAGCAAAGTATCAGCAGTGCTGAGACTGAGAAACACTGGATTAGGAGATTACCAGCAGTTCAGCATGGCAGGACACTAGGCACATGTGGAAGATGGTAGGGACACAGAGCTGAAAAGCTGGGTAAAATTTAAATGACCAAGGATCTGGCATGCTCTGCAAAGGAATTGTTCAGGGAAGAGGTGGAAAAGGCTGAGTCCTACATGGTGAGAAAACTAACACTGGAGATGGAGTATTGGGTCAGAACATCAAATACTATTAAATCTCTATCTCAAGATATTTCCTCTTCAATTGTATTTTAATTTTTGTAATTATCTTAGAGTGCATGTTTTAGTTTGTGGATAACATGCATTTTAACACTTCCCTGGCATTTGCTATTTTTTTTAGAAAAGGAGCAATCTCCACATTCTGTGTCATCCAAAAAGGCATTTTCAGCTCTAATTTATAATAATATTGTCAAGTTTTCAGTGATTTTCGTTTAATCATTGCTTATTGTTCATGTAAGGGAAGATGTTTTCCTACCTAAAAATTGGAGAAATTTTTATTTTAAATAAATTTAAGTTAAAGAGAAGAGTGGCTGTAAAGTAAAACATTCAGTAAAACGGTCATAGAGATGATAGGATATAAAGCTATGGCAAGAGCTCAACCTGATGTAAAAACAGATTTTTGAAAAGTACCATCTAGATAATTTAAAATACCTTAAAAATTAATCGTGAATATGATTAACTGTCGTTTTAGAGAAATTACCTTGAACATGGAGTGAAGTATCAGTGAACAAGAGGAGTGGGAGACAGAGGCAAGGAGATATACTACAATTTGTGAAAGAAACCTGAAAGTGCACACGCTTAATGTAATTTAGGAGGTAGAAAAGATAATGCATCATTCCTCAGAGGGTATAAAAAAGAGAAAGCGGCTGGGCACAGTGGCTCACGCCTGTAATCCCAAGCATTTTGGGAGGCCGAGGTGGGTGGATCACCTGAGGTCAGGAGTTTGAGACCAGCCTGGCCAACATGGTGAAACCCCATCTCTACTAAAATACAAAAATTAGCCAGGCATTCTCATGATCTCCCAGCTACTCAGGAGGCTAAGGCAGGAGAATCCCTTGAACATGAGAGGCGGAGGTTCCAGTGAGCCAAGATTGTGCCACTGCACTCCAGCCTGGGCGACAAAGTGAGACATTCTCTAAAAAAAAAAAAAAAAAAAAAAAAGGAAATTTATTTGAGGGAAAGAAGTGAAATCACTGCCTGAAAATATTAATTATGAATGGAATTATTTGAGTAGAAGTAGCATGGCCACCTGTGAGTGATGGTATCAGACTTCTGAGTTAAAGAAGGCTGCATACACCTTTTCAAATATACATTCTTTGATGACTTAAATGCTCAATTCTTTTACTCATTTAATAATACCTTGGAGCACCTCCTATATATTACACTCTGTGTCATATGGATGGCAATGAAGAAGAGTGGTAGAAAATCCACTCTTTCCTAGCTGTATTAGGCCATTCTGTCATTGCTATAAAGAAATATCTGAGACTGGGTCATTTATAAAAAAAGAGGTTTAATTGGCTCACAGTTCTGCAGGCTTTACAGGAAGCATGGTGCTGGGCATCTGCTTGACTTCTGGGGAGGCCTCAGGAAACTTAAAATCATGGTGGAAGGAAAAGTGGGAGCAGGTGCATCTTAAGCAGCCAGTGCAGGAACAAAAGAGAATTGGGGGGGGGGGGGAGGTGCTACACACTTTTAATTAACCAGATCTCCTGAGAACTCACAATCATGAGAACCGCACCAAGGGGATGGAACTAAAGCATTATGAGGAACTGCCCCCATGATCCAATCCCCTCCCACCCGGCCCCACATCCAACATTGGGAATTACAATTGAACATGAGATTTGAGTGGGTATATAGATCCAAACCCCATCACTAGCCAAAAAGACAGACTATTCGGTGGATAATTAGAATAGTGTGTCATAAAGCTCATTATTGTAAGGAAATATGAGGTCACAACACAGGAGTCAGGCCAGGGCAGGCAGGAAAGTGGGAAAGTCCAGAAGCTGGGGAGGGAGGGAGAGGTGGAAGCTGAATTGTGAATCAAAAGAGAGTGAATTGTCATTCCAGGCAGAGGAAATTAAATGGGCAAAGGTTCTGAGGCAGAGAATGGCTCTTTGAGTGAGATAAGGGAGAATTAGAATGGTTTCAGATGGTAAGAAGATGTCAGAAAAGCTTGAGAGTTGAACAGAGAGGCTCTGGACAGGTCAAGAAATTTCTTGTCAAGAATTTTGGACATCAACTTAAAAATGAGAGGAAATCATTCAAAGTTGTCAGTCAGCAAGTGTTCACTTTTTTACATTTTACGTGTTCATCTACATCTGCATAATAACTGTGTTAAACACTATTTATTATATTATTTGGTTATTTTGAAATTCATCACAAAATTTTCTACCTTTCAAAGTTCTAGTTCTAAATGATGAAACATCCAATACTTATCACTTCTCAACTTATCTAATTTTAACTACAAATAACGTTGATATTTATAGATTCAAAAAAATTTATATGGAGTTTTCATGAATTCATGAATAATAGCTGAGTTTATAATACAAATAAGCATCTATCTATATTCTTAAAAACATTTTTGAATGGAACTCCAGTTTCTTATACACAGCCATTTCACATGGGCTTGGTTGAATTTGAATTAAATTTCACTGTTATTTTTTTCTTTGTGGGATAAGAAAAAGTAATATTCTATTGAATTTTGCCTTTTCTTAGGATATGGGAAAAATTCAATCTATTGAATTCATTGTATTGCTATGGTTTCAGAATATAGCCAGTATGTAGTTTTTTAAAAAACTTTCCTGACATGCCTTTGTTCATATATGTTTTAAGTTGCCTCGAGTGTATTGCAACTCATTCTTTAAAACCTTTATTCAACACTCGAGACTGCAGAGCTAATTTGTGAACATCTAATCCAACAAACTAATCACATCTCTAGGTTTTTCAATTTACCTCTGTCTTCCCTGTTTAATTTTCAGTAGATGTTCTGGTATTTTGCATCTTGTCTATCAAGACAGAAACCATCTCTCTAAATAATTGCTGTGAACTTGAAGATGACAGAGTAGATAGAGTGACCACTGAGTGGTAAGTCTGCAATAGCAATATAAAAATTGGCTTCAGAATGAGTTACTGTTTCCCTACAGTTTCATAGCTTTCAATTGTTACTCCTGCTATCTCCATAATGGCATAGCATTGTCTCTTTAAGAATTATTTCAGCTAATTTCAACTTGAAATTTCTGAAAAAAAAAAAAAAAAAGCTTGTTCACAGAAGACATTAAAAAACAAAAAACCCTTCAACTTCTCAGGTGAAGCACAGGCACCAATTTCCAAAATATAGTTCTAAAATAAATAAATGAAACAAAAATAGAGCCAGCATTACTGATTCTAAGTTCTTGTATCTCTTTGTTAATTTCCAATCCATTTCCCCATCACATCTGTTTTTATAATGTTCTGTTACTTCATCTTCCTTATTTTAGCATTCCAGGGACTTGGCGTCCCATCTCCACTAATAATAACAAATGATATCCCAGACAATGTTAGCAAGGGATTTATTTTTACCACTTTGTCTATCAAAACAGTAACGTAATTTTTAACAAGTGCTAGGCAGAAGTATGTGTCATGTCTTCCAATTGAAAAAAACAAATCCAGACCACAATTGATAACCAATTAAAAATAAGTCATTTCAATACATTTTTATTTAAATTGTATGAAACATTATATTAATTAAAAGATTAGCCCAGGTACAATTAGATTCATTTTGTGGTGATTCTCAAGCATTTCTAGGCCTCGGGAAAATCTCTCTTGATAGACACTAGGGGGAAAAAACAAGGAGGGAGGGAAGGGAGGGAGGGAGGGAAGGAAGGAAGGAAGGAAGGAAGGAAGGAAAGGAAGGAAGGAAGGAAGGAAGGCAGGAAGGCAGGCAGGCAGGCAGGCAAGCAGGCATGAGGGAGACAGACATCCAACTAACAAGCCATAGGCCATGAATAAGCACCAAGTGAAGCTATTGATGAAACTGGATTAAGTGGTAATTGATTTAAGAAATATATTCTAGATGCCAACCATGGTCAATGCTATGAATTCCTCACACAGAAAGCTAAAGAATCTGATAGTATAACTAGGGAGATATGGTATAGACATAACATTAGGCAAAACTGTTCTTCTCAGTGGTAGTCAGTGAACCACCTACATCAGAATAAAAAGGATTCCTTGTCTCAAATGCAAACCAGGTCCCCAGTGCCCACTCCAGACCCACTGTAAATATGCATTTTACTATCTCTAGTTTTAAAATCTCTAGTTATTGCCGATGACTGGCATCATAATCTGAGAAGTCCTGAGGAGGAACATATTGTGCATAAGAAAAGCACAGGAAAAAATGCTTCAGAGATCAAAGAAAACAAATGACCCCAACATAAAATCCCTAAAGTTTCTAAATCTGCAGGAGTTACATGGAGGAGTCATGAATTGGAATTACAATAACTAGATTTGATAATAGTAAAATTTCAAATTAAGAAAAGATTTAAAGTAAAACATTATCACTAGGCCTACCTGAACTCAAGCTGATTAAATGTTGCTTATTTGATGGACTCACCATTCAATTTTATCAAAGGATAAAAAAGAGAAAAAAAAGATGACCAGTGAAAATCTTCCCACAGTGTGTAATTCTACAGGTTCCAGCGACTCTCTTTGTGTTACAACTTGGGGAGAAGGTTGTATATATCATCTCAAATTATTAAACACTGTAAATTATTATCAGAACATATTAAGGGAATAGAGGAATATTTTGGGAAATACTTATTTAGATGCTTTATGCTCGATATCTACAGATGTGCCTGAAACCTAGACTAGTAATAAAACTTACCTACACAGTGAAAGGCTGTATTGAGTCCCGTAATTCACAAACAGTATCTTCTGGGGATTGAGACTACAAATATGTTCTCAAAATATGTTTCTTTTTATATTCATAGCCAGTAGTGCAGAATTGAACAAGATTGCTTTGGTCCTATAAAGGAAATATTATTTTTTTAAGGTGACTGATACTAATCACCAAACAATAATTATTTATCTAGAGTAAATGATCTATTGCCCTATCTCTAACAGAAAAAAAAAAGCATATTAAGAGTTCAAGAAGGCTAGATACATGAAGTGAAAAGTTGATCCAACTGACATCTCAAATAATACTGCAAATCAAAGAATGTTTATTCCTCTGGTGGGACACTTCTAGGAGCAATGGCTGACCTGTGTACATTAACAGACAAATAAATCCTACCTGTCTCCACAAATGGGATAGCAATGTCAAGCTTTATCTCGTACTTATTTGAAAATAATTGATTTGTTTCCTTAAAGACTGACTCTCTGGCCCTCCAAGTCAAAAGAGTTTCCCAGGCCTTCAACATTTTGATTACAGAAGTCTTTTATGCACACATCTTGGGAGAATACCAATTGCTCATTATGGTTCACACTCTCAATAAAACAATGCCAGTAACAGCAGGCATAGAGCTTCTTGACCATCCAAACAAACAAACAAACAAAGGTTTATGTGAAAACTAGTGAACCTGATACCACTCAGGTAGTTTTCCACTATGTTATTGAAGCCAATTTCAATGACATGTAAGACCAAAAACCCAGCATCTTAGAACTTCACTTCTTTGTGACTGAGAAGAGGTTCCTGTAGATGACTCCCCTCCAAAATTTATCTCTTGAAACATTATGGGTCAGATATGTAAAGATGAAAAGAAATCTTGTTTTGTGTTTTGAACTTCTACAACTCTCGCATCTTCTCCTAGGAAGGTGTGTTGAGTGAGTGCATTGATTACTCCAAGGGCAAAAAAAGGTAACCTCTACTAATGGCTTTACTGTAATCTTTTTTTTTCCCAAAATAATATATGCACTAGTTACTCAAAATATCTTTAGTTTTCCGGGTTTCATAATTTAAAATATCTCCCTAAAATCTAGTAACACCCAAATCACAAAATCACAAATGTAATGCTAAAAGAAGCAATGATTTTAAATCCAAGTAATTATCAAAATTCTATATTCCTATTAACTGATTCCAAAAGATTAATCAAAATTATTCATTAACCATTAATCCATAATTTTAATTAGCAGTGTGGTGATTAAATTAACAATTAAAAATTCAATTGATAGTTAAAAATTGATAAAAATGATCCCTAAACATTCTTCATTATTAATCTTTTGGAATCATTATTTTTCATTAGAAAGAAGGTAAGAAATAAGGCAATTGTTTTCATTTAAACAAACAAAAAAGCTGTTAATATATTCTATATCTCATAGTTTACTTTTTTCAAAAGCCTTCAATAAAATAAACTATATTTCCAATAGTGGGGAAATGCTTACATAAATTAAATATTCATAAACTTGAATATTTGGATTTATGTTTAGCTTTACAAATAATTGTAGTTACTTAGGTAAATGTTTACAAACTAATGTATATATAAACTACATTGTGTCATTCATATGTTTATTCTACATATGGAGAAATAAAAAATCTAGAAGCAGATGCTAGAAGCATTGTAGATATGTTTATTCTACATATGGAGAAAAAGAGAGGATGAGCAAGAAATAGGGAGAAAGATGAGAGAAAAAACTACTCATAAAGTTGTTTCTTTTAGGACATTTATTTAACAATGATGAAAATTGTCTATGCTTAGATTTTAGTTATTGTGCAAATCCAACATACCAAAAACTACTGAATTGTACAATTTAAACATGTGAATATTACAATATGTGAATTATATGGCAATAAAGATATCCAAAATGTCAGGTACAAATATTTTATATAGTTATTAAAGTATAATTTACATAAAATGACTATTTTATGTATATAGTTGATACATTTAAACAAATGTTTACACCAACAAAATCTAACAAGATAGAACATTTCTTCTAGTTCAATATATTGCCTTACACGTTTTTCTAGTCAGTCTCTTCTTTGGCCCTCAGCTTCAGGAGAGCATTGATGAGATTTTTGTCACCGTGTAGATTAAATCATTTTCTACAGTTTTACATAATTGGAATCACACATGATGCACTCTTGTCTGGCTCCGCATTATGTTTTTGGAATTGTGTGTATCCGTTGTTTGTTTCTTTATGTTGATGATTGATATTCCTTCCATCTTTTGATACATTTTGGGGACATCAGTTATGAAGCACAGGATGTGCTTTGAAACTAGAGAACCAGTGAGTCTGTTTGGTGAGATTCAATAATTTCTAAGATTTGGCTATTATGAAGAAAGCTACTATAAACATTTATGCACACTTGTATGGCCACCTATTTTTATTTCTCTTGGATACATAATAAAGAGTGGAATTGGTAGACCATATGGTAGTTTTTTAAAACTTTTAAAGAAACTATCCAACTATTTTCCAAAGTAGTTGTATAATGTTAAATCTCAGCAGTATATGAGTATTCTTGTGGCTCCACATTTTTTATAACTCTTGAAATTTGTCCCTATTTGTAATATTAGACAGGTAGCTGTGTAATGATATTTCTTTTTGGCTTTAATTTTACTGATGTCTAATGATATATGCAAATATACTCTATCATATCACATGTACAAATTAGCATCCCTGGACATTCATGTATTTTTTTGTGAAGTGTTTTTTTCAAACCTTCCATGGTTTTGTTTATTTTTGGATCAGGCCTTCTTTGTATTCGGTTAGGAATTGCTGCTCGGCCATGAGGTATGTAAACATGTAAGCAGCAGACAGTCTGCAAATACCAACAACTTCAGGGTCTGCCTTAGCTGCAGAGAGCCACCCACCCAAGGACACACCATTTCTTAGGAAGTTCATATGCAATGCCCAAATACGGTAAGGGTGTAAGGGCCTGGCCCTATTAGCGGTTTGTTGTTCTTTGGTTTAGTTTTTGACATAGCTCGAGCTTCAACTCTGCCTGGTACCTATGCTCAGACCTTATCTTCAAGGATGCGCCTCCTTCAGCTGACCCAGGCTAGCTGAAGTTTTGCTAGCCCTGTGTTGAAATTTGCCTTCTCTTTCTTTACAAATCATGCTTTTTCCCCCTCCTTTCAAAAGAATTGATCCCTGATTAACATCTTACATCCTGAACCTCATCTTAGCATCCGCTTCTAGAGAAGCCAACCTTCACCATGGCCTAAATGTTCTTCTTTTTATTCAATTTGCTTGTATTTCTTTAAAACATAAAAACTTTCATTTATGGCTGCTTGGGTGACAAATAACAAAATTACGTGTTGTGTTTCTTTGCAACTGGTTCTAACAGTGGAAAAACATGAACCACCAAGAGCTTTAGGTAACCTTGGTACGCCAGAACTGAAAATATGTCCTTTATTCATAAGTAATAAAATATATTTAGCCATTATGAACTTTGCTTAAGATTCCAGTTTTCAAAACAGCGGTAACCCTTTGAAACAGTTTGAAAACTCTGATCGTTTTTCTCTTTTGAGTACTACTCAGAGAATTTCATTGCAACTGCCTGTTCGTTAACCTAGCAAGTGAGTAAATTGAGGCTTTAATTAAAAAAAAAAAAACGGTTGTTGTTCTTTGATATATATTTTGACATAGCTCAAGCTTCAACCCTGCCCAGTTCCTATGCTCAGACCCCATCTTCAAGGATGCTCCTCCTGCCTAACTCCTATCTCAGAATATTGTTTTTTCCTTTCCCGTTTAATCCCCAGGCTCAGCTCCTGGGACCAATCCTGGTTCAGGCTCCTGTTGCCTGCCTCATCCCACAGCCGTCCATAATTTGGTGGTTACGTCATGCACCTGAAGTGGTAGTGAGCATTTATAGTAATAAAAATCATAGTCTCACACTGCCATTTTCAGTCACACTGATATACAGCAAGAACATTGAGAAGCTTAGTTGATGAAGATTCTACATAGTATATGTAGAAAAACTCTATGTTAATTAAGCAAATGTTCTTCTACTTGGAACATTATTGAATCTCACCAAACAGACTCACCGGTTCTCTAGTTTCAAAGCACATCCTCTGCTTCATAATTGATGTCTGAGCTCCCAATCGCAGCTAAATCCAGATCCTAAAACCACAGAAAACAAGGGAAGTGAAGGTCAGAGGAGACTCCAAGGCCCAAGAAACAATAAAGGAGGAATATAAGACAATTATCAGAATCCCGACCACTGTAAACCAAAAATAAAGACAAACGGAAGCTCCTTAAGTACCCCTAAGCTTTCTAATCACAGGTACGCACACAAATACATTCACATAAACACACAGGTACAGGTGAACACTAGACAAGCACACATAATGAACACCTTCTCCGTATGTCTTTAAGATCAATGAAACAAGTTTCCAGAACTAGCTAGAGAGAAAACAGGATAATCAGAGGTGACAAGGAGAATAATAAACAGAAGAAAAATGTATCTTGTATCAAAAACACATGTCTTGTTCCTTCTGAAGGGATATTGAAAGACAGGAAGAGCAAGTGAGAGGGGGAGAGAGAGAGAGAGAGAGAGACTCCTATGTATGACCTTTGATAAGGGCGTAGAGTTCTCTTCACCACCAATATTCCCTAAGTGCTGTTCTTCTGCACTAAGTTACCACCTGAAATTCTCCTTTGCTTTATCCTCCCTCTGCTCTTCCTCAGAGGTGAGTCTGGGTACTGCTGACACGGCAGGTATAATTCAGCCAGTAAAAAACGCTTCACAACAAGCACACTTACCCATTGACCTTCATCCCTCTCCTTTGGAAGGGAAGCATCTGGCAGGTTTCTATTACAATATGGGCAGAACATTATGCACAGCCCTAGGACTTCTCTCCTTCATGTCAAAAACCCCCTATAGCAAAAATTAATGTAGGAGGAAATGGGGCATGAGGCCCAACCACACTGTTCTCTTTCAAATGGAGAATTTAAGGCTTTGAGTCCTATTAAGCCTCCAGCATCTTAAAGAGACATTTCCCATCCTCCATCATCATTTTAGTGGAACGGGTTTTTACAGGGAATACAATCTGATCAGCATGTTAGGACAGAGTTTCTTCATGTATATGCCATGATATTGCCTACGCTGTGTTTTAAAAACACTTTCAAAAGAAGAGTGTTCTTTTTTAAAAAAAAATCATTGGCATATAAATCAAGCATTCTATTTCTTTAACTTTTGAATTTTTATTAATGAACAGATATAGCATGCTTATATTATGTAAATTTCTAACATGTGTAATTTTTATGTTTTTTTAAGAGATGGGAACTTGCTAATGTTGCCTGGGCTGAAATGCAAAGGCTATTCTCAAGTGTGATCATTGGTGCGGTACAGCCTCCAACTCCTGGGCTCAAGCAATCCTCCTGCATATCTGAGACCATAGGCATGCCCCAACATGCCCAGCTTTATTTTTACCTTTAAAAGCTCTCCCAAGTATTATGGGGCTGTTTGAATTCAAAGGGTCAAAACCCCAGGCTCCCCATTGCCATTCTGCCAGGACTAAGGTCCCTAAGTAAAAGTCCTAATGAAGTTTACCCTGTTAAACAAAATTCATCCTTTGAAGACAAAATTCTTCCTTAAAACCAATGGGCCTTAACTACTGGTGAAGCCTAGAAGCTCGTATGAGACAATGTAAGGTAATAAAATGAATGCAGTTTGTTTTCAAACAGCAGCTTAAAATTTTCTTTGTTGATTCTGTTACTTCTACCAGAAATATTAGTTAATATTTCTGACTCACTTGAATTGTTTTTAATTGAATTATTTAGTGTTGGAAATCAATTATCCATAGGTTTCTTGAGAATATCTGCAAGTCTTATAAGCAAGACATTGACAGCTTTTTGTTCCAGACTGTCTTTTTTAAGGTTGTGTTTATAGTGAACAGCCTTAGAATATAGAGAGATTATACCGTTCTGTAGCAAAGGGCAGATATTCTTACTTTCTAACATAGGAAAGGTAATGTCTCCCTTCAGAGCTAAGGGTAGCCATGCTTATTCTATTTATAAGAGATTAGAAATCCCTAACCTCAGAGTTCATCCCCTGTAACACAATTCAGTGCAGGCATCCTGGGTTCCTTGTCTCATTTTCCTGTAGAAGCATAGGCTCCAGAAACTGGCCTGAACATGTTGATGCTCTTACTACTATTATCACTTGGAGTAATAAGCAGTCTTCTCTGACTTGGGTCTTGTGTCTTCTATTACCATACATGAAACTAGAATGCACTAACTGTGCACTTGAAAGTACAATAAAATTGTAGAACTTCCCAAGTTCTTGACAGGTTAGGTGATGAACATAGGATTATGACAGAGACTTGGCTTTCTGAAAACAGAAGTATAAAGGCCTTGTGAATGAATTAAGGAGATTTGAGAGAGGACTTTAGGAATTAGTAGCTACTATGTGGAAAAATTCCATAGTCTAGTGGACAAAAAATGGTTCTCTAGTTTATTAATAATTAGATGAGGAAAAATTTGGGATGTGGCAGGCAGAGCACCAAGAGTTGCCCAAACTATGTCCCAGTTGTTGCTAACTCTTCTCTGGGAGGGAAACTTCCTTGCCGGTCTTCCCTGTTGGCTAATAAACCCAGATAAAATTCAGGGATCTGCCAGCCCATTTAAATTTCCTGGGACTATGTGGATGGATTCAATTGCTTAATTCCTCTACCAGTCTAGGAAAAACTTCTGTGTCCTCAGCAATAACAAGTGATCCTAAGATGTGTCCTAGATGCTCAGAAAGATCTTCTCCATTTCAGACAACAGTTACAAAAATGTGCTTCTACACTGGGCATAAAACAGGGAAACTGCTCGAAAACTATGGGCAGAAGCCAAGTGAATCACCCGGTTCTTGTCTGATTCACTTGTGAGATTAGGAGGCAGGGCCCATACTCGTTAAGGAAAAATGGCAACAGCTGGGTAGTCTTAAAGCGCCTGTATCTATCATTGCTATCTTAGATCCATTCAGAAAGGTCCATAAATAACCTCAGAGATTTCTGCAGTGAGTCCTGCTATATGCTGTAAGGGAGCTTTGTCTCTATCTGGGAGATTCCCCCGAGACAGGCAAACTCCTGTGGGAAACCATACATGAGGCATTGAATATTATTCATAGGCTCTTACTGCTCCAGACTGAGTTTTTTATAATAATAAAAATGACTTATTTTGTAGACTGAGAAGCTGATCCAAAGAAATCTAGATAAAATCTTGTAGTCAGGCTTACCACCATGGAAAACTTCACTAGGCTAAGGAGAGAACATAAGCACTGTTATCTTGGTGATGGGGAGCAGATGCTTTGGATTAAGGTGGACTTCTCAAAGAACATCAACTTGTATGATCCAAGCTTGAGTAAGCCAGAAGGTGCAAATGCCATAACCCCATCAAAAAGCGATGAGGCTCTCATTGCTAAGTTAAGGGCTCTTACTGTCTGATACAGAGCACTGGACAGGTCCAAATACTAAAAGTTTGCTTGAGCCATGAGCTGCCATCATGCTTCTCAAAAAAAAAAAAAAGTAAATGCAAAGCCTTGGTTGGTGACATGATACCACATTCCTCCTCTGGGACACTGTATTAGTCTGTTTCCACGCTGTGGATAAAGATGTACCCAAGACTGGGAAATTTACAAAAGAAAGAGGTTTAATTGAACTTACAGTTCCATGTGACTGGGAAGCCTCACAATCATGGTGGAAGGCAAGGAAGGGAAAGTCACATCTTACGTGGATAACAGCCGGCAAAAAGAGGGCTTGTGCAGAGAAATTCCCATTTTTAGCCATCAGATTTCATGAGACCAGCAAGAACAGCACGAGAAAGACCCACCCCCATGATTCAATCACCTCCCACCGGGTCCCTCCCACGTGGGAATTATGGGAGCTAAAAGAAGAGATTTGGGTGGGGGCACAGAGCCAAGCAATATCAGACACCAGTCTTTCCTAAACCCTCTACCCCAAAATCGGCTGTTGTAAGGAAAGTAAAGATGATTAAAGAAGGAACCTAACTCTCTATTAACATGGGGAGGGAATGAAGACCAGACACACTGTTCAAAGTGAGATGGAGAATATGAATGGGGGAAGAAAATTAAACTTTTTTTGGCTCTAAGGGATATGTGTGCCCAAAGCACATTTTTCTCCAGACCAGGGGAAAATATGCACCCAGATTCAGTTAATGCTCTTTGAGCCCAGTGGAGAAGACAAGGTAATATGACTGTATTAATTCTTTCTTGCATTGCTACAAAGAACTACCTGAGGCTGGGTAATTTATGAAGTTAAGTGGTTTAATTAACTCACTGCTCTGCAGCCTGCACAGCAAGAATGGCTGAGGAGTCACTTCAGGAAACTTAAAATCATGGTGAAAGTTGAAGGGGAAGCAGGCATGCCCTACCTGGCTGGAGAAGGAGGAAGAGAGCAAAGGGGGAGGTGCCACACTCCTTTAAACAACCAGCTCTCATGAAAGCTCACTCGCTATCATGAGAACAGTGAGGGGAAAATCTACCCACTAGATCCATTTACCTCCCATCAGGCCCCTCCTTCAACACTGCAGATTACAATTCAACATGAGATTTGGGTGGGTACACAAATCCAAACCACATCAATGACTTTGTGGGCAGGATCCTTTGGATGAAGTAAATGTAATGTTGTTTCCGCCTCTAAAAGGGTAACTGGAATTGATGTCATGTGCATATACTTCCCCAGCACATCAATACCAGAAGGATTCTCCAGACCTGGAAAGCACAGAAAAAAAGTGATACATAACTCATTTCTGTAAATCCCACTTCCGCTTGCAATCAATATTTGGTCATGATTTAGCATGAGTGCCTCTACCCTCTGAGGTTTAAAGCTCTCACTACATACATGACTTCTTGCTGGTTGGCAAGTCAGTATTTTTTCAGTCTCAATAGCCCTTACTGCAATGTTATTCCTCACTATCACCTGCAAGGGCTGCTAATAAACCCAGAGAAAGTTCAGATTTCTTCCTGACAACCTCATTGTCTTGGGATGATGTTAATGGATTCAAACTACTTAACTGCCCTGGCAATCAAGAAAAAACTGCTGTCTTCTCAGCACCCACCACCAAAAAGGAGGCCTTGCACCATTTCGAACTCGAGATATTAGAAATATGTGCTTAAGTTTGACGCTGGCATTAGTCTTTTATGTTGGACAATCCTTAAATCAGTTTCCTTTGTGTGGGACACAAACTGACAGTCTGCATGGAAGCTATCCAGCAAACTGACATAGTCCCTATTTTTGCACCCCTTATGTATGAATGATATTTTTAGGTTTTGAGTTTCTATGACCGATGACTTTGCCAGTTGGGCCTTTGTCAAAGGGAGGCAGCCTTAATGTAGAGGCCACCCTTGGGATTTTGGCATCATGGCCTCCATGACAGCAGTGCCAGAAATACAGTTATTAGCTTGCCACTGGGTTATTGTTGAAATGGAATGCCTCACTTTGATGTTGGTTAACTTGGACTTAAAGACTAACAAGATGGGAAGGACCCAAAAAGACTTATTTTTCAAATGGAAATGTTATAGTCAAGAATGCAGCTGGCTTGCCTTGGCCCCTATATCTTCATTTTACTTGAAGAGTAGTAATAATAACTTTGGAAGAAACTTCATATCCTACACAAATACCTTATAAAAAAGGTGCTGGGCCCCTGAGGTCCTTGATTCACTGATGTTCCTCTAAATGACTGGGCCTGGTTCAATGATGGTTTGGCTAAGCTGGAAACTGATGAAATCCACTGGGCCTCCACATCTGCTCCACCTTAGCACAGCTGTGTGGAACAGAAAATGTTGAGATCACTCTGCTCTGTGGACAGAACTCACAGCTATCTTCACAGTTCTTGCCTGTGAGCACCTTGAGGAAACTGGTTAAAATTCAACTGAAGCTTGGGTTGTTGCCAATAGCCTAGTGTTTAGCCTGCCAACTTGGAAAACTACAGACTGTGGCAGATTAATACTCCGCTCTTTGAGGCCATGAACTGCAGAAACCAATCACAGCTACTGATCAAACCATCTGGATTCTTCATGCAAATGCCCAAGTTAAGTGTCTGTTATCTGATGAAACTAAGTGAAGTCAAGCTGCTGTTTGAGCCTGTATCATACAAAGCACCATCCTTTTTGCCTCAGCGTAGGAGAACATCTTCTACATAGACTCTGTTTCTGATGCACAGATCACCACTGCATGCCAGACTCAAGACTTTGGCTAGAGTTGACCTGTAGTCTCATACAGAGGGAGGCCATTACCTGGGGTAGTGCCCTTGCTTGATCCTAAAGGACTGATTGCTTCACACTTTAGACTCCTCTCAATATGATCAGCAGTGTCTCAACAGAGTTAACAACGTCTGCGTGTTACGGTGTGCCAGTCAATCTGATCACCTGACTCCAACCACACCATTCATACCGTTGTGGTCCTTGAAACCAGTCTGTCACGTGTTTGGATTAACCCTGTGATAATGGTGAGCATTTCATTACAAAATCTACTCAGCAGTGGACTTTCCATGCTCCCAACCATCTACAGGCATCTCTGCATCCTTACCAGCATTTGGTGTTGTTGCTATTTTTCATTTAAGCCATTCCAATATGAATGTAAGGGTATCTCATTATGGTTTAATTTGCATTTCCTTAATGGCTAATAATGTTGAGCATCTTTTCATGTACTTATTTACCATTTGTATATTCTTATAAGTGAAATGTCTGTTCATCATGTTTAACCATTTTCTAAATAAATTGGTTTTTTTTTCGAGGTTTGAGATCTTTATATATCCTAGAAACAAACACTTTGCTTGATATGTGTTGTCATTGTAGTTTGTGTATTTATCCTCTTCATGGGATCTTTTTGAGAGGGAAGTTTTTAATTTTCATGAGGTTTAATTTATGTTTTTTTTTTTTCCACCTTTTGGGGGTTGTAGTTTTGGTGTCAGGTCTAGAACTCTTTGTTTAGCCCTAGATCTTGAACATTTTCACGTATATTTTAACTAAATTTTATAGTCATATGTTCTGCAGATATGTCATGATCCATTTCATGTTAACATTTAGGTTGAGTTTCATGTTTTGCCTGTGGATATCCAATTAGTTAAGCACTGTTTATTGATTTATTCATACATTGAATAGCTTTTAAACTTTTGTCAAAATTCATTTGGCCATACTTGCGTGGGTCTATTTCTAGGTTCTCTGTGATTTTTGTTTTACATGCACATTTGACATTATTACATATTCCCAGTGGAATAATCAGTTATGATTATTTTATGTCTATCCTTGTCTCTAGTAATTTGCTATAAAGTAAACTTTGACCACAATTTGATTGCCATCCCCCTTAAACTTACCTTGTGAATGCTTCTGTCTCTACTGTATACTTTCAATCTCATACACTTTAATATACTTTTATCCAAAGTAAATCACATCCTAGTCGATATTAATACAAATATATGAAATATTTTCTTGTATAATGCATGGCTACTAATTACTTGGCAAGATTCCCCAGGAATTAAGGAAATAAGCGTATGTATATGTAAAACTCAAGTGATTAAAGAATCTTTATCTTCTCAGCATCATCCCTGCATTGTTGACACATACTGTCATATAATCTAGTTAAAGAGTCGTATTCCTACATAGGAATTATTCTAGGCAAGCCATGCTGTGAAATAGGGGTTATTACATAGGGGATACTAGATATTTTATTATGATAACTCAGGAGCACACAAAAGAGCAGTCTATTCTTAGAAACTGAACAACTGGAATAGAAGTCACACAGGCTATAGTAAGGAAAACCGAAGTTAGGACACTCTTTTCCATAGTAGTAATAAGTAATCGTAGGCCCAGGAGAAATAATAATAACTAATATTTATATAACCATTTAGAGCTTGGAAATCACTTTTAGAGATTAACTTTTTAAATCTTTCTCAAAAATCTGAGATTATTAACATTTTATATATTAGGAAAGTTCATCTTAGAGAAATTGAGTGATCTGATATATCACATTAGATCATAACCTGAGCCACAACCTAGAATGTGGATCTACTAAACGCCAAGTCTATGCTGATGCATGAGAGAGAAGAGAGAAATCTCAGAGAGAAATTTCTGTCTTTGGCCTACCTCTCTCTCCCTGGCCAAGTTTCTGCCTCATGAAGGTGGTCAAAAGTTGCCACTAGATTCATGGGTGTGGTGAGCTAATGTAAGTTGGCTTATCATTCTTATTAGTACTAAATATGTATTTAACAAGGTAAAATAAAAGTTGATTGAGGATTATTGATGAATGAATAAAAATGTTTTGGACTAAAGTCATAAAGCTTCATATTGCATCTTACATTCTTACCCGATAGAGAAAGGACGGCTTCAGGTATTTGAAAATGAAAAATTACCTTCTTGATCAGGAATATGGTGAATGTGTACCTTCCACACGATGATCTTAATTATTAGTTAAAAAAAAAACTTAAAAATTTAAGAGAAGAACCATACATAGAAATTGTAATATTTGAGTTTTTTTTATTAACTTGAACAAAGTAGTGAATTCCATGAAAACAGCATGCCTTCTAAAATTCACGTGATAGCCTGAAGAAAAGCATTTACCAGTTGAAGAAATTTAAGGCTGCCCTGAAGTCCTATTTATTTCATAAAGACATAGTTGTTTCCCAAAAAGCATTCAATATTTTTTAACCATACCTTAGCAGAATTTTGGCCAGCAGTTAATATTTTAATGTGTACAAATTCTATGAATGTGCGGAACATTTAAAAATCAATTGTGAGTAAAGGATATTAACATATAAAACAATGATGTCTTTAATTTTAAGTGTGTTTGCCCTTCAAAGTAGAATGTGAACATTTTCAAAGTTATAACAATTCAAATTGGCACCAGGCAGTGTTTTCCCATCTTAAAGCAATACTTTGGATGAGGATGCTTTGCCACTATTAACAAAACATCTGTTGGAGCCTCAGCAATAAAGACAAATAGTTTCCTCTCTAATTGTTTGTATGTGAAATGAACACTGGGTTATTCAGAGAAGCCCAGGCCATGACTGACACACAGCAGAAAGAAGAAGAAGAAGCTGTGCTTGGACAAGTGCACAGTTCTGCTGTGAGCTGCCTTCTATGAGGCACTCTGTCATTGAAATTGAGGTAGAGGTCAAGACAAAACAGATCCAAGCAGTTGTATGGGATTCCTATGTTAGACAATAAAGACAATTCTCTCTCTTAAAAAGGGAAAATGAGCTGATATGGCACTTTCTCCTATTTCTCAGTAAACCCTGAGTAACCCCAGGTTGATGGATATACTAGTGATGACATAAACCCTTCTGAACTTAACATCCTGTTTAAGGTGATCCTCTTTCAGAATTAACGATCCAAAAATGTATTTCACACTTTCTGCAGTCAGAATCACCTTTTGATTACATTTTGTCAATGATGTCATTCAATTATCTCAAATGATTTAAAACTTTTTTTTTTCTAAAAATGTAAGATATAGTGGCTTTTAAATATAATGGCTACTAAAATGCCTCATTCAAATATTTCTCTAAGATCTGCTCTATTAGTGCAATGAAAACCAGGACTTTACTCTGCAATCTCATGATAGAGAAGAGAGCTAGATTTTCAGAATATCCACACCAAATTGTTGAAAGTCTTCGGAAGTTGTAATGCAGATAGAAGCTGGCAGTTTAAAATCTTCTGACCTCTTTGTGACTTTCCTGAAGTGAGCTCCTTCAATGAGACCAATGACAAGAGAAATGGTCCATGCTGGATTGATATTAAGGCTCACCTCTTTTCAATTCTTTTTTCAGTAGTCTCAGAGGAGGAAAAGGATCAGACATGCTCCCTTAATTTTGTTTCCTGGCAATTAACTCCCAGAATAACACCAAATAATTACAACCATAACATTGCAGAGAAAGTTAGAGTAGCAGTAAATGTTGCTAAGCTGTGAACTTTGACAAACAAGCCCCTATAAATGTTGCAAGGCTGACTGGTATGTATCTGGTAACATGCTCTGCATTGACACTCAGATTTGGGGAAGAAGACAGCTTGTCACGCTGAAGGAAAAGCCTGATGTGTGAAGTATGACATTATGTTTTGGGAGTAAAGGACAGCAGAAATGATACACAGAAAGAATTCATTCAGAAGGAAACCAGTAGAACCTTAAGTATCTAGGGATGTTCATGTGCATCTATTTCTCTATTCATTTTATTTTCTTTTAAGGAGAGAGAGAGAGAAAAAAAAAAAAAGAATAGTTTTCCTGTGTTGTTCTCCCTAAGGGGACACAACAGAAAAGCTCAGGATGGCTCTGAGTTCTGGCATGGCCAAGTAAGCAGAAAATGAAATATTCTGTTTCACCAAACTGATAGCTGAGTATCTCTATGTCCCCAGGGGCTCTAAGACTCCCTCAAACATTGTCAGTCAAAGAACCCCACCCCACCCACGCCGGTGCATGCATTCTGGATTCTTTATTGGTGAAAATCTAAATTTGTTAAGTATGTTGACTTTGCTCTTGCTCATTCCCTTGTAATTAACTTCTCTTTTATTCTTCAGTGTATGTTCCTCCGTTCACCCACAATTTTCCCATTTCAGTTAAACTGACCTTGCTTCAAGTAACACTGTGAGTGTTGAACTCTGCAGGCTGCAAGTACTCTATTACCAAGGCTTTTCTTAGATTTGCCTATTTTCACATTACATTTCATTTTATAAGGCCATGAATAAAGCAATTAATTGACAAAATTTGAATTAAGCTTTTAATGATTACTTCCTCCAGGAATTTTAATTTAATTACCTCCTCCATTTCCACATGTAGCTATACTACTTTAACCCCAAGTAGTGAAAAATATGGAACTCTCCAGGGTGATAATAGAGAAGCCCTGGAAAAGAATGATTTTTCTTAAAGATCTTTGTGTTTTTCAAGAAGTAGCAAGACGATTCCATTAAAAATCTTTTCTATCAAGAGGCTTTTTTTTTGTGTTTAATTTACCTTCTAATACAGGTGGGATCTTTCTAAATCTCAAAACTTAAAAGCTTAGGATTTAGTAGTTTTATGATAGTTTGGGACCAGCTATTCAGCAAAATATTCCCAAGCACCCCAGGCTTCTCATAATTAGGCAGCCCAAAATAAAAGGAATGGTTTTGTATTAAAAAAAAAATTCCCTCCCCCGACTGGGAGAAAATAGTGTCTGAATCTCAGATGGCAAATATAATACACATAATAAGTAAGTGTGTACTTCCCCTTCAACTCTGATTATTGAAGAAAAACAGCAGTATAAAACTAATTATTGAGGCCCCTGCCCTGTCATTTAAAAAAATCACATTAAAAAGTATCAGAACCAGCAATTCAATAACCCATCATAAATTAATTGAATAATTCAAAAATCAGGTAACTAGAGAGAGAAAAATAAAAAAAAAAAACACTGGAATTTACCCTGGTATTAGAAGAAGCAATCGTCAGTAATATTATTTTACTATACATAATGTGCCAAGGGAAATGTATCTATAGACCTAAGGGGGTGGTACATATTCTTAGGATCTTTTAAATGATGAGCTGTAGACAGGAAAGAAAGGTAATGGTTATGGAGATGTGTTGTAAATAATGACTTGGACATGGATATCCATATGCTCTAGAATGTAACCTAGTTTGAAAGACAATAGTATGCTAAATTTAGTCTTTTTGTTTGTCTTGACATATTATTTAATTATTGATAGTAATACACTCTTGTGTATTCTGTAAAAATATGTAAGTTTAAGAGTAAAATCTTGGACAATTCCAGTCTATGTAGTGTCATTAAATGTCAAGGTGCCTCTTCAAACACAATGTAAACTCAGTCGCATTTACCTAAATCCCACAACATGCTTCTTAATAAAAATGTCCCCAATAGTTATTTTAAAAGGAGTCAACTGATAATAAAGACATTGGTTATGGAAAAAGTTAGCCAGATAAGCTAACTTTGGTTTATATTGGATGTGATATGAATTAATGTGGGAATGACTCCTCAGATACATTGCAGAATTTGTGACACAAGAAGTTTGGGACTAAAGCAAATAAACAAACTGTTAAATAATAGTAAGGCTGTCATTTTTTCTCATGTTCTTCTAATCCCATATTATGTTTGAGTTCTGAGAAAATGTCGAGTATGCAAACAATTGCGACCTCATGGTACAAGTCTGGCATGGAGTCACAAAGAAACACTAGAAATGCCAGTCCAATCCTATGAATAATTTAAAAAGCAATTAATTTATTTATTCTTAAGTTCACTGCAGAAATGAAACATTTTCACCCATGTAGAAAGAACTTCGATACTTCTTGAAATTTGCATTTTCTATTCTGTATATAATATATGCATATATATGTTCTTTGAACATGTCTATGATCTATGTCTCTATATAAATGTACCTATATTATACACATATCTGCATATAAATACACTCATGCACACACACACACACACACACAGACGTGCACAAATGTGCACACACACACCTCCCTCATGTACTCAACAGCTATCTTAGGCCAGACATGCTCATCTAACCTGATCAGTACCATTTCTCTCTCCTCTTTCATCCCTGAACAGGCATATATTCAGTAGATTAATTTAAACTATCATGTTTCTTTAGTTGTTTTCCTAATTCACTCATTAACAGCAACCTTTTCTCATTTTCAGATTGAGAGTTATATGAAGACAAAACTTAATTTGTATTCTTTTATCCATTATATACTATCCCTTAATTGAATATTTGTAACTCTCTCCAACATATGTATATATTCCATTATCTTATCAATCGCAGTCCAAGCAAATGCTCTACTTCTTTTCTACCACACTACATTGATTTCCTCTTGCTTCCTACATTGATAGTGGCCAGCTCAAGACTACTAATCCTGATGAGTGATTAACTTTAGGATAAGATTCAGTCTTCCTAGACCCTCTTGCTTCTGTTATAGGAATCAGGATAAATAGCACTCATAGTAAGATCTAGCTTCTCTATTTTTGCTACTGCCCATGGAGAAGGCTCAAGAGGGAGGAGTGATTCTTGTTCACTTGATATATGACCATACTTCCACAGGGTCTTACTTTTCCCAGCGATAAGGCAAGATAGAGTTCCAAGCACTGCAGATAAAACTCCCCGCCTTTATTTTTCAGGTCTCGAAGAGTCCATTTTCAGGGTCTACAGCATTTCCTAGACCCTCTGTATTGGACCCATCCTCCTATATTCCTGACATTGAGAGCCTTGAAACCACTGACTGTCTTGAGTTTACCAGGACTTCTTTCTTCCCCATCCTCTGTTAATATGGCTGACCAAAAGAAGACTTGAACTCCTTAAATAAATACGGCTCATATTCTACTCCCTCCTTTGTCTCATCGTAACTCATGAAACCCATCTGCCTTACCTTCTGATAACATATTCATGGACCATGAACAACTAAATTTCCTATATTATCAACTTTGGGCATTTACTTAACCTTATTGTTCTAATTCAAACTAGGATCTCTCTTGAGAACCCCACTTCCCTTGCAGTCTCAGGCTGTAGCTACTTTTCCTTCACTGGTAAGGCCTTTGGATAATTATCTTCCTTAGTCCTCACTTCCACTTCCTGACTATTTTCTCTTCCTTGTCCCTAAAACTCCCATTTGAAAATTTTCATATCATCTCACTGTTCACACTGTATCACTCACTATCCATTTTTAATGCCATATCTATAAAGTCCAAATTACTTCCCTATCATTTATATGTGAATTTGGCTCCTTTTCATTGTAACTTTCTCCCAAACCATTGATTTATTAAATCTTAGTAATTTCGAATACCTGTAGGTGATTGTTCCAAATCTCTTAACCCCATATCCTTTGTGACTTTGCCCTTTACCTCTGCACTCACTCCCATTGGCATATTCTAGACCCAATGATTCTTAATGTAAAGAAATGTTGCCTCTGCAGGAAATATGTGCCCACATCTGGAGACATTTTTGTTGTCACAATTGGGGAGGGAGGAGGATTGTTACTGACATCTAGTGAGAAGACCCAGATGCAGGGATATATCATTCATTGCACAAGATAGCCCCACACAAACACACTCATAGACACAAAGAATTATGCATTCCACAATGTACATAGTTCTAGGGTTGAGAAACGCTGCTCTTGAACTTATCATTACCAGTAAGTGTAAGCTCTCTGTAATGTCAATTTTAAGCATACTAAACTCTGGCCATATCTGCTCACTTTCCTGCTTATTTCCTCATATACTCCAAATTTAATAATTTTCTTTTCACCTAGACCTATAATTTATAGAGCCAATTTGTTTTGCCTTTGTATTTCACATGCATGTCTATTTTCCACTTTACACAGAATCAATTTCATGCACAAACATTAAATTCAGTCCCTTGAATATGAAGGGTCTTCAAAAAGTTTATGAAAAATGTGCATTCTGAAAAAAACTATACATGTATTTCAGAAATGTTTACACCAAAATAAACTTGTAGTGACTTATTTTAACATATCTGAACAACACCTAGATTGAGGCACTAAAAAGAATTAGACATCAGCTAGAAAAGAGCCCTATCAGAGCAACACAAATTTTGCAAACACTGAAGCAAGAACAAACAAAAATTGATGGTTAAGCTGGGTGGCTAGAACAGTGAAATATTAGATGCTTTACACAAACTTTATGTGGACAATGTCCCTAAGAAATCAGCAGTTTATAAATTGATAACTCGTTTTAAGAAGGGATGAGACCATGCTGAAGATGAAGTCCACAGTGGCAGACCATCCACATCTATTTGCGAGGAAAAAATTTCATCTTGTTTATGCCCTAATTGAAGAGGACCAAAGATCAACAGCAGAAACACTAGGGAACACTGTAGAGACATCTCAACTAGTTCAGTTTACACAATTCTGACTGAAAGATTAAAGTTGAGCAAACTTTCCATGTGACGGATGCCAAAGCCGTTGTTCCCAGATGAGCTACAAACAACAGCAGGGCTTTCAATGGAAATTTTAAGCAAGTGGGATCAAGATCTTCAAGAATTTCTTTGAAGAATCATAACAGGAGATGGAACATGGTTTTACCAGTATAATCCTGAAGACAGCACACAGTCAATCCAATAGCTACCAAGAGGGGGAAGTGGTCCAGTCAAAGCAAAATGGACCATCAAGAGCGAAGGTCGGGGGGGGGGCTGACTCCCCCACCTCCCTCCCGGACGGGGCGGCTGGCCGGGCGGGGGGCTGACCCCCCCACCTCCCTCCCGGACGAGGCGGCTGGCCGGGCAGAGGGGCTCCTCACTTCCCAGTAGGGGCGGCCAGGCAGAGGCGCCCCTCACCTCCCGGACGGGGTGGCTGGCCGGGCGGGGGGCTGACCTCCCCACCTCCCTCCCGGACGGGGTGGCTGCCGGGCAGAGACGCTCCTCACTTCCCAGACGGGGCGGCTGCCGGGCGGAGGGGCTCCTCACTTCTCAGACGGGGCGGCTGCTGGGCGGAGGGGCTCCTCACTTCTCAGACGGGGCGGCTGCTGGGCGGAGGGGCTCCTCACTTCTCAGACGGGGTGGCCGGGCAGAGGCGCTCCTCACATCCCAGACGGGGCGGAAGGTGAGGGGCGCCTCTGCCCGGCCGCCCCTACTGGGAAGTGAGGAGCCCCTCTGCCCGGCCACCACCCCGTCTGGGAGGTGTGCCCAACAGCTCATTGAGAACGGGCCAGGATGACAATCGCGGCTTTGTGGAATATAAAGGGGGGAAAGGTGGGGAAAAGATTGAGAAATTGGATGATTGCCGTGTCTGTGTAGAAAGAAGTAGACATGGGAGACTTTTCATTTTGTTCTATACTAAGAAAAATTCTTCTGCCTTGGGATCCTGTTGATCTGTGACCTTACCCCCAACCCTGTGCTCTCTGAAACATGTGCTGTGTCCACTCAGGGTTAAATGGATTAAGGGCGGTGCAAGATGTGCTTTGTTAAACAGATGCTTGAAGGCAGCATGCTCGTTAAGAGTCGTCACCATTCCCTAATCTCAAGTACCCAGGGACACAAACACTGCGGAAGGCCGCAGGGTCCTCTGCCTAGGAAAACCAGAGACCTTTGTTCACTTGTTTATCTGCTGACCTTCCCTCCACTATTGTCCTATGACCATGCCAAATCCCCCTCTGTGAGAAACACCCAAGAATGATCAATAAAAAATAAATAAATTAAATAAATAAATACATAAATAAAAAAGAGCGAAGGTCATGGCAACACTTTCTTGAGGGTCAAATAAAAATAACAGTTGCTATTATAAGAGTGTCTTGAGAAAGTTTGCTGAAGCTTTAGCAGAAAAACACCCAGGAGAGTTTCATCAGAGAGTTCTTCTCCAACATGACAATGCTTCTGCCCATTCCTCTCATCAAACAAGGTCAATTTTGTGAGATTTTCAAGGAGAAATCATTAGGCATCCATTATACAGTCCTGATTTGTCTCTGCCTGACTTCTTTTTGTTTCCTAATCTTTAAAAATTCCCTTTAAAAGACATCCAGTTTTCTTCAGTTAATCATGTAAAAAAGACTGCAGTGACATGATTAAATTTCCAGAACCCTCAGTTCTTTAGGGATGGACCAAATGTCTGGTATCATTGCTTACAAAAGCATCTTGAGCTTGATGGAGCTTATGTTGAGAAATAAAGTGTATACCTTTCACTCTTTTAATTCTATTTTCCCATGACCTTTTTGAAGTCCCCTCATAGATGCCTGTCTCCCTCACTTGTTCCTCATTGGCTTTATTAAACAGCTGTAAAAGGCAATTCCATAACTGCAGCATTTTTTACCTTTCCTGTTTTTATACACTAGCACCTGTACAGCTGCACACGGCTAGAGAAAAACGCAAATCCATTTTGACTATTCTCATTTAAAATCATGAGCCTGAATCTTTTTTTTTTATTATTATTATACTTTAAGTTTTAGGGTACATGTGCACAACGTGCAGGTTTGTTACATATGCATACATGTGCCATGTTGGTGTGCTGCACCCATTAACTCATCATTTACATTAGGTATATCTCCTAATGCTATCTTTCCCCCCTCCCCCCACCCCACAACAGTCCCCGGTGTGTGATGTTCCCCTTCCTGTGTCCATGTGTTCTCATTGTTCAATTCCCACCTATAAGTGAGAACATGCGGTGTTTGGTTTTTTGTCCTTGCGATAGTTTGTTGAGAATGATGGTTTCCAGCGTCATCCATGTCCCTACAAAGGACATGAACTCATCATTTTTTATGGCTGCATAGTATGTGAGCCTGAATCTTAATGATGACCAAGAATTAGACCATGTGTCCTAGTCTATTCATTCTCCCACTCTCCTAGATAAGCCTGTTATGCTTTTTTCACTCCTTCAATACCTACCAACTCTATTAGTCTTATATTTATGTGATGGAGTATTTGCTACTTTTTTTTAGAAATGAGATAATCAGAAGAGAACTTCTATAACCTCCTGCCACATGCCCACTAGCAGCCGTACTCATATGCTCTGCTTCACCTTCACTCCTGTTATTATGAATGAAGTGCCCATCTTCCTAAGGTCAAATTTCTATTCATGAACTAGATGCTTTTTCTTGCTAACTCAGTAATCACCCAGTAATTTACCACACTCTGTCCTACACCCTGACGTTTATGTTCTCTATTTATCATTCTCATATGCATGTATACAATTTGTCATCTCTTTCATAAAAAACAACTCTCTTTCAGCTCTTCCTCTCTTTCCAGCCATTTTCTCATTTTTCTCTATCGCTTGTTAGTAAAACTCCTTTAAAGAACTATGTGAACCATATCCAGAGCTTCTCTGCTTATTCTTTCTGTTTGTTTGTTTTTTGTTTTGTTTTGTTTTTGAGACACAGTCTCGCTCTGTCGCCCAGGCTGGAGTGCAATGGTGCGATCTCGGCTGACTGCAATCTCAGCCCCCTGGGTTGAAGCGATCCTTCTGCCTCAGCCTACCAAGTTGCTGAGATTACAGGTGCCTGGCACCACACCCAGCTAATTTTTGTATTTTTAGTAGAGATGGGGTTTCACCATGCTGGCCAGGCTGGTCTTGAACTCCTGACTTCAAGAGATCCACTCACCTCAGCCTCCCAAACTGCTGGGATTACAAGCATGAGCCACTGCACTCGGCCTCTGCTTATTCTTTCACTTTTCTTTCTTTTCATAGTTGTCTCCCATTTCTCTACTAATATTGTTATTGACCCATCACCACTATGCATTATATTTGTTAATTTAATGGTCAGTTTCAGTTCTTATTTGACATGTAAGTAAAATTTGACACAATTGATCATTCCCTCCTTCCAAAAACACTGCATTTGCTTGACTTTCTGAACAAAAAACTTTGTTTTCTCCTACTTCCCTGAGCTACAATTTCTCAATCTCTCTTTTAGGTTACACTTTTGCTATATAAATCCTTAATGAAATACACTAAGGCTTAGCCACTGGTGTTCCTCTTCTCTATCATTAGTCACCCTTTGTATTTTATTTTACTTTATGTTCTGGGATACATGTGTAGAACCTGCAGGTTTGTTACATTGGTATACATGTGCCATGGCGGTTTGCTGCACCTATCAACACATCATCTAGGTTTTAAGCCCTGCATGCAATAGCTATTTGTCCTAATGCTCTCCCTCCTCTTTCCCCCCACCCCCTGACAGGCCCTGATGTGTCATGTTCCCCTCTCTGTGTCCATGTGTTCTCATTTTTCAACTCCCACTTATGAGTGAGAACATGTGGTATTTGGTTGTCTGTTTCTGTGTTAGTTTGCTGAGGATGATGGTTTCCAGATTCATCCATGTCCCTGCAAAGGACAGAAACTCATTCTTTTTTATGGCTGCATAGTATTCCATGGTGTATATGCACCACATTTTCTTTATCCAGTCTGTCACTGATGGGCATTTGGGTTGGTTCTAAGTCTTTGCTATTGTAAATAGTGCTGCAATAAACACATGTGTGCATGTGTCTTTATAGTAGAATGATTTACAATCCTTTGGGTATATAATCAGCAATGGGCTTGCTTGGTCAAAAGGTATTTCTGGTTCTAGATCCTTGAGGAACCACCACACTGTCTTCCAGAATAGTTGAACTACTTTACACTCCCACCAACAGTGTAAAAGCATTCCTATTTCTCCGCATCCTAACCAGCATGTTGTTTCTTGACTTTGTAATGATCGCCATTCTAACTGGTGTGAGATGGTATCAAAAAACTACTTTAAATTTCATATGGAATGAAAAAAGCACCAATATAGTGAAGATAATCCTAAGCAAAAAGAACAAACCTGGAGGGATCATGCTACCTGACTTCAAACTGTACTACCAGCCTACAGTAACCAAAACAGCATGGTACGGGTACCAAAACAGATATAGAAACGAATGTCACAGAACAGAGGCCTCAGAAATAACACCAAATATCTACAATCATCTGATCTTTGACAAACCTGACAAAAACAAGCAATGGAGAAAGGATTCCCTATTTAATAAATGGTGCTGGGAAAACTGGCTAGCTATATGCAGAAAACAGAAACTGGACCTCTTCCTTACATCTTATAAAAAAATTAACTCAAGATGGATTAAAGACTTAAACATAAAACCTAAGACCATAAAAACCCTAGAAGAAAACCTAGGCAATACCACTCAGGACATAGCATGGGGAAAGACTCTGTGACTAAAACACCAATAGCAATTGCAACAAAAAGCCAAAATTGACAAATAGGAGCTATTTAAATTAAAGAGCTTCTGCACAGCAAAAGAAACTATCATCAGAGTGATCAGGTAATCTACAGAATGTGAGAAAATTTTTGCAATCTATCCATCTGACAAAGGTCTAATATGCAGAATTTACAAGGAACTTAAATTTACAAGAAAAAAACAGACAACCCCATCAAAAAGTGGGTGAAGGACATGAACAGACACTTCTCAAAAGAAGACATTTATGTGGCCAACAAACATGAAAAAAAGCTCATCATCACTGGTCATTAGTCATCCCTTTTATGACAACCTTATTTTCCCTCTTCATATACTTACCCAGGCTGTGTTTTCCATCTTACTCCACTCTTCAAAGACACATCTACCTTTTAGCTAAGTTGAGGCTGTATGACTTTGCCAAACCAATGGATTAGAGCAAATGTGATTTAAAACATTTCCAGGTCTACTTAAAAAAAATATTTTACAAGATCCTACTGCCCTTTCTTTGTCTGTTGTTGCAGAGTTGGAGACCACATTTTCTAAGATGGTATAGTTCTGAGATAGAGAAGCGTAGTTTTGTGGACTAGTTTGTGGATTGTGATTCAAATAAGATATAGGGTTTTAATATATTAAGCCTGTAGCAGAACTTATAGATATTTGTTGCGGTGAGCTAAAACAATAATTTCAAAGTGAGTTTGATGGCAAGTCCCCTAGCATCAACTAAGTCCTTAAGGAATCTGATATGTTTCAATATAGTAAGAAAATAACTTTGAACTAGTTTAAGTGTTTATTTTCTCCATCTGTCCCAAAAGGGTTCTAATGCATTAAGAAATTGGTATTTTTTGCACATTTCAGTTAAAGACTAATGTCTAGATTACAATTTTATGTGTTTTTTCAGTATCTTCCATTTCATAAACTCACATAAAGCATATTTTAATTATCTATAGTGTTTTTTAATCAAAACAAGATTGTTTCAAAAAATATAATTTTTATCTTCTATTTTCCTCTATTTTGCTGAATTAGTCTAAAAACACTCATATATTATACTTGAACAACATAAAATTCTTGATAACATAGCTTATAGCTAGATGGTCACAGTAACATTATGTTCTTGACTCAGGATTTATCTGCTAAATTTAATTTTAGTTGCATTTGAAGTTTTGACTATAGGTCCAAACTTGGAGGTAAGAACTCACAAAATAAATGTTAAATGAAACGCTTAGAAACAGTGAGGGCTAATCTAGGTACAAAGTTATAATCAAAGATTCATTAGTCTTACTACTCATATAATTAAAGAGAGAGACTTAAATCTTTCATGAAGTCTTTTAAAGAATGACAACAGAATAGAATTTCATAATAATCAAATGGGTAGTTCTCCCCTTTTGCCCCCACTCTGTCTTCACACCATCTGTATGTGTGTATGTGTGTATTCTTTCACTCCCAAAAATCGTTCTAAACTTTTCCTTCATATTTTCAAAAATTCATTCAGAAAGATTGTTCTCTTTCCTCCTACTTTCTCTCCAGTGTTAATATATTTTATGATTAAAAAGTTTGTTTACTTCGCTGTCTTCAATATTGTTCTTACTTGCTTATCACCAAATTATGGATTTAAAGGGAAAATTCAAGATTGATCCAACAAAAAATATATATATTTCCCTTAGAAGGCTAAAGAAAACAGGGCATTAAAAATCAGAAAGTATGGAGATTTTAAAAATGTAAAATATTCTAAGACAAAACCACATTTTTTTAGATTATTTCAAAAAAAATTTCTAAGCAAAATATTCATAGGATATTGTCATTGACCTCATCAGCCATCTCAATTTAGAGCATTTATCCATATTTTAAAGATTATTTGGCATTGTATATCTTTAATAAACTTTAGTTTTTAAAATTTGTTTTGATCATGGTAATACAGGTACAAGATAAAAACATCAAAAAATCCTTCAGCCTTAAAATAAACCTTGCCCTACCTCTTTCTGTCCTCAAGTACTACTTGGTGGAAATAATTATTTTTTGTTGTTAATTTCTTCTGATATTTGCCATTATAAACACTATGCCTAGTTAGCTGTATGTTATTAAGATACCATTTATTGAATTTCTACTATGGAACATGATGACTTAGCTTACCTACAATACAAAAACAAACACATATACACACACCCACATGCACATACAAATATGTGCAAAAAATATCTGATATTGTTTGGCTGTGTCCCCACCCAAATCTCATCTCGAAGTCCCATGTGCTGTGGGAGGTACCCAGTGGGAGGTAGTTGACTCATGGGGGCAGGTCTTTCCCGTGCTGTTCTTATAATAGTTAATAAGTCTCACAAAATTTGATGGCTTTATAGGACAAAGTTTCCCTGCACAAACTCTCTCTCTCTTTGCTGCCGCCAGTCACATAAGATGTGACTTGCTCCTCCTTGCCTTCTACCCATGATTGTGAGGCTTCCCCAGCCACATGGAATTGTGAGTTCTCCATTAAACCTCTTACTTTTGTAAATTACCCAGTCTCAGGTATGTCTTTATCAGGGTTGTGAAAATGGACTAATACAGTAAATTGTTATCAGTAGAGTGGGGAACTGATGAAAAGATACTTGAAAATGTGGAAGTGACTTTGGAACTTGGTAACAGGCAGAGGTTGGAACAGTTTGGAGGGTTCAGAAGAAGACAGGAAAATGTGGCAGAGTTTGGAACTTCCTCAAGACTTACTGAAAGACTTTGACAAAAATGCTAATAGTGATATGAACAATAAGGTTCAGGCTGAGGTGGTCTCAGATGGAGATGAGGAACCTGATGGGAACTAGAGCAAAGGTGACCCTTGTTATGTTTTTAGCAAAGAGACTGGTGGCATTTCACTCCTGCCCTAGAGATTTGTAAAACTGAACTTGTGGGAGATGATTTAAGGTATCTGGCAGAAGAAATTTCTAAGCAGCAAAGGATTCAAGAGGTGACTTGGGTGCTGTTAAAGGCATTCAGTTTTACAAAGGAAGCAGTTCAGTAAAGTTTGGAAAATTTGAAGCCTGACAATGTGATAGAAAAGAAAATCCCATTTTCTGAAGAGAAATTCAACTGGGTTATGGAAATTAGCATAAATAACGAGGAATCAAAAGTTAATCCCCCAGACAATGGAGAAAAGGTCTCCAGGGCATGTCAGAGGTCTTCATGGCAGCCCCTCCATCACAGGCCCATAGGCCTAGGAGGAAAACATGATTTCATGGGTTGGGTCCAGAGTCCCCATGCTGTGTGCAGCCTAGGGATTTTGTACCATGTCTCAGCTGCTCCACCATGGCTGAAAGGGGAAAACATAGAGCTTGGGCCATGGTTTCAGAGGGTGCAAGCCCCAAGCCTTGGCAGCTTCCATGTGGTGGTAAGCCTGCGAGTTCATAGTAGTCAATAATTGAGTTTTGGGAACCTCTGCCTAGATTTCAGAGGATGTATGGAAACATCTGGATGCCCAGGCAGAGGTGTGCTGCAGGGGTGGGGCCGTCATGGAGAACTTTGGCTAGGGCAGTGCAAAAGGGAAATGTGGGATTGGAGCCCCCACACAGAGTCCCTACTAGAGCACTGCCTAGCAGATGTGTGAGAAGAGGGCCACCATCCTCCAGCCAGGAGGGGGGCTATGCTCTGCAAAGCCACAGGGGTGGAGCTGCCCAAGACCATGGGAACCCAGCTCTTGCATCAGCATGACCTGGATGTGAGACATGGAGTCAAAAGCCATCATTTTGGAACTTTGAGATTTGACTGCCCTGCTGGATTTCGGACTTGCATTTGGCCTGTAGTCCCTTTGTTTTGGCCAGTGTCTCCCATTTGGAATGGGTGTATGTACCCAATGCCTGTACCGCCATTGTATCTAGGAAGTAACTAACTTGCTTTTGATTTTACAAGCTCATAAGTGAAAGGGACTTGCTTTATCTTGGACTGTGGACTTTTTAGTTAATGCTGAAATGAGTTAACACTTTAGGGGACTGTTGGGAAGGCATGATTGGTTTTGAAAGATGAGGACATGAGATTTGGGAAGGACCAGGGGCTGAATGATATGGTATGGCTGTGTCCCCACCCAAATCTCATCTTGAATTCTCACCTGTTGTGGTAGGGACACAGTGGGAGGTAACTGAATCATGGGGGCAGGTCTTTCCCATGCTGTTCTCATGATAGTGTGTAAGTCTCACAAAATCTGATGGCTTTATAAGGTGGAGTTTCCCAGAACAAACTCTCTCTCTTTGCCTGCCACCATCCACATAAGATGTGACTTGCTTCTCCTTGCCTTCCACCATGATTGTGGTGCTTCCTCAGGCAGGTGGAATTGTGAGTTATCCATTAAACCTCTTTTATTTGTAAATTGCCCAGTCTCGGATATATGTTTATTGGCAGCATGAAAATGGACTAATACAATATTCTTCAGGTTTTCCATAATGGTTGTGTTATAATTTTATACTATTTTGACTATGTAAACATATTTTAAATTTGTGACATATAGTAATCTGCATTTTTATCTCTCTTCATATAACTTTTTTTTTCTACCTGGTGTTAACAGTTGACTCTTTTCTTGGTTTGTCCATATTTCTATGTACTTACCATTAAATGGTTCCCAATGCATTGACGAAAATACAGTCAGTACATTAAAAATCCCTCATAATTATTAATTTTGTCTATTTTCAGTGATATTCTTTGAAGAGCTCACCATCTTCATGCTCCTATCTGACCTCCTGGCTCTGTCAAGTCAGCAATATAGCCGTTATCCCAGAATTGCACTAATCCATCATCTTATACATTTATTTCATCTTGAGCATTGAATTTTTTTTGTTTTCTTTCTTCTCTCGTTTCATTTTTTTCTCAATTACTCTTTTCTTTATGTGTATCACTTCCTCACTGTCATTCTTAGAAACAGCATAACAAGGTAGTCTTTTAGATGTCGTTTATTTAAAAATGTATTTAGTTTATTCTCATGATTGATTGATATTTGGAGTGAGTATGGGATTCCAGGATGGAAACTATGCTATTGAGTAGTAAATCACCACTCAGATTTATTGTAATAGTTAGTTTCCCCATCTTGAATCTTGCGGACTCTTTTCTTTGTTTTCTTTTAAAATTACTGTGATTTATCCATAATATGATCTATCTTAGTCTACATGCCTGTAAAAAAAGTATATATTCTGCATTTGTTGGGTGGAGTGTTTTATAAAATAAAGTCAACTAATTGACAATATTTTTCAAGGAATGGTTATTTTTAATGCATTTTTTACACAATAGTTTGAGTTCTTAACTGTAGCCTTCTATGAGGGAACATCAGCAATTCTCTGGGCATTGAACAATTCTAGTTCTTAGAAGAATTCTTAATCAATTACATGTAGGAATCCTGAATATGTCTTTATTATCTTTGACAATAGAACTTGCATAGAAAGCAGTTCCAATATCACAAAATTGATGAAATCCTTAAGCTATAATACATTAATATTTACTGTAGTTCACAAGTGTAACATATTAAAATGCCACAGAAAGCAAATAGTGTAGTATATAGGGTTTTTTTCTAAAATGACTATACTGAACTAAAATAATTTTAAAAAGGTGTTTTACAAGGCTAAATCAAAACAACTTAGCTATCATTATATTCATAGTCATTCATCATTTTTATAGGATTATGTGATATTTTATAAAAGACACATTTTCCTGAATTCAAAATACTATACGTCCATAGTTTTCTTCTCTTTTTTTAAAATAAAAAACAGCTTTACTGAAGAATGATTTAAATATCATTAGGGTTTCCCATTTTATATGTGTAGTCTAATGAGTTTTGGTAACATATAGAGTCTTGCATCTACCACTGGAATCAAGTTGTAGAGCGTGTCCGTCACTCCAAATAGTTTCCATACGAAACTTTGTAGTCAATTCCTGCCCACATCCAGAATAAGCATTATGAAATTTGTCCCGCAGCTAAAATGACCATCTGATGTACGCTGTTCTATACTGAATGTTTGTGTACCTCAAAAATGTATGTGGAATAGGGAGTCTTTTCCTCATTGCTTATTTTTGTGGACTTTGTCAATAATCAATTGATTGTAGATATGCAGCTTTATACCTGGGTTTTCTATTATGTTCCATGGATGTATATATCTGTTTTTTGTACCAGTACCATGCAGTTTTTCTCACTGTTGCATTAGAGTATAATTTGAAGTCCAGTAATGTGATGCCTCAGGGTCTGTTCTTTTTACTTAGGACTGCTTTGGCTTTTTGGGCTCTTTTTTTTTTTTTTTTTTTTTTTTGGTTCCATATGAATTTGAAAACAGTTTAATTTTTTCTACATCTATGAAAACTGATGTTGGTAATTTGATAAGAATAATGTTGAATCTGTAGATTGCTTTGAGCAGTATGGACATTTTAGTGATAGTGATTCTTCCAATCCATGAGCATGGAATACTTTTTTTTTTGTTTGTTTGTGTCATCTATAATTTCCTTCAACAGTGTTTTGTAGTTGTTTTTGCAGACACCTTTCACCTCCATGGTAACATATTCCTAGGTATTTTATTTTTTGTGGCTGTTATAAATGTGATTGCATTCTTGATTTGGCTCTCAGCTTGAATGATATTGGTGTATAGAAATGCTACTGATTTTTGTACATCGATTTTGCATCCTGAAATTTTATTGAAGTTGTTTATCAGATCTAGAAGACTTTTGGCAATCTTTAGGGTTTTCTAGGTATAGATTCATATAGTAAGCAACAAGGGATAATTTTACTTCCTCTTCTCCTATTTGGATGCCTTGTATTTCTTTCACTTGCCTGAATGCTTTGGATATGTGGGGGAGAATGAAACTGGGCCCCTACAAATCAGCATATACAAAAATCAACTAAGATGTATTAAAGACTTAAATGTAAGATCTCAAACTACAAAAACTACTCAAAGAAAACCTAAGAAATACCCTTCTGGACATCAGCTATAGCAATGAATTTATGATTAAGTCGTTAAAAGCAGCTGTGACAAAAGCTAAAATTGACAAGTAGGACCTAATTAAACTAAAGAGCTTCTGCACAGGAAGATAAACTATCAACAGAGTAGACAGACAACTTAAAGAATGGGAGAAAAATTTTGCAAACTATGCATTTCACAAATAATTAATATCTAGAATCTATAAGGAACTTAAATCAACAAGCAAAAAACAAATAATTGCATTAAAGAGTAGTCAAAAGATATGAACATACACTTCTCAAAAGAAGACATACAAGTGACCAGTAAATACATGAAAAAAATGCTCACTCATTAATCATCAGAGAAATGCATTCAAAACCATAATAAGATACCATCTCATACCACTCAGGATGACTATTAATAAAAAGTCAAATAATAATAGATGCTGTCCAGACTGCAGAGAAAAGGAAACATTTATACACTGTTGGTGGAAATTGAAATTAATTCAGCTATTGTGGAAACCAGTTTGGAGATTTCTCAAAGAACTAAAAATAGAACTACCATCCAACCAGCAATATATACCTAATATATTTGGTATATACCAAAATGAAAATAAATCCTTCTAACGAAAGACACATGCACTTGTATGTTCATTGCAGTACTATTCACAATAGCAAAGATATGAAATCAACCTAGGTGACCACTAATGGTGGATTGGATAAAGAAAATGTGGTACACATACACCATGGAATACTATGCAACCATTAAAAAGAACAAAATCATGCCCTTTGCAGCAACACACATGCAGCTGGAAATCACTGTCCTTAGTGAATGCATGCAGAAACTGAAAGACAAATATTGCATATTCTCACTGATAAGTGGGAACTAAATCTTGGGTGCACACAGACATAAAGACAGGAACAACAGACACTAGAGAATCCAAAGAGAGGGAGGGGAGAAAGAGGCAAGGCCTGAAAACTTCCTGTTGGGTACTATGTTCACCATATGGGTAACGCGATCAATAGAAGCTCTAATATCAGCATCACAAAATATACTCTTGTAACAAACCTGCACGTGTACCCCATGAATTTGAATTAAATTTGAATCAAATTTAAAAATGTTAATGCCCCAACCTTAAATGAGGTAATCTGGGTGGGGCCCTATAATAACATCAGTGTCATTACAAGAAGAGGAAGAAAGAGCAGAGCTCATTCTCTTTCTCTCTTCCCCAGCTAGCTGCTCTCTCTCTCTCCCTTGCCCTCTCACTTGTAAGGACACAAGGAGAAGGCTGCTGCCTCTAAGCCAGGAAGACGTTTCTCACCAGGAATTGAATCTACTGGCACTTTGGTCTTGGATGTCCTTGTCCCTAGACTGTAAGAAATAAAATCTGTTGCTTAAGCCACCCAGTCAACGGTATTTTGTTATTGCAGCCTGAATTGTCAAGACAGAAGCTATTGAAATCACACCATCCAAACAGCAATGTGGTTATTGATGTCATCTGGCAGGTCAGATGTGATTTGGCTAGGATGAAGCTTTGGCTTAGTCTCTGCGACAAACACTAGTGCAGATTTCTTTCCATACTGTAGTAGTGTTTAGAGCTACAGGTTGGTAGGACCAATCATTCATCACATAATCACTAAAGAAGCCTCAGATCAAAACTTACTGATGTCCAACTCTACATTTTCTTATGCAGCCAGTTCTCTGGGGTATACAATGGCCAGAAGTATGTATGGATTCAGACAGATGCTGGTGTCTGCAAATTTATAGATCTAGTATCATTATTTCATTTCATATACTACAAAATTTAGCTCAAACTTTCTGTCTAGTTTGACCTTGAAGTATCAATAGTACTAAATATCAAATAATTAAGTACTAATATTCAAGTATCAAGTACTATTGATATTTAGTACTCTCACAATATCTACTGTTATTGTTTTAATTTAGTGGGATTATAAAGATTTGAATTTACTCTTTTAACATTTCTTAAGAAATTTTAAAAAGAAATGAACAGTGGACCTAATCCATTCAATTTTGACTTTATAAATAAATGAATAGACATAATTAAATTATCAGGAGATATTCATCATCATGGATGTATGTGTGTTGAAGGCTGAAAGAGTGAGGGTCGTGATCAACTCTGTATACCACTGGGAGCTATATGAGTAAACAGCAAATTGTTCTCATAAAAGCAGAATGTTGGCAAACTGACAAACTGCGTCTGCCACCCAGAAGAAATGCTGAGGGCAGTCATAAGCCAGGCACAAGTGTTTCTTGTGATTATCTACAGGGCACATTTGAAGCCTGTTAGTAATAATTTGAACCTGTGATCAATTAAGCAGCTGACCAGTCATTGCCTCCTCCTCCCTGCTCATTCTACTCAATAAATACGAAGGACTGTGGAAGCTCAGGCTGCTGCTTTTACTCACTAGAAGCTGGGAGCCCTTTTCTTCTTCCCCGATCCCTTCCTTTAAAACAGTTTCTTTTGTCTTAAGTTTTCATTTCTACATTTGTCCTCCTTAGTTCAGTCTGGTAATGACAGTCTCAAGCAGTAACAGTAGTAACTCTCATAATGACTGTCTCAAGTAGAAACAGTAGTAACTGTCATAGTGACCATCTCAAGTAGTAACCGTGGCAATCTGCCACAGATGTGTGTAAAGTTGTAGATATTAATGTTAATTTCTGAGTGTAGGTATACTTTAGAAGCAAATATACACAGCCAAATCACTGACACAACAAGCAACGATTGTTAATGCCATTCTCGTGATTATTTTAGAGTTATTAAGTGTGGCCGTTAGCTGTGTTCAAAATTTAATATTATGTTTCTATTCTTCCAACTATAGATATTGTGTGTTAGCTATATCTGAGCAGAATTATTTGTTAAATTTTTTAAAGATAAAAATCAATCATCATGAAATTTAAGTTTTATACATTATATTGATATCTAGTCTATTTGAAAAACATGAACAACCGTAACAGCAAAATTATTTACTAAAGCACTTCTCTATATCACTTAATAATTCTGGAGTTTTCAGCCATTTTCTATAATGTTGTCTTTCAGGCATTAAATGATGCTATGAGATTTGAAATGTCAACATATTAACATTATAACAGTGTAGGTAGAAAAGCTAAATTTAGAATCATTTTCTATTTCCACCTGATTTTAGAAAGTGAACAAAATTTATAGAGGTGCTGAAATGTGTGTATAATTATTTTCCATTCCAATGTTTAATATACCCTGGACATGTTGAAGTGAGAATAATCCTGAGAAGGCAGTCCTTTCACCTAATAATAAAACACTGAAACTATTGTTATTTTGATAAAACCATATTTTTTTCAAAATTCTCAAAACTTGGATTTTCTTCTTTTAACCATTTCTGCATTTTCCTATTTGCCAAACAAGAAAACAGATTCAGACAGTTTTAAATTAAATTAGGCTATAGTCTGCTGATTTTGAACCAAAGTAACAAGATTTTTCTATACCCTGAATTATCCTGTAATGATAATTTATTCAAAATGTGCCTTATTTCCAGGCTTAGGTCTGTCATATTTATCATAGAGTTCAAACTTCTCTTATATATTAGACAATTCCTTAAAAGGGAATCTAAATTGAGAAAATAATTTCCATGTATTTCAAAATGGCTCTCAGAAGAAGTTTGAAAATTTATCATAGAGAATTAATGAGATAGAATTTTTGAAAGCTTAAAAATTCTGATTCTTACAGAAATGTTTTTTGTTTTATTAATTTGAAATTATATTTTTGATATTAAGGGAAACAGTTTTTACCAAATTAATATTTTATATGTTTTAAAGTGCTCCTGAAAATAGTTTTTACATTGATTTGGAGGGTTACAAGAAGGCTACAGTTTTGATCATTTTGAGAGCCTAACCCATTTTACATTTTGTCTATACATTACAAATTTGTTATTTATTCTTCTAAGCAATAAATATTAACTAATAGAATCAATAAAAAATACCTTAAATGTAAACTGATATTAACACAACTGAATACATATACACTATTATAAATAGTTTTGAAAGGAACAGCAACTACACAGAATAAATGAAGTTCTAATCAAAGGCACACTTTTTTCCTGAAAATCCCATCTAAAAAACTAAACTAACAATGAAATCAATATTATTATGTTCACCCCAGCCTACAAAAATTCACTTCATATCTATTAGGGTTACGGGCAGTTACTAGAAATTTGTAGTTTCATAATACTTATTATTTTTCAGGACAAATAAGTTTTTTTTGTAATGAAGAAAAACATCAATCGTAGAGGCAATTGTGGTTATACTTCCTATAAATATTTGATTCTAATGAATACATTTTCTTTTCTTTTGTCACACAGAAAAATGTTTCATGTCCGACTTTTTATTTACTGTCTTACCCAAGCATCTCATCCTTAAATACTGAATATTTAAGGGGACATATCAATATCAACTGTAACTGTATTGTCAGATATGAGCAAGCTGACGTGAATTGTACACGAATGCTTCCATTTAGATACACAACCAAATGTTTTCTGACTATGTTTGAACCATGTCAATAAAAATGAACTAGAATTATAAATATCCCTACTGCTATAGAATGAATATTTGCATCCCCTCAAAATGTGCATTTCAAAATTTCTTCCTTTAATCCACGGTACTTGGAAGTGAGGTCTTGGGGAGGCTCTACCCTCTTGAATGAGATTAGTGATCTTGTTAAAGAAATCCAGAGAGCCCCCTTGCTCTTCGGCTATGTGAGGACACAAGGAGAAGGCACTATTTATGAACCAGGAAGCAGGCCCTCACCAGACATCAAATCTGCTGGTGCCTTAATCTCAGACTTCCTAGCCTCCAAAACTGTGGGAAGCAAATTTCTTTCTCTTTTTTTGAGACGGAATCTCACTCTGTCGCCCAGGCTACAGTGCAGTGGCGCGATCTCAGCTCACTGCAAGCTCCGCCTCCCGGGGTTCACGCCATTCTCCTGTCTCGGCCTCCCTAGTAGCTGGGACTACAGGCACCCACCACCATGCTCGGCTAAGTTTTTGCATTTTTAGTAGAGATGGGGTTTCACCGTGTTGGCCAGGATGGTCTTGATCTTCTGACCTTGTGATCCACCTGCCTCGACCTCCCAAAGTGCTGGGATGACAGGCGTGAGCCACCGCGCCCGGCCAAGAAGCAAATTTCTTGTATGCATAAGCCATTCAGGTAGTGGTAGTTTGTTTGTTTGTTTGTTTCTTTCTTTCTTTCTTCTTTCTTTTTGTTTTTAATAGCAGCACAAATGGACTAAGCCAGCTACATGTTGAAAAGATAGCTATTCAACTCTAAATTCTTTATCTAAAATTACATTATTTAATAAAAAGATGGGTATTTAAGCTCCATTCACTCTTACAAATTGTGTTAAGGCCTAAATCATATAAATGCAGTAAAAACCTGTGATACCACTAATGATAATGAATAAGATGAGATCAGATTTAAAGTAATTGCCTCCAGATCCTGAGATCTGCAGACAGGCTAGCTGTGCAGTCATGCGTGAATCATTTAATTAAACTCATAATAATACCATCCTGTATTTTTGATAGGATGGTATTATTTTTAGACACTAATTATGTGTTATGATGTTTTAGTGTTACATATGTTGTTTGTGTATATATGTGTGTATGAATGAGGGTGTGGTTGATATTTTCATGGTACATAAATGCTTTTATAAATGAACTATTTTTCAAAATCTTTATCAGACATTTGACATAATCAGTGATTGAGAAGACGATTAAAAAAAATTCTGGGTGGACAGGTATTTGAAAAACAATTTAAGTTACATGAGAAACCATTCAACTCTAATGATTTCCCCACATTTTTTTCAGCTTTATGTACTTCAGCCACTTCATTCACTTTTAATGTGTCATGTAGAGTGCCATTTATTTCCCTAATACTACCCCATCCCCTTTCACTTAATGACATCCAAGCTTCAAATGGCCCAGAATTTACTTCATGAAACACAACATGGTACAGAAGAAGGATATAATGTGGTAGTTTTTACTCCCCACTTTATTGCTTAATGCTAGTTTTAGTCATTAAATTCCGAGGTTCAATATATACATTTGTAAAAATCTAATAATAAACCTGCCCTAATACACTGGATCACTGTAAATAAAAACATTAACGAGCATGCAAATGTGAGACCCAGGTTTTTGTTGGAACTATAAAACATGTTCTATCAAAGCAATTATCCAACAAAACATTTTAAAGCATGTGTCTGAGTACAGTATACTCAGCGTCATGCCTGTAAGTGAACATGGCACACGCAGGATCCGCCTCATAAAACTTGGAAGCCCATGGCCAATGTCATTCAGGCCCACACTTATTAATGAGTCCATAAGGAAACATAAATTGAATATGTTACATTTGGAGTAGCAGTTTGTTCTGATAAAACATGTTTCTAATACACGAATCCGCTCTTACATGATTGTTGAATAGGAAAACTTTGTTTATTTTCAGCATTGGGTTGCTTCAGATGTAATTTGAATCGCGAGTAGTGGGCAGAGAATCCTAACTTTTAAGAAAAGGTCCGTAATGTGACTGCTGTACAGGCAGGAGAGCTTTCAACTTCACAAAGCCTCCGTTCACACAGAAGCACACCTTGCTGTCACCTCTGGCAGCTGCCACTTCCTCCTGTGCTCACAGCAATACATCCAGATGGCAGATGCAGCCTCTCAGAGCTCACAACACTTTGACAATATTTTTTAAAACCCCTGAAGCAGCATTCAGTCCTACTGAGATGCCTGGCTAGACTCTTCACATTATCTGTTGATGAACCAGTAGTTGCTTTCCATAATATTCGGATATAAACTTGCATAGGTTTTGAATGGTCTGGCCCAACTCTATTTTTTTCATGGGATCAGTTATTACAGTATGAGTGATTTTGTTTTCAGGAAAGCCTATATTCTTGTAAAACAAAAACTCCTAGTCCCTCAATTTGGAGTGCCACTATTAGAATATATTTCTAAGTGTAACATCTATTAATAAAATACAATTGAAATTTTTCTTGTAATAAGCAAGAAAAAGTTGTTGGCGTAATAAAACAACTGCTATGTGTTGTCTTAGGTGCAGTTTTGTAAAAAGTGATGCTATAAATCTTCGGGTTGGACAGTTTTTCCTTTAAAAGGAAGTCTGACTTATTTAAGGCCTATGGACTATGGAAAACAGGTTAGTAGCAGTATACGGGAGAGAATCAAGTCAATGTGGGTCATTGCAAAGGTCCAAAACAAAAGGAAAAATGGAAGCAGAACCTTCTGGAATAGAAGCACTGTGTGGGTTGATGTGAAACAAAACCAGTGCCCAGGAAGAGATTTATCAGTTTTGGTAACGAGAAGATGGAAATAAGAAAGAGGTGAACAGGATCTGGTTCAGGAACCATCCCGCAGTGGTGCCTGTTTCATAAATAGGGCTGTTCTCCACCAAATTCTCAAGAACCAAGGTGCCCAGTGCTCAGCTGCTAGCAACTCAGTCTCCATGCCATGTGACCGCTGCTCATTTTCCATCATAGTGCTAAATAAATGGTTGTGCACTACTTAAGTAACAAGTTAACTGAGTTTCATGACACATGGCAATTCTATGCCGATATGTGTATCACGGATATTGAGCATGGAACTGGGTGGAACTACAGATACTAAAGAGATCTATGACACTGAATCCCAAAGGAATACTGGGGAATTCTCACCAGAGGATAAGAAAGCTAAAGAGGGTATTGTTTTTGCTAAGACTCTTTCATAACAGGTGGAAGAGCAAAGTATTAAGAGTCTGGGATCTATCCCTAGGTATATAAGTTTCAGAAAACCTATACAGAAGATCAGCATTACCAGTGTGTTTAATAAGCACACATTACTGGTGTGTTTAATAAGTATATTTTTGGGAAGTTGAACATAATTGGAATTTGTCACATGAGTGAGCCAATCTAACTAAGCATTCCATTCAAATCAGAGAAACATGAGTTTAGACATTAGGAAAGGAATTTGAATTGTAAAAATTCTATTATACAGGTTATGCTCTGATATTTTGTGATGTTACGATGTTCTATCTAATTTAATTTTTAGGTTGTTTCATTTTTTTTTTTTTTCCTTTTTTTGACCCAAAGCACAGTTACTCAACATAGGGAACTTTTGTCCTTTTCCTGCATAATTCCTAAATATGCTTATAATATATGTATTTGGAAGAAGTATTAGGAATACTCTATTCCCCATCCCATTGTTAAAGCTTTGAAAGACACACACACACACACACATACACACACACACACAAATCTGGAGGTGTCCTAAGGCTGCAAAACAAATTCTTATAAATAAAACGTGTTAACTAACTACTACGTTACATTTCCCATTTACTTCCTCTTTCTCTGAGCTTCCTTCAGTGAAATCTGTTTTTGTTGTCTTAAGGTAAGCAACACTGATCTTGTGTTGGATTCCACTATGCACTTCCTGACATCTGTATATCACCAGGGTCTGCTACTTCCAAGGAGACAAATCTCCCCTGCCAATTTCGCCAGATAACACTTCTTCCTACATGGCATTACCCCCTGCTCACAGGTACTGCCAACTCTTACTGGCCATTGCCAGTTCTGTGACACATCAGAAATTGCTGAAGTAACATTTTTCCTTTACACTCTTCAACCTAAATCATAATAAGTCAAGTGCTAATAGGGGAAAATGCATCTGCCATGGGTACAGTGGTGCACCACACAGATAACCAGCTGCAGGGCTGAAACTCTCATTTGCTGAGCTGCTAGGAAAGTTGAGTGTCTATGCGCAAAGCCACACTCCTCTCCATAAATTGCCTTCAGTCAAAGGAACCAGCTTTGTTTGAGACTATACTCCTTGTGGAGGGTATCCTTCATCCAGCGCTTGGTTGATGCAGGGGTACAAACTCGTGCTCCCTTGCTTCTATTCACAACATATTGTTCACAAGGAAGATTTAAAAATCCCATCCTTTTCAATTTTTCAGATTTTTTGTAGAAATGTTGTTATTTCTTCCAAAAAATATTTTGTAGAATTCAATGAAGCCGACTAGACCTGAACTTTGCTTAATGGAAAGATTCTCAACTACAAATTCAAATATTTTTCTGTAACTCTATTGTTGCACTATTCACATGGGTTCAAAAACAGTGTTGCTTGTACTTCAGTATCTGACACGTTTATAGAGGAATTGTAGGGTTTTTTTCATTTCTTATATTCATACCATTGTCCCACTGTTATTTCTCTCATGTAATCCAAACATGTACAATGGAATCAGAATTGGCAAGCAACTGATACCATTCTATAATGAGACATATATGGTTTCTTCCAAACTAAGTTCTTTTGTTTGTTATGTTTCCAGGCTAGTCTCAAAGTCCTGGGCTCAAGCAATTCTCCCACTTCATCCTCTCAAGTAAAGTAGCTGGGATTAGATGCGTACGCCACAACACCCAGCTAAAACTAAGTTCCGTTTACTAGGTTGATCTTGTCCATCTGTCTTTCTCTTTCTTTGTAAATGTTCTGTTTGAATCTGATTTCCTAGAAAACAGCCTGATGATATGCTCGTATGGTAATACTTTTATTGAGGGTAGGGTACAATTGGATGTAACAAGCATGAGGTTGAAAAAATAAGTTGTGCATGAAGAGAGCGAATGCATAAAAATAAAGTTACACATTATTAAGCTGGCCACGATATCTCAGGAAAATATAACTGTTCTCAATATTTCGGGATATTTTTAAGGAAACTCTGTGGAACTGCTGCATCTTAGAACAATCCATCAATAGGAAGAAAAAAGAAAAACCTTATCTTCCAATTCTTTTATATCAATTGTCTTAATTTGGTCAAAATTTGCCCTACAGAAAGAAGCTATACTTCCAGAATGTATTTTTCAGACCCTCTAGGACTTCCCTGTGGTGTTCGGAGAATCTGGACTCCAAAACTGCTGGGTTCCCACAAAAACCAACATTGCCACCAGGAAGACTGAGTCAGCAGATCATGCTAAGTGATGAGCTTACAGTGATGGGTAGAACTTCATGACCATGTGAAAGCCCAACACATGTCTGGGCCTCTCGTCAGGAAGACATACCAAGTAGTCAGGCCCAAAGTGGCAACTAGGGCCGAGGATATCTAGGAGGATAAATAAATTCAGACTGGTGCAAGTTCACACTAAGTAGCATCTCACAAAAACTAGCTTCTGGTGGGCCTGAAATATCACCAGTTCCTCTTATTAGTCCAGATATCTGTTCCAGGAAATAGACACCACTACACTGCTAACGCTAAAGTTAGTACTTCCTGCCCAGAAAATTCCCTGAAATAAGAGCAGAAACTATGTTGTTTATATGAATTCGAAGTGAACAGAACACGTCTCAGTTTTTCTCTCACAGTTTTGCAGAGCCTTGGAGAATCAGCATTTAGGAATGCTGCTCTGAGTGCTAGCACTGGGTAATACTAGATAAATACCTGTTCTTGCTGGATTTGGTGTCAGTAATGGAGCCCAACAATTTCTGCAGCCCCTGAGAAAAACTGTGTGGGCTTACAAAAAAGCAAAACTAAACAAAAAAAAAACTATAAAACAAAAAAAATCCTAACTGTATGGTTACAAGGTAGGGCATCACAGTGATTTCATAATCTGAGGTGAATTATGAGCACTGTGACACCCTAGGTTTGGAATTGTGAAAGTGCTTGCAATAAATAGGGTTCTTTAACTTTCAGAAGATGATGTTTTCAAAATTATTGGAGTAGCTTCCAAAATTCTAAAGTAAAAAATCAAATTAGCTAAAGGTGGTGCCTTTGCTTTTCTATTCCTTATTCCAATAAAATGCTTCAGAAGAATACTCCCTAAGGCTGTCACTGTCTCTACTCTTGAAGGTCATAATTTGAAGGGTGCCTACTGTATCCTCAACCAAGTTTAGAATTGTAATGCCATTTTCAACTCTGCTAGAGTTACATGCCCTCCAATAGAGAAAGCCCTCTGTAGCAGTTCCTGTGGATGCTGCCCATGCAGAAACCTCTGTCAATACCACCCTTGAGTAAAACAATGGAGTAGCTCTCTTTCTCTGAACCTAACAACATACCTTCTGAGTAAGCGTTCTCCTTAAGTTAGACATCTCTACATGTTGTCTAGTGGAAGACTGCAAAATTTCTTTTTAGGGTTTTGGAAAACCTTTCATTCCCCTCATGTATTCTAGCTACAAGGAAGAATTTCTTTTTCCTTTTGGAAGTTTTTATACTTAAGGATTAAAAAAACATGAAATAGAGATAAACTTTCCTGTTCATTTTCTGAATTATCCAAGTTTGCAGAAATACTTTGAGTATTTAAATAAGTCATTCTATCCTGTAGCACCTGTATAGCTGAAGACTAATTCTCCCTGATTCCAGCAGAAGTCATTATGTTAAGTTTAATTTTGCATCCATTTTAAAAACAGAGTACACAGCTGGGAACTCTCTTAAGGGCATGTGTAAAACAAACTGTATCCTCCCAGTAGACTTATCATGTCAGCACTAAGACTCATGGCCTATGGCTGCCACAAAAAGCTATGAATATGTAATATAAACTGAAACCCAAGTGTCCCCAATGAATTATTCTGTGAAACAATTCACTGGGCCTATCCAAAAATTCATTCTTAAAAAAATTAAAAGACTAAGTCATTACTAGGTTTTCTTTACCGATACCAACTCAATATTTTTAAGTGGAGTAAAAATGTATATAGTGATTGTTTCATTCTTGACAAATGATTTAAAATGCTATGAAACTACTCTCCCTTTTCACCCTGATCTCAGAATTTTAGAAGTCTATAAAAATTGTGTAGAGTACCTCCCATCATGTAACAAAGCACCCTCGATCTTCAGACCACAAAGACAAACTCTCCGACTTTTGTATTCCCTCTCAAATTTCCAAGACAAAAGTAGCCTATATGTGGAACAATTTGTGTTGGAAGCTGACAGGTCCATTCATTTTTTTAAAAATCAATAACTTTTTTGCCAGACCCCCAAGTGTGTGCCTCATGAGATGTCATTAAATTCTAGAACTGAACCTGCTGGGCCCAGGCATTCCTTACTGCTACAACCAATGGGCAGTATCTGATTTTATTACAAACACTAGCACAAAGTATATACAAGCAAAGAAACAGCCGCCAGATAAAAAGCATTAATTGAATTGCATTCAACCTGCCTTAATTAATCCTTTAACTGGCAGACATAGGGTTGTAAGCAGTTTTAATGTATCTATTATTGTGAACTTAAAATTGATGCAGGGAAACAAAAGGAAGTAACAAACACATAGACATAATTCAATTAAAAGCCATTGAATCGTATTGTCTAGATGAACTGCTTGTCAGAAGTTGTTAATTATCTATAGCTCCAGAATACCAAATCAGGAAACATTTTCTAATTAACTATTGAGCATCATTTCGCTAGTTCTACATTGTTTTGGATTTATAAATGACTAAATTATACGTGTGTATTTTTATGTTTTCTCCTATCAATTAAATCAACGTATATAACTAGCTTCATTTTAACAATGAATCAACAGAAGAACAGGCAGAGGAAAACTAACTTGGGCAAAAACCCTTAACTAATTAGGAGACCTATGGTTCTCAACTCATGATTATACTACCTATTTTATGTCATATTAGCAAGAAATTATTTTTCTTTTCTACTTCATTTATTGGACAGCTCTCTTCAGCATTGACTAAAACACTTGCCCAGACCCTTTTCTACTTTAAAATATTTTATACTTAGGCTTCATCCTTGCTACATTTTTGGGGTCTGAGCAGAGCTAGCATTCTCACATGTCTTACAGAAGCTTACATCTTCAATCTTTTATCATCAAACAACTGTACAATTCATTCAGACTCCCTATATTTATATCAGTTTAACTCATAGAAACAGCCAGAGGAGTTGCTGAAAAAGAAAATATCTATCTCTATGGAGTTAGTATAGAATTCTGAAAAAAAACTGTAAAGAGGAACTAAATTAATAGTATTTACTTGCAGGTGTTATTGTGAAAAGTAATGGAATTATCCATATTACATTTTGAGACCCATTTAAACATGTAAGCACTCAATACATGCTTGCTCTTATTACAGATGGTTTTGTTACTAGGAATTAACATGAAGCCAGCCAATTCCTCTAAATTCCATTCACTTGTTAAAATTAAACATGTAAAAATATATTTCATGTTCTCCAAAAATTACAGTTTTGAATGTAAGGGAGATATACCATATCAGGAACTAGAATTATTTATTTTTAAATATCTATATGACATAATAAGTATTGTTCAACTTCAAAGCCTCTTAAGTATTCCTTTTAAAAAGTAGCTCTGTCTTGTAACTATAACAGAGCATAATGACTTTTGCTCTTCTCCGTTTAGGCTACCAGGGGCACTAAATACAAACATGTTTGTGTTTACTAATTCATAATCTTCACCCAGTTCTAGTCGTTTTCCTCCATTCATTTTTAGGCTCATGGTGGTCAACACACAGGAGTCATGTTTATGTCAGGAGAGAAATTAAAACCGCTGTGGAACAAAAAGATCTTCCCAAATCTTGTAGTCCTTAAATTCTCAGAATTTGTTTTGTTTCTTTCTTAGACTCACTTGCTTCTTCCTATCTTTATGACCCAGTGGCTAGTATTTCAACAAACATGAAAGCTGGGAGAACTAATTGATTTTGAAGAAGTAAAGGTGAAAAAATGAATAAGGTATGTGGTTGAAAATTGTGTAAGATAAAAGTTACTTATATACAATTGGTGAGAATTAGGGTATTAAAGCCATTCTGGAAGGCATCTGGCTGCAAAATGAAGAATTTACGTATGAATGTGCTGTGAGCAATGTGTTTACTTTTAGTAGTTCTAGTGATCTAGGCTGCAGAAATACAGCAACAAAAACAGAGGGTTTTTTGCTCTGTAAGTGAGAATAATCTAATTCTAGAGAAATAAAATTTGAAGAAAGGAAAAGTGATGGTTGCCTCAGACATATGAGAAACTAAGGACTAGAATGTTTTCAGTATTCTTTCTTCCTCATTCTTTCCTTATCTCTTTTAAACATAGAGGAAAATACAGTCATTGGTACATCCCAATCTTTTCTATTTGCAGCATCCACTACCAGAGAAAGATGGGTAATTTAGAAGTCCTTGTAATAGGTCTTAAGTATTGTGGTGACGAGATCCAGTTCCTGTGGAAAAAAAACTTACTATTTATATGGGAGTGGGGATGTACAAGAGATCCTTGTAGATGAAGAAATGAGGAGGATGGGTGGCTACGCAAGTGATACACATTTTAGCCTCAGTTTAACACTAATGAATATTTCAAACTATTGAAAATAATAAAAGGCAAATGAGTGCTTAAATATGTGAACAAACACACAAATGAAAGAGCATTTGAAGCAAAATGCTACTGTAAAAATAACCTAACCCAATCCCTCAAATAAGGTGCTATTTAGTGTTTGTTTATTGAATAAATACATTAATAAATATTTGAATAGCTATTTGTTGATAAGGATATTTGCTACTTTGACCCAAAGAGGGGTATACAAAAATAATGCAAATTAGTGTGTTTTATCAATTTAGTAATATTGTTATATAGTGACCAAAGACAAATTAATAAAATATTTGTTCTAACTCTATTATGAAATAATCCAACAAATATATATATGCAAATATATCAAAATTGAAAAAAATATATATATGCTTCTGTTAGAATAATCTTATTTAAAGAATTAGAATATTTTATTGAGACATGCTATTGTAGATAAGTGGGTATACTGCTGAACCTATTTTTACAGACATTATTAAAATAAATACATCTAGCTTTGTTTTCTGGCAATCATTTTCCCACAAACAAGACATTTCATTAACCCACCAGTTTCCATTTTAACTCCTTGTATCTTAGTTACAAAGCCTTTGTGTGCATCTCCTTGACACTTATAGTATGTAAGTAAAATCCCATTTTTATCCTTAAGAGTATCTGAAATTATAATGCAAAAATAAATTGCTGATGTTTTCAAAAGACAAAATGGTTGAACCACTAATGAGACTGATAAAAGAATACAAAGAGAAAGCACAAATAATGCAGGGTAGCCCATGAAAATACATCACTGCAGTACTAAAGAATTTTTAAAAGGTAATGATAATATATTATGGACAGTATTTCATTTTATTTTGATTTTATTTTTAATTGATAAGTACTTGTATATATTTATGGGTACACAATGATATTATAATACATGTGGAAATAATATGAAAATGTATGTAAAATATTTTTAAGAATGCAATTTTTACAGCTATCATGAGACAAAATTGGTGATCCATATAGTAATAAGTGAAGCTAGTAAATTTATAATTTAAAATATTTAAATTTTTCCAAAGCAAAATCAAACGAACGAAACACTGCTCTAGGATCAGATTTTTGTTCACCAGTAAACTCTATCAAATATTTAAGAAAAGTAATCCCAATCATGGAAAAATGCCTACAGTAAATAAAAAGAAAGAGAGTACCTACCTTAATGAGCCCAGAATAATACTGACATTTAACTGGACAAGGACATAATCGAGTAAAATTTCATGCCAATTTTACAAATGAACATTGAAGCAAAAGACCTAAGTAAAATATAAAAATAATTGCAACATTTTAGAAAGTCAATATAACAAGAAAAAATGATAAATTTCTGTAATTCCAGATTGGATTAATAATTGAAAAACAATAAATATAAGATGCCATATTAATAAAATAATAAAAATCTTAGAATTATCTCAATTTGATGAATATACTTGCTAATTTTATTCAACATTTAAATAATAAATTTTGTTAAATTTATTAAATCCACTTAAAAGCTAAAAAATAAACTTAGCTAACTGGAAATGGGATGTAACTTCTTAGTCAAATGGTATCTACAAACATCTAAAAAAGCATAATTAATGGTAAAATTATAAAAGCTTTCTTGTGGATCTCATTTGATGTCATTATTCACCCGTATAAGGATTCTCTAAATGAAAACTTCAAAATAATTTAAGGAAATATATAAGAATGTTTAAATTTGTTTATTAAAATACCTGGACACAAGTCAACACAAGACAATCAATTGTATTTTTACATAATTATATTCTCTGAAAATGTAGACCTTGAGGAATAGTACCACTTATTGTATTAAACATATAAAATATCTCAAAACAAAAACTATTAAACCCTAATGAAAGAAATTATAAACCTCAATAAATAAAAAGAATTTATCATGTTCACTGATTGAAATATTCTTTATATCAAACATACTAAACCCTTCCCCTAAGTTAAACTATAAATTTAATATAATCCAAACATATATTTCATAGTTAAAATATGTGAATCTAAAAGTTGAAAGGTTCATTTTAAATTGTATGTGAATGTTCAAGAGTCCAGGAATATCATAGAGAATATTGAATAGTTAACATAACAGAAAAACTTTATTGTTTATCAAGACTTATTACAAAGTTGTAGTAATTTGGGCAACATACTATTGGCTTTAGGGTAAACTGACAGCCCAATGATCAGAGTAGGAGCCCATAAGCAAATTCACTCATATATGCCCAATTCACTTATGGAAAGCTTTGGAGGAAGAAGCATCTTATCAATAAATAGTGTTGGGTCAGCTTGAAACTTATGAAGAAAAAAATTAGTTTGCTCTTGCCCCTCTACCTCTTTTAATTTTGATGTTAGGGTGTTGATTTGAGATCTTTGTAGTTTCTGATGTGGGCATTTAGTGCTATAAATTTCCCTCTTAACACTGCTTTAGCTGTGTCCCAGAGATTCTGGTATGTTGTCTCTTTTTTCTCATTGGTTGCAAAGATCTTCTTGATCTCTGCCTTAATTTCCTTATTTACCCAGGGGTCATTCAGGAGCAGGTTGTTCAATTTCCATGTAATTGTGTGGTTTTGAGTGAGTTTCTTAATCTTGAGTTCTAATTTGATTCCACTGTGGTCTCAGAAACTGTCATGATTCCAATTATTTTGCATTTGCTGAGGAGTGTTTTACTTCCAATTATGTGGTTGATTTTAGAATAAGTTCCATGTGACACTGAGGAGAATGTCATGTTCTGTTGATTTGGGGTAGAGAATGCTGTAGACATCTACTAGGTCCACTTGATCCAGAGCTGAGTTCAAGTCCTAAATATCCCTGTCAATTTTCTGTTCCAATGATCTGTCTAAATTTTCTGTTTCGTTGATCTGTCTAATATTGACAATGGGTTGTTAACGTCTCCCACTATTATTTGTGAGAGCCTAAGTCTCTTTGTGGGTCTCTATGAACTTGTTTTATGAACTTGGGTGCTCCTGTATAGGGTGCATATATATTTAGGATAGTTAGCTCTTTTTGATGAATTGATCCTTTTACCATTATGTAATGCCCTTCTTTGTCTTTTTTGATCTTCGTTGGTTTAAAGTCTGTTTTGTCAGAGACTAGTATTGCAACCCCTGTTTTTTTTGTTTGTTTATTTGTTTGTTCGCTTTCCATTTGCTTTGTAATTTTTCCTCCATCCCTTTATTTTGAGCCTGTTTGTGCCTTTGCACATAAAATGGGTCTTCTGAATACAGTACACCAATATGTCTTGACTCCTTATCCAATTTGCCAGTCTTAGTATTTCAATAGGGGCATTTATCCCATTTACATTTAGTGTTAGTATTGTTATGTGTGAATTTGAGCTTGTCATCATGATGATATTTGGTTATTTTGCACACTAGTTGATGCAGTTTCTTCATAGTATCATTGGTCTTTATATTTTGGTATGTTTTTGCAGTGGCTGGTACCAGTTTTTCCTTTCAACATTTAGTGCTTCTTTCAGGAGCTCTTGCAGGGCAGGCCTGGTGGTAACAAAATCTCTCAGCATTTACTTATTTAAAAAGGATTTTATTTCTCCTTTGCTTATGAAGCTTAATTTGGCTGGATATGGAATTCCGGGTTGAAAATTCTTTTCTTTAAGAATGTCGAATGTTGGCCCCCAATCTCTTCTGCCTTATAGGGTTTCTTCTGAGAGGTCCACTGTTAGTCTGATGGGTTTCCCTTTGTAGGTGACCTAGCCTTTCTCTCTGGCTGCCCTTAACAGTTTTTCCTTCACTCCGACTTTGGAGAATATGATGATCGTGTGTCTTGGGGTTGATCTTCTTGTGGAATATCTTAACGGTGTTTTCTGTATTTCCTGAATTTGCATGTTGACCTGTCTTGCAAGGTTGGGGAAGTTCTCCTGGATAATATCCTGAAGTGTGTTTTCCAGCTTGTTTCCATTCTCCCTGTCTCCTTCAGGTACTCCAATCAACCGTAGGTTCAGTGTTCTTATGGAGTCCCATATTTCTTGGAGGCTATGTTCATTCATTTTCATTCCTTTTTCTCTATTCTTGTCTGCATGTCTTATTTCAGTAAGGTGATCTTCAAACTCTGATATCCTTTCTTCCACTTGGTTGATTCAGCTGTTGATACTTGTGTATGCTACACGAAGTTCTTGTGATGTGTTTTTCAGCTCCTTCAGATCATTTATGTTCCTCTGTAAACTGGTTATTCTAGTTAGCAATTCCTTTAACCTTTTATCAAGGTTCTTAGCTTCTTTGCATTGGGTTAGAACATGCTCCTTTAGCTCAGGGTAGTTTTTATTACCCATCTTCTGAAGTCTACTTCTGTCAATTCATCCATCTGATCCTTCATCCAGTTCTGCACGCTTGATGGAGAAATGTTGCAATCATTTGGAGGAGAAGAGACACTCTGGCCTGTTGGTTTTCAGCATTGTTTGGTTGATTCTTTCTCATCTTTGATTGTCTAGTTTCAGTCTTTGAGGCTACTGACGCTTGGATGGGGTTTTGGGCCATAATGCCCAAAGTAAACTATAGATTCAATACTATTCTCATCAAACTACCATTGACATTCTTCACAGAATTACAAAAATGTTTTAAATTTCATATGAAATAAAAGAAGACCCTGAATAGCTGAGACAATCCTAAGCAAAAAGAATAAACTAAAGGCAGCATGCTACCTGACTTCAAACTATACTACAAGGCTACAGTAACCAAAACAGTATGGTACTCATACCAAAACAGACATATAGACCAATGGAGCAGAACAGAGTCCTCAGAAATAACACCATGCATCTACAACCATCTAATCTTTGATGACCTTGACAAAAACAAGCAATGGGAAAACGATCTTCTATTCAGTAAATGATGCTGAGAAAACTGGCTAGCCATATGCAGAAAACTGAAACTGGACCCCTTACTTACACCATATTTTTTTTTTTCCTCTTTCTTTTTTTTATTATTATTATACCTTAAGTTTTAGGGTACATGTGCACAATGTGCAGGTTTGTTACATATGTATACATGTGCCATGTTGGTGTGCTACACCCATTAACTCGTCATTTAGCATTAGGTATATCTCCTAATGCTATCCCTCCCCCCATCCCACAACAGTCCCCAGAGTGTGATGTTCCCCTTCCTGTGTCCAAGTGTTCTCATTGTTCAATTCCCACCTATGAGTGAGAACACACGGTGTTTGGTTTTTTGTCCTTATGATAGTTTGATGAGAATGATGGTTTCCAGTTTCATCCATGTCCCTACAAAGGACATGAACTCTTCATTTTTTATGGCTGCATAGTATTCCGTGGTGTATATGTGCCACATTATCTTAATCCTGTGTATCGTTGTTGGACATTTGGGTTGGTTCCAAGTCTTTGCTATTGTGAATAGTGCTGCAATAAACATACATGTGCATGTGTCTTTATAGCAGCATGATTTATAATCCTTTGGGTATATACCCAGTAATGGGATGGCTGGGTCAAATGGTATTTCTAGTTTCTAGATCCCTGAGGAATCGCCACACTGACTTCCACAATGGTTGAACTAGTTTACAGTTCCACCAACAGTGTAAAAGTGTTCCTGTTTCTCCACATCCTCTCCAGCACCTGTTGTTTCCTGACTTTTTAATGATTACCATTCTAACTGGTGTGAGATAGATAGTATCTCATTGTGGTTTTGATTTGCATTTCTCTGATGGCCAGTGATGATGAACATTTTTTCATGTGTTTTTTGGCTTCATAAATGTCTTCTTTTGAGAAGTGTCTGTTCATATCCTTTGCCCACTTTTTGATGGGGTTGTTTCTTTCTTGTAAATTTGTTTGAGTTCATTGTAGATTCTGGATATTAGCCCTTTGTCAGATGAGTAGATTGCAAAAATTTTCTCCCATTTTGTAGGTTGCCTGTTCCCTCTGATGGTAGCTTCTTTTGCTGTGCAGAAGCTCTTTAGTTTAATGAGATCCCATTCGTCAATTTTGGCTTTTGTTGCCATTGCTTTTGGTGTTTTAGACATGAAGTCCTTGTCCATGCCTATGTCCTGAATGGTATTGCCTAGGTTTTCTTCTAGGGTTTTTATGGTTTTAGGTCTAACATGTAAGTCTTTAATCCATCTTGAATGAATTTTTGTATAAGGTGTAAGGAAGGGATCCAGTTTCAGCTTTCTACATATGGCTAGCCAGTTTTCCCAGCACCATTTATTAAATAGGGAATCGTTTCCCCATATCTTGTTTTTGTCAGGTTTGTCAAAGATCAGATGGTTGTAGATATGTGGCATTATTTCTGAGGCCTCTGTTCTGTTCCATTGGTCTATATCTCTGTTTTTGTACCAGTACCATGCTGTTTTGGTTACTGTAGCCTTGTAGTATAGTTTGAAGTCAGATAGCATGATGCCTCCAGCTTTGTTCTTTTGGCTTAGGATTGACATGGCTATGCGGGCTCTTTTTTGGTTCCATATGAACCTTAAAGTAGTTTTTTCCAATTCTGTGAAGAAAGTCATTGGTAGCTTGATGGGGATGGCATTGAATCTATCAATTACCTTGGGCAGTATGGCCATTTTCATGATATTGATTCTTCCTACCCATGAGCATGGAATGTTATTCCATTTGTTTGTGTCCTCTTTGATTTCATTGAGCAGTGGTTTGTAGTTCTCCTTGAAGAGGTCCTTCATGTCCCTTGTAAGTTGGATTCCTAGGTATTTTATTCTCTTTGAAGCAATTGTAAATGGGAGTTCACTCATGATTTGGCTCCCTGCCTGTTATTGGTGTATAAGAATGCTTGTGATTTTTGTACATTGATTTTGTATCCTGAGACTTTGCTGAAGTTGCTTATCAGCTTAAGGAGATTTTGGGCTGAGACAATGGGGTTTTCTAGATATACAATCATGTCATCTGCAAACAGGGACAATTTGACTTCCTCTTTTCCTAATTGAATACCCTTTATTTCCTTTTCCTGCCTAATTGCCCTGGCCAGAACTTCCAACACTATGTTGAATAGCAGTGGTGAGAGAGGGCATCCCTGTCTTGTGCCAGTTTTCAAAGGGAATGATTCCAGTTTTTGCCCATTCAGTATGATATTGGCTGTGGGTTTGTCAGAGATAGCTCTTATTATTTTGAGATACGTCCCATCAATACCTAATTTATTGAGAGTTTTTAGCATGAAGGGTTGTTGAATTTTCTCAAAGGCCTTTTCTGCATCTATTGAGATAATCATGTGGTTTTTGTCTTTGGTTCTGTTTATATGCTGGATTACATTTATTGATTTGCATATGTTGAACCAGCCTTGCATCCCAGGGATGAAGCCCACTTGATCATGGTGGATAAGCTTTTTGATGTGCTGCTGGATTCGGTTTGCCAGTATTTTATTGAGGATTTTTGCATCAATGTTCATCAAGGATATTGGTCTAAAATTCTCTTTTTTTGTTGTGTCTCTGCCAGGCTTTGGTATCAGGATGATGCTGGCCTCATGAAATGAGTTAGGGAGGATTCCTCTTTTTCTATTGATTGGAATAGTTTCAGAAAATATGGTACCAGCTCCTTCTTGTACCTCTGGTAGAATTCGGCTGTGAATCCATCTGGTCCAGGACTTTTTTTGGTTGTTAAGCTATTGATTATTGCCACAATTTCAGTGCCTCTTATTGGTCTATTCAGAGATTCAACTTCTTCCTTGTTTAGTCTTGGGAGGGTGTATGTATCTAGGAATTTATCCATTTCTTCTAGATTTTCTAGTTTATTTGCATAGAGATGTTTGTAGTATTCTCTGGTGGTAGTTTGTATTTCTGTGGGATTGGTGGTGATATCCCCTTAATCATTTTTTATTGTGTCTATTTGATTCTTCTCTCTTTTCTTCTTTATTAGTCTTGCTAGTGGTCTTATCAATTTTGTTGATCTTTTCAAAAAACCAGCTCCTGGATTCATTAATTTTTTGAAGGGTTTTTTGTGTCTCTATTTCCTTCAGTTCTGCTCTGATTTTAGTTATTTCTTGCCTTCTGCTAGCTTTTGAATGTGTTTGCTCTAGCTTTTCTAGTTCTTTTAATTGTGATGTTAGGGTGTCAATTTTGGATCTTTCCTGCTTTCTCTTGTGGGCATTTGGTGCTATAAATTTCCCTCTACACACTGCTTTAAATGTGTCCCAGAGATTCTGGTATGTTGTGTCTTTGTTCTTGTTGGTTTCAAAGAACATGTTTATTTCTGCCTTCATTTCGTTATGTACCCAGTAGTAGTCATTCAGGAGCAGGTTGTTCAGTTTCCATGTAGTTGAGCGGTTTTGAGTGCGTTTCTTAGTCCTGAGTTCTAGTTTGATTGCACTGTGGTCTGAGAGACAGTTTGTTATAATTTCTGTTCTTTTACATTTGCTGAGGAGTGCTTTACTTCCAACTATGGGGTCAATTTTGGATAAGTGTGGTGTGGTGCTTAGAAGAATGTATATTCTGTTGATTTGGGGTGGAGAGATCTGTAGATGTCTATTAGGTCTGTATGATGCGGAGCTGAGTTCAATTCCTGGATATCCTTGTTAACTTTCTGTCTTGTTGATCTAATGTTGACAGTGGGGTGTTAGAGTCTCCCATTATTATTGTGTGGGAGTCTAAGTCTCTTTGTAGGTCTCTAAGGACTTGCTTTATGAATCTGGGTGCTCCTGTATTGGGTGCATATATATTTAGGATAGTTAGCTCCTCTTGTTGAATTGATCCCTTTACCATTATGTAATGGCCTTCTTTGTCTCTTTTGATCTTTGTTGGTTTAAAGTCTGTTTTATCAGAGACTAGGATTGCAACCCCTGCCTTTTTTTGTTTTCCATTTGCTTGGTAGATCTTCATCCCTTTATTTTGAGCCTATGTGTGTCTCTGCACATGAGATGGGTTTCCTGAATACAGCACACTGATGGGTCTTGACTCTTTATCCAATTTGCCAGTCTTTTAATTGGAGCATTTAGCCCATTTACATTTAAAGTTAATATTGTTATGTGTGTATTTGGTCCTGTCACTATGATATTAGCTGGTTATTTTGCTCGTTAGTTGATGCAGTTTCTTCCTAGCCTTGATTGTCTTTACGTTTTGGCATGTTTTTGCAGTGGCTGGTATCGGTTGTTCCTTTCCATGTTTAGTGCTTCCTTCAGGAGCTCTTTTAGGGCAGGCCTGGTGGTGACACAATCTCTCAGCATTTGCTTGTCTGTAAAGTATTTTATTTCTCCTTCATTTATGAAGCTTAGTTTGGCTGGATATGAAATTCTGGGTTGAAAATTCTTTTCTTTAAGAATGTTGAATATTGGCCCCCACTCTCTTCTGACTTGTAGAGTTTCTGCCAAGAGATCTGCTGTTAGTCTGATGGGCTTCCCTTTGTGGGTAACCCGACCTTTCTCTCTGTCTGCCCTTAACATTTTTTCCTTCATTTCAACTTTGGTGAATCTGACAATTATGTGTCTTGGAGTTGCTCTTCTCAAGGAGTATCTTTGTGGCGTTCTCTGCATTTCCTGAATCTGAATGTTGACCTGCCTTTCTAGATTGGGGAAGTTCTCCTGGATAATATCCTGCAGAGTGTTTTCCAACTTGGTTCCATTCTCCCCATCACTTTTAGGTACACCAATCAGATGTAGATTTGGTCTTTTCACATAGTCCCATATTTCTTGGAGGCTTTCTTCATTTCTTTTTATTCTTTTTTCTCTAAACTTCCCTTCTCGCTTCATTTCATTCATTTCATCTTCCATCACTGATACCCTTTCTTCCAGTTGATCGCATTGGCTCCTGAGGCTTCTGCATTCTTCACGTAATTCTCGAGCCTTGGCTTTCAGCTCCATCAGCTCCTTTAAGGACTTCTCTGCATTGGTTATTCTAGTTATCCATTCATCTAATTTTTTTTCAAAGTTTTTAACTTCTTTGCCATTGGTTTGAATTTCCTCCTGTAGCTTGGAGTAGTTTGATCGTCTGAAGCCTTCTTCTCTCAGCTCGTCAAAGTCATTCTCTGTCCAGCTTTGTTCCTTTGCTGGTGAGGAGCTGTGTTCCTTTGGAGGAGGAGAGGCGCTCTGCTTTTTAGAGTTTCCAGTTTTTCTGCTCTGTTTTTTCCCCATCTTTGTGGTTTTATCTACTTTTGGTCTTTCATGTTGGTGACGTACAGAAGGGTTTTTGGTGTGGATGTCCTTTCTGTTTGTTTGTTAGTTTTCCTTCAAACAGACAGGACCCTCAGCTGCAGGTCTGTTGGAGTTTGCTAGAGGTCCACTCCAGACCCTGTTTGCCTGGGTATCAGCAGCGGTGGCTGTAGAAGAGCGGATCTTGGTGAACCACAAATGCTGCTGCCTAATTGTTCCTCTGGAAGTTTTGTCTCAGAGGAGTACCCAGCCATGTGAGGTGTCAGTCTGCCCCTACTGGGGGGTGCCTCCCAGTTAGGCTGCTTGGGGGTCAAGGACCCACTTGAGGAGACAGTCTGCCCATTCTCAGATCTCCAGCTGTGTGCTGGGAGAACCACTACTCTCTTCGAAGCTGTAAGACAGGGACATTTAAGTCTGCAGAGGTTACTGCTTTCTTTTTGTTTGTCTGTGCCCTGCCCCCAGAGGTGGAGCCTACAGAGGCAGGCAGGCCTCCTTGAGCTGTGGTGGGCTCCACCAAGTTCGAGCTTCCTGCCTGCTTTGTTTACCTAATCAAGCCTGGGCAATGGCAGGCGCCCCTCCCCCAGCCTCGCTGCCACCTTGCATTTTGATCTCAGACTGCTGTGCTAGCAATCAGCGAGACTGTGGGTAGGACCCTCCGAGCCAGGTGCAGGATATAATCTCCTGGTGTGCCATTTTTTAAGCCCGTTGGAAAAGCGCTGTATTAGGGTGGGAGTGACCCGATTTTCCAGGTGCCCTCTGTCACCCCTTTCTTTGACTAGGAAAGGGAACTCCCTGACTCCTTGCGCTTCCTGAGTGAGGCAATGCCTTGCCCTGCTTCGGCTCGTGCATGGTGTGCTGCACCCACTGTCTGGCACTCCCTAGTGAGATGAACCTGGTACCTCAGATGGAAATGCAGAAATCACCCGTCTTCTGCATCGCTCACGCTGGGAGCTGTAGACTGGAGCTGTTCCTATTCTGCCATCTTGGCTTGGCCTCATACCTTATAAAAATTAACTAAAGATGGATTAAAGACTTGACTTAAATGTAAAACTTCACACCATAAAAACCCTAGAAGAAAACCTAGGCAATATCATTTAGGACATAGATATGGGGAAAGACTTCACAACAAAAATGCCAAAAGCAATTGCAACAAAAGCCAAAATTGACAAATGGGATCTAATTAAAAGAAAGAGCTTCTGCACAGCTAAAGAAACTATCATCAGAGTGAATAGGCAACCTACAGAATGGGAGAAATTTTTGCAATCTGCCCATCAGACAAAGGTCTAGTATCCAGAATTTAGAAGGAATTTAACATATTTACAAGAAAAAAACAACCCCATCAAAAAGTGAGCAAAGGAGCCAGGCCCAGTGGTTCATGCCTTGTAATCTTAGCACTTTGGGAGGCCGAGATGGGTGGATCACCTGAGATCAGGAGTTCAAGACCAGCCTGGCCAACATGACAAAACCCCACCTCTACTAAAAATACAAAAATTAGCTGGGCATGGTGGCAGGTGCCTATGATCCCAGCTACTCAGGAGGCTGGGGCAGGAGAATTGCTTGAACCTGGGGGGGCAGAGGTTGCAGTGAGCAGACATTGTGCCACTTCATTCCAGCCTAGGCGAAAGAGCAAAACTGTCTCAAAAAAAAAAAAAAAGTGGGCAGAGGATATGAACAAACCCTTCTCAAAAGAAGACATTTATACAGCCAACAAACATATGAAATAAAGCTCAGCATCACTGATGATCAAAGAAATGCAAATCAAAACCACAATGAGATACCATCCCACACCAGTCAGAATGGAGATTATTAAAAAGCCAGGAAACAAAAGATGCTAGCAAGGCTGTGGAGAAATAGGAACACTTTTACGTGGTTGGTGGGAATGTAAATTAGTTCAACAATTGTGGAAGACAGTATGGCGATTACCCAAGGATCTAAAACCAAATATACCATTTGACCCAGTAATCCCATTACTGGGTATATACCCAAAGGAATATAAATCATTCTACTATAAAGACACATGAACACATATTTTTATTGCAGCACTGTTTACAATAGCAAAGATGTGGAACCAACCCAAATGCCCATCAGTGATAGACTAGATTAAGAAAATGTGGTACATACACACCATGGAATACTATGCAGCCATAAAAAGAAATGAGATCATGTCCTTTGTAGGGACTGGATAAAGTTGGAAGTCATCATCCTCAGCAAACTAACACAGGATCAGAAAATCAAACACCATGTGTTCTCACTCATAAGTAGGAGCCGAACATTGAGAACACATGGACACAGACAGGGGAGCGACACACCACGGCCTGTTGGGTTGTGGGAGGTGAGGGGAGGGAACGTAGAGGAGGGTTCAATAGGTGCAGCAAACCACCATGGCTCACACATACCTATGTAACAAACCTATACGTTCTGCACATGTATACCATTTTGGGGTTTTATTTTTTAGAAGAAATACAGAAGAAAAAAATTGTTAAACTTGATTTCTATAATATATGTAAACATCAATACAAGTATACTATAAGAGCTAACTATGAAAGATAGGCAACAGACTTCTATTAATAATATACAATATCTCATGAATTCATGATAGGAAACGTTTTCTTAAGCAGGACATGAAAATAACTAATTATAAAAAGGGGATCTGATAAATCAGACTGTCTTAAAATAGGAACTTTTTCAAAAATGGCATGGGGAAAAGTCTGAAAAGTAAAGGTGAAACCATGAAATGATATTTGTAATCTATGTAAGTGATAAAGTGCTTGTAACTGCAACATATAAAGCATTTCTACAAATTAAAACATGCAGAAGTGATCTTAGGAAATAATATGCAAGAACTTAAAATAACTATTTCAAAAAAAAATATCCAAATCACCAATAAATACAATATGTGCTTTGCTCCATTAGTTCTCAGTGGAATTTTATTGTAGGCTGTTGTACTCTTTTTGTATTACCTATGTTTTATCTTTAATTTATTTCAGCTTTTTTCTTTTTAGCCTTTCTTGGACAGCATCCTGCTTTAAGAATGTGTCATGCATTTATATTTGCTCCAACGCTTCTCCAGCACCAAGAATGCCAGTAAAAGCCAACTGGGCAAGTACGCATGCCTGGAAGCAGGAGAAGTCTTGGATAATCCTCTACCAAGAGAGAACTAGAGTCAATGAAAAATAACCAACCACTTTGTTGATCCATCTTTGGGAAATGGCATTCTGTATACACTTCAGAATGTCCTGGACAGGAGCAATCTCTAGTTGCCCACAGTGCTGACCTCTATAACATACATTTATGTTAAGTTTTCCTTTTTCTATCATTCCCCAAGGTCCTTCACTCCTGCATCCTTGGAATGCCTTCTGCACATAAGTCCTTTTCTTAGGCTTTGTTTTCATGAAGAAACTGAAGCTAAGACAAGACATATAAATTAAGGCCATAGTAATATTCCTCTAAGCACGTGTCACAAAGAGTTCAGCTAAAACCTAGAGTCGGTAAGAATATGAGACAAAAGTCTGACACAATGCTGATGAGAATGCACATTAATATTCGCATTTTATAAAAGAGTTTAGTATTAACTATTACAAAGATAAGCATATATTTTTTTTCCCAACAAAATTTCTGGGCATATATTCTAAATGGCTTGTGGAGGAATGTTCATAGTGACGTTTTTCATGATAACAAAACACAGTAAACTAATCCAAAAATGTCTCAACCATGTAATGAAAAAGTTTGATATATCCATATATTGAAATATGACTGAATATAAATGCACTATAGTTACATGAAAAATGTATGTATAACTCTAATAGACATGTTCAACAAAATATGTCAGACAGAATAACAATTTTTTTTTTTTGAGACAGAGTTTTGCTCTATTGCCCAGGCTAGAGTGCAGTGGTGCAATCTCTGCTCACTGCAAGCTCCGCCTCCCAGGTTCATGCCATTCTCCTGCCTCGGCCTCCCGAGTAGCTGGGACTACAGGCACCTGCCACTGCACCCAGCTAATTTTTTGTATTTTTAGTTTAGTAGAGATGGGGTTTCACCGTGTTAGCCAGGATAGTCTCAATCTCCTGACCTCGTGATCCACCTGCCTCGGCCTCCCAAAGTGCTGGGATTACAGGTGTGAGCCACTGCGCCTGGCCTAGAATAACAATTTTATAATTCAAGGTAGATAAAATTTTAAAACAGGTAAAACTGAATAATTATGTTTATATGGTGAAATATGAAGACAAGCATTGGTCAACATTTGGTTTTCAGTCCATCATATAAGGAGCTTGGAAATCATTATTCCATCTTAATAAGTACATTGCTAAACAAACTGAAAAATTAACAACTTTTTTCTTAGATTCTTAAGGGAAGTGAGGTCACAAAGCAAAACACTGATTCCAAAAATTGAATGATAGACAGGCAGATACACAGCAGAAACCCAGGAGCTGAAAACTTTTGGGAATCAGTACTAGAGTAGAAAAGTCTGAAATGCAATTGATGAATTTCTGGAGGCTCAGTGTGGACAAGTCTGAGAGGCAAAATCTTTAGGGGAACCCAGTCATGGGGGAGTCCCCACCCCTTTGTGAGTTTTACCTTCCACAACTTGATCATATCCTCACAGTGAATATTGAAGAAAACACCCTCATGATTTCAGAAAGGGGTGGAAAAAAATAACCATTTTTGAAATACACCAGAGTACTTTGTTCTTAATAAGGCATGCCCTCAGGAGAAATGAAATAAAGACAGTTTAACCTGCCAGGGTTTTATCAGAGCCTAAATGACCTGGGGGAAGGGGAAGACTCAGCTGTAGCTCCTTCTAGAATTCCGTGTGAGAGAAAAGAAATATTCAACTTCAGTAGATTCTAGCCAACCTGTCTCAAATAAGGGGAGTGGGGGTTATGAGAGGCACTTGTGCAGTTCACAGCCTAGAGGCATAGGCTTACAAAAAGGCTAAGACTTAATTGTAGGACTATAGAACACTTCCCGTCCCCCAACACCTTACCACAACATCACTATTTAACAGTGTTCATTTTACCCAGTACATGATGACCAACTACCAAGAAAAAATTACCAGGCATAGTAAAAGACAAAAAAAAAATTTTAAAGAGACAGGCTTTAGAACTAGACTCAGACAAGCCAGGATGCTGGAATTATCAGAGTCGACTTTTGAAACAATTATAATTCATATGATAAAAACTCTAATGGATAAAGTGGAGCACATGAGAGAACAGATGGGTAACATAACCAAAGAGATAGAAATTTCAAAAGAGAATTGAACTGTGTTATATTTCTTTGCAGATGACAGGATTGTGTGTGTAGAAAAATTCAAATAATGGACAAAGAAATTTCTAAAACTAATAAATGATTACAGCAAGGTAGCAGAACACAAGATTATATAAAAGTCAGTCACTTTCCTAGCCCCAAGTGAAGAACAAGTAAAATTTGAAATTAAAAACCAAAAGAAATTACATTGACACCCCCCAAAATGAGATAATTAAGCATAAATCTAACAAAATATATACAACATCTATATGAGAAAAACTATAAAACTGGTAAAATAATTCAAACAAGAAATAAATGGAGAGTTTTTCCATGATCATGGGTCTTCATAGAAAATACTCATTATTGTCAAGATGTCAGTTCTTCTCAACTTGATCTATAGATTCAATGGAATCTCAATTAAAATCCTGGGAAGTTATTTTGTCTATACAGACAAACTGATTCTAAAGTCTATACAAAGAGGCAAAGGACCATAATAGTCAACACATTATTGAAGGAGGAGAACAAAGTTGAAAGATGAATTTTACACAACTTCAAGATTTACTATAAAACAACAGTAATTAACACTGTGGTATTGTTGAAATAGACAAATAGATGGCTGGAACATAAGGGAGAGCCCAGAAAAACACTTCTGTAAATGTAGTCAACTTATCTTTGACAAAAAAGCAAAGGCAATGCAATTGACGAAAAAGAGTCTTGTCAATAATTGTTGCTAAAAACACCGGATATCCATATGCAAAAATATTAATCTAGACACATCTTATATCTTTAACAAATATTAATTCAAAATAGACCATAGACTTAAATATAAAAGCAGAGACTATAGAATTCCCAGAAGATAATACAGGAGAAAATCTAGATCAGTTTGGTAATGAGTTTTTAGATACAGCAATTAAGGCACAATCCATAAATAAAAGAATCAATAAGCTGGACTTTGTAAAATTAAAAATGTCTGCTCTACCAAAGACAATGTTAAGAGAATTCACATATAAGCCACAGACTGGGAAAAAAATATATTTGTGAAGGACACATCTGATGAAGGATGGGTATTCCAAATATAAAAAATAACTCCCAAAACTCAACAATAAGAAAACAATTCCATTTAAAAATGGGCCAAAGACCTGAACGGACACTTCACTAAAGAAGATATACACGTAGAAATTAAGCATGCCAAAAGATGTTCAGTATTATATGTCATTAGAGCATTGCAATTTAAAACAACAGTGAGACACCACTACACATCTATTAGAATGACCAAGATCCAAAACACTGACACCACCAAATGCTGAGGAAGATGTATAACAACAGTAACTCTGATTTATTTCTGATGAGAATAGTAAATGGTCAGCCAGTTTGGAAGCCAGTTTTGCAGTTTCTTACGGACCGTAGCCTGAACATCCCCTCCAGTAATCACACTCTTTGGTGTTTGCACAAAGAATCTGAAAATTTATGTCCGGCCTGAAATCTGCACACATATGACAGTTTTATTTACAATTGTTAAAATCCAGTATTAACAAAAAGTTGTCCTTTAGTAAGTGAATAAAAAAACTTTTATACATCCAGGCAATGGACTATTATTCAGTACTAAAAGGAAATGAGCTACAGCCACTCATTGTGACTCACACCTTTAGTCCCCGTACTTTGGGTGACTGAAGTGGGTGGATCACTTGAGGTCTGGAGTTTGAGACCAGTCTTGCCAATATGGTGAGACACTGTCCATGATAAAAATACAAAAATTAGTATAATTCTATAATATAAATTAATATTTTATATATAATCATATCTATAACATTATTGTGATATATTAATATTGTATAATTATACATAATGGAATTAATTATAAATATTATATATTATATATAAAATACCATATAATGTATTATATATAAAATATGATATATTATAAAAATATAAAAATATATATTTTATAGATATAAAAATATGATATAATAAATATATGAAATATTTAATATATATAATATAATTTTATATTTAAATATATAATATATAAATTTATATATATTTATGTATTTATAAAATATTGAACAATATATATAAAATGTATATTATATATAAAATATTGTATATTATATATAAAATATATATTATATATAAAATACTGTATAATATATATAAAATATTATATATTATATATAAAATATTGTATAATATATAAAATATTGTATAATATATATAAATATAATATATAAAAATATATATTATATATAAATATATAATATATAAAATATATATTATATTAAAATATTTTATAATATATTATATATGAAATATATATTATACAATATTTGAGGGCACATATATATATATAATCCTTGTTGTAAGCTAAAACAATATATGTATAAAGATCTGGGAGGCTCTTCTATTAGTTAAATGAGTGAGAGAGTCATTTACTTGGAGACTTCAATTTTTGCTTGTCTGGTTATTTGAGTTGGTTAGTGAGGTGGGAAGGTGATACGAAAGGAAAATATAGTAGCTCCTCCTTTACCCATGGGGAAATACTTTCAGGACCCCCAGTGAATACATGAGGTCACGGCTAGTACCAAATCCTGTATATACTATGTTTGTCCTATACATACATACATATGATAAAGTTTATTTTATAAAAAGGCACAGGAGACATCAGCAACAATAATAGTAAAATAGAACAATTATAACACTACACTGTAATAAAAGTTAGCTGAATGTGCTCTCTCTCTCTCCCAAAATATCTTAGTTTCAGAATGTGGTTGACTGTGGGTAACAAAAACCATGGAAAGTGAAAATAGGTACACGTAGAGGACTACTATAATTGGCAAAAGAATAATTGAAAAATATTTTGCAAGTTTTTAGAAAATTCATTAGAAATACAAAACCTTAGTATTTATACAACTTTAGAAATCTCCAGAGGCTATTTCCCATTAATGAGCAAAGTACACTATACAAAATGAGGATATCACTATACATCCACAGTGCTAAAGAACAAAGAAAAAAGTACTTCCTTCATCCAGTTGTCAGAGTTTATTTCTGCAGAAGGAAAAGGGAGTGTCCCCACTCCAGAAAGGTATCTCCAACTGCCTCTGTGACTGTGGCCTCCTTTTCTAATTTTCTCCAAATGTCAAAAGCATTAACCTAATGTTTGGAATATAAAATATTACTTGAGGGCACATATAACTAGGTGTAAAAACTGTATGAATTTATCAGCCTTCCACCAAGATATGACCTACAATCTACCTTTATGTGGTGAAAAGACACAAGAAGACCTGAACACAGGAATCCACGTTTTTTTCCTCTCCTCTTCGATAGGGGATAGAAAGATAAACTGACCCAGGCCTACCGTCATAAGAGATATTTCTGGCCATAGTTTTCTCCACTTAAATTTCATGCCAATCTCTTCAGGTCCCAAGATCATACAAATAACCAGAGGATCATTCTTTCTCAAGTCTGAAATTGAAACTTTCAGAAAAATACTGGTTCCAGCCTAAAGCATGTGGTCCAAGCTGTTCACCAGAATTTGGCATTAAAATGTACCAGGTACCTTGGGAGGCCGAGGTCGGGGGATCACGAGGTCAAGAGATGGAGACCATCCTGGCCAACATGGTGAAACCCTGTCTCTACTAAAAATACAAAAATTAGCTGGGCATGGTGGCGCGTGCCTGTAGTCCCAGCAACTCACGAGGCTGAGGCAGGAGAATCACTTGAACCCAGGAGGCAGAGGTTGCAGTGAGCCGAGATGTGCCACTGCACTCCAGCCTGGCGACCGACCGAGACTCCGTCTCAAAAAAAAAAGAAAAGAAAAAAAGGACCAGGTACCTACCCAGCTGACAATAGAATGTCATGCTGATTTTCACTCACTGCTGTTCCTTTTATACAGCTCCCTTGAGGTTCTCACTAGAAGAGAGGTGACTAGCAGGCAGGACCCATTCATTATGTAAGCAAGTTCCATCAAATATATCATAACATATTCAAACACCAACTTTGCTTAGAAAAACCTCTAAATGTACATATGCATGGATGCGCTGAATGAGCATCTGCCACTATGTTAGTTAATGATGAATATAAGTAGGTTTAGAATAAGCAATTATGAACAAAGGAATATATATATTTGCAACTTCATTTAGAGTAATCGTAACATTATATTAATCTCTGCTTTAAGGAAACATGAAAGGAACCTATGAACTAAACCTTGAATGAGACACTGTATACCTTCTAATGAAATTTGCTCAGACCTTCTTCATGTTCATCTTCCTCAACATTTTATGAAAAGTAACATTTTCATCAACTATTTCACAGCAAGTTGGAAGTCCTTGTGGCATACTAGTTTTTTTTCAATTCAATAAAAACAATTATTAAAATACAAGCTCCCAGAAGGGAGAATCTTTGTCCTCTATTTGGGCTGTATTATACTTAATTTTTTTTTATAAAACCAGTGATTATGAAGATGATGCTGTGTCCAAATGCAAAAGGGCATATTTCATACTGAGGTTGTTTGGAAACTCACAGTAGTGAGATTATAATAGCTGCCTTTCTGCTAGTGTATACTTCCATGGGATAATTTTTTTTTAAATGTGTCTGTCTTTTCCACAGTGATAGGAAAGAGTAAGTAATGTTTAGATTCCAGCCAAGACTTGAAAACAGAGAACATAAAAATTGGTGCTCACATGTTCTTAAAGCACAGTGAACATGTGAGCACCTATGGGAAATCCACGAAGAAACTCTTCTCCAAGAGAAAAATAAGCTACTGCATGGAAACATTATGCCCTCTAAAAATCAAACACTTGGGGTCTAGCTAGAAGTGCAAGCGGAGGTGAGGAGAAGGTATCAATCACAAACACAAAGCCAGGTGTTGTCTTTTGCAAGCAGTTGCTGCAAAGGCACTCACAGTTTACAAAAGCAAATTTCTCAGCTACCAAAGGTCTGAGTTCAGCCATGGCCAAGTAAGCATTCTACTTAATTTGAATGATTCTATGACTAGGACCATAGAGACAGTACCTTCTCCAATCCAAAGGGCTGCAGGAAAAATAAAAATCTGAGAAGCCAGGATTGTGGGATTAGCTAATCCCTGGACTACTACAAACTGGTGTAAGACTTCGCTCAAGTCATTTCAGTTTTCTGCCTCTCAGTTGCCTATTGTACAAAATTAAAGCATGAGATAAATAATTTTAGTTTAGATTTTATGATTCTAAGCAATATAACATGAATAAATATCAGAATTTTTAATATCTGAGAAATGATACCCCTTCATCTTATGTCCACATAATAAATAAGGTTATTGATGTATTTGAACAACTTGTGCAAATATATAATGGTGAGAAATGAGATGAGCTCCCAAAGCCAAGTATAGCTTTGAAGAACACTATAAATGTGTTCACTGAGAGAACTAAAATTACAAGAAGGAAACATGTAAGTGGATAAACTAAATAAAAATAAACCATAGTGCCAAGTCTCCATGGAAACTCTAGGAGAGTAAGCATGTATGCCATAAACATCATGCTGAGAAAAAAAAATATATTATCAGCATATGCCTTGCTAGAATTTAAAAGAATTTTAAAGATGCTAGTTTCTATATGCTACCTAATACTGCTCTCTAAAAATGATGATTCCTTTAGCCTTATTATTTGATGACATTGTCCTTTGTTTTATTGAGATTCTGTGTATTCCCGAGAATCAAATAGTCCTAAATATTGGACATTAGATGGCATGTAGTCCACACCACCTGCTACTTAGCATCCCTACCAAGAGATGAGGCTATTTTATGCTCCCCTTTTTAATTGTGAGGTCATGCATGAGAGTCATGGATATTAGAAGTGGTAAGTAGTGACTTACTTAACATAAGAAGCAATGCTCAAGATAAAGAGATTGGATCTTGCCTAAAATTTCCAGTCTCGTGTTTGTAATGGGACTTTTATGAGCATGCAATAGGGAAATTCCCTAACAGATGAAAAAAAAAAAAAAAAGGTATTTAACCCAGGCACATTTCCCAAAAAGGAAATCTTCAGATCATTTCACATTCATGAAACTTCCATCTCCCAGTGGACATCTCTCTGAAGGAGACTATTACATCCTCTACAGGTTAGTGAGGAAGCAGCTATACCATTGCATGCTAAAGCCAATTGCTTTTAAATGATTTTAAAATGAGAAGAAACAGTTTATCCCTGAACTAGATTAAAGTTAACAGAATAGATGAAAGACCCATACTCACCAATTTAACTTCTCATCAGATAGGAAAAAAGAGATAAACACCCCAATGAAAGACATATTGTAGACACGAACACTAAGCAACCTATTTATCTTGATCCTTAAGCAATGCTCTCTACCAGATTGAAATCTAAGTTGTTTTCCATGATATTCTAAATCAATCTTAAGGAACTATAGAAGTTATTTATAAAAGTGCATAATAATTTGCCCTGATTATCTTTCAAAGATTAGTTTTCATATCTATTTAGTTTTATAGTTTCAAGTTCTAGGTATTTTCTTTATGTTTTATCTTTTTGACTCTTCTTTCTTTTACTCTTTAAATGAATAATCATGAAACAGTAATAGTGTGCTATCCTAGTACTAAATACTAGATACATCAACTAAAATAAGACAGTCCCTGCCGCAATTGGTTTTAGCAGTGGCAGAGAAAGATTAACATGTAAATAAAACATTTCATATATTGTTAAAGGTGCTATGATAAAAGTTGTAAAATTAAAGGATGCAAAGGAATGCCTAGGCATTGCTGCCAGTGGGAGGAGTGGAGGTCAGAAAATCATCAGGGGTAATTACCCTGGAGGTGAAAATTGAGAGACAAGTTAGATCATGGAGGCAGAAGTAAGCACTCCAGGAAGGGAATATATTAGTTCATGTAACATTAACCACACTAAAAAGGTCTTTGATTACAATGCTTAATAACTGAAATATGCTTTTTTTTTTGTTTTCCTCTGATCCCTGAATTGTTTGCTGCTTTTTCTGCCCTCCTTTTGAAACTCCAAGTACATATACATTAGCTAGCTTGATACTACACCACAGCTCACCAAGACTACTGTTTTTCTCAATTTGAAAAACTTATTATCAATTTTCCTTTAAGTTCTTGGCTCCTTTAATCTGTTATATACAAGTTGCTATTAATCACATCACACAGACTTTGTAGTTGAGTAATTTGCACCTGGTACAGTTTTTAGTTTTCATAAAGTATAATTTAAATACAATCAATGGTAAAATTTTCTGAGTATGTATGGTATCCTATAAAAAGCCATCACCAAAATCAAGAGAGCCAGCATTTCTATCACCATCCAAGGCTTCCTTTTATCACTTCTTCCATTAATATCCCCAGATGATCACTAATATACTTTGTGTCACTACAGATTCATTTGCACTTTCCGGAATTATGCGCAAGCAGAATCTCATGCTATGTAGTCAGATTGTTTTTCCTGGGTTATTTCAATCAGCCTAACCATATTAAGGCGCATACTTGTTTATAGACAATATGTTTCTTTTTTGCTATAGATATGCTACAATTTGTTTATCCATGCATCTGATAGACACTTCTATTGTTTCCAGTTTGAAGCTATTAGAAACAAAAAATGTCTGAATTTGGATGTACACATCTTTGTATGCATCTTTTCATTTCTCTTGGGTAAAATGCCAAACAGTCTTGATATGTGTTTGTTTAACTTTGTAAGAAAATGGCAAGTGTTTGCCAACATGCCTGTACCACTTATATTCCCACAAGCGTTGTATGGGAGTTCAGGTTGGTGCACATACTTGACCATGAAAGTTATGGGAGGGATTTTTAAAATTAACTTTAGTCACTCTATGTAGTGCTTTAGTCACTCCATGTAGGTATGTAGTGCTATGTCATTCAGTTTTAATTTGCAATTTTCTCCTAAGTAATCATAGTACAATTTTTCATGTATTTATTGGTAATTTGTATATCTTTTTTGTGAAGCACATTTTTCCTTTTTTAAAATCATGGTTTGGGGTCTTATTATTGAACTGTAAGTGATCTTTATATATTCTGAATGTATGTTCTTGGTATGATGAATGTCTTATGAATATTTTCTCTCAGTCTATGGGTTGCCTTTTCATTTTCATAATAGTGTCTTTCAAATAGCAAAACATTTTATTTTGACGAAGTCAAATTATGTATAGAATGAAATATATGTCATATACACATATAAAAATTTTATATGTCACTTAAATGGTTGTGTTATTTCTTTTCTATATGAGAAAACATTGCCTACCCCAAATTTTTAAAGATTTTATTCTAAGAATTTTATGAGTTAATAATACATTTAGATCTATAATCCACTTTGAGTTGATATTTTATGTATTGTGTGAGTTAATGATCATTAAAAAAATTAACATCCAGTTGATCCAGCACAACTTATTGAAAATAATATCCTTTTTCATTGAAGAATCTTGACCCTTTATCAACAATCAATTGACTAGACTTCTGGACTCACTTTAAAAATGTGCAGAATAACAAAGAATATTATTCTCATCCTTAATAGAATAAACTACAAATTAACATCTTTCCTTAAACCATCAGAGGGGTTGGTGAGGAGGGAATTGGTTGATTACAAAGGAACTACACAGAAGTATTTTTAGGGTTATAGAACTGTTCTGTATGCTACTGAAGTACTGGGTACCTGACTCTCTTCATTTGTCAAAATCTATAGAGAATGAACTTCATTACATGCAAAATTTTTGAAAATCACCCAAAATTTAAAGGGATTCCAGGATGGAGTACAGACAGTGACACATAACTCAATGTATTACATATGTATGACAGGCCATCAGTGAAGGGACTGGAGGATAAAAGGGAACTGACCAAAGTAACTGGAAAACAATGTTTTTACTGAATACTGTAAGACTACAGAGAAAAAGAACTATACATGAACATTGTACTCTAGTCAGTAAATTGGTTTCTCACAACCATATGGGTTGAGTAGTTCTGAAACAATTTAATATGTATTATGGGCTTAAACATGTAAGTAATAAATTATAGATGAGAGCCAGGTTTCTCACTGTCAGATAAAAATGTTAAAATAAGCAAGGGAGGAGACCTAGAATGAGCCCTGATATACTAGATTAGCATCAGAGCCATCAGTATGCACTTTATCAATATGCACACACATACACATATACTTAGACACATGCATACTCATGGTTCTATGTGTGTGTGTATGTGTGTGCATATTGATAATGACTAATTTTAGAGGTGTGCATTTCCATGGCTTCTTACACATACACATACACTCCCTAGCTCTGTCCACTGAGAGATCCTAGAAATAATGACACTGCAGTAGCAATGTGCACATTCAGCACTCAGCTCTTGGTTTCCAGAGACCATTCTCCAACAAGTGTAACCAAGGTATTTTAGAAAATGGCTGACTCTAACCTAGGGTAGAAAAAATACAAGATGATCTGGGAGACCCTGTAGTGTTAGGAACAAATGTTAAACGAAGGGAAGGGAAGGGGAGGGGAGGGGAGAGGAGCAGAAAGTAAAAGAAAAGAAAAGGTAGAGGTTCATCAGACACAGGAGCTAACTAAAAGAATTCTCAATGTCCACAAATGGAAAAAATTAAACAGAAAAATAAATACCGATATTATTGAATTATAACCCAAAATACAAAATGAGTATAGATGAATCAATATTAATATAAATAAATAATTCAATAAATAAACAAGGGAGACAGAACTAATCTTTATGAAAGAATTCCAAGTAATATGTGTAGACACTCCCTCTTCCAAGAAGTAGAACTTAATTCTCCTCCCATTGAGTGTGGACTGGAATTCACAACTCATTTGTAAAATGTAGAGTAACATAAGAGAAAAATAGAAACTTTACAGAGAAGGAACCTGACAGACACCAAGTAAACCAAATGATCAATGTTAATATCGCCAGTCGAGTCGTGTGGATATTATGTAACTACTAATATCATGCAATGAGAAATTGTTTGTTAGGATTTTCCAAAGCAACAGAAATAATAGATCATAGATGATAGATAGATAGATAGATAGATAGATACATACATACATACATACATTTATCTTAAGGAATTGGCTCATGTGATTATTGGGGCTGGCAAGTGTGAAATTTATAGGGGAGGCCAGCAGGTTGGAAACTCAGGCAGGATTTGACAATGCAGCCTTAAACAGAATTTCTTTTTCCCAAAGAAACCTCAGTTTTTGCTCTTAAGGCTTTCAACTGACTGGGATGAGGCCCAGCCACATTGTGTAGGACAATCTCTTTCACTTAAAGTCAATTGACTGTGGATGTTAATCATGTCTACAAAAATACCTTCACTACAACATATAAATTAGTGTTTGATTAAATCGCTGGGTAATACAGACAGCCTCCAACTTAAAATTGTTTGACTTAGGATTTTTTGGATTTGCAATGATGCAAAAGCAGTATTCATCCAGTAGCAACTATACTTTAAATTTTGAATTTTCATCTTTGTCCTGGGCTATCAATATGCTATCGCAATGCTGGTGAGTGGCTGCAAGTGGCAGTTCCTAGTCAGCCACAAAATCACAAGGGTATACAAATCAGACTCTAGAGAACTGTATTGCCAGATAACTTTGCCCAGCTGTAAGCTAATGTAAATGTTCTGAGCATGTTTAAGGCAGCCTAGGCTAAGCTGTGATGTTCCTTTATAGGTTAGGTGCATTACATGTATTTTCGACTTAGAATATTTTCAACAAACCCCATCATAAGTTGAGGAGTGTCTTACAGGTCATCCAACTTGACACATGAGACTAGAAGTACACCCCACCTTTTTGTATTTTTCTTTCACACCTATATTAACTCCAATCTAATCATGAGGAAACATCATGCAAACTCCAGTTGAAAAGCATCCTACAAAATACCTGACCAGTAGTCTTCAAAAGTTTCAGTCATGAAAATTCTTTTAAAAGAGAAAGTAGGACAAACTGAAGGAGGCCAAAGAGATATAGTAACTAAATAAAACATAATATTCTGAGTTGGACGCTGAAACATAAAAAGAACATTTACGGGAAATCTGGTGAAGTCTAAATACTTATATACCTCTATAAAACAAAAAAAGTCTACATAAAACAGAAAAGTAAGAAGCAAAAGAAACTGGGCAAACATGTAAATTCATGCAATAAAAAATTCTGTAATACTAAAAATTATTTAGTAGATATATACTTACTGGTGTAGAAGAATGTTCATAACATTGACATTTGGAAATAAAAACAAATTACATTAATGAATGTATATCTAGCGGGTTAAAATATGTAGTTACCGTTCTGCCGTCTTGGATGTGCAGTGAGGTAAATCTATTTATTCAAATGTACATTAAAACACCTCACAATGCCCCTATCCACTGTTGGCAAACAGATATGTTTTCTCATTTATAGAAACTTAGTTCCATCTGACTGAAACTTGAGTTTCTTTGGGATAGGTATTCAGTTATCCTAAGAGTCATCACCTCCCATTCTCTCCCTAAGTGATCCCGGAAGTGCATAAGCATCTGGTCACCCTAGGGATGGTCATCAGGTCTGAGTGTTGTTCTCCATGCTAGTGGCCTTCTCTGGTTGTAACTCATTTCTTCTGCTCCCTTCTGTTTTTTTAGTTCTTATTCTGTGCTGAATACACCAGGGCTTCTAGTTCTATGGAACATTATTTCTGTTCCCAATTTCTAGCTTACCTGGGTATACACCCTCAACCTCAGGAACTTCTGTGCTTCTCTAGAGATGTCCAGGGTAACTGTTTACACATTCTTCCAAGTTAATTACAGAAAAGAGACATGTGGGCTGGGCGTGGTGGCTCACACCTGTATTCCCAGCACTTTGGGAGGCCGAGGCAGGCGGATCACAAGGTCAGAAGTTCATGATCAGCCTGACCAAGATGATGAAATCTGTCTCTACTAAAAATACAAAAAAATTAGCCGGACATGGTGGTGGACGCCTGCAATCCCAGCTACTCACGAGGCTGAGGCAGGAGAATTGCTTAAACCTGGGAGGTGGAGGTTGCAGTGAGCCAAGATGGCGCCACTGCACTCCAGCCTGGGCAACAGAGCAAGACTCTGTCTCAAAAACAAAACAAAACAACAACAACAACAACAAAGAACAGAGAAACGTAAGGGGCTCTTGCCAGCCATCTTTCAGCCATTGTTGCTCTACTGCTCAGGAATCGCATTGGCAAAGGAGTTTCTCTGTGAGGATTACATGAAGCGGAGGGGAAGCGGAGGAAAACAAAATTCAATTCCATGATAATTACCAGCATTCTGTTTAGAATGAAAAATATATATATAAAGAGAAAGAAATAACAGATAGTTATCTGATCAAATGCACACAGAAATTACCACTGGAGGTTGGGCGCAGTGGCTCACACCTGTAATTCCAGCACTTTAGGAGGCCGAGGCAAGAAGATCACCTACACCCAGAAGTTCAAGACTACTATGAGCAGCATAGTGAGGCACCGTTTCTACAAAAAATAAAAAACTAGCTAGGCATGGTGAGGTACTCCTGTACTCCCAGCTACTCAGGAGGCTGAGCAGGAGGATAGCTTGAGCCCAGAAGATCGAGACTACAGTGAACCATGATCACACCACTGCACTTCAGCTTAGGTGACAGAGTGAGACCCTGTCTCAAAAAGACAAAAAAAGAAAAAGATAAAAAGAAATTACCACTGGGTAGCAAATATTACATCTAAATTCTAGTCTTGCATGTATATATTTTCTAGTTTTCTAAAATATAAAACAAAAATCTAAATACTTATTTTTAATACTTTTCCATAGAGAAGTACAATTCTTATGCCCCTCCCTTCAAAAATACAGTTCTATTATTTTTAGAGAATGTTTTCACCCAGGACAGCTCAAAGATCTCTTCTAGAGCTGTGTTGCAAAATTTGTAATTGTTTTAGAATTGATTGCTATGTGAAATAGGCTTATATGTTCTGACAGTGTGTTAATACAATAAAAGAACTTTTTAGTAGCAAAAGACTTACAATTTTTCATTGGTTGTAAGTTTTTTTTTCTTTTTCACTGCCGTCTCTTTGTAGATAAAATGGAATTTCATAAGCTCTTGTTTTTTAACATCCGTTTCTAGGAAATTTTTTCATCAGGATGCACTATTCAAGGCTAAATACAGCTCAGAGAAAAATCCATCCAAAAAATCCTTAAAAAGATGTATTGTATTGTGCTTAATGGGAAATATTGTTACTGTAAAAATACATTGTAAGTTGTAACCTTGAATTTTGTTTACTAGGATACTGGAAAGTAAATGTAATAGCCTTATTTTCCAACAGAGATAAGTTGCCTTTCCTCTGGTATCTATGCGATATTTTCTAAACAATTTTTTTCAGGAATTAAGTACTCTTTTTAGCATCAATAAAATATTTGTTATTTATTTTATATATATGTATTATTCAGGTATAAGCTTCTGGCTTACATTACATTCTTCTAGCTTTTCCTCATCTTATAAGGACGTCAGTGTTATTGTATTAGAGTCCCACCATTATGACCTCTAAACATAGTCTTATCGGACAGAGGTTTAGGCTTCAATGTAGGAAGTTTGGCAGGGGACAGAGTTCAGTCTATAACCTGCAATAACAGTTCTATAAAGATTTTACTCCTAAAATGGGATTGAGCTCAAAGATTGTATGGGTTTGAGGTGAAGATTTTTTTTTGTTTTGTTTGTTTGTTTGTTTTAGATCAGGAAATGTACGTTCAGATGCTGATGGAAAGAGTGAGCAAATAGTGATGAGTTGATGGTAAAGGTGACAGAATACTCACCGAAGCAAGACCTCTAGAGTTTCAGCCAGACATATGACAGAGAATGGGGAGGTGTCACAGTTTGGGTTCCCCAGAAAGCAGAGATTCAGGTGGAGCTTAGAGCATAGGATGTGTACTAAGGAGTACCTCTGGTGTCAACACCTGTGGAAGGGAAAGAATGGAAATAAGGCTGGACAGAGAGAGAATCTGAGCTCTGATGCATGCCCAGCAGCAGTGGAAAGAAGACTTTCATTAAAGGAACATCTGGGAGTCCACCACAGTCCATCCATGCCACCGCTTGGATTCAGTTGTCTATATACTTTCTGAAAACAACTCTTCCACAAATCTTCCTGGTGAAAACATAAATAAGGAAGAGCTGTGGGACAAACTACAGCCCCACTAACAGCTTGTGCAGGGCCACAACCGATTCTCAGCACTGCCCACTTCCACTATCCATTAAAATATCTGTTTCCTTCCATTATCACCTCTTCCCTAGGCCACTGTGTCTGTATTTGGCTGGAGTTGCTACATTTGTCCTTTTGTTGTCAAAATGGGGCAAAGGGACGTAGAGGTGTTTAAGTAGATCATATAGCTCCAGTCCTTCCTGACAACCTTAAAATAGTCACAAACAATTACGTTTTCTTGGGTGTCATATCCTCTTCTTGCTTGCATGCACATATTAGGCAAATACATTTATTATACTCATATTAAAGATGGGAAAACAGGTTCAGAGGAGCTAAGGTGGCAGCTTAGGGAGAGTGGACCTGAAGTATGAACTCCATGTTTCAGACCCTTAAAGATCAAAGATATCTAAATTCACTAACTTTAGAAAACAACATGTCTCATTCTTTTCATTTACAAAACCCACATGGTTTCACAAAAATATAGCCATGTGTTTATTCCAGGGAAAATGTTAAGTAACAAGTTAGATTCAGTTGGTAACAAATTTTCTAAATGTGTAACAGGATAGTTCAAATATTGATGAACCAAATCATTATGGCTTTCTATGACAATAAAGTTGTATTACTTTTGCATTCACAAAAATATTGTTAAACAACTGCTATATTGTATATAACAAATGTCCATTTAATCACCATTTTGTGTACTTAGTATGCACAGGTGCTTTTCTAAGTACTTGGTGTACCAAGATAGAAGAGATTTGGGGCTCGCCATCAACAAAGTAATAATTTGTGAGAAAGAACAGGATGAAATTGTTTTAAAAAGTAAGAGAACAGCAAACAGGGGTAAGTACAACATTAAAACTAAGGACAATGGAGAAAGTACTTTAGCTCAGTGGTTCCCAACCTTTTTGGCACCAAGGACCCGTTTCATGGAAGACAATATTTTCACCACAGGGGTGGGGTTTCGGGTGAGGGAGGTGGTTTGGGCATGAAACTGTTCCACCTCAGATCATCAGATCATCAAGCATTAGTTAGATTCCAGTGAGGAGCGTGCAACCTAGATCCCTTGTATGCGCAGTTCACAATAGCTTGTGCTCCTATGAGAATCTAATGATGCTGCTGATGTGACAGGAGGTGGAGCTCAGGTGGTAATGATCCCTCCACCACTGGATGCTGCTCACCTCCCGCTGTGCAGCCTGGTTCCTAACTGGCCACGGACCAATACTAGTCTGCAGCTCACTGGTTGAGGACCCCTGCTTTCAATGATGACGGAGGTCAAGTTTCCTGGGTACGTGAAAAGCAGGGAAAGCCGTACTCACTCACCACTAGCTTTTGGAAAAAAGGCTGTGAGAGAAAACTACAAACTTCTTGCAAATAGATCCAAATATTTGCAAGAGCACACTAGAACAATAAATCTAGTTTCAAACATCATGCACAAAAATGCAGCATTTATCTTTCATAAATGCATGGTACATAGTTGACTTTAGCAAATGTTTATTAGATGAGTTTAAAAATATATGTATTTGTAGTATGTATACCATATTTTCAATTTGACAACCCCAGTGAGTACAGCTTAGTGTTTTGAGCTCAGTTTGACAAGTCAAACAAGGAGAGGTTCAAGTCCTATTCCTATTTCCTTCTATTCAACCCTGGACAAATTAGCTAAGTTCTCTTTACTTGAAGTTATTTCTAATACATGCTTTGTAAGGTTTTGTGAGTAGTATGTTTATCCATGTAAAAACCTTTGCAGTCACCAATGTTTTGTAAATGCTTAATAGCCACCAATGACAGTTCAGAGCTGCCCCGATATCAACCATTCACCCTCTTCTAAAATTAACAACTAATATTTTCTTTCAAATTATTATTCTCTTTATTTGTTCCTGGAACATGATACTAAATTTCACAATATTAAAACAAAATAATTTCACAACATTTAGAATAGTATCTAACTTGATCTCTATAATTAAAAAATTCGGTAAAGCTCTTATGCTATTCTGTCACAACATAAAATATCCATGGGGAAGCAAATTATTGTTCCTATATGCAGTCTGTATTTGCTAGTGCCATTTATAATATGCTAATGAAATGATTTTTGAAAGTACTTACTTAAAAGAAGACAATTTTGTATGGTTCATTTTTTCAATTTAAGTAAGCATTTAATAAAATACCTTCATGAATTCAATGGGAATATGTATAATTATGAGCAATTAGAGTTAAAATTAAACCCACAAATCAGGAAATTCAAAAGCTAATATCCAAAAACAATGTTAGTGTTGAAAGTGCCACAAAATAATACAACTAATTTAAAAGGTTAATATACTTTTAAATATTTTAAGCGAATTAAATGAGATAGCAAATTATAACAGTAACTAAAAAATATTTCTGAGCTATTTCAGAGACTAATTATTAGATAACAGTTTAAATAAATATAGAAGCTATGATTTTTTTGATTCCTAAAAATCAGAAATTTGGATTTTTTTTTAACATCAGGACATCCAAAATGACTAATTGATTTTGTTCCTAATCAAAGGAAATAACTGTTATGGGGGGCAGAAAAAGCTTAAAATCGTATAGCTCAAATGGAGAGAATCACAGAAACCCAGAATGGTTTCATAAATTTAAATATAAATAAAATACTTTTATTTAGTCGTGCATACATGGGTAGTTGGTGACAGGGGATTCATATTTCTAGTCTACTAGTTTTGAGACTGTGAAGTATACTTATTTATTATTCTTCATCATATATCCATCATTTAATAGAAGCATTTTAGAAAAATTTCTATCCATCACCTTGTTATTTTTATAGTCGAATATTTAAGTTTCTGTCTCCATCAAGCATCTAAAACTGCAAATGCAAGTCTCTCATATGAATCTAAAGTAAGCCAGAAAAAGCCATTTCTAGAACAATATCTAATTGTAAAGTCATGGTAGCCTAGCTTATGATTCTTGGCAAATAATATTTTGTCCTGAGATTTTACCATTTTTATAGAAAGTAAAGGATTAATTTGTCTATATACAATTGATTTTTAATTAAAATAAAAATATTCATTTCATATTTACTAGGCAACATATAAATGATTTTGCATATAGCACCATCTGTATTAATGAAAATGGACAAATTGGGAATGAAAGTTTACATTCTCATTTACATAGCATATATCTGCACAAAAAAATTGTATCACAAGTGTTTGTATTTTTTTTTAATGTACAAGGGGATTATGAATGTAGCAAATGTTTGCCATCGTTTAAAAAAAAATCACCTGCAGACATGTAGAAAGTATTAATGCCATTCCTTTTGCAGACTTCGCTGAGTTTTCTTCCACTAGTTATTTTTACTGATACAGACATTTTGCATTAGTATATACATTTTAGACTCTGTTTGTCATTTTTTACTCTCTGTCTACAAAATCAAACAAACAAAAACCCAAAACAACAACAAACAAAACCCTACTAGCATTTTGAATGGAACTGCCTTGAGTCAGTTGACCTATTTGGATAAAACTAAGATTTTACCAACATTGAGAGTTTCAATCCAAGGCTGTGATATATCTTCCCATTTATTTAGGCACTCTTACTTACCTCAACAATATTGTATTTAGTTTTTAATGTACAGCTTTTACACATGCAATTTTAATTTAAATCTAACCAGGTCATGTTATTTTTAAGCTATTATAAATGGTGTTTTAAAAATCATTCATTTTCCAACTCTTCATTCCTGATATATAGGAATATAGTTGACTTGTATACTTTGTATTTAGATGGAATTTTCCAACAATAACTGCACTGATATATATTCCATCTTACATGCATTTACATTGACAGTCCTTCAAGAGGAGGGAGTCTCTATTTTCTCCCTTTGAACCCGAGTGTATCTTTCACAGTGTTTTAGCAATATTGACAGCAGAATTCCACAAGAAAAAAAGGCTTTATGACTTCTAAGAATTATTTTTAAAAGACAATTTAGCTTCCAACAGACTACCTCTATCTCAGGGTTCTTGTGTTTGTACCCAGCACATCAGGTTGTGAAGAAACAAAGTTACCTGTAGATGTTCTGGCCAACAGCTTTGGATAGGTCTCCACCCAATAGGCACCATCCTGTAAGAAAGAGTCAAAGGTCACTATATCATAACAAAAGAGTCAATTCAACAAAAGGATATAAAACCTGTACATATATATATACTCCCATCACTGGAGCATGCAAATATATAAAGGAAATATTAATATATCTAAAGGGAGAAATACACTGGAATACAATAATAGTAGAAAATGTCACCACCCACTTCCCGCAATGGACAGATCATCCAGACAAAAGTCAACAAAGAATCATTGGAAATGAACTACAATCTATACCAAATTGACCTAATTGACATTTACAGACAATTTATCCAACTGCTACAGAATACACATTTTTTTCTACCAAAACATGGAACATTTTCCAGGATAGACCATAGGTTAGGTCAAAAAATAAATTTCAACAAATTCAAAAAGGTCAAAATCATATCAAGTATCTTTTATGACTGCAATGGTATAAAACTAGATATTAAAAACAAGAAGAACTTGAAACCATACAGACACATGGAAATTAAAAAACAAGTTCCTGAACAATTAATGGGTCAATGAAGAAATCAAGATGGAAATGTAAAGATATATTAATAAATGTTACAGTTCTTTTAGAATCTGTCTAGCGAATTTTCTAGTGGGAAACCTTCCAATATAAAAATAAATGAATAAATAATTTTGAAAATAAAAATACTTTAAAACAAATGAAAATGAAAATACAATGTACCAAAATACATGGCATATGGTAAAATCAGTAGTAAGAGGAAGGTTTACAGCTATAAACAACTACATCAAAAAAGTAGAAAGATTTCGAATAAAAAAATCTCGTGATGCACCCGACAGAACCAGCAAAGCAAGAACAAGTCCACCCCAGAATTAGTAAGAAAATAAAATTTAAAAAAGGAAAGAAATGATAAATTTCAGATAAGAAATAAAGTGAGGAATAAGAAAAATACAAAAGATCAATGAAACAAAAGATTTTTTTCTGAAAAGATAAACAATATTGGTAAATTTACCTACAATAACCAAGAAAAAAGAGAAGGCCCAAATAAATTTAATTAAAAAAGCACACAAAAAAAGATATGACAACAGATAGGACAGAAATGCAAAAAAGTCATTAGAAACTATTATGAACAAATATACACCCCAAAATGGAAAAACCTATCATGGGATAAATTACTGGACACAAAGAACCTACCAAGATTGAATTATGAAGAACTAGAAAACCCAAACAGACTAATAATAAGTAATGAGATCAAAGCAGTAATACCCATCAAAGTAAAACCAGATGGCTTCACTGCTAAATTCTGTCAAGCATTGAAAGAATAACTAATACAATTCTGCCTAAACTGTTCCAAAATTTGAAAAGGAAGAAATTCTTCCATACTCATTCTACGAGGCCAGAATTACACTGATGCCAAAAACACACAAGAACACAACAAAAAGAAAAAACTACAGGCTAATATCCCTGATGAACATAGATGTATATCTTCATCAATATAGTAGCAAACTGAAAAAAAAATCATGATAAAAAGATCATTTATAATGATCAAGTGGGATTCATCCCAGGGATGCAAGGATATTTCAACATAGGCAAATCAGTAAATGTGGTATATCACATTAGCAGAATGAAGGACAAAAACCATATAATCATCTCAATAGGTGCTGAAAAAAATTGACAAAATTCAACATTCCTTTGTGATAAAAATTCTCAAGAAAATGAGGAAAAAACATACCTCAAACAATAAACACCATGTATGACAAGCACACTGCCAACATTATGCTGAACGGTGAAAAATTAAAGCCTTTCCTCTAAGATCCAAAACAAGAAAATCATCTTCATTTTTATCACTTTTATTCAGTACAGTGCTAGAAGTTCTAGCCAGAGCATTTAGGCAACAGAAATAAAGGGCATCCAAATTGGAAAATAAGTCATTACCTTTTTTCGCGTATGACATAATATTATATTTAGAAAAATCTAAAGACTCCACTAAAATACTATTATAACTTACAGAGAACTTCAGCAAAGTTACAGGATGCAAAATGAGCTTATAAAATTCAGTAGCACTTACATACGCCAACAGTGAACAATCTAGAAAAGAAATTAGGAAAGTAATCACAATACAATAGCTACAAAAATGATGCCTATGAGTAAATTTAACCAAAGAAGTAAAAAATCTTTACAAGGAAAACTATAAAACAGTGAAGAAAGAAATTGAAGAGAACATAAACAAATGAAAATATATCCCAGCTCATGACTGGAAGAATTAATATTGTTGAAATGTTTAAACTACCCAAAGTTATCTACAGATTCAATGTAATCTCTATCAAAATACCAATGACATTCTTCACAGAAATAGAACAAAAATCCTAGACTTCATACAGAACCACAAAATACCCCAAATACCCAAAGCAATCTTGAGCAAAAAGAAGAAAGCTGGAGGCATCACACTACTTGACTTCAAAATATGCTGAAAAGCCATAGCAACCCAAATAGCATATTACTGGCATAAAAACAGACACATGGATTCGTGGAGCAGAATAGAGAACCTAAATAGAAACTCACAAATTTACAACGAATTCATTTTTGAAAATAGTGCCTAGAACATATACTGGGGAAAGGACAGTTTTTTAAATAAAAGGTGCTGAGAATATTGGATAATCATATACAAAAATCAAATTTTGATGAATTAAAGACTCTAATGTGTGATGTGAAACAATGAAACTACTAAAATAAAATATTGAGAAAACACTTCAGGTCATTGGTCTGGCAAAGACTATTTGGGTTAGACTCAAAAAGATGGGCAACCAAAGCAAAAGCAGACACATGGGATTAAATCAAGCTCAAAAGCTTCTACACAGCTAAGAAAATTATTAGCAAAGTGAAGTGACAACCAATGGAATGGGGAAAAACATTTTCAAACTCTCCATCCCCAAAGAGTTTAATAATCAGAATATATAAAGTACTCAAACAACTCAATAGCAAAAAAAAAAAAGAAAACACCCACAAATAATTGAATTTAAAGATGAACAAAATGCCTGAGTGATGAAATAATCTGCACAACAAACCCCCATGACACACGTTTACCTATGTAACAAGGTGTGTAACAAGCACATCCTGCACTTGTACCCTTGAACTTAAAATGAAAGTTAAAAATAAAAATGGACACAATATCTGAATAGACATTTCTCAAAAGAAGGTATATATATGGACTTTTTAATGAAAAAATAAACTTCAGCATTGCTAATCACCAGGAAAATGTAAATCAAAACTACAATGAGATATTCTTTCACCCCAGTTAAAATGGCTTTTACCTAAAAGACGGAAATTAAAAGATGCTGGCAAGGGTGTACAGAAAGGGGAGTGCTCATACACTGTTTGTGGGAATGTAAATTAGTACAGCCACCAAGGAACAGTATGGATGGTACTCAAAACACTAAAAATAAAACTATTTCATGATTCAGCAATTTCGCTGCCATATATATATATAGAGAGAGAGAGAGAGAAAGAGGATATATATATATATAGATAGATATATATATAGGAACCTATATATATGATTCAGCAATTTCGCTGCCATGTATAGCCATATATATACACGCATACATATATCCCATATATATATCCTATATATATCCCATATAAATATCTCCCATATAAATATCTCCCATATAAATATATCCCATATATATATATCCCATATATATATCCTAAATATATCCCATATATATATCCTATATAAATATATCCCATATATATATCCCATATATATATCCCATATATATCCCATATATATGCCATATATATATCCCATATATATCCTATATATATATCCCATATATATCCCATATATATCCTATATATATATCCCATATATACATCCCATATATATCCCATATATATATCCCATATATCCTACATATATCCCATATATATCATATATATCCTATATATATCCCATATACATCATATATATCCTATAAATATCCCATATACATCATATATATCCTATATATATCCCATATATATATCCCATATATATCCCACATATATATCCCATATACATATATCCCATATATATCCCATATACATATATCCCATATATATATCCCATATACATATCCCATGTATATATATCCCATATACATATCCCATGTGTATATATATCCCATATATATCCCATGTGTATATCCCATATATATCCCATATATATATTTCCCATATATATATCCTATATGTATTTCCCATATATATAATCCCATATGTATTTCCCATATATATAATCCTATATGTATTTCCCATATATATAATCCTATATGTATTTCCCATATATATATCCTATATGTATTTCCCATATATATATCCTATATGTATATCCTATATATATATATCCTATATGTATATCCTATATGTATATCCTATATATATATCCTATATGTATATCCTATATATATATCCTATATGTATATCCTATATATATATATCCTATATGTATATCCCATATATATATCCTATATGTATATCCCATATATATATGTATATATCCTATATGTATATCCTATATATCCTATATATATCCTATATATATATCCTATATATATATCCTATAAATATATCCTATATCCTATAAATATATACCCTATATATATATCCTATATATATCCTATATATATATCCTATATATATCCTATATATATATCCTATATATATATCCTATATATATATCCTATATATATATCCTATATATATATCCTCTATATATCCTCTATATATCCTCTATATATCCTATATATATCCTCTATATAATCCTATATATGTATCCTATATATAGTATCCTATATATATGTATCCTATATATATATATTTGGCAGCAAAATTGCTGAATTATATATATAGGATATATATATGGGATATATATACATATGGATATATGTGTATATATGGGATATACATATACATATCGATATATGTGTATATATAGGAGAGATTTATATATCCAAAAGAAAGGATATCAGTATGTTGCAGAGATATCTGTATTTCTATGTTTATTGCAGCTATATTCACAATAGCCAAGACAGTATCTACCTAAGTATCCATCAATGGGTGAACTGATAAAGAAAATGTGGTAGATATCCACAGCCATTTAAAAAAATGAAATCCTGCCATATGCAGCAATATGGATGGGATTGGAAGATATTATGTTAAGTGAAATAAGCCAGGTGCAGAAAGAGAAACACCACATGTTCTCAATCATAAGTGAGCACTAAAAAGGTGGATCCCATGGAGTTAGAGGGTAGTTCTAGAGGCTGGGAAGGTAGTGGCCAGGGATAGAAGAAAGGCTAGTTAGTGCATACAAAAATACAGTTAGATGGAAGAAATAAAGCCTGAGGTTTGATGGTACAGTAGGGCAACTTTAATTAACAATAATTTATTGTGTAGTGCAAAATTTCTGGAAGAGAGGAATCGGAATGTTCCCTACACATAAAAGGCGAATCTCCCAATTGCCCTGGTTTAATCACTATATTATACGCATGTATCAATATCACATGTACCCCCAAAATATGTAAAACTATTTAAAATTTTTAAAATATCCACAATGAGATTATCTTACACCTGTTAAAGTAGCTTCTATCAAAAAAGACAAAATATAAATGTTGGCAAGCATGGAGATAAAAGTGAACCCTTACACAGTTGTTGTTAATGTAAATTATCACAGCCGTTATGGAAGTAGTATGGAGGTTCCATCAAAAATTAAAAATTAAAATTAAAAAACTACCATATGATCTAGCAATCCCACTATATGGTATATATCTAAAGGAAATGAAATCAGTATCTTAAAGAGATATCTGCACATTCATGTTCATTGCAGCATTATTCACAATAACCAATATGTGAAAGCAATCTAAATGTCCACTGAGGGATAAAGAAAACATGACAGATACATACAATAAAATGTTATGTAATCATGAAAAGGAAATCTTTCTATCTGTTACAACATGAAGAAACCTGGAAGACATGTTAAGTTAGATAAGCCAGGTACAGAAGGATAAAGTTGAAAGGTAGTTCCAGAAGATACCTGTTTTCAAAATTAAAAAAAAAAAAAATTGTGAAAACTCAAATTTGGAGGTCACAGAAATTACATGTGTGTGGGTAATTGTATTAAGACTGAATATGACTAAATTTTCCAAATTTCCACAGATACACTCACATTTCCTTTTAGGAACTTTGAAAAGTAACAAAATAAATGGAAGCAAAAAATGTTGAGAACTTGAAGACAATACTCAAAGGAAAAAAATGTCATTTGTTAACAGTACTGCACAATTATTTTGAATTTATTAATAAAGAAAAAACATGTTATAAGATTTATAAAATATGATATATAAAGTCTATGTACTATTCGGGAATATAGGCAAGAAGAGAAATAGAAAAGGTGTCACTGATTTGCAGGTACAAATAAAATATAACAACGTTGTTAATAACAGAAAGGTAAAATGTCTGAATGTTATCTTTATAGAGCTATAAGATTTAATTCCTCTCTTTATATCTCTATATTATAAGAAATACTTAATCATATGTTTTTTTTCCCACAGAAAGTTAAGAGACACGCAACTCATATATTGGAGAATTCTGATATTTCTACAAATCTGTCCATGGAATTTTCTGTAATTACTGTTTTATTTAATGTATAGTCATTCCTTTTAAAAAAAATTCCCAAGTACATGAAAAGCAAAATATATTTGTAATGATAATATTTAAATACATAGAATGAACGTTGTATAAGATTCCACTTAAAATAAAATAAAAATTTTAATGAATAAATATAAAAAAGCAACTTTTGTCTGTCCTGAAACTTGGCAAATGGAGTTGATTTCTGGAGCATGTTTTCTGCAGCACCCAAGTACATTATTAGCAACAGCTGCTATATTTGTTCTACCAGCAAGATAATAATCAAAGGCAAAGTCCTTAAACTGTGTTTCCTACAGCTGCAGATTCTTCTCAGTTTTTCCAATCTCTTCTGTGTCACAGCAGCTCACTAATATTTCTAAAAAAAAAAAAAAGGGTTTCCAACTGCTGAACAATATGGGGAAAAATTGTATGAAAGACGTTTGTAATTATCACCCATCATCACCTCAAAAAAGCATAATTTATAAAATGCTCACTTCAAAAGCACGTACAACATGCTTTTGTTTATTTTACCTTCCAGCAGTTTAACTTATTTTATAAGATATACAAACAAACAAAAGTCAGTTAAAAATGGAAAACAGAATCTAAGATAGGAAATTTCGGTAAGGAACACTGGCGAAGAGCAACACAGAGACATATTAGTAACACCACTGAGTAGAGTTTTAAGTGTTGGAAGAGAAGAAAAGAGGGCAGAGAAAATACAAGCCTGGTAACAAATAAGGAGGAACATAAAAATCAATGAGCCATTGATAATGGGTTAGATACAGCTCTCATTTTTTAAAGAGAAAAATGAAGAAAGGAAATTTGGGAAATTGAGCAATGATGACAGCCTAGTTAAAGTAGCTATTGAGGAAACATAGGTGAGAGAAGGCTGGTCAAGGGGACTGGACAAATAGCTCACTCTACAGTTGGGGAGGAGTGTCTAATGAGGTGCTCTTAGGATGGATCATCATCCTATTCCCATTTAACATCATCCTTAATGACATGAAAGGAGCGAATAAATGCATGATTGAAGACCGGAGAGGCATTGAGCTCACAGTTGCTGTGAGATATATTGCAAATAGAAAACAACAATAAAGCAAATGGATTTCATACAAACAAGTAGAAATAGAAATCAAAATAAAATTATATTTGCAAAACTAATAAGGCATTCAAGAATACTAATGGAAGGAGAAGAAAAGGAAATAATCCTAAGTTGTTATTGGCATATGATTCGTTAACTAGCTATGTACACATTTCTTACCTTTAGAATCTTACATAAAGTAGGCCCCTTACAAACACTACACACAGATCAACTGGCGTCAGAATAATGACACCTCTGCAGGCTGGCTATCTAGACCAGAGAAACACAAGTCCAGTCATCAGTTCTATAGAACAGGAATCTTATACTTAGCTATTACTAACTAATGTAATGTATTTATCAAAGAGAACCATAGAGCTGTATGTTTCTATCGTTGTTTACATAGGGTGAGGAGAAAGAGAAATTACCTAAGGAATATCTTAACATGTGCATCCAGAAATGGGGAAAATTAGGAGAAAGTGATAGCAAAAAGTGAATGAATGGCTGAGTTTCAGGAAGGAAGTGGTAACCTGTGCCAGACGATACAGACGGGTCAAATAGGACAATCGAGAAAAGCTGCTATTGATTTTGGCAATTAGGATGTCACCTCTGAAGATTGACCAATAGTGTTTGTGTAGTGGCTGGAGCAGAATCTGGATAGCTATGATTGATGAGTGTCTAGTTTTTAAGAAAATAGAGAAAATCTAAAAGACTTTTCCAAGAAGGTGAGCCCTGATGAGAAAAAGTGAAATAGGGTGGTAACAGGAGAAAAACATAAAGGAGAAAAAATGATGTTGTAACATTAGAGGTATTTGTTGAAGGTAAAGAGTTAGTAGACAGGTGAAAGGACTTTACGATTGAACTCCTGCTAATTTTTCTTGACTTAGATCAGAAGCCACCTCCTTTGCACAGTTTTCTGACTGCTCTCTTGACTCCACTCCTAGATAGATTTAGTTTTTCCCTTTGTACTGTGCCTTCTCTGCATTCTCAAGACACCCCACACTTCAATCATATCACTTCCCATACTGTATTCTAGCATTTTTTCTACTCCATAGAGTTTCTTCATAGCAAGCATTGTGACTGTACCTTTAGTTTCTACCACAGTAGTTACCACATCATGTTCAATTAATGAAGTTGTCATAATAAACGAATGAACTAATGCAGAGATAATAGGGTTTTCTTGATCACGCCAAACTCTTAGCTAAAACTTTATCTCAAAACAAAGACACGGAGTCTGGCAAAACCAATAACAAGAATCAAGTTAGCAAAGCAATAGGCATAAGGTCAGAAAAAAGAAAACAGACAATAAGAATCTGAGACTATGAAGGGGCCACAGTGATGAGTAAAGCAAACAGCCAAAAAAGCTGGTCTGTAAAACAGCAGCAATCGAGGATATGGATGATAAAATCTAGCTCACAAGACAAACTTGAAATTTTGAGTTTTCATACCCTTCTTACATCAAGACTCCCTAAATAATAATGTATTGCTTCATAGGCCAGTAACTAATATATTAAAATTATCAGTATAAAGAGCTAAAAAGAAATTTGCTTCTTTAAATATTGGTATAAGTTGAAAAAGAAGTATGGATTCATTGAGAACTTTTTTCCAAGGGTTTAAAAGAAGAGAGTTAGAGGAGAAGTCATAGAACATAAATGGGAGAAGTTTTTATTTGAAAAGACAAAGCTGGTGACTCTAGCAACAAAAAAAAAATCTCTAAAGTGGTGAAGATCAGGGTGTCTTAATAATGAACTTAAAGTTAGAGGCTGTGATCCTTTTTATTCAATCTCATGTTAAATCACCAGCCATAAGAATATTAAGATCTTTGCTAGCATCAGGATGCTTGGCAGACTGTATAGCCACTAACATGGCATGCCGATGGCTCTAAAGGCATGTGCAGTATGGCTCCGAGTTCTTTAGGCTTTTATCATCCTCATGGTGCAGTACACAGAATTTGAAAATTAATAGTGCCAAAGTGCATATCAGCCATACCACCAAATGAGTGAAGGATCAAAATTACCCACAGTGAAGCACAAAGTGCATGCAATCCACTTAAAAAAGAGTTACTCTAACATATTACTTGAACCATGACAACAACAACAACAAAATGAGGTCATAGTGTCAGAGGCATTCAAACCAGAGTGACTCCATCTTGAATAGGGGTTAGGTAAAAAGAGGCTGAGGCTGCATTCCCAGGAGGTTAGGCATTCTTAGTCACAGGATGAGACTGGAGATCAACACAAAATACAGGACTCATAAAGAAGCCAGCCAAAGGCCACCAAAACCAAGAAGGTGATGAAAGTGACTCCTGGTCATCCTCACGGTTCATCATATGCTAATTATAATACATTAGAATGCTAAAAGACACTCTCACCAGGCCAAGGACAGTTTACAAATGCCATGGCAACATCAGGAAGTTACCCTACATATTTTAAAAAGAGGAAGAAACCTCAGTTGGGGAAAATCCCTGCCCCTTTCCTGGAAAACTCATGAATAATCTACCCTTTGTTTAGCATATAATCAAGAGATAACTGTAAGTATACTCAGACAAGCAGCCCATACTGCTGCTCTGTCTATGTAGTAGCCATTCTTTTATTACTTTACTTTTCGAAAAAACTTGCTTTCACTTTACTTTGTGGACTCACCCTGAATATTTTCTTGTGTGAGATCCAAGAACCCATTCTTGGGGTCTGAATCAGGACTCCTTTATGGTAACAATAGTGTTTGTTGTTATACAAAGAAGTTGAGGTTATAAATCATTGATATTGATAACTATGAATAACATTAAAATAATCTAACAAAACATTGGAAATATGTAGTTGAATATGAACAAAAACCTTGAAATTTTGACTTTTAACTCCATTCAGTTAGTATTTGCTACAAGTTAGTTATCCTCTATGTTAAGGGAAACTCAAATAAAAATCTGTTCAGCTAGTTCAGAAATAAAGAATTCAGAAAAAAAAATTTATTTATTAAAATTATTACACCTTTGCAGTTCTACCAATGAATAAAATCCTTTTTCTTTCCCTGTAATGTAACAATAATAAAATTAATTCTTGCATTTTCATTAGCAATTAACTTTTATATTTGCCCAAATTTCGGAATATCGTCCTGAAATTATTGCAACTTGCATGATGAAACAATGTAATGGGGTTCTAGTTACCATGGAATGTTTTAGAATGTGTTAGGATTCTACACAGGCCTTACTTCTAACAGAATACTTTTTCATCGAGTTCACACACCATAGCACTTGAATGGGGTGGTACTTCACAAACCACCCTATGGGTGGAGACTAGACCACAAGACCCCTTAAAGAACTTTCCAATTATGACTTTTTTTTTTTATGATTTAAAAAATTGGAAATTTCCAGGTAACTGAAAAACAATGGAGAAAAATAAAGAAAAAAAAAATCTACACAAATGCAAGGCCCTCAATATGACTTAAGACAGAGAATATCCAGAGTTTAAATAACAGTAAGTAAAAAAGGAAAAATCACTTAATCCCAGCACTTGTCTCTGCTGCCCACACCCCAGTCCCACCTTGCTGCCTGGCAATGCCCTGAACAAAGGCCAACAAAAGAGAGAAGAGGAAAGGCAATGCAGGCCCAGCAGCAGGTCTAAAACCACTGCCAGAATGGGATACTAAATCCACCCCTAGTTTGCAAATGCAAAATCAAAACCAAATGTCCAGGTGAGACGAGAAGAGACATTTAAAAGTTTGCATGATTTGAAGGGGCAATCTTCAAAATACTTGGTTCTTGCGGAAGCACAAAGCAGGCAGGAAGGAAGAAGAATTGAGTTTACAGCAAATGACTGCAACTCTGCAGCCTCCCTCACCACTGGCTCTCTGTCCGTCTGACAGTTGTTTGTAAACTCCAGAAGGGAGAAAGGTGGCATTATGAACCTAGCCTGCCCTGTAAGACATGAATTTCCATCCTGAAGTAAATAAGAAATCATGGGAACAGCGGCAATGGAGTCTGCTGAATTCTTAGCTTGATGTGTGTACACAGAAGCCTTGACCACGCACTTTGTCCCCATGGCTAGTATCAGTGTGTTAAAAGATGTGAATTTGTTTATTCTCCCTTGATCTACTTTTTGTATAAATTCTTCACAGGGGGTTACTACGAGAAACTGTGATGGAGGAAGTTGTTATCGCTAATGGCTCTGAAGGTTGTTAACGTTAATGGATTAGAACTGGAGGCGTGTTAAACTCAGTGATTTCAGGTAGCAGGGGAATTAAATAAAAGATTTTCTAGGCTCTGGCTGGAATTTCAGAGTTCAAATCACATTAATACTATTTGATCAAATCTACTGAAAGAACAATCCAAGCACAAATCCTGTCGTTGCCCTCGGCCCCCAGGATTCACTGGCTGGTTGACTCATCTTATCTGTGTTTAAATAGGTTTAGATTTGGGTAACGCTGATTAAAATTCAGATTGATGTTTTCAAATTTATTGAATACTATATATTTTATTATACTTTCTTTGAAAAAATTAATGTAATTGTCAATTACAGGTCATTGCTTTATGACTTAAGTATCTTCCCAGAACATGAAGATACTTATTAGGAAATAACTTATTGACTTCATCAAAAACTACAAAATTACAATATTCTTCTTTGGAAAATAAATGTTAAAATCACATAATTATACATAATCTATAGTCAAATGTTCAGGTCAAAAATCACACTAATCAGTTTTAAAGTTAAAACATTAAAAATATAAAATAAAATAATTAAAAGCCTCTTCTTCAACCTTCGCCATTATCATCGTCATCATCAACATTATCACCATATTAATCACTATCACCATCATCTTCAGAGGGGGAAGGAGAG